>NC_000006.12:50060000-50705683 GCF_000001405.40 Homo sapiens | reverse complement strand
TGTTGCTGACCCCAAGCTCCTGCCTCTTCTCCTTCCTACTAGCCTTGGGGAGCTTTGAGGCAACCAAGGCCTCCAGTTACTTTTTTTTTTTTTTTTTTTTTTGCTAAAAGAGCTTTGTCTGTTTCTTCTGTCAATTACCCCAGTAGCCTCTCAGAGGCCACGTTTATTTTTCCATTGACCTTTTCTTCCTTATGTACTGGAACAATGCCTTATTATTTTATTTATCTTAATCTCTGGTGCAATCGTCCTTTTTTCTTCAACTTGGCTCTGCTAGTGTTTGCCTTTACACTTTCTCGACTTCATTATGTAATCTTGCTGAATCTCCACACTCTGTGCATGCTGTTTAGACCTCACGTCTGTCTTTTACTTACCCTTGAAGAGTTTTGTTTTGAAACTCCTGGCCCATTCATATTTGTCTTATTCCTTTGTTTCCTACTATCTCGTTGCTGCCTGTAATGCCTATGGATAGTGTCCAGAAATTTGCACAATATCTGCTTTATTACAGATCTGACCCAACAGAACATTCCATTAAAAAGATATATTTTCCTAATTTGGCCCTGACACTTTTGGTGAACTGTGATAATGCCCCTTCCTCCTAAGCTAGTTCTGGTTGTAGGCATCATAGGGACATTAGATAATTGCTAGGATGACTTTCACTCCTTTGATTTCCTTTTGAGCAAGTGGAGGACAATGGAGTATTCACTGACTGCCACTGATTGGCTCTGGGACCTCAGACACTTAACCACGCTGCTCTCTTTCACAGCCAGGCTGTATTAAATGAGGACAAATAGGTATGAAACAACTTTGGAACTGATAATGTACTTTAAAATTATTTAGTATAGTTTATTGCTGCAACTCACATTCTTTCTGGTAGGTCAAGTCTCTTCGTTGGCTTAATATCAATCCTAATAGTGATGAAAAGTATTGCTTTTCTTCTATGACCTCTCCTTTCCAACACTCAGCTGTGGTCTGTCTGTCTTGATCATAGATATTTCTACTGACATCCTTGTTAGAGCACTGTGTTTCAAAAGTCTAGATTCAGATTGTGATACCTTTTCTTCAGGCCTCGTCTCCATTTTGGTGTCATGAAAAGCCTTGAGGAAAACAATAGCCACCCTACTGAATCCCCTCTCTATCTCTCAATGTCATCTGCAAAGGATGGACATTGTAATCCCAGTAAAAGACTACCCCCACCCCTACTCTTTGGTAATCCTCTCTTGATCAGTTTCCACTCCTACTCTCAACCACCCATCCCTTTTCCAGTCTTTGTTTTTAGATAGAGGGCCTTTACTAAAAAACATACTGAAAAAAAAAAAAAGACACAATTCACTCCAGTGATTCTTGGAATGTCTCCCCCTTAGGGGCATCCTGGCAACCTGGCTTGGAATAGTTCATGTAACGGAAAGTTCATTTTAAGTTCAGTGAAATGGGGCAGTGTAGGTTTTTGCTTTGCTATCTTTAGGTGCGAAAATGTCACCTCTTGCACCCTTTTTTTTTTTTTTTTTTGAGACAGAATCTTGCTCTGTCACCCAGGCTGGAGCGCAGTGGTGTGATCTCTGCTCACTGCAAGATCCGCCTCCCGGGTTCACACCATTCTCCTGCCTCAGCCTCCAGAGTAGCTGGGACTACAGGTGCCCGCCACCACTCCCAGCTAATTTTTGTAGTTTCTTTTTTTTTTCCCCCATCATCAATATTTATTGAGCATTTACAGTGTACTAGGGACAATACAGAAAACATTGTCCCTGCTCTTGAGGAGCTTACATTCTAAAAGAAAAAATACACCTCTTTTAAAATGGCATTTTTGTTTGGTGTTTTCTGCAAAGTACTGAGGAAATACTTTGTAAAGTGAGCTTTGGGTATAACTTAGCCCCATCATTATTTAGAGAATAGAGGAAGAAGAAAGAGGGAGGATTTTAAAGGCAGACAATGACAGACCATTCAGGATAGGTAGGGTTTTAAAGGGAGATAAACACAATCTCATCAACTAAGGAGAGATTTGCTGCAGTAAATAGGATGAGGGAAATAGTCTGTGGGATGCAAGCAAAGGAAGCAGGGTGCCTTAAACATTGAGTGGAGCCAGAAAGATCATGCGGCCTCTTTCCAAGTACATGGCTACCAAGTAGGAATGGTTGGTGACAAGATAGAAGGCTAAAAAAGGAAGGTAATCTTGTGCACCTGACAAATAGGAAGAATAAAGGATCAAAATCAAATGCAAGCTATAAGAGTATCAAGAAATTCTTAAAAACCAAAAAGTGATTTGGAAGCACAAAACTTGTAGTTAATGCTACCCAATGTCATGACGAGGTTTCACCATCTTGGCCAGGCTAGTCTTGAACTCCTGATCTCGGGTGATCCACCCACCTTGGCCTTGCAAAGTGCTGGGATTACAGGCATGAGCCACTGCGCCCAGCCATCTTGCACCCTTCTTTACAGAGAAATTGTGACTAAATCTAGCATTGGAACTTCTCGCTAGTACAAGACACTGGAAACAGGTGTAGACTGTGATGTATTAAATATGTACCATATATTAGAAATATCTGTAATGAATGCAGACATTCTGATAAATAATACAATGTAAGGCTCTTTGTATGATTGAACACTATCTACTTCTCATATATTTATGTGCCAGCAGATAAAGAGAACAGGTTTCTTTCCCTAGTTAAATACGTTGAAACAGCATTAGTCATTTAGGAGTGTGTTCCAACCTGAATGCTAAGATTTAGATGGTGGCAAAACTAAGCACATGTAGGTGCTCTGCCCTGGCACATTCAGTTTTTACTTAGAGAAGGAAGCTCTCCCGTTAATTATCTGGACTCTGATGATGGAGGACAGGGAGTAGTGGAGAATGTTAGAAATGCATCATTTTAATGTGCTTTTCATCGACAAGGTCAAATGTGTTTCAGATGCAGTTGACAGCAAAATTCAAAATCCTTGAAATGTAGAAATTTTATACCTTGACAATATACTTGTTCATCATTATAATGTAGATTATGGTGGCTAAAATTGCCCAATCTTTAAGGAGTGAGGATTTCAAATTGTTAATTCTAACAATTTTGACTCTTTTTTTCAAAATCAGAAAACCAAAGGTCACTTCACAGACTGTGTTTTCCCAGAGAACATGGAATCTTTTCACACTTCCACAGATAAATATGACTACTGCCTTATTAGAAAATGAATATAGGAAGTTCATCTTGTCTTTCCCCAAGATGGTATATTTACATGAAGATGAGTTTATGTTATGAGGAGAATGCCAATTGGGTGGCTTGGAATGACATTTAGGGATTTATGATGCCATAGAGTCTAGTCTATTTTTTAAGAAGTGATTGATTCACTAGATATTTAAAAATGCTAAAGAGTAGGGACATATTTCACTTACTTGATTCAACTGTTCATACAATGGCACCTTAGTGCAGAATATAGGGCCATCTCAACACCTAATTACAGTACCTTACATTATAGGGAAAGAAGATAATGAAAAGATAAACCAAAGAAAATCCAGAGCTCCCTTTACCAGCAGCAAAACTTGCAAAATATCTTTTTATTCTAATGAGAAATTTTCTCACCCAATGTGAGTGTCTAACAGATGGACACAAGCAATATCAAATTGTCTATGACTGTGCTGTCTTATGCAGTGATGGTAGCCACATGTGGCTATTGAGGACTGTCATGGACTGAATTCCTATCTTAAAACCCTAACTCCAATGTGAGTGTATTTGAAAATAAGTCCTTGAAGGATGTTAACTGAGGTCATAAGGTTGGGTCCTAATCCCAAACCAAAGAGCACTAGTGTTCTTAAAAAAAGAAGAGGAGACATCAGAGGAAGGTCATGTGGGGAAACAGCAAAAGAAAAATTGCTATCTACAAGCCAAGGATCTCTCCTCTGAAGAAACCAAATCTGCTGAGACCTTGATCTTGGATTTTCAGCTTCCACACCTGTAAGAAAATAAATTTCTGTTGTTTAAGTTCCACAATCTGTGGTATTGTGTTATGGCAGTTCTAGCAGACTAATACAAACACTTGGAGGAAACAACAACAGTATCCCCTGATATTAGGAGTTGGCCTAGTACTATTGGTGAGAACTTAGTTTTCCTGCAAGCTGGCCTGGCACTCACAGTTAGGTCTTTGTGCTCTCCCGTTGAGCACAATCTTATAGAACATCAATATCAGGCAGGGCCTCTCTGTGACCATGATGGATGAAGATGAAAGTAATAACTCTAGTAATGCCTGCACACAGACAAAACATGAACATTGTTTAAGCCACAAAATACCAAACATTCTCCTCCTCTGGCCAATAGGAGTGACTGCTACTTCTTAACCATTTATAGCTCCAGGGCCATTCAAGTATTTACACTGTATAAAAAGTTTGTTGAGGTACCCAACCAGAGTTCTTCCTGTTTTCTGAGGTAATTCAATACAGTGTGAACCACTGCTTTTTTGGACAATTTCTGAAATTATCCAACCAAAGTCCAAATCCTTTCTAACACTGTTTTACTCTGATGTTCAGTGGTTTCCCATGACATGTGCCCTTTCTTGATGAAAGTTGTAAACCAAATTTCAACTACAGCTGTGTGCTTGGTGGTCTTTGGTTAGAAAGCATTGGCAATTTGAAATAAAGCTAGTCCAAATTGAGATATACTGTAAGTATAAAATACACATTTGATTTTCAAATACTTAATATGAAAAAGAGAATGTAAAATATTTCATAATTTCATATTAATTATAATGATAATATTTTGGAAATGCTGATAGAATGTATTATTAAAAGTCAATTTGCCTGTTCTTTTTTAATGTAGCCACTAGAAAATTTAAAATTACATATGTGGCTTGCATTTCATTTCTGTTGAATTTGCATTGTTTTATAATGTCCCAGAATAGCCAATAATTGACCATCCTGACCATGCATACACAGCATACAGCTTTTTTCAAAGAAGTTAATTAATCTCATTAGGAGACACTATACTGTGAGTAACAAACAACTCACAAATCTCTGTGGTTTAACACAACAAAAAGTTATTTCTCTCAAACACACAATTCACTGTGAGTCTGAATACCTCACCAGGGAGCTGTTCTCCATTTGGCAGCACAGGGATCTAGTGAGATATTTATTTCTGCATCATCATAAGGTGGAGGGTGCTGGACGGTCTTCTGCAAGTAAATAAGTTATTGGTTCCAGAAACACATTGGCCAGATCTAGTCATGTGGCTCTGCTTAATCATAGGGCATCTGGAGAGTGTAATCTCTTCCCCTATTCCCAGAAGAAGGAGAGAAGTGAAAATGAAAAGCAATTGCAATATCTGCCATAAAGAGAAAAATGTAAATAGAAATACATGCTCTAGATCTCTAGTTTAACACAAATGTGTGACATATTTGACACATGCCTAATGTATTTTGCTTAGGAGGCCTGGACTCAGAGGGTATCTACACTGACACTGAAGATGCAATTTTTTAAAAACATGCTTAAGTCTTCTAGTTCATAGTTGTATGGCAACAATTTGAAGTTTTCAGCTACTTAGATGAAATGTGTAGTTACCAAGAGCTCGCAATTCTTTACCTCCCCTTCTCATGCTAAGATAAACTTTCAAAACAAAGTTAAAACTGTGTTTTGAAAGTGTTATGTAATAAGATTAAATAGAAAAGAAGAAGGTCTTCAGGATCATTGACTTTTTAAAGTTAAGGCCTTATTTAAAGTAAGGCTCTGTATTTAAATCTACATCTATTTCTTTCCCCCCACCATATGCACACACACACAGACACACATACACACACACCATATATTACTTTATTCAACAAGATTTCATAACATTAAAAACAAAGTGTGATCCTGGAGACTTCATTAGTTAGAATCCTCCCATCTGCAGGAAGATTCCTAAAATGCAGGCGAATTTGCCCTTCTTATCTTCAAAGGTCTCCTCCTAGCATCAGAAAAGTTGTTTGTAGTAAGCCCAGGGGAAGGAGGAGGGTCTGACAAGCTTTCTCCTCCCCTTTTGTGGCTGAACTGAGAAGGCTTCTAGTATGACTAATTCTACCAATATAGATCAGTAGGTTAATTTCTGGAGGAGGTAAGCCTATGGCTGTGTGGGGTAGAAGAAAGGGGGGCCACAGCACTTCATCTCATTTTCCCGCCCCCTCCTTTTCTCCTTTCCTGTCTCCAGGGTCTGCCACTGCCCTCCTAGAATGCTAGCCCCCTGCACACAGCCTGAGAGAAAGGAGCTGTCCGTTCAGTACCAGGGCCACGTGCAACCTGCCCGCCAAAACACAAAGAACTGAAATATTAATTAAAAAAAGCCAATCTGCTCAATCCTCCGCCCGCAGGCAGGCTCTAACGGAAAATCGCATATGCTTTCCCTTTCTCCTCAATAAATCTTCATGTGGGCATTAAAATACCTAAAAGGATTAGTCATTAAATGCTTGTACATTTGGCTTAATTCGCAAGAAACTGTATGTCACAGGGTTACATCAGAACTGCAGTTTAATCTAATTTGCAGTATTTGTGTAAATGCTTTATTTCTTCTGCTGATTGTTACAGAGGATAATATTAATATCCCAAGCGTCCAGAGGGAGAAGGTTAACACACCAATACGGAAATGAGCTGGATGCTGAGTGATGTATAAAACTATCAAAGCTTCTTTTAAGGTGAAACACACACAAAAAAAGAATAAATGGGAGTGTGGCTTTTCCTCCTCAAGCTGCATTTATTATTATTATTTATTATTTGATCCTAAGGTAATAAGGAAAATGCTTTTTTTGAAAAGGATTTTTACACTTCAGTTGGATATGCTGTCCTACATATTGCATTCAAAAGCTGTCTATATGGTGACAGTGAAACAACCCTTCAAAGGATTTAATTGCAGAATCATTCTTATTTTCTTCTGAGGAAGTTCTTTGTAGCAGCAGCATCCAGTCCAGTTATATTAGCCACACCCCATCCCCCACCTCTCCACCCCTCCAGCCCTCTCTCTAAGCACTTCTCCTTCCACTGAACTACTGGAGCATATATTGTCTGTATTATGCATCTGCATCTGGCCCTGATAATTTACTTCTTGGTCCACCTACTTATTTTTGGACATGATTTATATAATTTACTGGGCAGTAAGTTCCCAGGCAAAAAGGGATCAAAACCTTTATCTAGAAGAATGTGTTTATTCATTAAATAATTCTGTGCAAGCAGCCTGCTGATTTTTACTCACAGTAAATTTTCTGAATTTTTTGCTAATTACATACTTTGGAAACATCCTAAACTAATGAAAAAAGCTGAGTTCTTTCCTTCTTTGGCAAGAACACCATGGAGTACAAGCCAATGAACTGATTTAAAGATACATGTTTAAAAATTAAAAATTTGCATCAATTTTGATGGAATTAATTTTTAAGAATACAGTGAGATATTTGAATATAAAAATCAACACTTGATTGTCCAAATTTTCTCTCTCGTTGAAGTTTGAGTACCCTCGGACTGGTGAAGAATACATGCCAATCCAGGTTTTTCCTTTGTCCATCATGTGTTATATGAAATGGACAATTTGATTTCCTCTGCCCACCAGGAAGGCTGGCAGTTAATACGTTATTGACATATCATGCAGATGGTGAAAAGAGACAATAAGTGGAAAATTTGAAGCATTCCTTGGAAGAGAAGAACGTTGTTAAGGAATTCAAAATAACAGAGTTTACAAATGAGCCAATGTGCATTATTCTTCATGATAGGTGTGTGGATATCCGTATATTGTTATAAAAAGGGCACTGGAAGAGAGATGTTTTCTGTTCCCAGTTTAGTCACTAATTTTCATACCCATGGCAAATCTCAGAAGCTCTCTTGGTCTTAGATACTTCGTCTCTAATGTTAGGTAGGTATATCAAGCATCTTTAAGATTTCTTCATGCTTTGACCTTCTTTGATTCTTTTTTTTTTTTTTTTTTTTTTTTTTTTTGATATGGAGTTTCGCCCTTGTTTCCCAGGCTGATGTGCAGTGGCACCATCTCTGCTCACTGCAACTTCCACCTCCCGGGTTCAAGTGATTCTCATGCCTCAGCTTCCTGAGTATCTGGGATTACAGGTACGTACCACCACACCTGGCTAATTTTTGTAATTTTAGTAGAGATGGGGTTTTACCATGTTGGCCAGGCTGGTCAAGTGACCTGCCCACCTTGACCTCCCAAAGTGTTGGGATTACAGGCGTGAGCCACCACGCCTGGCCTGATCTTCTTTAGTTATAACTGAACATTTTCAACTCCTGAAGTTTTCATTCCTAGTCCTGTCATGCCATTTGCCATTCTTCTTTTGTTTTTGTTTTCATTTTTCTTTGAGACAGAGTCTTGCTTACTCTGTGGCCCAGGCTGGTGTGATCATAGCTCATTGCAGCCTTAAACTCTACTGGGCTTGAGTGATGCCATTCTTATATAAGTTAAAAATTGTCTTCTTTGAGTCACTGTTTTTAGTTTGTTTCTATGTAAACATAATATGGGAATTTTAGTCAACAAAGTTTAAATAATCATAATTATTTCAACTTTTATTAATTTTCTCTGAAAATTTATATTTTGTTATGTTTACTCCCACAAACCTCCTTTATCTTGTATTATTGTGGAATAACTAACCCTTTGTTAAAACAAAATTCATTATTATTGCTTTCTTAATAGTTAATCAGGGTCTGATTTGATTTTACATCATAAAAATTTGTTTTATTTTCAAGAAACTACTCAAAATTAAACTGATTCTGATAATCAATGTTAGTTCTTTTACCTTTCTTTAGATATAAGTTTAACATGTTGATTTGCAATAAGGTAGTGAAATTAAAATCATGACAAGTAGTTGTTAAGCACCAATTATATTTATATACCTGTAATATCAGATAGTAAAGAAGACATTGAAAAATACATGAAACATTTATTTTTGCTGTTTGGGGAACTTAAAATCGAGTTGGGACAACAGTATGTACATAGAAAAAAGTTAAAAATACATAACAAAACATTATGAATGGCAAACTCTGGTATCAAAATGTGACTTCATAAAGTGGAGCAGACAGTGGTGTAGGTTGAGTTTTCTGGGATGTGGTGAAGAGGGACATTGTAAAGAAGCATGGTCATAACCTAGTCATTGACATGTGGTATTGAAAATCAAAGTAACAGAATTATAATAATTTATTCACATTTTCAACATCTAGCTTTTCTTCTATAGATTTTATTTCTTCCCACTTTAATATTAGAATATACCTATCATTTTGTCCTTTATATAAAGCCTTTTTCTTTCTGGGAAACTCTCTTTTTTTGTTCTAAGAAAGGAAATGATACTCACATTCAAAGCATAAACCTGAAATTCCCACGAGACTGCTTGGATGATAACTAGATAAGAGAGACACATTAGGGCAGAAGTGCAGGTCATAGCATATCAAACTGAAAGCATGAGGCTAGAGTCAAGTTTGGTAGATTTTGTTTGTATGTGATCATTTTCAGGCCAGCTGTACAATTTAGACTTCCCCAAATAAGAATAATATTCCTGCCACTGAACAATAAATTGAGCTTCTTTTAAAGCAATAGTCTAACCGACTACTGCAGACTCAGAAATTAGACTTGATCCAGAATAAATTGGGATGAATGACTCCTAATTGAAATAATGACAATTAAAATTAGTAAGCCATAGAACCGCCCGTATGAGCTTTTAGGCTAAAGATGCAGCTTTGTAAAAAATACATAATTTCTAATGGTGATTGTAGGGTAGGAAAGTTTTGGGAAACATATCTACAAGGCTTTCTAATATCATCTGTTGTCTATAAATATACATAACATTTACATCTAATTTGTATTTTGAAAAACTATTTTGAGGAAGTTTCTGCTATGACAAACATGTTTTTGCTAATATATTCTGTCTGTTACATTTGAAATATATTTACAAACTTTGAAAAGAAGACTTAGGGTAAAGGATGCCATTATAATTAAAAAATATATACTATGTGCTGTGTAATAGCTTTGCTTAAATAATGTTTGATTTATAGTATTAGAAATAATGTGTTATGTTCAGTAACTCAGGCCCAGAATACACATATAAAAACTTTAGGACCTTAGTCTACAAATATAACAACTTATCAAGTGAAGGTTTTATCACTTGTTCACAAAATCTTTTATACTCTTTCCACCGAGAAGCATGTGTGTGTGTATGTTCTTTAGCCTTGAACCTAGACTGACCTTAATGTTTCTTTTTAACTAACAGAATGCAGTGAAAAAGATCCTGAATGACTTTTAAAGCTGGAAAAATGTCCACCATATGGGCTGGGACACTTACCTTTGGAGATTTTTTTTTTTTTTTTTTAGCACAAGAAATCTTATAGTATTTCCAAAACTTTTACAGTTGGAGGGAGCAATTAATAATTGCTAGAATTTTGTAATATATATTCTCCAGGTAAAATTTTGAAGTCGTTCTAGGTGGTCAGTTCCCTTTTATTTCTATTTTTGTATGTTTATATTTCTGCCTTTCCTTAAATGCCCTCTACCAATTATAGTAGTCCTTATTTCATCTTTGGTCCAGATAAAGATTAAAAAAATATATTTATCCTTACAAAGCTGAATACTACTTTTTGGCTTTACCCAACCCAATGGCTAATTATGTTGGTAACTGCCATGGTGTCCCACTCTCACTTGCCTTAGGAAATCAATAGATCTATATTTGCCTTATTGTTTTAACATTTGCCCTGTGTCCACAGAAATGTAGTTCTTAGTAATTATTGATTTGACACACACTACATTCTAGACAATATGCTAACTATGTTAGCATAAAAAGAGGGTCTTTTTCATGCTCTGCCATTTTTACAATTCATCTGGCCTTAAATGAATGCTTCACTTCTATCATATCTACCATTTAGCCCACGGAAAAGTGAAAGAGCAAGAAATGGCCCTATTCCACATTTTAAAGGCACTATCAGGAAAATGCAAACAGTATTTTTATTCAAAACATGGTCAATGGGTACATCTACCTTCAGTGGAAGTTGGGAAATGTAGTCTTATTTGGAGAAACAGTGAGACCAACTAAACTTCTATTACTATAAAAGAGAGGAGAATGGATATTGGAGAAATACAGATCACAGAATATTTGGCCATAATTAGACTTATTGACTTGGCTTGATGGCTTCCAAAACGTTAGAGTGAAATTGTAATAGAACAGAGATTTGTAGATTACCTCTGAAATTGAAGTGTGGAGCTATCGATCTCTTGGATTCCAGAGAAATCTTCCCTGAAGAGGTAATATTTGAATTAGATATTTAATGATTACAAGGAAAGTATGAACTAGAAACTAGATGAATTACACTCTATGCTAAGAAAAGCACATCGGAAAAGCCTTAGAATAGATAGAAAGTTGTATAGTATATTTGGTGAAACCTAGTAGTTTAACAGGACTATCATGGAGAATGTTTTTGCACAAGTGAAGTACAAGTGTCTTTGTTGAAACTAGACTGAGAATGTGTCAAGTAAAGACGTTCACAGTTAATCTTGGAGACTTTGAGATCAACTAAAGATTTTAAGCAAAGGATAGACATATTACATTACATTTTAAGCAAAGGATACACACAAAAAACCATGTGTGATCTTTCAGGCTCTACTACAGGCAATGACAAAGGGCTTGCATGTCAGGCTTTATGAGGGACAGTTATTCTCCCCACACTAGGTTTGTTGCACAGCCAGTGTACTGTATTCTTTTGGAGGGAGTTGCAGTCAAGAACTTGCACTGCTACTTCCTCCAGGAAGAACTCCAGAAGAACTCAGAACCTCTTCCTAGAGGTTTGGCTTCCTAGAGAGTGAGAGAATCCTTCCCACCTGTGCTGCATGTTATCTGATCCTCTCTTGGTGCTGTTGTATGGGGACATATAGAACATTAGAGAACTGGTGCCTATTTCTGTCTCTTGCTTACATCATTACAGTAAGTAAATAAGGGGTTGGTTATTGCTGAAGTTTGTCTTGTATGAGTGAACTTTAACACTTGGCACTTTGACACCTATATACTACCTTTCCATTATTACTTATTGCTTTTTAAAAATTAACTTTTAAGAAGTTTTTCAAGGTAAACTTATCCTGAACACAGGAAACCATGGTTTTGTGAATAATGCTATAATGAATGTTCCCATGTTCATTATAGCGTCTAAGTGTCCATCAGTGAATGAATGGATAAAAAAATGTGATATGCACATAATGAAATACTATTCAGCCTTAAGAAAGAAGAAAATTCTGTCATCTACAACCACATGGATGAACCTGGAAGATACTACATTAAATGCAATAAGTTTGGCACAGAAAGAGAAACACCTCATGATCTCCTTTATGTGTGGAATCTAAAAAAGTTGAATTCATAGAGGCAGGGAGTAGAATAGTGGTGATTAAGGACTAGGGGATGGAGGGGACTGAGGTGATGGACTGGGGTGATATTTACCAAAGGATACAACATTTTAGTTAAATAGGAGGAATGCTTTCAAGGGGGAATGCTATAGTCACCATATTATACAACATAGTAACTTAGATAATAACAACATATTGCATACTAGAAAATTGCTAAGAAAATAGTTTTAAAGGGTTCTCACCCCAAATAAATATGTGAGGCAATGCATATGCTAATTAGCTCAATTTAGCCATTCCACAATGTATACATATTTTAAAACATCATATTGGACACCATAAATAGATAGAATTTTAATTTGTCAATTAAAAAGCAAATAATAAAACACCTAAAATATAAAATAGTTCGATATTTAAAAATGCATATTGCTAAGCGAAAAAAGCCACTCTGAAAAGGCTACATACTGTATGATTCCAACTATATGATATTCTGGAAAAGTCAAAACCATAGGAACTTATGTCTGATGGAATAGGGGCAACTTGTTAAGTGTTTAAAAAGATTGGTGGTTACCAGTGATTCACAGAAAAGGGGGAGCTATGAATAGGTGGAGATCAGGGCCTTTTTAGGACAGTGGAACTGTTCTGTATGATACTATAATGCCGGCTATATGACACTATGCATTTGTCACAACCCATGGAACTGTATAACACAAAGTGTGAGCCTCATGTAAACTATGGATTTCTATTAATAATAATAATGTTGAATCAGTATTCATCCATCAATTGTAACAAATACACCACACTGCTATTTTTCTGTAAACCTCAAACTGCTCTAAAACATAAAATCAATTTTTTTAAACTGGGTTTTCACTATAACTCTCAAGCTACAGCCAAGCTAGCAGAATGTCTTACAACTTGAATATAAGCACTCTATTTTTTAATTTTTCTACTAAGTTACTGAAAATTAGTTCTAAACATAATGAAAGCAAGAAATAAACTCTAACCATGCTGTGTTGGTACTTGCACATAGACTTTGGGTAAATGTAAAAGGAGTGATGGAGCAGATGGCTCTCAGTGATTTAGTGGCACACATTAAACTCAATTAGGAAACAATAATGGGAGTTTTGTGCCATACAGAGAGAACTGCGTGTAATAACTTTCCATGGCAGGAATGCTCTCTGAGCTTATTGGGTAGGAAAGTATGCAGAGAGAGGAAACCAACATTTATGTGCTGTTTATTAAGGACAAGGCACTCTTCATATGCTTTTTGAATCCTCATGACAGCTTTTGTATAAGATGAGTAGTTGTTCCCTCATATGCATTCTCCCTTATCCCATAGTTATGTTGATGTTACATATGGCTATCCAGCTGGAGACCTCATTTCTCAGCCTCTCTGGCAGCTAGGCGTGGCCATACGATTAAATTCTTTCCAATTGAATGTGAGTTGAATTGATGTGTGTAACTTCTACATTCTTCACTTAAAAGGAAATTATGCACTTTCCATGTATTGCCTTCCTCATTCCTTTGGTGGACATCACCCAGCTTCAACCAAACGGATGAAGACAACACCCAGACAACACTCAGCCCTCCAGGTTCTTGTTATCTTGTTGCTCTTTCATACCCTACAGGAGCTACACATATTCAGCAGGAGCTGTGGTCAAGGCGGGGCACAACTGCTGCCAAAGACATTGTGCCATTATTGCCAGCAACTGAAAAATCCAATTAGATAAATAAAATGGTCAGGGAGCTCAAATTATGCAAGCTGCAGTCAAGCCTACTAGGGAACCAAAAAAGGCACAGGAAGGTATAGAATGATTTTTTTTTTTAAGAAGCTAATGAAAATAATTAGCATAAGATGTTTGCAGTATATTTAAGAGGTGAGAGTGGTGTAGAAACCACCTGTGTGGGTAGTCAAAGAATATAATTTTAGGAATGTATTTTAAGTCTGTTAACTTTACTTAAAATCTACAGTTGTTGCTAAATATTAAATGTAATGACAAATCCCACAATTAGTTTTGCACCAACCTAATAATTTAATTTTAAGGTAAGCAGCTACTACTATTTAATTTAGGTAATTCTGACGAGGAGGTTGGTTACATGTCATGGTTGCCTCAAAGATTGCCACATACCACAGCTAGCATACTTCATACCTTGATATCTTTTCTGCAAAGCCCTAGTGTATTTAGTCAAGATTTCTTGCTACAAGCAACCCAAACGGATTTTAAGTGATTTTGCAGAAAGGAAGGTTATTTAAAAGATTTCAAATGGTTTATTTAATTGTCAGAAATTGTTTTGTAAAACAGGCAGCGTAAAGGTCCCAAGAAGTGTGAATCTCAGGGATAAATCATGCCTTACAATTATTTGGGTGAGGACAAGATTGTCATTGCTTGTTGAACACTGGATACTATCCTGAACCACTGCCACTGCCTCCAGCATGGATCCTCCAACATCCCTGCTTTCTATTCTACTAGCTCCTGGAATCAAACCTGGGGAAGCTATTTCTGATCGGCCAAGCCTAGTTTATTTGCTATTTTGAGGTTTAATGAAGGGCAAAAGAATCAGTATCTAGTTTTTTAGCCTTTTTTCCTCATGGAAGACAGGTTCCTTCTTTTTTCTTTTTTCTTTTTTTGAGATGGAGTCTCGCTCTGTCACTTAGGCTGGAGTGCAGTGGCCTGATCTCAGCTCACTGCAACCTCCGCCTCCCTGGTTCAAGCTATTCTCGTGCCTCAGGCTCCCAAGTACCTGGGGCTAGAGGTGCATGCCACAACACCTGGCTAATTTTTGTATTTTTAGTAGAGACAGCATTTCACCATGTTGTCCAGGGTGGGACAGGTTCTTCCTCTTATAAGGCCTTACAAAGTGAGGAATTCCTAAAAATAGGGATGGGATTAAAATACTGGGAGTCACACATGTTACTCTTAGATGAGAACTGCCATTTTGCATCTACATCCTAAGAATGTGTATGTATATATACAATGTGTCCAGATGATACACACACACACACAGAGATACAAAATAAAAAAAAAAACCTGTATCTTAGGAGAAAAAGACAGTAACAATTACTGACTGATGTTCTTCTAGCTCTAAATGTAACATTGATCTGTCTCTGGTATAATAACTTCTTCAAAAACCCAAAGAGGTAATGCTGGTGTAGAGTAAATGGAATCATTTAACACTTACGTAAGCTGGGCAAGTAATCTTGCCTGTAATCCCAGCATTTTGGGAGGCTGAGGCGGGCAGATCACTTGATGACAGGAGTTCAAGACCAGCCTGGCCAACATGGTGAAAACCTGTCTCTACCAAAAACAAAAAAATTTAGCCAGTATGGTGGCAGGGGCCTTGTAATCCCAACTCCTCAGGAGGACGAGGCATGAGAATCTCTTGAACCTGGGAGACAGAGGTCCAAGATTATGCCACCACACTCCAGACTGGGAAACAGAGTGAGAGTCTGTCTCAAACAAAACAAAACAAACAAACACACAAATGAAAAGCCACTTATATAACTGTCTACACTGAAGCAGACAAAGAAATAGAACTCATGCATCCCAAGACTTTCTTAGAAGGGTCACATATGGTTAATGAAGCCTCATAAATTTCATTTTAAATTTCTGTATCAAGGGTTCAACCAAGTGTATACGTTCAGTTTTAGGTCATACAGATTATATATTACATGTTACTCACAGGGACTTTTTAATAGCTATGCCGTTAAAAGGGCCTAATTATCAACACACAAGTAAAATTGTATTTATTTTCCAACTCAAAATTATGCTTGAAGATGTAGTTTTTTTCATATTATCCTACAGATTTGAGACTAAACAGGACTTGGACTCCATTTCAATATTTATTTTTCTCTTTGTATGCTGGAAGAGCAAGTACTAGTACTATTTTTCTCTAACTGGAGAAGGTGCGTTTTTAGTTATATCTCCCAACCTCTTGAAAACTTGGCTATGATTACGTAATAAGAAAGTTGGGTTTCTTTTGAATAGGGTAGACAATGCTGGAGTTTAAAAGTTTTATTTTGAGCTGACACTAAAATATATACAGCACAGCTTAGATGTGGACATAATATGCCAGAAATATTTCATGTTTAATTTTTGTGTGGAGGAGTAAGGGTCTCTGCTTTGAACAGTGATTCGGAAATAATTTGCTAGTTGGAGAGACAATATGCTTCAAACATATGTTATTCAATATTGGAGCAAGTTCCTGAGTTCAGTCTTAAATTATTTCTGAGAATGTCCTGTGGAAGGAAAGTGAATTAGAAAAGATTTGATAAGAAAAATTCATTTGCATCCCCTGTACAGCAGAGAACTTGTAGAATGACATTTAAAAGAGGATTAAAGTTGATTTCTTACAAGCTGTAGGATAATCATATTTCTAAGTTAAAGCAGAATTAGGACTTCCAATTCATTTACAAAGTAACCAATATCATTGGCCAGGGATCTCACAATACATTTGATTCTGGACATATGATGCTTGTATCTTTTTACCTCCTTCAGGCTTTTGCTTTTATCCAATATTTTTCAGTGAGAGGGGACTAAGAAATGTGTTGCTATTGACATACAAACTCTAGAATGGTATTTTACAGTCAGCATAAATTAGGTCGTGCCATGCTTCTACAGGTTCTGTTAAATTTATTTGAACAGCATATATCCTTGCTTTAATAAATACTAATTTAAAGACATAAGAACACTGTTGAATGGAGCATGTTCCTCGAGTGAGTAACAATGTGTATTTTTGTGTTGCCAATGCAATGTGCACTTTTGAGATCATGCCACTATCCTTTTGGAAGCTCCAGATGATGGAGTCTATTGGATCTTTTTGGACATAGTCTGATGCTTCCATTATATTTTCCCCTGTGTATTTGTCAAATTTGACTCTTTATTTTGAAGTGAAGCATGAATCATGAGTACAATTTCTAGCTATCTTGTTTACAGTGAGAGTCCTTCCCCACACCCTTCTTTCTTATAAAATTCTGCTCACCTTTGGTATCAACTGGAGTGATCATTAGGAGAGTTGTTCAATGTATATTTGCTCCCCCTCCTTGCACTGAGGGTAGACTGTACTTTTCTGACCCATTTAATGTTGGTCTTGGCAATGTGACTTGGTTTGGCTCATGAAATGTTATAGGGCCCTAAAATATGCTTTCATATTTGCCTTGTTATATGTCCCTGGTGGGGATTAAAACTCATGGAGCAGGTCTAACCCAGACCTTGACCTGGGCCAAGCCCACCTGAGTCTGGTTGAGACTACCGAAACTTCAACCCCACCCCAGTGAGTGAGAAAAATAAGTATTTAACAATGTAAACCACCAAGACTATGAAGTTATTTGTAATTCATCATTTTGTAGCATTAGCTGATTATACACAGTAGTAAAGTTATTGATCTAACATTTTATGATAGATACATGAAGACAAGAAGAAAGAATTTTCAGGGTCTAATTGAATCTTTAAGAGGATGCTGGGTCTATTTCTTTATTTAACTTGATAGTAAATTTTAAATTGCTTATTTTATGTTATTATAGAGGAAACTTAAAATCAATTGAGCAATTACTATATATCCTGCACTGGGCTAAATGCTTTACATGGAGTATCTTATTGAATCTTCACAAAAACCCTGAGAGGTAGGCTGAGTTATTACTTACTATTCTAGAGCTAAGAAAACCCTAACAGAAGTTAAGTGACCTGAGCAATCACTTACCTGATTAGTCATGGATCCAGGATTTGAACAGAGGCAAGTGGGCCCAAGAGGCCATGCTCTTGAAATAATGGCAATGAATAGATTGCCATTATTCTCTGGGTGAGAAAAATGGTCCATTGATCCCAATGTTAAAACACTGAGAGTAAGGCAAGTAGTATTTTATGTGAAAACATCATTGTCTTTATTTTATTGTGCTTAAAAAATCCCTCATAACCAGATTCCCATTATCTAGATTTATGATTTTGATCTATTTTACTTGTATCTCTAGTTTATGTTACTACTTGGTGTAGTCCATATCATAAATTTTCCACTCACAAAGGTGATTTATTTATCCTAAAAATATCTTCTTTGAATTTCATGGTTTTGGTCCTGCATGTAAAATTTAGGGATTTGGTGAAAAAATCTAATTGATCTTATTCATGGCTTTTATATAAATTACAAAACTTAATACTTCTCACATTTAAATCTAAAAATCCTCTAACTTACTAGTTACTTTAGTTATAATCTGTTTAATTTCCTCCAAACTCTTTCCTCAGGGAGTAGTCCTTGTTTTGAACCAGAGTGAAGTACTATTTTCACTTTTGTTTCAATCTATTTTTCTGGAAGATCTTCAAGATTATTCTGAACCTGCAGGACTTGGCCCTTACTATCTTCTGAGATGTACAGGCTCTATAGGGAAAGCTGACCTTCTAAAAGGGCAGCAGTTAAGTCATATTTCACCAATGATACTTTACTTTTCCTTAAAAAGTTTATCAAAAAATTATACGAAGTTACATTTGAGGTTCTCTCTCTGATAAGGATGCTGAGGTTGCAACAAGGTTTTGCTGGCTTCACAATGCAAATACTGAGAGAGCAGCTGCATATATTATACCTACTTTGAAAACACCACTGGTAAGTACTATGTAACATAAGGATTGCAACCAGGGTGCATGTTAGGTGCTAGTAGTGTGGTTCTGGAGGTGGGGGTGATAGTGGTGATGGTAGAGGAGGTGGGAGTGGTAGTGTTGGTGGTGATGGTGTTGGTGTGCTGATGAAGGGATAATGGTGGTGATGGTGATGGTGATAATGATGGTGGTAGTTGTGCTGGAGGTGGTGGTGGTGATGTGGTAGTGGTGGTAATGACGGTGGTGGTGATGTGGTTGTGGTTGTGGTGTTTTTGGTCATGGTGAGGGTGGTGGTGGCAATGCTGTTGGTTTTGGTGGTGACTTTCAGAGTAAAAGTAAAAAGTGTGTCCTGTTTCTTTTTGGCTATGATCTTTCAGTCATGACATAAACAAGAAAGAACAAATAAAATTCGTGACCAGAATCAGGGGAGATTCATATTTATTTAGGTCAATTACAAGCAATTATATGCAATCTAAAGCAGAGTCTAACAAGTATATTGGAGTTGGGGCTGGGATTTGGTTCAATATAGAATTAATTAATTATGATTTATCTGACTTCCTGCTGCTTCAGTGGAAATTCCTTGGATAGCCTGTGTAGTGAAGAAGTAAGCCTTCCAATGTCTACAAATAGAAAATAGCAAGATAGACAAACACACACACACACACACACAAGCAGGTACACCCGCACATATACACATGCATGCCCATATTCACACTTGGCTTTTGTTATGTGTCAACTGGATTACTACTATAGATTCCTTTGGGTCAAGTTTTCAGAAGTCTGTGATATGGGGTTTCAAGGCTTAAAACCAGCCATGCGATGATAATATCATCAATCTCAATAGATTTTGTTTTCACCCCCTTTGCTGGTTTGTCATAAGTGCAAATTGAACCCACTTAACAAGAAAGAAAAATAAATTCACAGCCATCCTAATGGCAAATACAACGTTTATATTTTTATAGTTTATATTTTGAAGAAAGACTTACAGCCTTAAATAAATATACAGGGGATGTGGCAGCCATTCTATGGCACTTTGTCAGGCGATAGAGACTGGTGCACCAATTCAAAGCTTTTACCATATCCACCAACATAAATGCACAGGTATATAATTAAAAGAAAAAGAAGAAATTATATATTTCCTATGAAGAAGGAGGAATACTTCAGAGGCTGGATAAATGATTCTCAGCATGACTCTTAGTATTGTTGTTACTTTAATTGAGGATTGGTTTTGGGTGGAGCTAAAGGTTATGCACATATAATGATGGTTTTTGTGCAAGGTTATGTAAAATATTCTTATACTGATTTCTTTTCCTAGCAGCAGCAGAGGCCTTCATCTTTTCTCTGTCACTCAGGTTTACGACTAACTAGAGAGGAAAACTCTGTAGGAACTAGAGGGACATTTTTCTCCCTTTCTCTTCTCTCCAGGGAGACTTTCAAAGAGTAAAAAGTCAAAACCACTGGATATCTACTACTTATTTTTCTAACTGAAGCTAATTTCTGCACATGACCATTGACTTTATATCCTTCTTTTTATCTACCTGTATGCACTCTGGATAATACTCTGAAAAGAAGGAGGCAGGGTGCTTTGATGGGTGAATGAAAAACAGTCTACCAAACAATGGATTCAACAATATCTTTTAAAGAAAGTAATATAATGTCAGGAGGAAGGGTAAATCACTAAAACAAACAGAAGTAGCAAGTCACTTTCTGCTTCCCCCAAATTTCAATCAGCAACCCTCATTTCGAGGAGCTTAAATGCAGTTTGAGAGCTCATTTGAAACCAGGAGCGTCTGACCCTCTGGATTAGGAACTAATTTCATAGTTCTTAAAAAAAAAAAAAAAAAACCCACAAACTGAAAAACCTTTCTTTGTTCCTAAATCTCTCCAGACTTTGCTGAACTTCAGTTCTTCACTGTCATTTCGACGGCTTATATTCAGAAGCTTCCCTCCAGGCTAAGAAATCATCAGAAGGTGGCCAAACATCTCCCCTCAAAAAAAATAATGATTGTATTTCCTTACATTATATGATGTAAAGCTACCAACCAAGTTACTAATGTCTCCCTCTTTAATATCCAGCATTCAGTTTAAAATTTAAAATTTAAATTCAACTATTATTTGGTTCATGACTTTTGCTTTTCGGACTCCTTATATTTAAAATATTAAATATATACAATAGCAGCTACCTTAGATAGCTCATGAAGGTAATGTCTAAGTAGCAAATTTTCCCTAAGAAACAGTAAGAAAAGTCTTAAGTTTTATTCTACTTAGTGACTAGCTCCCTTTCTGGCAAAAGTTATATAATTGGAAAAATATTTTAAATTGCTTATAGAAACACTGTGATTATGAGACATGTAGTTTAGACAGTAAATTATAAAAATACTTTATAAAATAATAATAACAACAGTAAACCAGAAGAAAGAACCTTCATTTTACTATGTCCCTACTATGTATCTATTAGGTGGATTATATAAGTTTTGGTATGTTACTTAATTTTATTTTCTTTAACTATTAAAGATCAAATTCAAATTAAATATAAAATGCTTTGTCTGGGTAGTCTCAGAGAAAAGAATGAATTCCAGTTTAAGTCTGCAGCGAAGATAAATAATCAATAATTCTATAAAATTCATCTGTTAATATTTCTCATTCTCAAGAAGAATTCTTTCAAACTCTTTTAAATACTTTAATAGCATCTGATTGTTTCCAAAAGATTTATATGCCACTTATAAATAACTCTTGTCTATTAATTAAAGACTTTTAAGAAATCTTAGAGAGTGCTTCATGAATTTCTGGGAGACATTTAAAAATAGATTTCATTTTTAAAATATTATGTCTAATATAGACTTTGTTTTATTGCTATTCCCTTTTCTTTAGTTTTTATTCATTAAACAAATGCTTATCAAGATCTTACTATGTTCCAGAATATGGCAGAAAAGGGGATAGAGACTGTGGGGGATTGACAGGGAGGAGTTGAAATTTTATGTAGGGAGGACAGAGAAGATCTCATTGAGTTGACATTTGAGTAAAGACCTAAAGGAAGTGAGAGAGCAAGCCTCCTGGGAGACGAATATTGTAGGCAGAGGAAATAGCAAGTGCAAAGACCTGAATAAGAATGTACCTAGAGTGTTTAAGTGACAGCAAGGAGTGGGGGGCACTGTGGCTGGGAAGAAGATACCCAGGACAAATGTAGTAGGCCAGAGACACAAGAGGCCTGATAATTTTGATGAGGCTTTTTTTGGTGTGTGTGCCTTTACTTTGAGTTGAGAAAAGATTGCAAGATTTTTCTTTTTTTATTATTTTATTTTTTGAGACAGAGTTTTGCTCTTGTTGCCCAGGCTGGAGTGCAATGGCATGATCTCAGCTAACTGCAACCTCCTCCTCCCAGGTTAAAACAATTCTCCTGCCTCAGCCTCCTGGGCAGCTGGAATTACAGGCATGCACCACCACAGCTGGATAATTTTGTATTTTTAGTTGAGATGGGGTTTCTCCGTGTTGGTCAGGCTGGTCTCAAACCTCCCACCTCAGGTGATCAGCCTGCCTTGGCCTCCCAAAGTACTGGGATTATAGGCCTGAGCCACTGTGCCCAGCCAAGATTGCAATATTTTGACCAAATTTGACATTATGGGATCATTTTGGCTGCTATGCTGGGAATTTTCTGGAGGTAAGCAAGGGCAAAAGAAGTTAGGAGGCTATTGCAATAATTCAAGTGAGAAACAATGACATACTGGGCCAGAGTGGTGAGGGTGAAGGTGGCAAAAGTTGTATTCATGATATATTTTTAGAGATTTATCTGATATAATTTGATTACATATTCGAATGTGAAAAAAAAGAGAAATCAAGAATGACTCAACTTATTGGCTTGAGCAACTGAAATTATGGAGTTATACCTATTTATTAGGAAAAAACAGCCAGGCGCCTGTGGCTCACCAGCACTTTGGGAGGCTAAAGTGGGAGGATTGCTTGAGCCCAGGAGTTAAGACCAGCCTGAGTAACATAGCAAGACCCTGTCTCTACAAAAATAGTTTTTAAAAATCAGGTGGGTGTGGTGGTGTGCACCTGTGGTCCCAACCGTTCAAGAGATTGAGGTGAGAGAAATTGATTGAGCCCCAGGAGATCAAGCCTGCAGTGAGCTATGATCCTGCCACTCTACTCCTGCCTGAGTGACAGAGTGAGACCTGTCTAGAAAAAAGATTGAGAAAGAAGTTTATGACTTTGATTTGGGGATGGGTTTAGTTTAAGAAGGCTATTAGACTTCCAGGTAGTGATGTTAATAGGTAATTGAATATATCAATTTGGATACTAGGTGGTAGGTTGGGCCTCAAGATACAAATTTAGTATAAATTTTGAAATTACTGGCATGTGGATGTTTTAAAACTCCATGGACCTGGGTCAAACAACATAGAGAGATAGAAGAAGAAAAGTCCAGAGCCTGAGCTCTAGAGGCCATCACTTTTGAGAAGCTGGGCTGATGAGGAGGAATCCACAAAGGAGGAAGAGAAGCAGGGAGGCGATGCTGGCGGAGAAGCAGCAGAGTGTGGTGCCTTGGAAGACAAGTGAAGAAAACATTTTAAGGGAGAAGAAATAATGAAGCAAGTCACATGCTGCTGACAGATCAGGAAGGATGAGGACTGAGAATTCACAGTCATAACTTAGCAGGTGGAGGTCGTTGGCAAATTTGACAAGGGCAGATTTGGTGGAAAATGGGAGGTATGATTGGAGAGGATTCAAGAAGTGAAATAGAGCAGCAGTTAGAGGCAGAAGTTGGGTCAAAAGAGAGTTTTGTTTTTAAGATGAGAGAAATAATCACATGAGTGTACACTGATGTAAAAGATATATAGAGAGAACATAGTGGTTCAGGAGAGAGTAAGGAGAATTGCTGAATGAATAATTGTTCTTGTGTTGGGGTAAGTGGTTGGGATTTATTGTACAAATGAATGGGTTGACTTGCCCAGGAGCACAGGCTGCTCATCCTTTGTAGAGGGAGGAAGACATATAAAATCCTGATAGAAATGTACATGGGAGCTGATGGATACTCTTTTTAGAAGAAAATAGGAGGTGTTGAGGATTTAGAATAGAAAATGAAGTCTGAAGTAGACATCTATGAGTGTGCACTGAGTGAACCAGGGAAATACAGTTTGATTGCCAGGAGCACTGAGGGCTGTCTTGAGGTTCGTGGTCATGCATAGGAAGTGAAATTGGTCAGCTTGCTGCTCTTCTGCGTGCTTTTCTCTAGCTACTTAGGCTAATTATTAAAAATGTTTAATGTTTTCATGCTAAAATCATGCACTGAGGATAAAAAATGACTGAGACACAGTACTTGCCCTGGAGGAGCTCATAAGTCTACTGGGTTTAAAGGACCTGTTAGCTCATAATGAAAAAAACATTGTGATACCGTCTACAGTAGTACTACAAGGCTTGTTTATGACGTATACTCAACTGAGTGAAACTTAGTTTTTACATATCAGTTGGTCATAACAAAGTAAAGAAAATCAGTAGAAAATGGTTATTCACTTTGACATTAGACATGTCAGTGTGAAATGTATCTATGCTAATTATGAATGATTGTGAAGTATATGACTTAGAGAAATTATAAAAAATTACTGAATATTAGAGCTAGAATGGAACACATGATTCAGTCCCTTAATTTTACTAATGAAGAAACTCCATCTCAGAGAGGAAAGGCAAATTGTTTTATAGGGCGTGCCTAGTTACTCTCAATCCAGGACTCTTTGAATTCACCACTCCGCTGCCTCATTCAACCCAGTTATTCTAACTGGACCTGGCAGTGGACTTCTCCCTTCTGCAAGGCTGCTCACCCTTCCTTTTTTGAGAACAGAAATGGTTGTGGTTTATTTCAGAGATTAAGCCTGAAAAAGGACTAAAACTACCCCAAAGTGAAAAAGACATAGAAGAGAAAACAAAGTAGCGAGTTCTTCAGGACAGAATGACTTTAAGGAATTTAAGTTTTCTCTAGATTTCTGCCTTTTAATAGTATAACAAGTTATAAATGAAGATTTATTATTTATCATTGGGCATTGTGTAGCATATAGAAGAATACGGAAAGAAGGTCCTTACCTTTGAGAAGATTAAAATCCATAGGCTAAGGGAGAGAACCCATTTTCTCCTCCATTCTGTTCATCTTCCTTTTGTGGTTTCTCCTCCATCCATAGCCCAGACTTACAAAAACTAATTATGTAAATGGAAACCTTATGTGTAATGAATCTAGTCAGTAGCTTTCCTCTTAAATCTCTGAAAATATCAAATATCAATTAACTTTGGATAAACAATACCTGTGGAAATAAGAAAAGATTTTTTTTGCAAAGGATTTATTAAATACACTTAGTCCAACCAGTCCCACTAGTCAATTAGTTAACTAATTAGTGAATTGATATTTGAGTGTCTATTACACACCCTGAACAACTTTAGAAGGGACATTATATATGTTAATGATACATGTATAACATATCATACATGAAACATGAAAATGGGTGGTTGGTAATGAGTTTAAGTTGATAAAGAATATCTTAAACAACTTTTGGCTTGTATAGTTGAATACGAATCTTTGATTTCTATTTTTTGAGTCACACACTACTTGTTAATTAAATGAAATTATACAAGTTGGAAATATATCTGTGTTTGTATGAATATGTATATGTATATATACATATATACATTGAAACAGGATAAAGGGGTAATGATAATGCAGTCAATGACTCAGTTTGGTATTTGGGAGTGGAGGACTACCAGACTTTAGGAGAACAGGGGTAATCAAAACTGTACGAAAACTCCTTCTAAATGATGAGGAACAAATAATGAATGAAACGTTTAATATTATTTATTTTTAGCTCCTGTTTCCCTATTTACAGACAAAATAATAAAACTGGAAAGCCACATTCATCTTGTGCCATTCTTCTTGCTTTTTCTTAGTGGTGAACAATCTTCCCTAGTTCTCCATTCCTTTAATTGGGCCTTGGAGAGTCCTCTCAAACCTTTTCAATGACATTCAGCGAACATTTGTGAGTGGTGCCAGGCCAGAATCTCTGTGATAGCTCACAAATTACAGATTGAACTAAAGCCGTATTACTTCTGTTTGCAATGTTTAATGCATGAGTTTTCTTATTTGCTATGGCTAAGCTGATGACACACATTCTTTTTTTCTTCTTAAAGCTTCATGAATTACTGTTAATATGGTTTAAAATATGTTCTTTAGAAATGATTACACTGCAAACCTTTCCTTCTATTGTTTCCTCTGCACAGGATTTGAAGCCAAAGAATTACTCATGAATGATATATTTCTGAAAAAGTCCCAATACTCTGCAGAGATAAATTTAAGATATTTAAAAGTCACTGATTTTGCTTTGACAGCTCTACACAGAGAAAAGTGAGTTTTGAAATATTTGCAGATCTCATCAATACCTTATAAATGAAATAAATGGCATATTTTAGTGCTTATATTAAATCAGCTTCAGAAATTTTTCAGCATTTTCTAGATACAGCTTTAGATATAAGAGAAAATTTAAATGTTTTTTTAAAAAGAGAAAGAAAACAAATTAAAAAAATGCTCAGAACTGATTGCTATTTTCTGTGCATTTCAAAATTTTTGAGCATATTGTGCATTAAAATCCAGCAACTGTTACTTTGAAAACACTAATTGATTAATTAAATAATGCACTTCCCCTTGTACTTCTTTCTTTATTTTTTCACATTGATCATTTTTGACCTTTTTCTAAAATTTTTTTTAGCAACACGGTCTCTGTCACCCAGGCTGGAATGCAGCGGTGCAATCATAGCTCACTGCAGCCTCAAACTACTAGGCTCAAGCCATCCTCCCCCTGAGCCTCCTGAGTAGGCTGGATTACAGGGGTGCATCATCACATCTGTCTAATTTTTAAATTTTTTATAGAAATGGGGTCCCATTATGTGGTCCACTCTATACTCCAACTCCTGGCCTCAGGCAATCCTCCCACCTTGGCCTCCCAAAACTCTGGGATTACAGGTGCTCTGCCTGGACATATTTTATATGTATTAGTTTTTTAAATAGTATTTCTGTAATGACAAGAATGAGAGCTACTAGAGGCCATGGATTTGGTTTATTCTGTTCACTGTTGTATCCCCAGTACCCAGAATAAAGACTATGAAGAGGTGAGATAGTCCCTATCTGAATAATACATGATGGATTCTCCATTAGAAAAGAGGAATTTTTCAGAAAGAGATAACAGCTAGCTCTTACCTAGATGGATAAGTGGTTTCCTAAGCATCTTTGTGTGGGAACACACATATAAATGCACATGTGTGCTTTTTCTGATTAATGACTTTAAGAACCATCCTAGTTGCTATACGAAATGCATTCGTCCCTCCCCAGTGCGAGACACATATTGTCATTTCTAGCTACTGCATCTATCCCCAATTCCAGATGTCTCTCATAAGGTTGAGTCCAGATGTGCCTCCACATGACTCGACAATACATAAATTCCAAATTTACATGTCTCTAAGAGTCTCTTGAGCAAGAAGAACAAGAAATCTTTGCCTTGCCTGGAGAAATGGTTTCTTGGTGAGTCCAATAAAAGTCTCTGCCTAGTTTAGTGCCTTTTGTGGCCACAACTGAAGTAGATGGAGAGGGATTTCCCTTCCAGAAGCTGCAATGCTTTAGTCTCCTACTCTCTGTAGGTTTGGGTTTGTTGGGGATGGGGCAAAAGGTAGAGGATGAATTGCCTGGGCCTAGAGAATAGTAATGACAAGTCTCTGTTTGCCAGAAATAGACTTTCTGTTTTCTTTTTCAGCAATACAAAGCCCTTACAATTCTAATCAACTACTACTTGATTGAGTTTCTTTTTTACTCTTTCAGCTCTCCACGACTTTTGGTGCTCTTATCTCATCCTGGTACTTGACTATAGGCTACCATCAAAACCCTCACCCTTGCCTCCCTTTGCAGTTTGTTTGTTAGTAACTTGCTGTAGAACTCTGCCCATTTTCCAAATCTTCTTGCCATTGGCTTTACTCTTTGCCTGTTCTTTAGATCAACAGGAAAGAACAGGACTATATCTCCCGCCCCTAGGCTTCTTCTCAGCGAAAGGTGTATATTTTTGTATATTATTAATATGAATAATTATTGAGTTATGTCAAATGCTTTGTTGTCCAGTGATTTTTCTCCTCTTTAGCTCTATTTTTAAGTATATTATGGGTCTTCCAATTATTAAACTACACTTGCACTCCTGAAATAAACACCACTTGATCATGATGCATTTTTAAGTGCTCTTGGAATCGTTCTGCTAATATTCAATTTATAAATTTGGCATTAATACTCTGTAGTTTTCACTTTGGTGTAATTTATGTCAGATTTTTATATCGTGCATCCATACAAAAGAATACTATGAAGCTCTAAAAAAGAATAGGAAAAGAATTCTTTTAATAAAACAAGTATAAAATCGATATAAATTGATAGTTACTGCCTTAACCTGATTATATATCTAAATTTATAAACATTTATATACACTTACAAAGCTTAGCCCAAGAGAGCTAATGGGTCTTTCTTAATGAGTAAATATTAGAGATGTTTGCTTTTGTTAAGGTCAGGAAAAAGACAAGGATGCACACTGAGCAAAAACCTAAGCATAAAAAGGCATAAATATTTTAATCTTATACCATAAACAGGGGCAATTAATTATTCCAATATTTTAAAAAGCTTATAAAAATTGAGACGGCCAGGCTGGGCATGGTGGCTTACGCCTGTATTCCCAGCACTTTAGGAGGCCAAGGTGGGTGGATCACCTGAGGTCAGGAGTTTGAGACCAGCCTGGGCAACATGGTGAAACGCCATCTCTACTAAAAATAAAAATAAAAAATTAGCTAGGCATGGTGGCACACACCTGTAATCCCAGTTACTCGGGAGGCCGAGGCACGAGAATTGCTTGAACTCAGAAGGCAGAGATTGCAGTGAGCGGAGATCGTGCCAGCCTCGGTGACTCCAGCCTCTGTGACAGAGCGAGACTCCATCTCAATAAAGAAAAAAAAAATTGAGAAGGCCAATCACACAACAGAGAAAATGGACTAAAGACACAAATAGAAAGCTCAGAAAAATGCAAATAGCCCTTAAATTGATGACAAGAAACTTGATGTTGCCTGTAAGAGAAACATAAATTAAAATTACAAATGAAATATTATATTCAATAATACAATAGGTACTTTCACACATTACTGTAAGGAATACAAAATTATATGTACATTAACCTTGTGATGAAGAAATTACTTCTAAAAATTTATCCCACAGATACACTGGTAAAACAAAGAAAGAAAGAAATTTTGTATGCATGAGGTAATTCATTGCAGCACAGTTTACTATAGCAAAAGACTGGGAAACAACCCAAATTTCTGATTGAAAAAAATATATAGTGCATCTGTACAAAAGAATACTATGAAGCTCTAAAAAGGAATAGGAAAGTTTTCCCTATTCTCTTATGGAGTGAGTACTAGTTCAGTAAAAAAAAAAAAAAAAAAAAAAAAGAGAAGGTGAGAATAGCATGTATAGTCTGCTTCCTTTTGTGTAAGCAGGGGGTAGGATATGTGGTAGACTCTAAGATGGTTTTCAAAGATCCTTGCCTCCTGGTGTTCATGCCCCTAATACCCTTGGAATGTTGGTTGCAACTGTGACTTGTTTTCAACCCGTGCAATATGGCAAAGATGACAGGATATCATTTCCATGATTACATTAAATTTTTTTTGCCTTGTTAACATGTACAGGTTTCTTCTATCTTCTGGAATTAGTTATACGATTATACAGTATCTATCTATCTATTTATTATCTATCTATCTATCTATCTATCTATCTATCTATCTATCTATCTGTCTGTCTATCTATCATCATCTCTGTCTGTCTGTCGATCGATCGATCTATCTATCTCTATCTATCATCTATCTATCTATCATCTATCTATCATCTAACTCACATATCTTCTCCCAGTCTAGCACTTACCTTTTTACTGTATTAATTTTTTCTTTTTGATAATCAACTATTCTTAATTATAATAAAGTCCAATTTATGAACCTTTTGTGATTAGTGCTTTTGTGTCCTTTTAAACAAATCTTTTACTCTCTCAAGGTTCTGAACATATTCTCTTATGTTTTCTTCTAAAGGGTCATATTTTAGCCTTCATATTGAGCTTATAAGATTTCTCAAGCTAAATTGTTTTCTAAATTTTTTTTTTCAAAGAGAAAACGTCTCTCTCTGTCATCCAGGCTGGAGTGCAGTGGTGCGATCATAGTGCACTACAGCCTTGAACTCCTGGACTCAAGTGATCCTCCCTCCCCCGTCTCCCAAGTAGCTAGGACTACAGGTGCATATCACCATGTCCACCTGGCCAATTAAAAACAATTTTTTTAAAAAAAGACGGGGTCTTGCTACATTGCCCAGGCTGATCTCGAATTCCTGGCCTCCTGCCTCAGCCTCCCAAAGTGCTAGGATTACAGGTGTGAGCCACCACACTCTGCTTAAATTAAGTTTTGTGTATGATATGAATTAGAGGTCAATATTCATGTTTTTTTCCATATAGATACACATGACCCAGAACTATGTATTGAAAAGGTAATTATTTCCCTTCCGAATTAAAACAGTCTTCTAAATGGTTTCCTTGCCTTCAATTTTTCTTCTGCTAGGGTCTGTTCTTCCTGCAGCAACCAAGGCAATTTTAAAAAGTTGTAAATGGTATGATATTATTTTCTTCCTCAAAGCTCTCCAATATTCATTGTGGTTCCTCTTATGCTAAGAAAAAGCAACAACAATAACAAAACTCTGTAACAGCTTCTTATCACACTTAATAAAACTAAAGAATCCCATGACCCATACAAACCTACATTATCTGGTTCATATATGATCTGACACCATCTCTGACCTCACGCTTTGCCACTCTTTCCAGCCCTTCTTCTACTGTAGCCATACAACACGGCCTCCTTGCTGTTTCTTAAATTTTGTTTCAAGTGTGTTCAGCATTAGGGCCTTTACTTTACTGTTTCCCTCTACTCAGAGTGTTCATCTTCAGGTATTTGCACAATTCATTATAGGACAGCATTTGCAATGTCATTTCTCTGGAGTGGTATTGTTTCTAAATGGTCTAAAATAGCACCATTTTTTCTATCTCTGGTTTACTTTATCTTTCTTCATAGCACATTTCACTATCTGACATTATATTGTTTATTTGTTTATCGCCTGTCCAACTCCCACACTAGAATGCAAGTTCCATGATGACAGGGGCTTTGCTTTACTTATCTCTGCCTCTCAATCCTAGGACAGCACCAATAGTCATATATTAGTATAGTATATAATACAGCATAGTACATAGTATTATAAGTAAATTATGTATTTAATATATCATATAATATATAATAGTATGATAAATATAATAGTATAGAAGGTAATCAATATTTGTTAAATTATTGAATAAATGACAAAACAAAAATGGATGTCAATGATGTTGAAAGAAATTCAAGGGTTCAGAGTGAAGAGGAGGGTTGAAAATGTATTTCTTCTTTTCCTTTAAACTTCTAATTATTTTGTATCATGATGTTTCTGCTTCCCACATGTGCCTTTGCAGTTATTAATATAGCAAAGTGCAAAAAAGTTTCAAATCTTTTTAGGTTGAAATCTTGATTCTATTATGTAATAGCTCTATGATCTTTAAGACTTTCTGAGCTTAAATTTTCTGTATAATGGAAATTAAAAATATTCCCCTTGGCTAGTCACAGTAGCTCACACCTGTAATCCCAGCATTTTGGGTGGCTGAGGCAGGTGGATCACCTGAGGTCAGGAGTTTGAGACCAGCCTGGCCAACATGGTGAAAGATCGTCTCTACTAAAATATAAAAATTAGCCGAGCATGGTGGAGGGTGCCTATAATCCCAGCTACTTGGGAGGCTGAGGCAGGAAAATCGCTTGAACCCAGGAGGTGGAGGTTGCAGTGAGCTGAGATGGTGTCATTGCACTCCAGCCTGGGCAATAAGAGCAAAACTCCCTCTAAAAAAAAAAAAAATCCACCATTACAAATAAAGCAGGTAAAACTCCTACAAAAATGCCTGATATGTAGTAGAATTGCAAAAACTGTAACAATTTTTATTTTTATATCATTTCCCACTTATAAATTAAAGGAGGGTAGAACTGATATTTTTAAAAAATTTTGTATCCTCCACAGTTATTCCTAGGATTTTTTTTTGCACATATTAAGAGCACATTATATCTTGTTGAATAAATAAATAAATGCAAACAGGCTCTTAAGAAATGAAATAACAAGAGAAGCCTGTTTCCCTCTTTCTCTGTCTGTCCTACATTGATTTACTGATTAATAACAGGATTAATCTGTCCCTGTGCTAATTAGTTAGAAAATTCTCTGGAGAACAATTCCCATTTTGCATAGTCTCTTAGTCCTACAAAATATTTTTGATTTATTACTTTTTCTGTAACTTTAGAGCTAAACCTTTTTGATACCTCAGTATGCATAAGTTGTATATTTCAATGATTTTTTTTCAATAGGCAAAATACTTCTCCCCCTTCCCTTTTCACTTCTAAAACCTCACAAGCTGTTAAAATGTCCATCCCTTCTGCTCCATTTCCTCACCAAAATCCTATCACATACCATATGAATTTTTAACCCTAACACCTGTCTACCCACATGGTTCTAGAGGGGTGGATTAAAAAATATATTAAAAACAGTAAAGCCCACACAAATCCCTATGCAACTAGCCCATAAAGTCTATAAAATATAGTTTGTCAACACTAATTGTCTACTGTATACATAACATCAGTGACCAGAAGAACACAAATGAAATGTATAAATACCACCCCTATTCTACTTTTCTTAGTTCCTGACCAATGATCGTGTTACACTTCAATTTGGATAGTTTCGAAAACCTTGCATTTTATGTTTTTGCCTTATTATCCAGGTGTCAAGCAATCCTCCAGGCTGCTGAGTAAGCTGATCTGTGAGAACTGCTTCCGCCTTAGGGTGTGGTTTATGATAGAGAAGGACAAGAAGGAAGTGTGTTATTGTCACTTTTAATTTGACTCATTAACTACACAAATGCCTGGTATAATAATTTTCTCATTCTTGTATTGTGTGTAAGTAGGGGAGCCTTTGAAGGAAACTCCTTTATGAAGCCTTAACTCTGAATATTTGAAGTTCTACATACTGGGAATCAGTTAATGCCGCTGTAGGGCACCTGGAATAATTGACAAGCTTCTCCTTCAAGCCTTCTTTATTCTCTCATACTTCCTCACCCTAACCTCACTTTTTTGCATCTGATGATCCAGTTGGCAGCCAAGGGGAAGTGATGTATGGAAGTAGCCCATCCTACTGGTGAGAAGTATTTTATTAGACATTGTTCAGAATCACTGGTACATGGTGATAAAAAAAAAAGCAGCCCAATTTTTAGTTTATTTTATCATTGTTTTAAGATTTTAAATAGACAGTCTAATCTCTTATTGCTGGCACCCAGGGCACATCACTCCTACCCACCCTTGACATGCCACTGATCATATGCCAGAGTTGATGTCTCAAGAGACATTGAGGCATATTGTTGTGAGGCCAATTCAGTAATGAGAAGATGACTACTTTGATGAAAAAGAAACACCTATCTTAATCTCATTCTGTGTCAGGCATTTTATTTAGGAAATTGCATTTAGCTATTTTTTCCACCTTTGCTTACTCTTTTTCTTTTTGTTTTGGGAAATTTTATGCTTAAGGGATTTACTGGTGAGGCAAAAGAGTCAATTTATCAATTATTTAAGTCCTCTGGTCTACCCTCTTCTGCCTGCTTTAAAGGTCACCAGGAAAGAATAAAATGAAAACAATGAATTTGGTAAAGTACAACTTTATGCGGGAAGCAATGATTTCATCACTGATTAATAAAATACAAAGGAGACCAAGTTTGGGTATCCTAATTAAGCCATTTACTTGGCTATGCTTTATAGCCTCAGACCACAATCCAATCCTAATCTTGATTTTTTTTTTTTAATCTTGAGAAAACATGTCCTCTTTCACAAGGTGTTCGGGGCTAGAATGTTCAAATACTATTGATTCTACTAACATTTTGGAAAAAGAACTCAAAAGACATGTCTTGTCCAGTGAAATATCATATTTCATTGTATCTAAAATGCCTTTAATAATAAGATTTTCCTTGATTTCATGTCCCACCAAGAAAAAAATGATGCCAATTATGTATGGCCATCTGCCTTGCTTTTTAAAATTACCTAGATGTTTGTTTTAAATGTATTGCAAATAGTTTTTGAGGTCCATCTTGACATAAATTTTGTAATTCGTCACACATAAGTATACAAAAACATCTTTAAATAAAATGAGTTACTCAAGATAGCTTAAAAAGTTTCACACTAAGAATCTATTTTACATCATTTAAAAATGGAAAGTTGTCAATGTCTATGTTTTTTCCCAAATAATATTAAATTATGTGTAATCAAGACTTTTGGTGATATAGCATTTCTTTAAAAAAACATTCCAATATTGTCGCCAGGATTTTCTTTGATAATAGTGCTCTTTTGTGTTGGGCAAGCAGGGGCAACAATGGTCATCCTAAATTAATGACCTCAGCTTCCACCTTATGAAACCAGAAAAAAGAAGAAAATAAAATCCAAAGACAGCAGAAGACAGAAACTTATAAAGACCAGAGTGGAAATTAATAAAGATATAATGGAATAACATTATAGGGAAAATCATTGAAATTAAGAGCTGTTTTTTTGAGCTTAATAAAATTTAAAAGCACCTAGTCAGATTGATCAGAAAACTATAGAAAAGGCACAAGTTAACATTATTGGAAATCTAAAAGGTAATGTTATTAATGCTGTACGGATATTCAAGGAAAAATAAGGAAATATTATCAACTCTATGCCAATAAACTTGACGTCTTTGATGAAATTGACAAATTCCTTGGAATATACACACTACCAAAGTTTACTCAGGAAGAAAATAAATATGAGTCATCTAGATTGGAAAGGAAGAAGAAGAAGAATTGTCTTTATTAATAGATGACATGATTGTCTATGTAGAGAATCCAGTGAAATCTGCAAAAGAGATACTAGAACTGAGTTTAGAGATGTTATAGGGTAAATGATCAATATACGAAAATGTTTTTTTCTATATGCTAGTAATGAACTATTGGAATTTAAAATAAAAAATATGACTTACTATATCAAAAAATTTGAATAAGTAGAATATATTTTACAAAGATGTGAAAGACTTGTACACTGGAAACTACAAAACTTTGCTGAGAGAAATAAAGAATACAAAGGAATATAAGGAAACTTCAGGGAGTGATAAACATGTTTCTTGTTTCTGATGGTATCCAGATATACATATGTGAGTTGTACACTGTATATAGGTGCAGTTTATCTATTATTTGTCACTTATACCTCAATAAAGCTGTAAAAAAATTAAAAAAATTACAGTTTTTAAATTTTCTATGTTGTGAGGAATAGTAAAATAATTAGGTTTGCTTACCTATACTTCTGTTTCTCTTCTAGCTACAACACAGAATTACATTTTTATACCTCTTTGAAGTGAGGTATGGTCATATCCTTTACTTTGATTAATGAAATATGAGCAAAAGTATCTTATGTCCCTTTTTAATAGAAGCATTTACAAGTTTGTTGGTGATTTCCTGCTGCTATGTTACAAGTCGTTGTCCACATGTTGAGCCTCCATTAGCCTGGGATGATGTGGAGCAGAGCTGATGACATGTGATTGATATTGGCCTATTGCGATATTTAGTTTTGTTGTTTTAAGCCAGGTGCCAGCAAATTTTCTTCTGTTAAGTTCTGGATAGTAAGCATTTTAGGCTTTGCAATCTCTGTTGCCACTACTTAACTCTGCCATTTTTGTACAAAAGCAGACATAGAAAAAATACAAAAATGAATGGATGTGGCTGTGTTCCAGTGAATTTTTATTTACAAAAACCAGCAGTTGTCCAGATTTGATCTGTGGGCTGTACTCTGCTGTCCCCTGTTGTAAGCCATTGAAATTTGGGGTTATTAACACAGTTTTAACTAGCTTATCCTGACTAACAGAGAAATTGAGACACAGACTCAAGCCAGGCTTGATATGGAGTACTAAATGGGAGATCAGTTTCCCTTTCTTCTTCCAAGCCAGAGTAAAGTAGCAACTGTGTGCATCCATGTGCATTGCCAAGGTCAGTGGAATGGTGATTTCTCAATAGCCAAAGAAGAGGAGGTTACATGGCAGCACTATAAGTGCCATTTATGAGTACATTTATGACAACACCTTGAGACACTTCCAAAATGATGAGAGCAACCATATTCTAGACATCAAATATATAGGAGTTTGATCTATTAAAATTTGAATATTTATTGGAATTATGACCCTATTTTTTAGCTTTCAGCTGGACTTGTCAGGAAAATTGGGTTATAAATATCTTATTTAAGTCATTGTTAAAAATGAGTATTACTTACGTGTTTAAAAATGGAGGCTAATGTGATATTAGATACCTTTAATATAAATGACTTGAATATAATACTCTAATAAGAATAAAAATTCTTTAACAATCTAATATTACTGGCTCCTCACATTGTCAGTAAAAGTAATATAAGATATGGCTTGTAAATTTTCCTTAACAATAGGTTGTACCACATCCAGTAATTACTGAAAGTTTCTAGGATGATTACTTGCCATATGAAAACCTGACTTTTTTTTTGATACACAGTCTTGCTCTGTCACCCAGGCTGAAGTGCAATGGCGTGATCTCGGCTCACTGCAACCTCCGCCTCCCTGGTTCAAGTGATTCTCCTGCCTCAGCCTCCCAAGTAGCTGGGACTACAGGTGCGCACCTCCACACCTGGCTAATATTTTGGTGTTTTTAGTAGAGACGGGGTTTTGCTACATTGACCAGGCTGGTCTCGAACTCTTGAGCTCAGGCAGTCCACCTGCCTCGACCTCCCAAAAGTGCTAGGGCTACAGGCATGAGCCACCGTGCCCAGCCAAAAACCTGACATTCTATCTGCGCATCACAGACATACACAGGCAACACCTCACAATCAACAAGTGCTTTGATAAATGTTCTCTATTTGATAATTATTGGTCAGAGTTATGGATCCCATTTGATAATTTATACACTTCTGTGACAGTGGGAGGGAAATATGAGTCTTGCACAGGCTCCTACAGATTTTCTGTCACCTTCACTCATATTTCATTGGCTAAAGCAGATCACATGGCCATGTCTAATGTCAGAGGGAGTGTGGAAGTAAAATCCTATTTTGTGCACCAAAGGAGAACTCAAACATTTGGGGTTAGCCCTAAAGAATATTACAGTTAGGACACTTGTCTAACTCACTTGGCTACTTCTAGTTCCAATCTTATATACATGCATTTTATATATCCCCTCTCTACTCTTTCTATTGTACTATGGATCAATATTGAGTCTGTTACATAAGCTATGAAGTTCTCTTTGAGTTTACAGGAGGAAAAAGTGAAAAAACTAAACATGGCATAAGAGATCTGCCTTAATTATCCCTGTTCTCTCTAACATCACCAGTCCTGACCTCTGCCTGATTTTCCTTCGTCTATCAATAAGCACACATTTGCTCTCTATTCAAAGAAAACTGTTTTGATCCTCTTGTCCATACTAGCTAAAGTTATTTGCTTTCATTTTGGTTTTAGTAACATTTTGCTCTTCTGTTTTCTTCATATTTCTGACTGTTTCTTCCACATCATACTTTCCAAACATTCTACTACTCTTCTGAGCTCCCAAACGTGGGTATACATTAAGGCCAAATTATTAGTCAATGGCTCACTTTCTCAGAATAAAAAGATTAATGAAATTAGGTTTAAATCCCAAGTCTAGCCCATACTATGTGTGAAAACCTAGATGTTGGTACACCTCTCTAAGCCTACTTTTGCATTGGTAAAAATATTACCCCATAACATTTTTAAGGAGGATTAAATGTGAATGAACTTGGTAAATAACAGATACATTCCATATGCTTTTTTTCCGCCTTCTCCCTTTTCCCCTCTCAAACTCCTTACTTCACACTTAATTTTCTTTTGCCAAAACCAGTATTAAGTGTCTTAAAACTGACTTTGTTGTTTTAAATCACTTCAGCCTTAATCGGTTTTAAGTACCATAGTTCCACTAGACTATTTTGTGCAAGATGAAAAAAAAATATGTATTTATTGCATAACAAAGTGATATTATGAGATCTCTTTGAGGAAGATTAAAGTTCAAAGTTCAAATCCATTCAGTAGGTCAGTTAAAATTATCTCAACGTGGTCTCAATTTACATCTTCTACCAAAATCTTATTAATTCTGTTACATAAACTTATACTTTGAGAGATTAATTTGTTGTGAATTAAAATTTTATGTGCACATGACTTTTCTCTCTCGATTCATTCCTGGAATGTCTTCCATGACCTGTTTATTTATTTTAGATTTCCTTTTTTTCTTTTTCTTTTTTTGAGACAGGATCTTGCTCTGTTGCCCAGGCTGGAGTGCAATGGTGCGATCACGGCTCACTGCAACCTCTGCCTCCCATGCTCAAGTGATCCTCCCGCCTCAGCCTCCCGAGTAGCTGGTACTACAGGTATGCACCACCATGCCCAGATAATTTTTGTATTTTTTGTGGAGACCAGTTTCTCCATGTTTCCCAGGCTTGTTTTGAACTCCTGAGCGCAAGTGATCTGCCTGTCTTGGCCTCCCAAAGTGCTGGGATTATAGATGTGAGTCACTGTGCCTGGCTATTTGAGTTTTTCTTATTTCAAATTTTATTTTCTGTTGTGAAGTCACCCAGGGCTACTCAGGCCACAGAGATCTTATCTCCTCTACTACTGTAGTGTTCTGTGTCTGTGCCATTGATTTGGTGGTAGAAGTATCTCAAAGTGCACTATCATTCATAGGTTTTTATATAATAAGAGAGTATTAGATAGGATAAGCTGTTGAATTAATCAACTTAAAAATCTCAGTAGATTTACAAAATAAAAGTATAAGCCTTGCTCATAGAATAGTTGGAGTGTTTTGGGGATGGACATCCACAAAGTGTTTCAGAGACACAGGTGCCTTCCAGGTCAGTGTTCCACTATTCCCTATAGCTATGCTGTCTAACATAGTAGTCACTGGCCTGCATATGGCTATCGAGCATTTGAAATGTAGCTAGCACTAAATTAGATCTACTGGAAGTGTGAAATATATGCCCATTTTAAAGACAGTATAAAAAATGAAAATTTAGATTTAATAATTTTCTTATTGATTACATGTGGAAATGACAATATTTTATATTTCCTGAATTAAGTAGATTAAATTAAATTCATTATTTAAATTAATTTCACCTTTTGTTTTTGGCTATTAGAACATTTAGAAATGCACATGTAATATTTTTATTAGGCAGGACTGTACCAGAGCCTTATAATCCTCTTGGATTTTCTGCAGCTAGTAGAAGACAGAAGAAACAAGAGAGTCAGATGCTTATAAGCTTTGTATGAGCGAGGCCTAAATATGTCATCCTAATATATGTGACACATGATATATGTGACACATATATCACGTGCGTCCACACATCCTTAGCCAGAACTCAGACATACATTCATCTCCCAGCCTTCCAGCAGGAAAATAAATGTGTGTCCAGGAGAAATAGGAAATTGATTTTGGTGATTGCATAAGCAGCCCTTTCTGCAAAATATATACTATGCATATGTACATGTATTTGTGTTTGTGTGTGTGTGTGTGTGTGTGTGTGCAGGCATGCATATATATCTATATCTATATCTATCTCTCTATGTATCTATGTATCTATCTCTGTATCTATGTATCTGTTTATCTATCATCTATCTTTATCTGTGTGAGTAAATAAGTGTCTTGCCACCCCATTATAAACCAGCTTTTTGAAACTTTTTGGAATCTTTTCCTTCCAAACCTTTCACAGTCACTTAAGTGCACAGAGTCTCACTAAATAATTTTTGATAGATTTGAATATTAGTGAAAATATGGAGGCAGAAATGTATATATCTGAATCGGGAGATACTGAAGATATTGACCTTACTGGAATGTGTGAATGTGCGTGCATAGGTACAGAGGTAGTGGGGTGGGTAGATTGGAAATCAAGGAATTATTGGAAATTTGACAGAAGAAAAACTTTATGAAAGGCAATGAATACCAGACCGAGATATATTCTTTTTTTCTTTTTTTTGAGATGGAGTTTAGTTCTTATTTCCCAGGCTGGGGTGCAGTGGTGCGATCTTGGCTCGCTGCAACCTCTACCTCCCAGGTTCAAGTGATTCTCTTGCCTCAGCCTCCCAGGTAGCTGGGATTACAGGTGCCCACCACTGCGCCTGGATAATTTTTTTTTATTTTTAGTAGAGACGGGGTTTCATCATGTTGGCCAGGCTGGTCTCCAACTCCTGACCTCAGGTGATTCACCTGCCTCAGCCTCCCAGACTGCTGGGATTACAGGCATGAGCCACTGTGCCTGGCCAACAGAGGGATATATTCTTGATGCTATAAAATATAAAATAACTTAATGACTGAAGTGCAATGGGAGATGGTAATTTCATTATTTAGAAAAAACTAATGCTGTGTGCATTGATGTATTAGGGTGAGGAAAAGCCTTGGATCAGTGAGGACTGAGAGAAGGCTATTGATGATGTAGGGAGATCAAGTCAGGTTTATTTAAGATGTGTATTAGGAGAACAGAAAGTGAAAGATGGTGCATTACTAGCCTGCTATTTCCTCTCTTAAACTTCGTTGCTCCACTTTTTCTAAACAAAGACATCAATTCTGTTTTTTTGAGATGGCATACTGCAGACTTCTGTTTGTTTATTCTTCACATGCAAATTACCTCTTGTTTTCCAGCCGGTCTGCTCTTTTTAAAGTCGACACAGGATAGGTGGAAGGCTTATGGCATTGTAGCCCCAAATAACAAGAAAATGCTAAAGTTTCTTCATTTTTAGAAAAATCCCATGTGGTATACCATGAAATCAAGCTGTGACCGTTAGTGTCAGTCTCTTTTGTCATACCAATTGTTTTTCTCCCTGGGGGAGGGTAATGGAAGTTCATACACCTGAGGAAAAAAACACCTTGATCCTGCAATGTCCTTGTGGTTGGTGGAAGTGTCAGTGATGGTCATAGGTACTTCATGTTAACCAATCTGCATTGTCTTGAAAAGAGATGTTATCTCTTTTCTTTTAGTGAAATGTAGAATGGAGTCCATGAAAAATCTGCCATTAACTTAGCAGTTGCAACCGTGTGTGTTAGTTGGTGCACATGCGCATATCTGAATTGGGAGACACTGACGATACTGTCCTTACTAGAATGTGTGAATGTGTGTGCATAGGTCCAGAGATAGTGGAATGGGTAAATTAATAAAGGATATTCTATACTGCATAGTGATTATGGATGAGGGCTTAGTAAATTGAAGAAGTTATGAATATAAACTGAATATTTATTTTTACCATATTGTGATCAGATAATCCTACATTAAAGCATCTAAATATGATTTGTGCTTTACATCTGTTATCAGAATATTTGCTTTAGTACTCTGTTTTAAAATAACACATTCTACTGATATAAGCATTGCAGTGCCTATCATGTTATCTGATCTTTATATTAATCCTTTGGGGTAAGAAAATTATAATTATTTCCATTTATCAGCTAAGAAAACCAGGATTCAAATGGGAAAATGAGTTCCTCTGGTTCATACTATGCGGTGACCAGTAGTGGAGTTCAGGCTGTTGGTATGAGGCAGAAAAGAGAAAACAGGTGTAGTTAAATCTTAATTGGAATGTGATCCAATCAATTGGAATGTAGATGACTTACTTTAGAGTCATCCAGAATGCTTGTTAAAAATTCAGATTTCTGAGCCCAAGTAAGATCTACTGAGTCACAATTCCCAAAAGTAGTGTCTGAAAACCTACATCTGCCATAACTATTCTAGGTGCAGTAACTATTCTATCACTAGAAAGTAGAACTCAATTAGGTTTGGAGTTTAAAAGTCCTAGATTTGAATCATAGCTGTGTGACACCATGCCACTTTTCTTGTATTTAAAATATGGACAATAACATACAACTATGCACAGCTTTTCTTAATGTACAAAACAAAACAGAATGAAGAAATGATTTCTGAAAAAAATGGTGAATGTAGCTTCATGCCAAATGTGGGTTTGCTCTATTCTTGAGAAACACATGAAAATTAAGACTGTTTACCCACAGGAGAATAAAGAAAGAAAAGGAAAATTTGTAAAAATAAATACAGACATCTATTAAAAGAAAATAAACTTGGCTACAGGTCATGCAAGCTTATTTGGCTAACTCAAGAACTCATCTGAAAAACATGGGCCCCAAGCTTAGAAGGAAACATAAAACTTGTGAACTCATAGGTGGGAACTGAAGAGTGAGAACACATGGACACAGGAAGGGGAACATCACACACCGGGAACTGTTGTGGGGTGGGGGGAGGGGGGAGGGCTAGCATTAGGACATATACCTAATGCTAAATGATGAGTTAATGGGTGCAGCACAACAACATGACACATGTATACATATGTAACAAACCTGCACATTGTGCACATGTACCCTAAAACTTAAAGTATAATAATAATAAAATTAAAAAAAAGCTTGTGAACTTCAGAGTTTAGGTTGTCTCTAGTATGATATAACTCTGATTGCCTGCTTGGTTAAGTTTTTTTAAAAAATTCAATTTCCCTGACAATCCTGGAAGCAGAACATGAATAATTTTCAAAAGAAAAGAATCTTTGTTGTTTGCATAGCACAGCTTCCCATTCAGTTGGAAAAAAATTACTAAAATTTCCCTTGAAAAGCAGTGATTGAAATGTTCTAAAAAATTCAAAGAACTTTTTTGAAAATATCAGCTTCAAAACAAAATTTCTCAAGGTTTTTATAAAACCAAAACACCAAAACCCTGATGGGTGCTCTCTTATCTCTGGCCCATATGTTGTTAGCTAATCTGATGCTCTGAATATTTTGGAAAAAATAATTTTATGTATCATGGAGACAGATTTCCCAGTGCCTCAGCTTCATGCTGGGATTGGGTCAAACACTAATGGAAACTTACTTATTTCTGTCAGGCAGAAGAGATAATAAGAATAATCAGCCTTTTTTGAACCCATATTTTGGGCCAGACACTGTACTAAGCACTTGGAAAATAGACGAATAAAACAAGATTCCTTCTCTGTAAACATTGACAGTTTCATATTTATAAACTGTAGAAAATAATTTCAGATGCTGAGAAACCTACATCAGCATCTATCATTTCTTCAGTATCCTTTAGATGTGCAACGGATGTAACTTTCAACTTGATTTGGGACTTTAGGGATGAAAAATTTTCCTGTTATATCCATTATACAAAGAGTTGTTTAGTGAGTGACTTAGATTTGGTCATCTGGTGAATCAAGAATTTAGGATCCTTCTTGGTTTTGACCCTGACAACCTGAGAAAAAGGATCAGCTGTTTTGAAAGTTCACTAAGACTTCAGAAAGAAAAAGTATTGAGAAAATCTTTAAATAATTTTGGGATCCATTTTTGGTGAACCAGTTGGCTAAATCAATGTTTAAGAGGTAGACCAATGAGAGGAATTGGTTTCATTGATTGATTGATTATGTGATGCTTGAAGGTTGAGAGAATTGATTTAGAAAATAAAGTACATATAAGTGAGAGAAGTATTACATTGCATATACTGGATGAGAAATGAACTCATATGAAGAAAATTCTAACTAAAGGTGCTAGGTTGATTACCATCCCACTGGTTCTGCCTGTTAATTTTTTAAACAATAAAAATTTAATTCTTCAAATCACATTTCAATTTTGTCATCATGGTTACATTATAGGATACTTGATAAATGAAGAGAATAAACATTTTTGCAGCTGATAACAAACATAACTCAAACATAGGTCACATAGTCTAGCCTCTGATTCAAGGAACTAGAGCTGAGAAGTGACTCATGTATAAGAAGTCACATCCTAGTTTTCCTGTTGTTGGTGGAAATGTGCCCTGACTGTCTCACAAGGATGTTGGAGAGACTCAAAGGAAGGAAATGCCTTTGAAAACTGTAAAAGTAGCATGCAAATGTTATCTATTATTGTAGTATATCGCCTTAAATATTGGTTGTATAATCTCTGTGCAGTTGCATGTTAACTTATAGTTGTACTTTACAAGGGGAGTTCTGCCAAGAATGAAATCAAATAAACATAAAAACAAGCAAAACAAGGAAACAAAAACATTAAGACATCCTACAAAGCCACATTTCTACTAGGTCCCATGAAAAATCTTTGCTATTTGTTTTTCAGATCTGAATTGAGCTTGGCTTCAAGAGACCAAGAAGATTCCATTAAGCATTATTTTCTCAAGGTATTTTAGGAAAAAAAAAAGAGTCCATAATTTTACAAAACAACTGCATTTTTCCCTTTAAAATTCACAGTGGATTTTATAGGAGAACCCCCCCCCGGTGGCTTTTTTTTGAAAGGTGGTAACATCTATTCCTACCTATTTTTGTTTGTTAGTTTGTTTGTTTTGTTTTAGAGCTTGGATATAGTCTCTTCCAGGAGGGTTTGAAAAGCTAGTTAGCTAAAGTGGAATACCTTAGGCTTAGGAACTGCTTAAGAAGCAGTTCTCAAGTTACACCTATTGCCATTCCATCTATGGTATGAATTTATGGTATGGATTTACAGTGTACAGAGCACATTCCCAGAAACACCGGTCTAAGGAAATAGTAATCTCTACTATTCCAGACATGTGAAGGTTTGAAGGTTGCATGCTGAATGTCTGTAGAAATACTCGGTGAAGACTTACTTTTGGTTTAGGAATATTATCTGTTTACCAGAAGCAACTTCTATGCACAAACCCTCCAATTATCCTGTTATTTTCATTACTTGTTAAATTTATGCTGACCACATTAAGTGGCAGATCAATGGGCAGAATGTTGATTCCTTTTTGTTATTAAAGTCTTTATACACTCATTTTGTTTACTTTTCCTAACTATTAGTTTTTGCCTACCAATTTTTTTAAGCTTCGTTATCTTGTGTTTCATTCATTTGACTGATATTTGAGCATTTGCTTTATTCTTGAAACTATGCTAGGCACTGGAGTTAAAAGATGAACAAGACATGGTCCCTGCCCTGAAAGCCTGTAGATACAGCACTGAACAAGAACACTATTTTCTTTGCTTTTAAGCAGCTTCTTGTCTGCTTTTAGGGTTCTGGATTATCTGTCTTGCTTCTATTTCACTGCAAGCTCAAGCATTGATATTTCATCCATATCTCAACTATGATTTACATAATTGATTTCTAACTGTCAACCTTTTCATGCTACACACCTGATTACCTATACCCAGCTTGGCATTAACAATTAATTTCTTAGCATTTCTTTCCATGACCCAACATATGACCAGGTAGGCTATTTGGGGTCCCTGTATTGCCTCAAGGCTTTTGATCTGTCCTGGCTGCACAACCACCACATGTGGAGCAATGAAATGCTTATAGGTTATACAACTTCATCAAACAAGTATTCGAAATTTATTTTCCTGGTCCTGTGAAACAGGTTGGTTGTTCATCTAAGATGATCTAGGAATGCCAGTGGAAGGTTTTTAGTGATTTTAAAGCAGTTTTTGTGCATATAAATGAATTAGATGTTTCTTTAGCTTTTAAATTTGTACTAAATTTATTAAAGTATTAAACCCCAAATCTTGTTTTTCTTAAGCTTTTAATTTTCAGATGTTTTGAATTTTAGCAGTCAGTTCCAAGGGGGATATGATTGATCAACTTAGAACAGAATAATAATAATAATTAATAATTATTTGGTAATCAGTCCATATTTAAAGTTCATTAGTTTAATTTTCTAAAACATTTAAAACTGTATTTATAAATTAAATATATTCAACTTTCTTTTATAAATACTTCAGATATTTGACCCAGCAAGTACATCCTTCCCAAGTACTGAACTCTGATATATCTCACAATTAAAATTAAAAAATACACTTAACCATGTTTAGTTCTTGGAATCATTTCAAGAATTTTTAGAAACATAAATAAATGATCTTATACATTTCAACTTGAAATCAGAAAGGTGAAAAAATTATTTAATTATGTATTTTGCATACCTAATTAAGCATCCACATTTACTATTAAATCACAAGGCTGAATCTTAAAGATATTGATCTAATTTTACAAACAGTTTAAATACTAAATCTGCAAATTAAGCTATGCACAAAATTATTAACATGGATTTGATTTATTTAATAAATCTACTTAATTAAAAAAGACACTTTGCCATTGGTTGAACAACTTTCCAAGAAAGTTGTGGCTACCAATCCCAGGAAACAGGACCAGAGAATTTTGGCCAGGACATAAAATTTAGGATTGCAGATGTACAGGGTAGTTTTTATTACCGTTCTGACAGATATGTTGGGTTCTTGTTTGTAGTCTCTACAACAATAGGACCTTTATGTTCTACAAAGAAATTGGTAATATAGCCCATAATCCTGGGTACAAGTCACACCAGCAGTCAATTTTTTCGTCCAAATTGAGTGAACAGAAAAGTCTATAACTTCCTCCGCTGACGGTTTGAACTTGAACCTCCATAAAACAAATCTGGTTCCAAAGATACCCTAGCATTATTTCACTGGATAGTTCATACCCTTGTGTAAGCCTTCTTTAATTTTTAAAAGGATTAATTGTGGTAAAATACACATGACATCAACCTTCCCATCTCAACTCTTTTTAACCATGGTTCAATGTCATTAAGTACATATTAAGTTTACATTGTTGTGCTACCATCACCACCATTCATCCAAAGAATACTTTTCACCTTGCAAAATCGAAATTCTGTACGGATTAAACAGTAAGTCCTCATTCCCTTCTCACAACAGCTCTGGTAACCACCACTCTACTCTACTTTCTGTCTCCAAGAGTTTGATCACTCTAGGTACTTTAGATAAACAATATCACAGAATTTTTTTTTTTTTTTTTTTTTTGTGGTGAGCTCGTTTCATGTAGCACAATGTCTTTAAGGTTCAACCATGTTTTAGCATGAGTCAGAATTTCCTTCGTTTTTAAGGCTAATATTGCTTTGTACACACATACCACATTTTATTTATTTATCTGTTAATAGACACTTGGGTTGCTTCCTCCTTTTGGCTATTGTGAATGAACATAGATGTAAAAATATTTCTTCAAGTCCCTGCTTTTAATTATTTTGGGTATGTATCCAGAAGTTGAATTGCTGAATCACAGAATCATCAAATTCTATTTTTAATTTTTTGACAAACTGCCATACTGTTTTAACCTTCTTCAACTTTATGTCCTGAGAAGGTAACAAGAGCTCTGTTCATCCAGTGCCTCGCCACCAATGCTTCTGTTGCCTTAAAATACAAATAAACAAACAAACAAACAATTCTTGTACTAGATGACTGAATTCATTTAATAATGTTTTCTGAGTCCAGGACCATATTGACTGGATCTTGCTCATCTCTCATGGCTTTGCCTTCATTTAGAAGCAGGGAAAAGTCCAAGGACTTTGCTGGCATAAGTGTCATCACGGTATCAGGAGAAAATTGTTAGAAATGCAGAATCTCAGGCCCCATACCTGATTCTGATTCAGTAGAATCAGAATCTGGATGTCAACAATATCCCCAGCTGATCCTTATGCACATTAAAGAACATGAGAAGCAGACTTAGATGATTTCTGACATTCCTTTTTATTTTGGAAAAATCTGTAAGCTTTATCATGAGCTCAGATATTATTATCTAATATTTATTAATTATTTTTATTCCTTCGGCTGGGTGAGTGCCAGATTTCAATGGATAAAGACTATAAGACAAATGTTTGGTCACATATTATACCAACAGGGAGCACTGGAACACTCTAAAATGCAGGATGTCTGGAAAGTCAATTATTTAAATGACACTGGTCTAAAGGTCAAGGACCTAGAAAAACACAGAAATGCAGGCAAGAAGTCCAGTAAAGCAATGACCAATTTACAGTAAACTTCTCAATGGCATGAATCATGTCTTGTTTAACTTTGCATCTTTGGAGCTAATACAATATGTGGCACATATTAAATGTTGAATAAATATTTGCCCAATTGAGTATTTGCAGACCTAACCAAAACCATCTGGGACCTTGGCATAGGGATCTGTAGTCACAGCACTTGAATGAAACAGCTATGGACTCCATCATAACTGGTGCTGTTAACCCTTGTGAAGACTGAGACCTTTTTGAGGGTAGAGCCTAGGCAGCTGTATTTGGCGGTAGTTTGACCTAAAGCAGCTCTGCCATTAGAGTCTGGGGAATTTTAAGTTCTAACAGTGTGAAGCTGGACTCTAAGTAGAATAGGGTAGTCTTTGGTCTTTAGGAAATCACTTTTTAAAACAGACCAAATGGTTGCAGAGAAAGGTGACCTAGCTTTGAGAAAACCCAATACATAAATATCAGAACTGCCAAAAGAGATAAATGTTACTGTCATGAAACTGCTTTAAATTTCCATCCCTAAACCTCATTTTAAAATAGCTTTATTTTAAAATGTTCTCTTCTTTAGGAAGAGCATAAACTCCTTCAGGAAACTGTTTTGGGAACTCAGTACTAGGACAGGTTAGAAAATCCATTTATTGCTAGAGTGTTTCTGAAGGAAGATATATTGGACATATAGTTCAAGGTCACTTAGCTACTAATTCCAATGAAAGAAAAACATAGTGAGTGCTTGTCATGTTTTCTTTTAATGATGAATAAAATAGTAATGTTTTTCTTAAATATTCTGGTGTTAGATGTTAAAAGTAACCTTAAACAGTCAGAAGAGAGGCTCATGGGCGAAGATGGAGCTAGGATTGGTTAGAAAAAAAGTTTAATTGATTCATTTAGTAAGTCAGACAAAAGAAAATCTGCCTTTTGACTAACCTGGAAAGAGGTCAAAAATTTGCCCCAAGACAAAGTGTTAATACCTCAAGAAATATTGATACCAGCTGGCCTAAATTTTGAAGACTTGGCTTCTCAATAACTTTTAAACTACAATGTAGGGAATTTGACTTCAAATTAGAGTTCAGGATGAAATGATAAAGGAAAAGTTAAGGACCAATAAAAATGTAATAGTAATGTTGCAGGAATTTCCTTTTACAATTTTTTCTAAAATGCGGTATTAAAATGCATCCATTCAACTAATAGTCATTGAATGTCCAAAAACTGTGCTAAGGACTATGGGACATCAAGATGGGAGAATAAGGTTTAAAAGCTACAATTGGACACAGTGAATAAGAGCTACATTTGCGCTAAAAAACAAACAAAAAACAAAAACAAAAACGTAGCACTTACCCGGGTTTGGGTCGGAGGAAGGATATTACCTCTTACTTGGACAATCATGGGAGAAATGACATCCAATTTTAATTTTTACTGAAGGAATTTTTATGAACAAAGTGCTAAAGCATTTTAGATAAATGGAATAAATGAGTGAAACCTTAAAATATGCATTGATTTAGGCTTACTATGTGCTAGGTGCTCTAGGCCAGCACTAGATTAAAAAGAAAAAAAAATACACAAACGTATAATGAGAAAAAAACGTGAGAAATAGTGATCACACTAGATTTATAGATTTGCTTTTCTGTATAAACTGGAGACTGAGAATAGAGATCTTAGAATGCCAGGCTAAATCTGATTATTAAAATAGCTAAATATAAACAGCATAGAAAGTTATATTTCAGTGAATTAAATGAGAAATCATTTCTAGTTTTAATTTTATTCTCAAAGCACATGTTAGAGGAACCACCACCTGGTGGCAGGGTACATACATTGCATCTTCTGTCACTGAGAAATGACAATAACCATTCTAAAGTCTCAAGTGACAAACCTTCATTTGTAAAGTGACAAACGTGATCACAAAGTAAGAGGTGATTATTCGTTGTATAAAAGTCTTCTCCACCAGACTTATTTCTAAATGGAAACCCTTATTTCTAAATGGAAACCCTTGAGTTCCCTTGTAGGGAAAATAGATATTTTCCTTACAAATCATGATATCATTTAAATAGAAAAGTGGTGAGAATTCTCCCTGTTTGTTTGTCCAAATTACTTTGACTGCTAGCAATTATAATTCCACCAACTGCCTAATGACAGTATCAGCATTTGATGTTCCACTCACCTTCTTCCCTCCAAGTATTGCCTGGATGTCGATGCCCAAGGCAACCATGGAAGTCACATGTTGAAGAGAGCAGAGACACATAAGACAGTGTCCCTGAACGACTACATGAAGCAGAAGCTTCACCTTTCATCTCCAGCCCCACTCTCACTTGACATACCACCTAAAATTTTTACTTGAATGAAAAATAAACTTTCTCACCTGTTTATAGGTTTGCCTATTACAGCAGCTAGCTTTAATATACTATGTAAAGTAACAAGATTGACCGTGATTTTTTATTTTAGTGCCTCTGACAGTGTATCAGTCAATAAAATACAACATGCTAACTCTGAATCAGTTGAAAATATTTAATTTTAGTTGGGTTTTCTGGGGTAGATGTCTTAGTCTGTTAGCTTTGCTATAAAGGAATACCTGAGGCTGGGTAATTATTTTTTTTTAAGAAAAGGTTTATTTGGCTCATGTTTTTGCAGGCTGTAAGAGAAACATGGCACCAGAACCTGCCTCTGGTGAGGAGCTCAGAAAGCTTCCAATCATGGTAGAAGAGGAAGGGGAGGAGTGTCACCTGGCAAGAGAGGGAGCAACAGAGAGAGGGAAGCGGTGCCACTCTTTTTTAAACAAACAGCTCTCTTTTGAACTAATACAGCAAAAACTCACTGATTACCTCAGGGATGGCACCAAACCATTCATGAGAGATCCACCTCCATGACTCAGACACCTCCCAGTCAGCCTCACCTGCAACACTGAAGATCAAATTCCAGCAAAGATTTGGAAGAGACCAAACATCCAAACCATAGCCACATGAGGGAGGTCTGTACGATTATTAACAGATTCCAATAAGTCAGGATTGAAGATTATGTGTGTGAATCTTTTGTTTTACTGATAATAGGTACAAATGAGAGGAAAGGTGATATTCAATGACTCACCCAAAAACTTAGTTGGAGTGTGGAGAGGTGTCTGTGCATGTGCATGAGAGCGTGTGTAAATTTTGATACTTAGGTTTGCACATTTTCCATTATCTTAATAGAAACAATTGTCTTAACAATATGTAGCCTAATTCCCATTGTACCTGCGGTTAAAATGAAAAAGCAGTTTGGTTATCATCTAGTGAAGAAGATTTTCTATACTTAAAACATAGTTATCATCTCTACTTTATTTTCCCTGGCTACAATAATCCCAGTTCCATTAAATTTCTTAACCAAATTTCTCAAATAAAGCTTACCAAATGTTTATAAGTTTCCTTTTAGTGTGAGCCCAGCTTTGTCATTGACTTTGTAGGCCTCAGGCGGTCATGTGAATGGTTTTATACACATCATAGCTTATGACGTGGCTGAGTAAATAACATTTAATGGTGGATGGGTTATAGTGTGGATTCACATACAGGGAACTGTGCAGATGCTATGTGACTAAAACTAGGCAAGTTTTCTCAGCTGGGACACAAGGGGACAGATAAGAACAGTGGTAACCTAAGCCTAGAGGACTCCTTATGCTCTCAGTGCCTAATATCAATATTAACTCTTAAACTTTGGAATAGACTGAGCCTGTAAGTTGCTGAATAATAGTTTGAATTTTTGTACAGAGCAATACGAAGCAGAAAAGAGGCAAGTTTCAGTATACATCTGGATCTTTCAGTCCACCTTACATGACTGACTACACTTTCCCCATTTAGTCTGTGTTTCTTCTTTGTTTAAACATAACCCCAGTGTCTTCTGTTTTAAAAATGACTCAGGCAATGATCATTCTCCAAAAATCAACTCCTTTCTTCCTGACATGAACAAAGTTAAGAGAGATTCTACTACTTCTTGAGTTGTTGTCAACATTCTTTGGAACAGCTGAGAAGACTCTGTAATAATTAAAGAAACTATCATGGAGACTTTGTTTAGAGATTATTTGAGAGCACAGAACTTAACGTAGAAGGTTTAGTTTTGAGTTTTGTTGGAAGCCCAGTGGAAAGTAATGTGAGTTTAGGCTATGGAAGCATTTGGGTTTTTTTGGATGTCAGATGGGTGCCTAAGATGGAGTTTCAGGTCTTGCTGCCTTTTAGTGTGTTACCCAGAGAGTTGATGGACAGAAAGATGCACCCTATTCGTCATGTTTTTGTTCTGAGAAAAATTACAGCCAAAAACACATCCTGTTACAATGCTGCATCTAAGAAGATGCCTGGCACTGCAGCATTAATTAGGAAGTGCTCCTTCCAGTGGCCAGACCCCTCCTTGCTGCAATCATGCTGTCAGATCTAAGCCAAGGATCCAGCTTTGCCAGGTGGACCACAAAAGGAGGGATGCTCTTTTTTTTCACCCTAATGGAAAAGATGCCTGTGCTAAGCTCTTCTACGTTAGAAATTCGCTCTTGCATATCTTATGTCTCTCAATGACACCTCCAAGGATTTCATTTCTTTAGACTTTGAGAGATCTATGAGGAAATAAAGAGTGCGGATTATCAGTCAGCCACTTGAAGAAAAACAGACAAAGGCAGAGGCAACAGAACACACACCAGTGCCTGCACACATCAATGCCTTGTTATGATATCAGATCATGGTAATTTTCAAATGTTGTATTTTGGCAAATTGGATTTGCAAATAGCAAAGAAGCTCACCTTTAAAAACAGCACTTTTACACGGAAACTGATTGCTCTTTTTTGTCCTTTTTCTTCTCTGAGTGTTTGTTGTGTGTGTGTTTAAAGCTCTACCCTTTGTTTTCCCAGCCCCATAGAAAGCGTGCTACTCTCTGCTGGTTTCTTATGATAGCTCTGCTCACTGAGGTAGAGCAGTCCCTGGAACTGTTCAATACATCTAACTGGAGGCTATCCTTATGTGTAGACAAAAGACCCCGAGAATGCACTTCCTTTTCTCTATTTCTAAGATGTGGTTGGAGTTAATAAAAATTAATTTTTACCTGTTTATATCATTAAAGTCAGTCACACATTTTTTCAAACATTGACCAATGTTTCTTTCTTTTTACTAAAATTAAACAAATTATTAGTAATTTGTTTGCTAAGTTTTTAAAACATTTTCACCATTGCCTTTATCTTGTAAATAAAGATATATACATGTGCTTTAGTTTCAAGGCAAAGGAATGGAAATAGGTAATACTAATCCCAAGTTGTAAAAAATATAAATCTTATAATGTTGGCAATGAGGTGATTGACCCTGCTCTAGTTAAATTGATATATATAATTTATCTAAAAAGGATAAGATACCATATTTAGTGATTAACCAAAGATAATCTAAACTCACCTATCTTTTGCAACATTAAAAATGTGAAATCCTATGCATATCTGATCGATAAGGGATTGCTAACATTGATGAATACTCAGCTTGCTATGGGTTTGAATAAAAGTGAAAAATACTTAGCAACTATAAGGAATAATAAATGATTCAGATTACTATTAGGGTTATTGTTCACTCTTCTCAAAGAGAATCTACACAAAATTTCCTGAACTGCTTATCTTTATTTACAATAATCATCCCCAAATGTGTACGACCTCTGAGTTTCTTATGTTACCAAACTGTTATTCCTACAATGCCCTGAACTTCCTTATTCCTACTCTCTTTCCTCTAATCTTCATATATGACTATGTACCATCTTTAACTATTGTTCCACACCCAGCCAACTCCCCAGTATTCTTAATTTCATCTTCTAGAGTTTCTTTCCTTTCTTTGCTTCAATTAAACTTCCCCCTAGCCTACCACCCCAGGGCACCACATCCTCTGTAGTCCTTTCCAACAGGGACTTTGCATTAGAAGCTGATGTGCTTAGTCTCCATTGATCCCCACTGCTCTATGCAGACAGTACTTCTGCACCATCTTATTCAGATAGTACCTCATCTTATGCAGAGAGTACCTCTCCACCATCTTATCTTGGACTTGCATGATACATTTTACTATACCATACTCTTCTCACTGCAATTAATTTACTTCATTTACTGTAGACTCTGTAATTCAACAGAGTCTTATATAAGATTCTATAATTTACAGATTACTCTCATTAAGTATCCTGCTATCATTCTGGGGACTTGATATCCTGCAGATGGCTTATCCAATACCATGGCCTCTCAATTTCTCATCCTCTTCATCTTCAGTGACCATCACATCTTCACCACATCATAACTTGAACCTTATCAATGGACATGAATTCTCCATTTTTGAAATCACTATTTCATCTCTGTTACCATAATATTTTTTCCTTCCTGCTTGCTTGTTCAATTGTTTTCACTATTCAAGATCTGTACCTCATCAGAACCTATAATCTATTGATCATTCTATTTTTTTTCTATCCATTGGCCTTCTTCTTTTGTTACTTCCCTCAGTTTTCAGTTTATATTCCCACAGTTTATTACCTCAAAAATCCACTAGTTGATACCACATCATTACTTGATTATCTTTCTCTTTTCATTTTATCTTTCTGACATAATCCCAGCCTATTCTTCTGGGAAATTTTTTTATTCCAATAAATGAGTCTGTTCTGATGCTGCTACTGAAAACATAGCCAAGACTGGGTGATTTATAAAGGAAAAAAGTTTAGTTGACTCACAGTTCCACATGGCTGGGGAGGCCTCAGAATCATGATGGAAGGCAAATGAGGAACAAAGTCATGTCTTAAATGGTGGCAGACAAGAAACTGTGTTCAGGGAAACTATTCTTTATAAAATCACCAGATCTCATGAGCCTTATTCACTATCATGAGAACAGCACAAGGAAGACCTACCCCCATGACTCATTTACGTCCCACCAAGTCCCTCCCACGACATGTGGAAATTATGGGAGCTACAATTCAAGATAAGATTTGGGTGGAGACACAGACAAGCCATATCATTCCACCACTGGCCCCCCCAAATCTCATGTCTTCACATTTCAAAACCAACCATGCCTTCCACACAGTCCCCCAAAGTCTTAACTCATTTCAGCATTAACTCAAAAGTCCACAATCCAGTCTCATCTGAGACAAAGCAAGTCCCTTCCAGTTATGAGCCTGTAAAATTAAAAGCAAGCTAGCTACTTCCTAAATACAATGGGGGTACAGGCATTGGGTAAATACACCCATTCCAAATGGGACAAATTGGCCCGAGTGAAGGGTCTACAGGCCTGATGCAAGTTCAACATTCAATAGGGCAGTCATTAAACTTTAAAGTTCCAAAATAATCTCCTTTGACTCCATGTCTCACATGCAGGTCATGCTGATGCAAGAGGTAGGCTCCCACAGTCTTGGTCACCTCTGCCCCTGTGGCTTTGCAGGGTACAGTCCCCACTCCCAGCTGCTTTCATGGGCTGGTGTTGAGTGTCTGCAGCTTTTCCAGGTGCATGGTGCAAGTTGTCGGTGGATCTACCATTCTAGGGTCTGTAGGATGATGGCCCTCTTCTTACAGCTCCACTAGCCTCCCTTAGTGGGCACTCTGTGTGGGAGCTCTGACTCCACATTTCCCTTCTGCACTGCCCTAGCAGAGGTTCTCCATGAAGACTGCATCCCTACAGCAAACTTCTTCCTTCACATCCATGAATTTTCATACATCCTCTGAAATCTAGGTGGAGGTTCCCAGACATCAATTCTTGACTTCTGTGTACCTGCTGGCTCAACACCATGTGGAAGCTGCCAAGGCTTGGGGTTTGCACCCTCTGAAGCCACAGCCTGACCTGTACCTTGGCCCCTTTTAGCTACAGCTGGAATGGCTGGGATGGAGGGCAACAAGTCCCTAGGCTGTACCCAGCAGAGGGCCCCTGGGCCCAGCCCATGAAACCATTATTTCCTATTAGGCCTCTAGGCCTGTGATTGAAGGGGTTTCCCTAAAGGTCTCTGACATACCCTGGAGACATTTTCCCCATTGTCTTGGTGATTAACATTTTGCTCCTTGTTACTTATGCAAATTTCTGTAGCAGGCTTGAATTTTTCCCCAGAAAATGGAGTTTTATTTTCTATTGCATTGTCAGGCTACAAAATTTCCAAATTTTTATACTCTGCTTCCTTTTGAACACTTTGCTGCTTAGAAATTTTTTCCACCAGATACCCTAAATCATCTCTCTGAAGTTTAAAGTTGCACAGATCTCTAGGGCAGTGGCAAAATGCCACCAGTCTCCTTGTATAGCCAAGGGTGACCTTTACTCCAGTTCTCAACAAATTGCTCATCTTCATTTGAGACCAACTGAGCCTGGACCTTGTTGTCCATATCACTATCACCATTTTTGTCAAAGCCATTCAACAAATCTCTAGTAAGTTCCAAACTTTGCCACATCTTTCTGTCTTCTGAGCCATCCAAGTCTCTAGGAAGTTCCAAATTTTCCTACATTTCCCTATCTTCTTCTAAGCCCTCCAAACTATTATAACCTCTGCCTGTTACCCAGTTCCAAAGTCGCTTCCACATTTTTGGATATCATTACAACAGCACCCCACTCCTGGTACCAATTTACCATATTAGTCTGTACTCACACTACTAATAAAGGCATAGCAGAGATTGGGTAATTTATAAAGGAAAGAGGTTTAATTGATTCAGTTCCACATGGTTAGAGAGGCCTCACAATCATGGCAGACGGTAAATGAGGAGCAAAGTCAAGTCTTATATGGTGGTAGGCAAGACAGCATGTGCAGATCTTTTATAAAACTATCAGATCTCATGAGATTAACTCAATGTCATGAGAACAGCATGGGAAAGACCCTCTCCCATTATTCAATTAACTCCCACCAGTTCATGACACTTGGGAATTACGGGAGCTACAATTCAAGATAAGATTTGGGTGAGGACACAGCTAAAACATCAGACTACATCATAAAGCTGAGAACTGCTAAAGAAAACCCCACTATAGGAGTAAATTGATTTCACTTAAGCTAGTAATCAACATCAAATGAATTGTTGACAATGGCCAATAATACTACTGTGACTCACTCTCCCACTTACCATGAGGATAAAGTGAGAAACGAAGTTTAGAGAAAAAAGAGTAAAAAGAAATGAACAAAGCCTCCAAGAAATATGGGACTATGTGAAAAGACCAAATCTACATCTGATTGGTGTACCTGAAAGTGACAGGGAGAATGAAACCAATTTGGAAAACACTCTGCAGGATATTATCCAAGAGAACTTCCCCAACCTAGCAAGGCAGGCCAACAGTCAAATTCAGGAAATATAGAGAACACCACAAAGATACTCCTTGAGAAGAGCAACCCCAAGACATATAATTGTCAGATTCATCAAGGTTGAAATGCGGGAAAATATGTTAAGGGCAGCCAGAGAGAAAGGTCCAGTTACCCACAAAGGGAAGCCCATCAGACTAACAGCAGATCTCTCAGCAGAAACTCTACAAGCTAGAAGAGAGTGGGGGCCAATATTCAATATTCTAAAAGAAAAGAATTTTCAACCCAGAATTTCATATCCAGCCAAACTAAGCTTCATAAATGAAGGAGAAATAAAATCCTTTACAGACAAGCAAATGCTGAGAGATTTTGTCACCACCAGGCATGCCTTACAAGAGCTCCTGAAGGAAGCACTAAACATGGAAAGAAACAACCAGTACCAGCCATTGCAAAACCATGCCAAATTGTAAAGGCCATCGAGGCTAGGAAGAAACTGCATCAATTAACAGGCAAAATAACCAGCTAACATCATAATGACAGCATCAAATCCACACATAACAATATTAACCTTAAATGTAAATGGGCTAAATGCCCCAGTTAAAAGACACAGACTGGCAAATTGGATAAAGAATCAAGACCCGTCAGTGTGTTGTATTTAGGAGACCCCTCTCACGTGCAAAGACACACATAAGCTCAAAATAAAGGGATGGAGGAAGATCTACCAAGCAAATGGAAAGCAAAAAAAAAAAAAAAAAAAAAAAAAAACAGCGGTTGCAACCCTAGTCTCTGATAAAACAGACTTTAAACCAACAAAGATCAAAAGAGACAAAGAAGGGCATTACATAATGGTAAAGAGATCAATTCAACAAGAAGAGCTAACTAACCTAAATATATATGTACCCAATACAAGAGCACCCAGATTCATACAGCAAGTCTCTAGAGACCTACAAAGAGACGTAGGCTCCCACACAATAATAATGTGAGACTTTAACACCCCACTGTTTATATTAGACAGATCAACGAGCCAGAAGGTTAACAAGGATATCCAGGAATTGAACTCAGCTCTGCACCAAGCAGACCTAATAGACATCTACAGAACTCTCCACTCTAAATCACCAGAATGTACATTGTTCTCAGCACCACATCACACTTATTCCAAAATTGACCACATAGTTGGAAGTAAAGCAGTGTTCAGCAAATGTAATAGAACAGAAATCACAACAAACTATCTCTCAGACCACAGTGCAACCAAACTAGAACTCACGATTAGGAAACTCACTCAAAACCACACAACTACATGGAAACTGAACAACCTGCTCCTGAATGACTACTGGGTAAATAACGAAATGAAGGTAGAAATAAAGATGTTCTTTGAAACCAATGAGAACAAAGACACAACGTACCAGAATCTCTGGGACACATTTAAAGCAGTGTATAGAGGGAAATTTATAGCACTAAATGCCCACAAGAGAAAGCAGGAAAGATCTAAAATTGACAAGCTAATATCACAATTAAAAGAACTAGAGAAGCAAGAGCAAACAAATTCAAAAGCTAGCAGAAGGCAAGAAATAACTAAGATTAAAGCAGAACTGAAGGAGATAGAGACACAAAAAACCCTTCAAAAAATCAATGAATTCAGGAGCTGGCTTTTTGAAAAGATCAACAAAATTGATAGACCGCTAACAAGACTAATAAAGAAGGAAACAGAGAAGAATCAAATAGACACAATAAAAAATAAAAAAAGGGGATATCACTACTGATCCCACAGAAATACAAACTACCATCAGAGAATACTATAAACACCTCTATGCAAATAAACTAGAAAATCTAGAAGAAATGGATAAATTCCTTGACACATACACCCTCCCAAGACTAAACCAGGAAGAAGTTGAATCTCTGAATAGACCAATAACAAGCTCTGAAATTGAGGCAATAATTAATAGCCTTCCAACCAAAAAAAGTCCAGGACCAGATGGATTCACAACTGAATTATACCAGAGGTACTAAGAGGAGCTGGTACCATTCCTTCTGAAACTATTCCAATCAATAGAAAAAGAGGGAATGCTCCCTAACTCATTTTATGAGGCCAGCATCATCCTGATACCAAAACCTGGCAGAGACACAACAACAAAATAGAGAATTTTAGACTAATATTCCTGATGAACTTTGATGCGAAAATCCTCAATAAAATACTGACAAACCGAATCCAGCAGAACATCAAAAAGCTTATCCTCCACAATCACGTCAGCTTCATCTCTAGGAAGCAAGGCTGGTTCAACATATGCAAATCAATAAACATAATCCATCACATAAACAGAACCAATGACAAAAACCACATGAATATCTCAATAACTCAGAAAAGGCCTTCGACAAAATTCAGCAGCCCTTCATGCTAAAAACTCTCAATAAACTAGGTATTGATGGGATGTATCTCAAAATAATAAGAGCTATTTATGACAAACCCACAGCCAGTATCATACTGAATGGGCAAAAACTGGAAGCATTCTCTTCGAAAACTGGCACAAGACAGGGATGCCCTCTCTTACCACTCCTATTCAACACAATGTTGGAAGCTCTGGCCAGGGCAATCAGGCAAAAGAAAGAAATAAAGGGTATTCATTTAGGAAAAGTAGAAGTCAAATTGTCCCTGTTTGCAGATGACATGATTGTATATTTAGAAAACCCCATCGTCTCAGCCCAAAATCTCCTTAAGCTGATAAGCAACTTCAGCAAAGTCTCAGGATACAAAATCAATGTGCAAAAATCACAAGCATTCTTATACACCAATAACAGACAAACAGAGAGCCAAATCATGAGTGAACTCCCATTCACAATTGCTACAAAGAGAAGAAAATACCTAGGAATCCAACTTACAAGGGATGTGAAGGACCTCTTCAAGGAGAATTACAAACATTGCTCAACGAAATAAAAGAGGATAAAAACAAATGGAAGAACATTCTATGCTCATGGATAGGAAGAATCAATATTGTGAAAATGGCCATACTGCCCAAGGTAATTTATAGATTCAATGCCATCCCCATCAAACTACCAATGACTTTCTTTACCTAATTGGAAAAAACTACTTTAAAGTTCATATGGAACCAAAAAAGAGCCCACATTGCCAAGACAATCCTAAGCAAAAAGGACAAAGCTGGAGGCCACACGCTACCTGACTTCAAACTATACTACAAGGCTACAGTAACCAAAATAGCATAATACTGGTACCAAAACAGATATATAGACCAATGGAACAGAACAGAAGTCTCAGAAGTAACACCATACATCTACAACCATCTGACCTTTGACAAAGCTGACAAAAACAAGAAATGGGGACAGGATTCCCTATTTAATAAATGTTTTGGGAAAACTGGCTAATCATATGTATAAAGCTGAAACTGGATCCCTTCCTTACACCTTATACAAAAATTAATTCAAGATGGATTAAAGACTTAAATGTTAGACCTGAAACCATAAAAACCCTAGAAGAAAACCTAGGCAATACCATTCAGGACATGGGCGTGGGCCAGGGCTTCACCAAACACTAAAACACCAAAAGCAATGGCAGCAAAAGTCAAAATAGATAAATGGGATCTAATTAAACTAAAGAACTTCTGCACAGCAAAAGAAACTACCATCAGAGTGAACAGGCAACCTACAGAATAGGAGAAAATTTTTGCAATCTACCCATCTGACAAAGGGCTAATATCCAGAATCTACAAAGAACTCAAACAAATTTTCAAGAAAAAAGCAAACAACACCATCAAAAAGTTGGCAAAGGATACAAACAGGCACTTCTCAAAAGAAGACATTTATGTAGCCAACAGACACATGTAAAAATGTTTATCATCACTGGTCATCAGAGAAATGCAAATCAAAACCACAATGAGATACCATTTTACACCTGTTAGAATGGTGATCATTAAAAAGTCAGGAAACAACAGATGTGGGAGAGGATGTGGAGAAATAGGAATGCTTTTACACTGTTGATGGGAGTGTAAATTAGTTCAACCATTGTGGAAGACAGTGTGACGATTCCTCAAGGATCTAGAATTAGAAATATCATTTGGCCCAGCCATCCCATTACTAGGTATATATCCAAAGGATTATAAATCATGCTACTATAAAGACACATGCACACATATGTTTATTGCAGCACTATTCACAATAGCAAAGACTTGGAACAATCCAAATGTCCATCAATGATAGACTGGATTAAGAAAATGTGGCACATATACACCATGGAATACTATGAAGCCATAAAAAAGGATGAGTTCATGTCCTTTGTAGGGACATGGATGAAGCTGGAAACCATCATTCTCAGCAAACTATTGCAAGGACAAAAAACCAAACACCGCATATTCTCACTCATAGGTGGGAATTGAACAATGAGATCACATGGACACAGGAAGGGGAATATCACACTCTGGGGACTGTGGTGCAGTCGGGGGAGGGGGGAGGGATAGCATTGGGAGATATACCTAATGCTAGATGACACATTAGTGGGTGCAGCGCACCAGCATGGCACATGTATACATATGTAACTAACCTGCACAATGTGCACATGTACCCTAAAACTTAGAGTATAATAAAAAAAAAAAAAAAGAAAAAAAAAAAAAAGAAAATGTGGCATATATACACCATGGAATACTATGCAGCCATAAAAAAGGATGAGTTCCTGTCCTTTGCAGGGACATGGATGAAGCTGGAAACCATCATTCTGAGCAAACTATCACAAGGACAGAAAACCAAACACCGCATGTTTTCACTCACAGGTGGGAATTGCACAATGAGAACACTTGGACACAAGGCAGGGAACATCACATATAAGGGCCTGTCATGGGGTGGGGGACTGGGCAAGGGATAGAGTTAGGAGAAATACCCAATGTAAATGACGAGTTCATGGGTGCAACGAACCAACATGGCATATGTATACCTATTTAACAATCTTGCACGTTGTGCACATGTACTCTAGAACTTCAAGTATAATAATACTTTTTTTTAAAAGCCAATATTTGGTGGGATTTCTTCATCTTCCCCACATGAAGCATCATCACAAACATATGTTGTTATATAGCAGAAAGCATACTAGGCTAGAAATAACTACATATATTCTAAGTCTGTCTTTGTGGGGGCATTGTCCAACTTGTTTGGCCCTTGGGTCCCTACACCCAGGGTGGGATTCTTCTAGTCTATTACCCTGTCTTGTGTACTATGATGGCAGTATACTCTGTGTACTTGTGTACTATTATGGCTTTCAAATTTTTTTTTTTTTTTTGAGACGGGGTCTTGCTCTGTCGCCCAGGCTGGAGGGCAGTGGCACGATCTCACCTCACTGCAAGCTCCGCCTCCTGGGTTCACTTCATTCTCCTGCCTCAGCCACCCGAGTAGCTGGGACTACAGGCACCCGCCACCACGCCCGGCTAATTTTTTCTATTTTTTGGTAGAGACGGGGTTTCACCATGTTAGCCAGGATGGTCTCGATCTCCTGACCTCGTGATCCACCCGCCTTGGCCTCCCAAATTGCTGGGATTACAGATGTGAGCCACCATGCCTGGCTGGCAGTCAATTTTTTAAAAGTTTTATTTATATGGATTTAGGGGTGCAAATACAGTTGTGTTACATGCATGTATTGCATAGTGGTGAAGTCTGGGCTTTTAGTGTACCCATCATACACATAGTGTACATTGTATCCCCTAGATAATATTTCATCTCTCCCTGCTCCACCATCCCAACTTTTGGAGTCTCCAATGTCTATTATTCCTCTCTACATGTCCCTGTGTACCCATTGTTAAGCACCCACTTATAAGTGATAACATGTGGTTTTTTACTTTCTGTTTCTGAGTCATTTTACTAAGAATAATGATCTCCAGTTCCATCCATGCCACCTCAATTTTTATCTGTGTCAGTAATATACTTTACTATTGTTCATTTATGTTACAAGGTCTGTTAGGTCCCTTGAATAACATGATAGATATTGATATATCCTCTTATTTTGGGAAAGTAGATTTACGTAGTATTTGAGGAGCACAACTCCCTCGTTTTTGCGGGAGAGTTCTCTGTGAGCCTTTTAGATGACTATCTCTTCAGAGTCACAGAGAGCATTGTATATACATGTGGGTTAGAAATACAGCTTCTCACTGAATCACCTGTGATTTCTTTGCCTCCCTGGAGTTACTGTTGGTATAATACAGTAAAAATAAAGTAATTCTATACTGAAGTACAACATGAATCAAAATAAAACTTCTCTGTCCTTATAAACTCAGGAGTGCAGGTTTCATCAGAGTTTGGGGAGCCTAGGATGAATATCCAATAGCAGCGTAGCTTATAATAGTTATTCCTGGAAAATGCTAGAGATCTATAATTCTACACTTTCAGGATCCTGATGCTTTTATGCAATTCTGGGCTCAGAGCTTTAATGATATGTGCCCATTAAGGGAAGAATTCCTCAATGCTTCTGACCTCATTCCTTTTGTAAAATAATACATCTTGGGGTCTTTTTCTTCAAGACTTCCCTGTTTCATGGCTTAGGACAACAATAGGTTGATGATATCTCACAGCTTTTCAAAAAACATAATTGCTTTAACCAAGATGACATTAGAAGGCTCTACTGGTGAGGTATCAGGTATATGGAAAGCCAAAATGAGAGGTATTTTTTAATTTGATGGGAGACAGTTAGTGCTCTTGAAATTATAACTCATAAGTCAACTATTAATATGCTAGCCTTGCCAGAACATTAGACGCTATAAAAACACACAAATCAACAAACAAATATAACCTCTAACCTCAAGCCCATTGATAATATGCTAAAATTATATAGGTTGTCTGGAACTATATATCTACATATTCTATTAAAGACATATTGTGATACCTACTGGAAAAAGACTTAATCTTCAGTGTGCTGGGCCCTAGGCAAAATACTTATTTTGTAGAACAACAACAAAAAACACCCCCTCCCACACGTACAATACAATTACAAGATACATTTTAAATGGAGTCAGATAATGTTACATGGAGGGCATGTAGCTGGAGCAGAGTAAGAAAGCTTATGACACTTTTTGCTAGGCAATCTCTGATGCTTTCTTGCTTGGTTTAGCCTTCTGTAGGTTTTTGATCATCTCTGGCCAAGAGTATGAGATCACGTAGAAGAAAATGACTGTTGTGTCCACTGCTGTAGGTGGGTGGGTGTGGCTGGTGGGGACATCTTATAAGCTGGGCCAATAATCCAAAGAACTGCATCAGAGAGGATTGAATGAGATAAGGTATCTAAAGCTTTTAAAGCTTTTAGTGTGATGTCTGGAACATGAGTACTTGATAAATATATAAATTCTATATTTTAAAATATGTTTCTCACAACTTGCAGCTTATGAACTAGGACTTGAAGAACGGCAATATTTCAATAAGCCTGCCCCACTGTATTTGCGTATAACAGGCACTCACTAAATGATTCCTATAGAAATCCATACTAGTTAGGGCACCACTAGTCTCTGTCATAAACTCACTCAAAGCTTTCAGATATTTTTTTCAGTAAAAGCTTACTTTCTTGCACACATAACAATCCAGTGCAGATGTTCCTGGTGGGTGGGTTTCCTCCATGTGATGATTGAGGGACCCAGTATCTTACTATCTTGTGACCATGCTATTTCTTGGGGCCTTAGAGTCGTCTTCATTCATTGGACAAATGGGAAGAGTGAAGGAAAAGAAACCATATTTACCCTTAACCATGTGGAAGGAATAAGCACCATTTCTGACAATATTACATTGTCAAGAACTTGCTGCATGGCTCCTTCATATACAAGAAATCTGAGAAAAATTCTGCCTGGCTGGACAACCGATTCTCAAAACTACTCACACTATGGAAAGGGATGCAGAAATTTTTGGTAAATCGCTAGCCATTTCTTCCATAGAATTATTAAAGCTTCCAGAATATAAAATAATAAATCTAAACAAGTAGAAATGGTCTCTATTCACTCACACATTTGAGTCTCATTAAAGAGTTGTGCAACTGTTTTCAGTTCTCTGACTTGGAGTTTAAGTGCTTCATGGACTGGCTGTTAGGGGGTATATTTTCACAAACCACCACCTACTTTAGTTGGACTAGTTATTAAGGTATTTTAAGGATCTATGTTGTTCTTTGATGTTTCACCAAATCCTTTTTTATGTTCTGAAGCCTGGTGGTAAGCTGATGGCTACTAAACATATAGACTTGGGGTTTGACAGGGGAGAAGAAGCAAATAATTTATTTCTGTTAAGGTTCAGCTTTGGTCATCTCTGTCATTAGATCAGATACACCAAAACTCATGTTTACCTCTATTTCCTCTAGGCTAGATTACTACAAACTCATGTTTGCTGGCTGCTGAATAAATTTCTCTCTGAGCTTGATTTTTTTTTTCTGTGTTCATCTGCTATTCTATGTTTTCATGAAAGGGGCCATGTTTTATAACCATTGTTCCATATCATTATTATTGCTGTATGCCACATTCTGAGTAAATATCATAATTTGAAGTTTTTATTATCAGAGTAATATATATGATCATTAGAATAAAGAGAATATTTTAGCAAAAATGGCACTAAAATGAATTTTAGACCTCATATTTCATTTTTCCTTTAACGAATAACCAAAGCTGAGTTATTTCCTGTGTTTAATAAGCACACTAGTTTGAAACCTTTCTTCATTCTTTACATAGATGTTCTACTAAACATGATGCATTCTTATTAATTCTTAAGAAAGACAAGCCTGTAGTGTAAAAATAAGGTATTTTAAGAATCTATTTTAATTTATATGTAACAAGGAATTACGGTGTTAAGTCATTACCTGCTCTTACTCTCAAATTATTATCTTTAAATACTTTTCTTTTCCTGCCCCTCAATTTTGAGGATTTTTTCCACATCATATCCTCTGCCCTCTGCAGGATGTGATGAAGTGCCCATATACATTTATACATTTATGATAGAAACCCTCTCACTTACTATTTTTTGCTCTGAGTTGTCATTCCAAAATTGAACCCTAATTGAAGACATGTGAGTGTGTGTGTTTCTGTGAGAGAAAATAGCTCATCAGTAATAGTTTGCCTGCTAGAATTAAAATTCCCCTTATAGACTTCAATTGGATAACAAGGTAGGGACATGGGTAGGTGTTTATTTTTGTCAGTTTTAAAATAGTATTCAAATTTATCAAAGTTATACAAGCATGTAACCTAAGGTGTTTTAATTGCTGCTTCTAGATTTACTGGTGATCTATGTTACCTCCATTTTCCAAATTATAGGGATATAAATCTTCCTGTATATGTCCAGACTTGGAGGTGATTGAGTTGGTTTGGGTTATGGGTTGACAATGAGTATGGGCTAAGGTCTTGAGTTTACCTAAGACAGAGGAATTAAACATATATAATGTTACAGTTAAGCAGGAAGTATTCAGGCAGAACAGAAGAAAATTATATAATTCAGTATGCTCAGGTAGATAGTCAGGGTTCATTTGAGAATTAAGCCCAAGGTCTACTAGGCATATCCATGTGGACAGAGCTTCCATTTAGTTATTGTATTACCCATGCTTAAATATAAATGGCCATCACTTCACATTTATTAATATGGCTTCTTCTTTACTCTTGCCATCTATTTTGCCACCATTCCATTGGCAGCCAGCTGACACTAGAGCCTGAAAATCCTGTCTGTACCTCAGTCAGGCTCCCTGAGAAGCAGAGCTGAACAGGGGAAAAGTGAAGAGTAAGTTGGAGGAAAAATAAGTATTAGATCAGCATTTATAATTTATAAAATCAAAAAAGATGAAATGCTATTTTTTTCTATATGTTTATTGTATCTAAAGCAAATCAACTATTACAAGATGTTAACATAACCTTTTGCCTCCATTTAAAAATTTTGCAAGTCTATATTAAGGGTATGGCACATATTAGTGGCTCAATAAGCATTCCATAGCATAATGCACAAATAGCTATAAAAATGTATTCCATTTCTAATTTAAATTATTTTGGTTTCAAAACGTCTACTACTCCTATTCCCTTTTTAAGCTCCATGTGAACAGAATCTAGTAAAATAATTTATAACAGCAATTTTTTATTTTTTTCCAGTTTAGGCAGCATTGGCCTTAGTGTCTTCACTTATCCTTTTTTTCTTCCTTTTCCCTTTAAAGTGTTATATTAACCTTGCTGCCAGGACTATCTTTTTGAAGCAGTCCAACTCTAAATTGAAATACATAGAAATAATCCACATATTCATCTCCTTTTCCAAGTCCTCTATCTTCCAAACAGTTGTGAGCCAAAACAGGGAGCCTGTTAGCCCTGAAATAACGTAGGGATGATAAAAATATGATGTAGTGTAATTTTTATAGAGTCATGGTAAAATGAGTAATGGGAAGAAATCAATAAAGCAAAAATATTTCCAGGAAAGAAAAAAAGAACTTTTCTTTTGATTAAGCAGGCTTGTATTATAAATTACAAAGAATTATAGTATAGGAGATTATGATTTTGATCTGTTTTGGGTTACTAATGGGAATTAATACTCTTGAAAGATTTGTTAATTTCTCTTTACTAAAAAGTAGTTTTCACGGGGCTGACTCTCAGTGGTGCTATTTAAAACTGCAATATAGTACAACCAGATAAATTTAAGTAGAGAAAAAACATTGTCATGAATTCCGTCATGATTATAACCCCTCATTAATCTAAGACTGTTCAACCTTGCTTGTTGGTGCCATCGCAATTTTTTTTAATATAGATAAAACTTAATAAGTTATACTCCTCAGACAGTCAAATCAATGAATAATTAATATCAGAAGCCACTGAGTTATCATAATCATACATATGCTTACAGAAAATTTGTAAAGAATATTTAATTGACTAATATAAAATTATTCAGAAATTAATTTTGTAAGTTTCTCCTTTTAGTGGTGAAATGCCAGGTGTGTTTTCCCAGGTGGTGGTGGCAGAAATTATAATGTAATCTCTGAGAATATAATGGGTTTTGATCTCTTTTCCTTCTCGGAAATGTATGGCTGCATCATACCCTCTCTCCCTTTCTCAAATAAGTGTGAACTCTTGTCAGCGCTCGTTAGTTCCTCACCTTATCTTGGGCTAACCCCATCCAGTAGAGCAGGTTACCAAGCAACCACTAGCTGTCTCTGAGAGTGTCTGTGGCAACGGTACCTCCTGATACCTTCTGTCACAATGTCTCCTGTTAAGTTGTCAGGATGGGGGCACCAAGGTGGTTGCCATAGTCACTCTCAGTAGTGGCCTGTGGTTGCTGGACTGAGAGCAGAGTGCTGAGTTCCTAAGATAATTAATGACCTAGGCCACTGTAGCTGTCATTTTTTAAAGCTAAACAAAGTTTTGATGAGTATAAAGAGATTTACACCATGAAAGTGTTTCTGATAATTAGGATAATATTAACAAATATTTGAATAGGGTAAAATGTTATTCTTTCTACGTTGTAACCTTTGCAAGTATAGCATTTGAAGTTTAGTTGCCAGTGATGTGTGTCTCAATGTAAGTGACATTTGGCAAGCATTATTTCTGTTTTACATATATTAGAAAGCAACTCTTTAAATTGTTTTTATATGGTGAATAGCTATACATCTTCTTCTAGTAAGGTTTATAAATATGCACATATATGTGGCTACTAGTTTAGTGCTTAATTGGAGTAAGTGTTGCTAATAGTATTAATAGCAAGAGTAGTTACTATTTATCACTTATTTATTACATGTCAGACCTGTGCTGTTTTATTTATATTACTCATATATTCTTCACAAAGTCTTCTTGAAGTAGATGAGATTCACTTCCTTCCTTTAAATATGAGGAAGCCAAGGCAAGGAGAAGAAAAGTGAATTAACTAAGGAGAGAAAGCTAAGAGCAAAGGTAAGATTAAAAAAATATTTTAAATTGATGCATAATAATTGCACTTATTTATGGAGTACAGTGTAATATTTTGGAACCTGGAAATAATATGTAATGATCAAATCAGGATAATTAGCACATCTATCTCCTCAAACATTTACCATTTTTTTATGTTGGGAACATTCAAAACCCTCATTTGTAGCTATTTGAAAATATACAATAAATTATTGGCTTCTATAGTCACCCCATAGCAGCATTATTCACAGTAGCCACGTTATGGAATCAGCCTAAGTGTCCATCAATGGATGAATATACAAAGAAAATGTAGTACATATACACAGTGGAGTACTATTCAGTCATAAAAAAGAATGAAATCCTGTCATTTGTAGCATGGTTGGAACTGCAGGACATTCTGTTAAGTGAAATAAATCAGGCACAGAAATACAAATATTGAATGTTCTGAACTCATATGTCAATGCTAAAAAGGCTGGAATTTTAAATCCCGATCTACCTGAGTCCAGAGGACTTTAACAAATACAATTTTGAAGAAAAGAACTATGGAAAAGAAGTCTGGGGTGGATAAACAGTGCTCCAAGTGAGAAATTATTTGCTGTAAAATCTCTTCTTTGCTGCACTGGTTCTTAAAGTCGATAAGAATTAATCTAATGAGGAGTTTACTGCATGCATAATATAATTAGAGTAATTCACAAAAAGAGACCACCCCTCTGAAATTTAAAAACTGTTTTCCTCGGCCTCAGAATGATTCGAGGGTCATCTATTTGAGTGATCTTATTGTGGTTCTAGGAAGTAACTGGATCCATAGTGACCAAGAACGAGTATTTCTGGTGATAAATAAGAGGAAGGAGAGTTCCCAAGCTTAGTGCACTTGGAGGTGGGGGCTGGGAGAAATGTTAAATGGGGTGGAGGAAATATCATGGGTTATAAATCCACAGGAAAGAGAAATTTTAAAGATAAATGTGAGATGTTAAATATAAATTATTTGCTTCATAATTACCTTATAATATTGCAAAGGATTTGGCTCTCAGTTGATGTTTAGAGAAGAATGAATTTCTTTCTCATTCTTATTAAGATTTTATTGACATATAGATTAGTTCACTTATTTTATAGGTAATTCTGACAAATGAGTGTAGTATATAATCACCACACATAATCCCTCCTTCTCTTCCTCCCTCTTTCCCTCCTCCCTCCCTCCCTTTCCCCTTCTCCCCTCCCTTCTCCCCTCCCTCCCTCCCTTTCTTTCCTTCCTTCCTTCCTTCTTTCCTTCCTTCCTTCCTCCTTCCCTCTTTCCTCCCTTCCATCTTTATTTTCTTCTTTCTTTGTGCAAATTTCAAGTATACAATACAGTATTGCTAACTATAGTCACATTTTTTATACATTAGGTCTTCAGAACTTATTAATCTTGCATAAACTAAATTTTGTCCAAATTTGTTTTTATTTTTCAAGTGTTTGGCTCTCCCAGTCTCTTTACTTTTCTATATAAACGTTAGAATCAGCTGATTGATTCTGACAAAAATGTTACACTGAGATTTTAGAATGAAGTTTTATTTCACCAATAGATCATTTTGGAAAGGATTGACTTCTTTAAAATATTGAGTTGTTCATTCCATGATGTGCTAGTTCTTTTTATTACTTTGGTTTTCTTAGGTTCCTTTTATCAGTGTTCTTTTAGTTTTAGCATAACAATAGTGCACTTGTGTTGCACAATTTACATTTAACCATTTCATATATTTGAATATGAAATAGTTATTTTAACCATTTCATTTCTTCATATTTTTGAATATGAAACAGCTATTGTAATGGAATAAAACTAAAAAATCTGCTTCCAATTTTTCATTGTTAATGAATAGAAATAGGATTATCTATATATTTATTTATATATTTTGACAAATAATTAATAATTATATGTATTTATGATATACAACACAATGCTTTGATATATGTATACATTGTGAGATAGTTAAATCAATGCTAATGTACATATGCATTACCTCACATACTTATCAATCTTTTTTTGTGGTGAAAACATTTAAAATCTAATCTTGGCAATTCTAAAGTATACAGGACTTAGGTAATTGATGTTTTTTTGTATTGATGTTGTATCCTGTGACTTTGTTGAACTTATGAGTTCTAATAGATTTGTGGATTCATTATGATTATCTATGTAGAAAAAGATGTTGTCTGAGAATACAGTTTCATTTCTTTTTTTAATCTGTATGGATTTTATTTCTTTTTATTGCCTTGTTGCATTCACTAAGATATCACGTATGATGACAAATATAGGTGGTGAGAGTGGATGTCCTTGCTTTGTACCTAATCTTAGGGGAAAAACATTCAGTCTTTCAACATTAAGTATGTTGTTAGCTGTAGAAACTTTGCAAATGTCTTTTATCAGGTTGATGAAATTCCCTTCTGTTCCTACTTTGTTGAGAGTTTTATTTATTTATTTATTTATTTATTTATTATCAGAAATGAGTGTTAGATGTTGTCACATGCTTTTGTCTGCATTTATTGAGGGGACCGTGGCATTTTTAATCATTAGTCTTATATTAGGTAAATTACATTGATAGACGTTTTTTAAAAAAATTTGAATGAATCTTGAGTTTTCAGGACAAAACCCACTTAAAGGGGATATATTTTCTTTTTACTGTGTTGAATTTAGTTTTCTAGTATTTAGTTAAAAGTTTTGTATTTGTAGTCATTAGGAATATTGGTCTGTAGTTTTCCTTTCTTATGCAGTTTTTCCAGTTTGGTATAGGGCAATAACCTTGTCTTAAAATGAGTTGCAGTTTCCCCCTTCACTTGTATTCTGAAAGGCCTTTTTGAAATTGGTATTATTTCTTTCTCCAACATGTAATAGAATATGTCAATAAAACTATCTGAGCCTGGAGGTTTCTCTTTTGGAAGGCTTTAAACTATAAATTATCTTTCTTTAATAGACATAACAATATCCAGGTTATTTAATCTTCAGTAATTTTCTTATCATTTGAGGAATTTATGTAACGCCTCTATGTTGTCAAATTTATGGGCATAAAATTGTTCCCAATATTCACTTTGTGGTACACAGAATTCCTAACACAGAATAGCCCCCAGTGACAAACGGCATATAAAATTTCCTCTTCTGTGAATATGATGGGTCATTATTTCCGTGATCATGTTACATTCCATGGCAAAGGGATTTTGCAGATGTAATTAAGGTTACCAATCAGTTGATCTTGAGGTTACTAATCAGTTGATCTGAGTAGGACAGTCCTAAGTAATGCACCTTTTAAAAGCAAAAGTTTTTCACTGACTGACAGCAAAAAATGAATTCACAGATATTTGAAACATCAGAATGGCTTTGTGAAGCATTGCTGGTTTAAAGATGTAGAAAGCAAATTGGATAAAGAGTCAAGACCCATCAGTGTGCTGTATTCAGGAAACCCATCTCATGTGCAGAGACACATATAGGCTCAAAATAAAGGGATGGAGGAAGATCTACTAAGAAAATGGAAAACAAAAAAAGGCAGGGTTTGCAATCCTAGTCTCTGAAAAAACTGACTTTAGACCAACAAAGATCAAAAAAGACAAAGAAGGCCATTACATAATGGTAAAGAGATCAATTCAACAAGAAGAACTCATTATCCTAAATATATATGCACCCCATATAGGAGCACTCAGATTCATAAAGCAAGTCCGTAGAGACCTACAAAGAGACTTAGACTCCCACACAATAATAATGGGAGACTTTAACACCCCACTATCAACATCAGACAGATCAATGAGACAGAAAGTTAACAAGGATGTCTAGGAATTGAACTCAGCTCTGCACCAAGCAGACCTAATAGACATCTACAGAACTCTCCACCCCAAATCAACAGAATATACATTCTTCTCAGCACCACATCACACTTATTCCAAAATTGACCACATAGTTGGAAGTAAAGCAGTGTTCAGCAAATGTAAAAGAACAGAAATCACAACAAACTGTCTCTCAGACCACAGTGCAACCAAACTAGAACTCACAGTTAAGAAACTCAAAACTGCTCAACTACATGGAAACTGAACAACCTGCTCCTAAATGACTACTGGGTACATAATGAAATGAAGGCAGAAATAAAGATGTTCTCTGAAACCAGTGAGAACAAAGACACAGCATACCAGAATTTCCGGGACACATTTAAAGCAGTGTGTAGAGGGAAATTTATAGCACTAAATGCCCACAAGAGAAAGCAGGAAATCCCTAAAATTGACAAGGTAACATCACAATTAAAAGAACTGGAGAAGCAAGAGCAAACAAATTCAAAAGCTAGCAGAAGGCTAGCTTCGATGCAAAAATCCTCAATAAAATACTGGCAAACCGAATCCAGCAGAACATCAAAAAGCTTATCCACCATAATCAAGTGTGCTTCATCCCTGGGATGCAAGGCTGGTTCAACATACACAAATCAATAAATGTAATCCAGCATATAAACAGAACCAAAGACAAAAACCACATGATTATCTCAATAGATTCAGAAAAGGCCTTTGACAAAATTCAATGGCTACTCATGCTAAAAACCCTCAATAAAATTTGGTATTGATGGGACGTATCTCAAAATAATAAGAGCTATTTATGACAAACCCACAGCCAGTATCATACTGAATGGGCAAAAACTGGAAGCATTCTCTTCGAAAACTGGCACAAGACAGGGATGCCCTCTCTCACCACTCCTATTCAATATAGTGTTGGAAGTTCTGGCCAGGGCAATCAGGCAGGAGAAGGAAATAAAGGGTATTCAATTAGGAAAAGAGGAAGTCAAATTTTCCCTGTTTGCAGATGACATGATTGTATATCTAGAAAACCCCGTCGTCTCAACCCAAAATCTCCTTAAGCTGATAAGCAACTTCAGCAAAGACTCAGGATACAAAATCAATGTACAAAAATCACAAGCATTCTTATACACCATTAACAGACAAGCAGAGAACCAAATCATGAGTGAACTCCCATTCACAATTGCTACAAAGAGAATAAAATACCTAGGAATCCAACTTACAAGGGATGTGAAGGACCTCTTCAAGGAGAACTACAAACCACTGCTCAAGGAAATAAAAGAGGATACAAAGAAATGGAAGAACATTGCATTCTCATGGGTACGAAGAATCAATATCATGAAAATGGCCATACTGCCCAAGGTAATTTATAGATTCAATGCCATCCGCATCAAGCTACCAATGACTTTCCTCACAGAACTGGAAAAAACTACTTTAAAGTTCATATGGAACCAAAAAAGAGCCCGCATCACCAAGTCAATCCTAAGCCAAAGGAACAAAGCCAGAGGCATCACGCTACCTGACTTTAAACTATACTACAAGGCTACAGTAACCAAAATGGCATGGTACTGGTACCAAAACAGAGATATAGACCAATGGAACAGAACAGAGCCCTCAGAAATAATACCACACATCTACAACCATCTGACCTTTGACAAACCTGACAAAAACAAGAAATGGGGAAAGGATTCCCTATTTAATAAATGGTGCTGGGAAAACTGGGTAGCCATATGTAGAAAGCTGAAATTGGATCCCTTCTTTATATCTTATACAAAAATTAATTCCAGATGGATTAAAGACTTACATGTTACACCTAAAACCATAAAAACCCTAGAAGAAAACCTAGGCAGTACCATTCAGGACATAGGCATGGGCAAGGACTTCATGTCTAAAACACCAAAAGCAGTGGCAACAAAAGCCAAAATAGATAAATGGGATCTAATTAAACTAAAGAGCTTCTGCACAGCAAAAGAAACTACCATCAGAGTGAACAACCATCAGAGTGAACAGGCAACCTATAGAATGGGAGAAAATTTTTGCAATCTACTCATCTGACAAAGGGCTAATATCCAGAATCTACAAAGAACTCAAACAAATTTACAAGAAAAAAACAAACAACCCCATCACAAAGTGGGCAAAGGATATGAACAGACACTTCTCAAAAGAAGACATTTATGTAGCCAAAAGACACATAAAAAAATGCTCATCATCACTGACCATCAGAGAAATACAAATCAAAACCACAATGAGATACCATCTCACACCAGTTAGAATGGCGATCATTAAAAAGTCAGGAAACAACAGGTGCTGGAGAGGATGTGGAGAAATAGGAACACTTTTGCACTGTTAGTGGGACTGTAAACTAGTTCAACCATTGTAGAAGACAGTGTGGCAATTCCTCAGGGATCTAGAACTAGAAATATCATTTGACCCAGCCATCCCATTACTGGGTATATACCCAAAGGATTATAAATCATGCTGCTATAAAGACACATGCACACGTATGTTCATTGTGACACTATTCACAATAGCAAAGACTTGGAACCAACCCAAACATCCATCAAAGATAGACTGGATTAAGAAAATGTGGCACATATACACCATGGAATACTAAGCAGCCATAAAAAATGATGAGTTCCTGTCTTTTGTAGGGACATGAATGAAGCTGGAAACCATCATTCTCAGCAAACTATTGCAAGGACAGAAAACCAAACACTGCATGTTCTCACTCGTAGGTGGGAATTGAACAATGAGAACACTTGGACACAGGAAGGGGAAAATCACACACCAGGGCCTGTCATGGGGTTGGGGCATGGGGGAGGGATAGCATTAGGAGATACACCTAATGTAAATGATGAGTTAGTGGGTGCAGCACACCAACATGGCACATGTATACATATGTAACAAACCTGCACGTTGTGCTTATGTACCCTAGAACTTAAATTATAATAAAAATATATATTAAGAAAAAAACAAGAATGTGTATTCTACTATGATTAAGTCGAGTATTCTATAAATGTCAATTAGGCCAAGTTACTTCCTAGGGATATTCAAGGCCTCATCTGCATTGATTTTCTGTCTACTTTTTCTATTGATTACAGGAAGGGGAATGTTAAAATGTCTGTGTACTTCATAGGCAAATTGCAAGTTTATCTATTTCTCTCATCAATTTTGTCAGTTTTTTTACTTTGTAATGTTTGAAGCTGTGTCAGTAGACACAGTAGGATTTTTATGTCTTTCTTGGTGAATTGACTCCTTTATTTTTTCTTTGTTCTAAATTCCTTTTTGTCTGAGATAAATGTATCCACCTTAGCTTAATTTTCCTTAGTTTTTCCACAGTATATCTCTTTCTGTGATATTACTTTTAACCTAATCTTCTTATGTTTAATACGTTTCTTGTAATAATGTGTATGGGTCCATGCTATTTCACCCAAAATAACAATTTCTTTTACTTGATGCGTTCAGACTGTTTACATTCAATGTCATTATGGATATGATTGGATTATTGGGTATTGCTGACTGTCTTCCTTTGTTTCTTCTTTGCTTCTTTATTCCTTCTTTTTTGCCTTCATTTTGTATTAAGTATTTTTTATCATTCTGCTTTATCTCCATTCTCAGGTTATTATTTTATAGATCATTGTTTTTGCAAGTTTTCTTGTGGCTTTCATATGGTTTACAATACCTCTCTTTGATTAATTATAATTAATACAATAATTGCACCAATGCAACCTTCAAATAATATCATTCTGCTTTATGTGTGGAGAAAGTAGAATTCATTTTTTTCTTCCTTTCAGCATTTTCTTTCTTTCTTTGTCATTATCTTCTGGCATACATAAATTTTGACAAAATCCTGCTATAATTTTTTATCTTTGGTCTCTTGAATAAAATGTGCTTTTAACCTTTGGTGCCTTCAAAATTATCCCTTTATCTTTTTTTTTAAACAGTTTGAATATGACATGTATGGGTGGGTGTGTGGGTGTGTGGGTGTGTGCGTGTGTGTGTGTATTTATGCTGCTTAATGTTCTCTGAACTTCGTCTTTCTGTTGTTGTTTGTTGTTTTGGAAATTTCTCAGCCATTATTTTTTCAAACATTTTTTCCATCTCATTCTCTCTTTGAGTTCTGAAATTCTACTTATTACATCTAGGGTAGAATGTTTAATATTTTCCCACAGCCTTTGCATTGTCTGTTCTGTTTTTTTTTTCTTTTTGTGTTTAGGTTTGAGCAAATTTCACTGACCTCTTTTTGATTCTTCTGTTGGTTGTGTTGAGTCTACCACAGAGCCATCAAAGGTAGTCTTTATCTCTCCTCTCAGGTTTTTCATTTCTAGCATTTCCATTTTATGATGTTTTATAATTACCATTTCTTTGCTGAAAGTCTCCATATGTTCCTGTACAGTATCCACCTTTTTCACTGCAGACTTTATTGATCATAATTATTTTTTAAATCTCTGATAGTCCAAGATCTGGTTCATATCTAGTTGTTGTATTAATTTCTTGGTTTCTTGGAAGTATGTTGTTTCCCTTTTTTGTCTTTTTGGTGTCTTGCAATGTTTGGTTGAAAGCTCAACATCTTACGTGGGAGATATAAGTAGATCTTATGCCTGCCCATAAACATGCATTTTCATTTTCTTTTGATATGACTTTAATGTGAAGGAGGTTGAAATAATCTAGTTAGGAGTTCATAGATTTGGTTTTTATTAGTTGCATGATTGCCCTCAGTGCACCACAAGCTTTCAATTACTCTAGCATTAACTTGTCTTTATGGTGGTTGCCAGAATATTTTTCTCAATGTCTGTTCCACCTTTAACTTTAGATATTATTTTCTTTGTATCTGTGAGTAAAAACAAATCTCTTTCCACACTCTTGAACATTTTTCAACAGTCAACTACTCTCACCTGTTATTTGGAATTTGTTAACCTTATGCTAGTGGGTGAAGGAACACTCTCTGCTCTGGTTTAACCTCAGTATCAGGCATAAGATGTGTCTTTAGGTCTTGGGTATAAGACCTTTCAGTTTTCCTACTCCCTCTTAGTGTTAGAAAACTCTAAGAGACTGGATCTAGAATGTTTTACAACCAGTCACCAAGGGTAGAGAACACTTTTTTTTCTATTCTGTTTTCACAAATACAATGAATCCTCACCCTTGGCCTAATTGCAATAGACCAATGAGGCTATTCTTTCTTATCTTTCCTTATATTTATGGTTAGTTGGTTTTAGGGATCCAGGAAAGTTGTGATTTTGCAGATTATGGAACATTTTGTGTAAAGATAGGAATGGCACTATTTCTTTCTTTTTATATCCTAAGTAGAAGTCAGAAAAATTATTTTAAAAATAATTGTATTGAGGAATAATTGATATCTTAAATGACATACATATAAATTATACAAATAGATAAATTTTGACGTATGTATACGTCCATGAAGCCATCACCATAATCAAGATAATGTCCCTATACATTACTCACCAAAGTTTCTTTATGGTCTCTTTGTAAACTCTATGTCCTGTAACTCTTCTACTCTAGTCCCCAGATAATCACTGTTCTAATTTCTGTCACTGTAGATTAGTTAACATTTTCTAGAAATTTATATAACTGAATCATACAATATGTACTTTTCTTCCACTTCTTTCACTCAGTGTGATTATTATGAGTTATACATATTGCTATATATATCTGATATATATGAGATATATATGAGATATCATATATATGATATGAGATCATATATATGATATATATAGCAGATATATGTATATCAGATATATATGATATCTGATATCATATATCTGAGATATATATCTGATATACGTATACTGATATATATATATGTCAGTGGTTCACTTTTTTTTGTTGTGAAATGGTATTCAATTATGTGGGTATGTCAATTTGTTTATCCATTCACCTATTGATAGGCATTTAGATTTTGTTTGAAAAGTGCAAGTAAAGGAGCTAGCAGCAGTTATAAACAGTCTTATATGGCTATAGGCTCTCATTCCTTTTGGGCAGATAGGTAAATGAGAATAGCTGAATTATGTGCTAAGTATATGCTGACATTTTAAATAAGTGGCCAGTTTTCCAAATTGTGCCATTTTACATTGCCACCAGCCATATATAAGAGTTAAAGTTTCGCCACATCTTTGCTAAAACTTGGGAAGTTTTTTGTTAAATTTAAACTTTTTTACTACATGTGTGGTAAATCTCGCTAATGTTTCAATGTGCCTTTCTTTAATGAATAATTATGTTGAATATTTTTGTGTGCTTATTTGCCATTTTCTTTTTCTTTTTATTTCAATAGTTTTGGGGAACAGGTGGTGTTTGGTTGCATGGAAAAGTTCTTTAGTGGTGATTTCTGTGATTTTGCTACACTAATCACCCAAACAGTGTATGATGTTCCCAATGTATGGTCTTCTATTCCTCATTCCCCTCCCACCATTCCCCCTGATTCCCCAAAGCCCATTGTATTATTCTTACGCCTTTACATCTTCATAGCTTATTTCCCGCTTATAAGTGAAAACATACAATGTTTGGTTTTCCATTCCCGAATTACTTCACTTAGAACAATGGTCTCCAACTCCATCCTGGTTACTGCAAATGCCATTATTTCATTCTTTTTTTTTTTATGGCTGAGTAGTATTACTAGATAAATATATATATATATAATCTCCACTTGTTGCTTGATGGGCATTTGTGCTGGGTCCGTATTTTTGCAGCTGAAAATTATGCTGCTATAAAGATGCATGTGCAAGTGTCTTTTTAATATAATGAATTCTTTTCCTCTGGGTAGATACCCAGTAGTGGGATTGCTGGATCAAATGGTAGTTCTACTTTTAGTTCTTTAAGAAATCTCTATACTGTTTTCCATAGTGATTGTACTAGTTTACATTCCCATCAGCAGTGTAAAAGTGTTCCTTTTTCACCACATCCTTGCCAAAATCTGTTACTTTTTGATTTTTTTTCTTTTTTTTAATTTTATTTTATTATTATTATACTTTAAGTTTTAGCGTGCATGTGCACAATGTGCAGGTTTCTTACATATGTATACATGTGCCATGTTGGTGTGCTGCACCCATTAACTCGTCATTTAGCATTAGGCATATCTCCTAATGCTTTCCCTCCCCCCTCCCACCACCCCACAACAGTACCCGGAGTGTGATGCTCCCCTTCCTGTGTCCTTGTGTTCTCATTGTTCAATTCCCACCTATGAGTGAGAACATGCGGTGTTTGGTTTTTTGTCCTTGCAATAGTTTGCTGAGAATGATGGTTTCCAGCTTCATCCATGTCCTTACAAAGGACATGAACTCATCCTTTTTTATGGCTTCATAGTATTCCATGGTGTATATGTGCCACATTTTCTTAATCCAGTCTATCATTGTTGGACATTTGGGTTGGTTCCAAGTCTTTGCTATTGTGAATAGTGCCGCAATAAACATATGTGTGCATGTGTCTTTATAGCAGCATGATTTATAATCCTTTGGGTATATACCCAGTAATGGGATGGCTGGGTCAAATGATATTTCTAGTTCTAGATCCCTGAGGAATTGCCACACTTACTTCCACAATGGTTGAACTAGTTTACAGTCCCACCAACAGTGTAAAAGTGTTCCTATTTCTCCACATCCTCTCCAGCACCTGTTGTTTCCTGACTTTTTAATGATCGCCATTCTAACTGGTGTGAGATGGTATCTCATTGTGGTTTTGATTTGCATTTCTTTGATGGCCAGTGATGATGAGCATTTTTTTATGTGTTTTTTGGCTGCATAAATTTCTTCTTTTGAGAAGTGTCTGTTCATATCCTTCGCCCACTTTTTGATGGAGTTGTTTGTTTTTTTCTTGTATATTTGTTTGAGTTCATAGTAGATTCTGGATATTAGCCCTTTGTCAGATGAGTAGGTTGCAAAAATTTTCTCCCATTCTGTAGGTTGCCTGTTCACTCTGATGGTAGTTTCTTTTGCTGTGCAGAAGCTCTTTAGTTTAATTGGATCCCATTTGTCAATTTTGGCTTTTGTTGCCATTGCTTTTGGTGTTTTAGACATGAAGTCCTTGCCCATGCCTGTGTCCTGAATGGTACTGCCTAGGTTTTCTTCTAGGGTTTTTATGGTTTTAGGTGTAACATGTAAGTCTTTAATCCATCTTGAATTAATTTTTGTATAAGGGGTAAGGAAGGGATCCAGTTTCAGCTTTCTATATGTGGCTAGCCAGTTTTCCCAGCACCATTTATTAAATAGGGAATCCTGTCCCCATTTCTTGCTTTTGTCAGATTTGTCAAAGATCAGATGGTTGTAGATATGCGGCATTATTTCTGAGGGCTCTGTTCTGTTCCATTGATCTATATCTCTGTTTTGGTACCAGTACCATGCCATTTTGGTTACTGTAGCCTTGTAGTATAGCTTAAAGTCAGGTAGCGTGGTGCCTCCGACTTTGTTCTTTTGGCTTAGGATTGACTTGGTGATGTGGGCTCTTTTTTGGTTCCATATGAACTTTAAAGTAGTTTTTTCCAATTCTGTGAAGAAAGTCATTGGTAGCTTGATGCGGATGGCATTGAATCTATAAATTACCTTGGGTAGTATGGCCATTTTCACCATATTGATTCTTCCTACCCATGAGAATGCAATGTTCTTCCATTTCTTTGTATCCTCTTTTATTTCCTTGAGCAGTGGTTTGTAGTTCTCCTTGAAGAGGTCCTTCACATCCCTTGTAAGTTGGATTCCTAGGTATTTTATTCTCTTTGTAGCAATCGTGAATGGGAGTTCACTCATGGTTTGGCTCTCTGTTTGTCTGTTATTTGTGTATAAGAATGCTTGTGATTTTTGTACATTGATTTTGTATCCTGAGACTTTGCTGAAGTTGCTTATCAGCTTAAGGAGATTTTGGGCTGAGACGATGGGGTTTTCTAGATATACAATCATGTCATCTGCAAACAGGGACAATTTGACTTCCTCTTTTCCCAATTGAATACCGTTTATTTCCTTCTCCTGCCTGATTGCCCTGGCCAGAACTTCCAACACTACGTTGAACAGGAGTGGTGAGAGAGGGCATCCCTGTCTTGTGCCAGTTTTCAAAGGGAATGCTTCCAGTTTTTGCCCATTCAGTATGATATTGGCTGTGGGTTTGTCATAGATAGCTCTTATTATTTTGAGATACGTCCCATCATTACCTAATTTATTGAGAGTTTTTAGCATGAAGCGTTGTTGAATTTTGTCAAAGGCCTTTTCTGCATCTATTGAGATAATCATGTGGTTTTTGTCTTTGGTTCTGTTTATATGCTGGATTACATTTATTGATTTGTGTATGTTGAACCAGCCTTGCATCCCAGGGATGAAGCCCACTTGATTATGGTGGATAAGATTTTTGATGTGCTGCTGGATTTGGTTTGCCAGTATTTTATTGAGGATTTTTGCATCAATGTTCATCAGGGATATTGGTCTAAAATTCTGTTTTTTTGTTGTGCCTCTGCCAGGCTTTGGTTTCAGGATGATGCTGGCCTCATAAAATGAGTTAGGGAGGATTCCCTCTTTTTCTATTGATTGGAATAGTTTCAGAAGGAATGGTACCAGCTCTTTCTTGTACCTCTGGTAGAATTCGGCTGGGAATCCATCTGGCTCTGGACTTTTTTTGGTTGATAAGCTATTGATTATTGCCACAATTTCAGAGCCTGTTATTGGTCTATTCAGAGATTCAACTTCTTCATGGTTTAGTCTTGGGAGGGTGCATGTGTCAAGGAACTTATCCATTTCTTTTAGATTTTCTAGTTTATTTGCATAGAGGTGTTTATAGTATTCTCTGATGGTAGTTTGTATTTCTGTGGGATCAGTGGTGATATTCCCTTCATGATTTTTTATTGTGTCTATTTGATTCTTCTCTCTTTTCTTCTTCATAGTCTTGCTAGCGGTCTATCAATTTTGTTGATCTTTTCAAAAAACCAGCTCTTGGATTCATTAATTTTTTGAAGGGTTTTTTGTGTCTCTATTTCCTTCAGTTCTGCTCTGATTTTAGTTATTTCTTGCCTTCTGCTAGCTTTTGGATGTGTTTGCTCTTGCTTTTCTAGTTCTTTTAATTATGACGCTAGGGTGTCAATTTTGGATGTTTCCTGCTTTCTGTTATGGGCATTTAGTGCTATAAATTTCCCTCTACACACTGCTTTGAATGTTTCCCAGAGATTCTGGTATGTTGTGTCTTTGTTCTCGTTGGTTTCAAAAAACATCTTTATTTCTGCCTTCATTTCGTTATGTACCCAGTAGTCATTCAGGAGCAGGTTGTTCAGTTTCCATGTAGTTGAGCAGTTTTGAATTTCTTAATTGTGAGTTCTAGTTTGATTGCACTGTGGTCTGAGAGATAGTTTGTTTTAATTTCTTTTCTTTTACATTTGCTGAGGAGTGCTTTACTTCCAACTATGTGGTCCGTTTTGGAATAGGTGTGGTGTGGTGCTGAAAAAAATGTGTATTCTGTTGATTTGGGGTGGAGAGTTCTGTAGATGTCCATTAAGTCCACTTGGTGCAGAGCTGAGTTCAATTCCTGGGTATCCTTGTTAACTTTCTGTCTCGTTGATCTGTCTAATGTTGACAGTGGGCTCTTAAAGTCTCCCATTATTATTGTGTGGGAGTCCAAGTCTCTTTGTAGGTAACTAAGGACTTGCTTTATGTATCTGGGTGCTCCTGTATTGGGTGCATATATATATAGGATAGTTAGCTCTTTTTGTTGAATTGATCCCTTTACCATTATGTAATGGCCTCGTTTGTCTCTTTTGATCTTTGTTGGTTTAAAGTCTGTTTTATCAGAGACTAGGATTGCAAACCTGCCTTTTTTTGTTTTCCATTTTCATGGTAGATCTTCCTCCATCCCTTTATTTTGAGTCTATATGTGTCTCTGCATGTGAGATGGGTTTCCTGAATACAGCACACTGATGGGTCTTGACTCTTTATCCAGTTTGCCAGTCTGTGTCTTTTAATTGGAGCATTTAGCCCATTTACATTTAAAGTTAATATTGTTATGTGTGTATTTCGTCCTGTCATTATGATGTTAGCTGGTTATTTTGCTCATTAGTTGATGCAATTTCTTCCTAGTCTTGATGGTCTTTACATTTTGTCATGTTTTTGCAGTGGCTGGTACCAGTTGTTCCTTTCCATGTTTAGTGCTTCCTTCAGGAGCTCTTTTAGGGCATGCCTGGTGGTGACAAAATCTCTCAGCATTTGCTTGTCTGTAAAGGATTTTATTTCTCCTTCACTTATGAAGCTTAGTTTGGCTGGATATGAAATTCTGGGTTGAAAATTCTTTTCTTTAAGAATGTTGAATGCTGGCCCCTACTCTCTTCTAGCTTGTAGAGTTTCTGCTGAGAGATCTGCTGTTAAGACTAACAGCTTCCCTTTGTGGGTAACTGGACCTTTCTCTCTGGCTGCCCTTAACATTTTTTCCTTCATTTCAACTTTGGTGAAATTGACAATTATGTGTCTTGGAGTTGCTCTTCTCGAGGAGTATCTTTGTGGCGTTCTCTGTATTTCCTGAATCTGAATGTCGGCCTGCCTTGCTAGATTTGGGAAGTTCTTCTGGATAATATCCTGCAGAGTGTTTTCCAACTTGGTTCCAATCTCCCTGTCACTTTCAGGTACACCAATCAGATGTAGATTTGGTCTTTTCACATAGTCCCATATTTCTTGGAGGCTTTGTTCATTTCTTTTTATTCTTTTTTATCTAAACTTCCCTTCTCGCTTCATTTCATTCATTTCATCTTCCATCACTGATATCCTTTCTTCCAGTTGATCAAATTGGCTGCTGAGGCTTCTGCATTATTCATGTAGTTCTCAAGCCTTGGCTTTCAGCTCCATCAGCCCCTTTAAGGACTTCTCTGCATTGGTTATTCTAGTTATCCATTTGTCTAATTTTTTTTTTCACAGTTTTTAACTTCTTTGCCATTGGTTTGAATTTCCTCCTGTAGCTCGGAGTAGTTTGATTGTCTGAAGCCTTCTTCTCTCAGCTTGTCAAAGTCATTCTCTGTCCAGCTTTGTTCCATTGCTGGTGAGGAGCTGCGTTCCTTTGGAGGAGGAGAGGCACTCTGCTTTTTAGAGTTTCCAGTTTTTCTGCTCTGTTTTTTCCCCATCTTTGTGGTTTTATCTACTTTTGGTCTTTGATGATGGTGACATACAGAAGGGATTTTGATGTGGATGTCCTTTCTTATTGTTAGTTTTCCTTCTGACACTCAGGACCCTCAGCTGCAGGTCTGTTGGAGTTTGCTAGAGGTCCACTCCAGACCCTGTTTGCCTGGGTATCAGCAGCAGTGGCTGCAGAACAGCAGATCTTGGTGAACTCAAAATGCTGCTGCCTGATCATTCCTCTGGAAGTTTTGTCTCAGAGGAGTACCCAGCCGTGTGAGGTGTCAGTCTGCCCTTACTGGGGGTGCCTCCCAGTTAGGCTGCTCCGGGGTCAAGGACCCACTTAAGGAAGCAGTCTGCCCGTTCTCAGATCTCCAGCTTTGTACTGGGAGAACCACTACTCTCTTCAAAGCTGTCAGACAGGGACATTTAAGTCTGCAGAGGTTACTGCTGTCTTTTTGTTTGTCTGTGCCCTGCCCCCAGAGGTGGAGCCTACAGAGGCAGGCAGGCCTCCTTGAGCTGTGGTGGTCTCCACCCTGTTCGAGCTTCCCAGCTGCTTTGTTTACCTAATCAAGCCTGGGCAATGGCAGGCGCCCCTCCCCTAGCCTTGCTGCTGCCTTGCAGTTTGATCTCAGACTGCTGTGCTAGCAATCAGTGAGACTGTGGGAGTAGGACCCTCCAAGACATGTGCGGGATATAATCTCCTGGGGTGCCGTTTTTTAAGCCCATTGGAAAAGCGCAGTATTAGGGTGGAAGTGACGCGATTTTCCAGGAGCTGTCTGTCACCCCTTTCTTTGACTAGGAAAGGGAACTCCCTGACCCCTTGCACTTCCCGAGTGAGGCAATGCCTCGCCCTGCTTCGGCTCGCGCACGGTGCACTCTACCCACTGTCTTGCACCCACTGTCTGGCACTCCCTAGTTAGATGAACCTGGTACCTCAGATGGAAATGCAGAAATCACCCATCTTCTGCGTCGCTCATGCTGGGAGCTGTAGGCTGGAGCTGTTCCTATTTGGCCATCTTGGCTCCCTACTTTTTGATTTTTTAATAATGGCCATTCTTGCAGTAATAAGGTGATATCTTGTTGTGGTTTTGATTTGCATTTCCTTGATAATTAGTGATGTTGAGCATTTTTTCATATGTTTGTTGGCCATTAGTATATCTTCTTTTGAGAATTGTCTATTCATGTCCTTTGCCTACTTTTTGATGGGATTATTTATTATTTATTTTTTTTCTGGCTGATTTGTTTGAGTTGTTTGTAGACTCTGGATAATAATTCTTTGTCCGATGACTAGTTTGTGAATATTTTCTCCCACTCTGTAGGTTGGCTGTTTACACTGCTGATTATTTCTCTTGCTGATTATTTCACTGCTTATTATTTCTCTTGCATATCTTTTTCTGAGAACTGTCTATTCATATTCTTTGCCCACTTTTTGACATGATTATTTGTTTTTTTCTTGCTGATTTGTTTGAGTTCATTGTAGATTCTGGATATTAGTCCTGTGTTAGATACACAGTTTGCAAATATTTTCTTCCACTATGTAGGTCATCTGTTTACACTACTGATTATTTCTTTTGCTGTGCAGAAGCTTTTTAGTTTAATTAGATACCACATATTTATCTTTGTTTTTGTTGCATTTGCTTTTGGATTCTTGGTCAAGAACTCTTTGCCTAAGCCAATGTCTAAAAGAGTTTTTCCAATGTTATCTTCTAGAATGTTTATGGTTTCAGGTCTTACATTTAAGTATTTGATCCATCTTGAGTTGATTTTTGTATAAGGTGAGAGATGAGGGTCTAGATTCATTCTTCTAGAGACATGTTCTGCTTAAATCTTTTGTTTGTTTTAATTAGATTGTTTTTCTCTTAAGGTTGTGTCTTGAGAGCTCTTTATTGATTCTTGATGTAAGTCTTTGGCAGGTATATAAATTGCTAACATTTTCTACTTGTAACTCTTTATTCTCTTAACAAGGTGTATCTCATGGAAAAACATTTTAATTTTGATGAACTCTAATTTACCAATTGTTTATTTAATGGATTGTGTTTTGTGTCAAATCTGGAAATTCTTTGCTCAGTCCTAGATCCTGAATATTTTCTCCTTGGTCTCTATCTACATGTTTTGTGATTTACATTTTACATTTAAGTCTGTGATTCATTTTGAGTTAGTTTTTGTATCAGATCTAGTGTTTAGGTAGATATTTACTGATTCTTTTGTTCCTTTATTATTTGTTGAAAAGGCTATCTTTCCTCCACTAAATTGCTGTATCTCCCCTGTCAAAGTCAGTTGAGTGCATGTGTGTGAGTCTTTTTCTGGGATCTCTGTTCTGTTTTATCAATCTATGGGTGTCTGTTCCTCTGCCAAAACTGTATAGTCTTGATTGTTATAGCTGGAAAGTAAGTCTTGAAATTGGGTAGATTGATTTCTCCCACTTGTTTATTCTTTTTCAAAAGTCTTTTAGCTATGTTATTTCCTGTGTTTTTTTTCATGTACATTTTAAATAATTTTGCCTAGATCTAAAAAATTACTTGCTGAGATTTTCATAGGAGCTTCATGAAACCGATATGTCATTTCTTTGGGGATAATTTACACTTCCCAATATTGAGTCTATCAATCAATGAATACAATATGTCTCTCTATTTATTTAGTCCTTCTTTGATTTCTTTCATTGACATATAGCATTTTTTAGTATATGTATATCATTTAATCCTCTACATGCTTTCTGAGATTAATAGCTACACAGTTGTAAATGGTATTGTATTTTTAAATCTTTGTGCCCATGTGTTTATTGGTAGTTTGTAAAAACATAATTGTTTTTGTGTATTTATCTTATATCATGTGACCTTACTGTATTCATTTAATGGTTCTAGGAATATTTTAATACATTTCTTCAGATGTTCTATATAGGCAATCATGTCATCTGCATATAGAGCTAGTTGTATTCTTTCTTTCTTTCCAATCTGTATATCTTTTATTGCTTTTTCTTACCTTATTGCATTAGCTAGAACTTCCAAAACTACATGAATAGGAGTCATGAGAACTGACATCTTTGCTCCATATTTTCAATCTTAGGGGGAAAACATTTTTTTTAAATCAAATATATAGTGTAAGGTGTTTACATGTCTACATATATTATTTATCAAGTTGTGAAAATCCCTCTCTATTCCTTTTTTTCTGTATGGGTGTTTATTTTGTCAAATTTTTTTTCTGCCACAATTACATTTTCCTGTGATTTTTCTTCTTTAGCCTATTAATTTCTATCACAGTAAATTATATTGATTAACTTTTGAATATTAATATAGCTTCCTATTTCTGGAATAAGTTCCAATTGGTCGTGGTATATAATTCTTTTTATATACTGTTGGATTTTATTTGCTAACACTTTGTTAAGGAGTTTTATGTCTACATTCATGAGAAATCTTGATCTATAGTTTTTAAATTTTTTAACCATTTTTTTTCTGGTTTTGACTTCAGGGTAACACCAGTTTCATAAAAAAAAAAGTGTTCCTTCCTCTTTGATTTTTGAAAATAAATTGGGTAGAACTGGTGTTAATTCTTTAAACACTTGGTAGATTTCTCTAGTGAAACTCTCTGTGTCTGGAGATTTCCTTTTTTGTGATTTAAAAATTATGACTTCAATTTCCTTAAAGGAAATTTCCTTAGGGCTATTTTTGTCACCTATTTTCTATTGAGTGAATTGTAGTCTTTTTTTTTTTTTTTTTTTTTTTTGTGGTGGAGTCTCGCTCTGTTGTCCAGGCTGGGGTGCAGGGGCGCAATCTCAGCTCACTGCAAGTTCTGCCTCCCAGGTTCACGCCATTCTCCTGCCTCAGCCTCCTGAGTAGCTGGGACTACAGGCACCCGCCACCAATGCCTGGCTAATTTTTGTTTGTATTTTTAGTAGAGACGGAGTTTCACCATATTAGCCAGGATGGTCTCGATCTCCTGACTTCATGATCTGCCCACCTTGACTTCCCATAGTGCTGGGATTACAGGCTTGAGCCACCGCGCCTGGCCAGTAGTTTGTGTTTTTTGAGGTGTTTCTCACTTAATGCAAAACCTATGTATATAGAATTATTTATGATATTTCTTTTTTATTCATTTTGTTGTCTGCAGGGTCTATAGTAATATACCGTTTCGTTCTTGATCTTAGAAATTTGTGTGTTCTATTTTTAATTTGTCAGTCTTGCTGGAGGTTTGTCAATTTTGTTCATTTTTTTTCAATGAATCATCTGTTCTATTGATTTCAAATATTATTTTTGACTTTTAAATTATTTTGATTTCCTTTTTTTAGTTTTAAAATTTCTTGGATTTCTGCTCTGCTTTTTTTCCATCTTTCTACTTGCTTTTGGTTTATTTTTCTGTTCTTTTTTCTAGCTTCTTGAGATATTAGCTTAGATGATTTATTTGAGACTTTTTCTCTTTTCTCATACATGCATTTTGTGCTATAAATTTCCCTATCAGCACTGTTGTAGCTGTATCTCAGAAATTTAAAGGTATTTATATTTTCATTTAATTCAATGTAATTTTAAAATTTTCCTTGAGTGTTCCTCTTTGACGCTTAGATTATTCAGAAATGTGTTTTTAGGTTATCACATGTTTGGAAAATTTCCTGTTATTTAGAGATCTTTTTATCATGAATAAACTTCTGGCTTAATTCATTGTTGTCAGAGAACACACTATGATCTTAATTATTTTAAGTTTGTTAAGTTTTGTTTGATGGCCAGATATAGTCTATTTTGGTGTATGTCCCATGGCTACCTGAAAAGGATGTGCATTCTGCTGTTGGTGATTGGAACAATTTGTAAATGTCAGGTCCCATTAGTGTATTGTGTTATTAAATTATTCTATTAATATATTCTTGATGTTTTTCATTTAATTGTTTTATCAATTTTTGAGAGATGGGTACTGGAATCTCTTAGTTGTGGGTTTTTAAATTTCTCTTTTTAGCTTCATCAGTCTTATATATTTTGCTGCTTTATTGTTTAATGTGTATATATCTAGAATTACTATGCTTTTTGATGAAATGACCTTATTATTATGTAATGTCCCTCTCTGTCTCTGATAATTTTCTTTGAATTCTTTTTTAACAATCTGATATTAATATAGCTACTTCTGCTTTCTTTTCTCTAATGTTTCTGTAATATATCTTTTTTCCATTCTTTACTTTCAGCTGGTTTATATCATTATAGTTGAAATGAGTTTCTTGTAAATAGCATGTATTTGGGCCTTGTTTGGTAATCTACTTTGCCAAATTCTGTGTTTAAATTGGAACATTTAGACCATTTACATTTAATGTAGTTACTGATACATTAGGGTGTAAGTCTGCTATTTTCTTTCTTGTCTCTTTTTAATTCTTTCTATCTTTTATATATATATTTAAAAAAATTTTTTTTAAGTTTTTTGAGACGGAGTCTCTCCTGTCATCCAGGCTGGAATGCAGTGGCACCATCTCAGCTTACTGCAAGCTCTGCCTCATGGGTTCATGCCATTCTCCTGCCTCATCCTCCCCAGTAGCTGGGACTACAGGTGCCTGTCACCACACCCAGCTAATTTTTTGTATATTTGGTAGAGACAGGGTTTCACTGTGTTAGCCAGGATGGTCTCGATCTCTTGACCTCGTGATCTGCCCACCTCAGCCTCCCAAAGTGCTGGGATTATAGGCGTGAGCCACCACACCTGGCCTCTATCTTTTATATTTTTATGTTTTCTTTTACATGCCTTCCTATGAGCTACTCAGTTTTAAGAATTCCATTTTGATTGCTCTGTCCTCTTTTTGAGTATCTCTTTGCATAATTTTATTAGTGATTACTCTAGATGTTACATTACATAGAGACGACTTTTCACAGACTGCTGGTGTCATCATTTTACCAGTTTGAGTGAAGTGTAGAAATCTTATTTTCCTTTACATTTCTTTCCTATCTTTCACTTATAATTGTCTTATGTATTTTCTCTATACACACTTAGAATTATTTCAGTGTTATACTTTAACTTCAATTTTCAAGCATAATTTAGAAAATTCAATAGAAGAAAGAAAATCTATTTTGTTTGCCCCAAGTTTTTCTTACTGTGATTTTTCTTCATTCCTGATTCTCCAAGATTTCTCATTTTATCATTTTCTTTTTGGTTTGAAGACTTTGCTTTGCCATTCATTTGGGGTAGATCAGTTTGAAGATAAATTCTCTTAGTTTTCCTTCATTTCCTTACTTCATTTTGATTTCCTCTTAATTTCTAATGAATATTTTCACTCAATATAAAATTCTATGCTCACAGCCTTTTTTTTTTTTTTTTTTTTTTTTTTGGGTAAGTTCCACTTACTTCTAGTCTCCATGGTTTCTCATGAGAAATCTGCTTCCATTCAAATTATTTTCTCTGCATATTTAAGGTGGTATTTGTTCCTGACTGCTTTATGGTTTTTTATATTTGTATTTAGCTTGCCAGAGTTTGACTATGATGTGCCTTAGTGTGACTATCCTTGGATTTATCCTGTTTGAGATTTACCAAATTACTTGAATTCATAGGTGTATTTTTTTGATCATATTTAGAAGTTATTGGTCATCATTTCCTTGAATACTTTTTAGTTCTGCTTTTTCTCTATGTCTTTACAGGACTCAGAGGACATAAATGTTAGGTCTTGTGTTATAGTCTCACTAATCCCTGAGGCTTTGTTTATCTGTTTAGGTCTATTTTCTCTTTGTTTTTGAGACTGGATAATTTCTATTACTCTTCATTCCAGTTCACTGATTCTTTTCTCTGCTCCTTTCATCTTATTATTGAGGCCATCCATTGATTTGTTTTCATTTTGGTTAATTTGTTTTTTTCAGTTAGAGAATATTAACTTGATTCTTTTTATATTATCAATTTATTTACTGGGCTTTTCTATTTCTTTCTTGATACTTTCTATATTTTTTTTTCATTTGTTTAAAGGATGTTTGTAGTTGCTTGTTGAAGCATTTTTATGATGACTGCATTTAATTATTTGTCAGACAATTTTGACATTGACATCTTTGTCATCTTGGTATGATACACGGTTGTCTTTTAATATTCAAGTTAAATTATTCCTAGTTATTTGTATGACAAGTACTTTTCTATTCAAACCTGTAAAATATGGGCCTTATGTTAAGAGATTTTGATCTCATTAAGCCCTTCTGTTTTAGCTGTCTTCCTCTGATACTTCTCTAGCAGGGGAAGCATGGGGAGTAGCACCTCATTACTGCCAGGTAAGGGCAGATGTTCCCTACTCAACTTCCATTGATACCTGAGGGTGGGGATTCTGTTGTTACTACTGAGCAAGGAGTGTGAATTCTGGCTCCCAAGTGGGCCTCCACTGATACCTCACTGGCTGGCCAAGGTTCTGTTCTCCACTGGATCTCTGCTAACATCATGGCTGAGAGACATTACCACTGAGTGTGGTGGGAAATGTTATCACTGACTTCTACTAGGCCTACTCTGGCATAACTTCTTCAGGGAAAGTAAGGTGCACTTTATTACTACTGGGTATGAGTGGAAGTCTGGGTTCCCTACGTGTACTTCACTGATACTGTAGAGGTGAGGGTGTATAAGGGAGCCCCTTTATTGAGGGTAAAATTTCGTGGCTCCCTACTTGGCCTTCTCTGATGCCATCCAAGCAGTGGGGAGAGGAGGTGGCAGGCATGGGAGTTTGGAGCTCCTCTTACTGCCTTGGAAGGGCTCCCAGCTTGGCCTTTGCTCGTATGGAGGGAGGTGAGGCTACAGGTTTTTTTGGTGATATTTCTTTAGCTGGAGCAGAGCAATTATTATCTAAAAGTCTTCTGTCCTTCTAGGTTGCTCCCTCTATGTCTTTTGGATAGAGAAAAAAGGCATTTTATTGGGGTTTATTTTGTTTGTGCATGTTGTCATTTCTCGATTGCTGGCTTCTTCAGCTTGAAGTCTGGGATATGAGGCAAAAAGAAAACCCAGAGAAATCACCATCATGCTGTTCCTTGAATCCTAAGGTCCCTAACTGATCTATCTTCTTTTCTTCACCTTTCATAAACTTTTAATGTTTGCTTCATATATAATTTCTAAGTATTTTAGTTGTACTCAGCAAAAGGAATAGTTGTACTTAGCAGGAGAAGTTATGTTAAAATAAGTTTTCTTAGTTGTTCTATGGTAAAGTAAAATTGCACCGCACAAACTTAAATAATCAAGGAAGACTTTATTCAAGGCTATTACAACAGAGGAGAGAGGTCAGAACTCAGTCTGAAGTCAACTCTACTGAAACAAAGGGCTAGAGAGCTTTTAAGTGCTGAAGTGGGAGGAGATAATAGGATGTGTTTGCTAATTGGCTTTACCCAAAGAAAATAATACTTTCTCATACTTTTATGACAGGAAGTTGTTTTATAATTTGGAGCAAGGTGGCATGGAAGTTAAACTCCTATCTTCTGGTAGAAACTGGAAGATAGGAGCACTATCTTCCTTGATTACATTGCAAAGAGGTGGTTCCCAGGGATTGGAAAGAAACTTCTAAATAATTTACACCTCAAAAGAATAGGGAAGAATTTATAGTTACAAGTTTTCTAAAATACGTGCTTAAAAAATGGGAATCAGAGGCCTAGTGTCAGGTAAAATAATATTCTAAACATCAGTCCGGTTGAGGGGAATATTAAGACTATCTTTGTCATCTACAGTTGATAAGTGCTAGACTTTGTCTAGTCATAGAATGGTTCCTCTTCTTCTGTTTGTAATACGCACACTTCATAGATTACATGGATAAGCATTATTATTATCCATTGCCCTCCACCATCTGTTTTTCTAAAGCTAAGTGGTATCTTTAATTGTACCTGAGGAGAAACCTGCTATATATAATGGGTATGCAAGTGAAAGCTAAGTACAACAATACAAACCTGTAGAAGAATGCTTAATAGAGCCATCTCATTTTTCCTCTCTATATCCCTTCTGGCTTCATCCCTTGGACTTGTGATTTCTGGTTGATACATTCAGATGTGTCTCTGCATTGTCTTGAATAATCTTCTGTTTCTGATTCTACTACCTGACTTTCTCTTGCCTATCAGTTAATGCAGAGAATCTGATTCCTGGATGAACATCTTTATTAATGAAAAATAATTTCAAATTTTGTATTTGACAAGACCTGTCTAACAGGGTGAGATATCAACAAGGTAATATACACCACTATCCAAATCATGTGCTAAGGATTAGGAAAAGGGTATAAGAGCAGCTGGCAAGAGACTACTAAAATCCTGTAATTTGCTTTTTACATTTCTAGAGAGAATCCATATTCAAATGGTCAAGTTTCTTTTAAATGGGAGAATAGAGTTTAGTAAGCAATGAAAGTTGTAAATGTTTGTAAAGTTTTGCAAGACTACTTCTTCATACAAAGAAACAAAGCAAAGAACCAGAATATGTACATTTACCTCTTAGTCAACTTACTATTCATATGAGTATTGGCAGCCTTAAAAAACAAACATTACACATATCTCAGAGGCCACATTCATCTTTTAGAAGCTAAAAAGGTTTGCATTGTTTTTAAATAAAGAGCTTGAGTGTTGTCAAAGGTTGCTTTAGATCTCTCTCTTTCTTGGACTTGCTTAAGAAATGAATGATGCATGGAAGGGCTTCTTCTTGCACAAAGGCACATTTTCATAAACTTATGAGCACTGAAGCCCACAGTGCAAAGAAATATATTTTTGTGTTTCAAATGGCTCTCATATGGTGATATTATAAAGATAGAAAAATCTTTATTTTGCGTAGAGGCTACATGACAGTATTTAAAAGTGGCCTGATAATTGACATTATCTTATTTTCTCCTACCAAAGGACCCCACCAGGGACATGTATCTTAAAAATTATGATTTAAAAGACCACGGTATAGTCTTGAAAAACACTGTGCAAAAGAGAAGGAATCTGAATCTAAGTGTAGGTTTTGTAACAATGGTGGTGCAAAAACTTGGGAAAGTTATTTCATTTCTTTAAACTTGATTTACTATATTTAGAACTGTATAGATTTGTATTAAGGTAGTATTTATTGAGGAAAGATATACATTTATTTCGTGTTTTAATCATGCTAAAAGGGCCTTTTTTATGTGTCATATCTGGGATCATGATTTGATCTTTGCTATTTTTGAATCTACATAGAATAAAATCTATAGTGGGATTTGGTTAATATAACACTATCTTGTTTCACTAGAGGGCAGTATGACAAATTAGACCATTTCTGTTAAATGTCTTCCATGTGAAATATCCCAGATGAATTGGTAAAAGTTGTTATATAAATTTAAGGCACTTTTGAGACCAGCCTGGCCAACATAGTGAAACCCCGTCTCTTTTATAAATTTAAGGCACTTTTGAGACCAGCCTGGCCAACATAGTGAAACCCCGTCTCTACTAAAAATACAAAAATAGCCAGGTGTGGTGGCGTGTGCCTGTAATCCCAGCTACTTGGGAGGTTGAGGCAGGAGAATCACTTGAACCTGGGAGGCGGAGGTTGCAGTGGACGGAGATTGTGCCATTGCACTCCAGCCTGGGTGACAGAGTGAGACTCTTCCTCAAAAAAAAAAAAAAAAAAAAAAAGAGGTACTATTTTACAACATTATCATATTTTCTAATCTTAGAACATGCATGATTTGAGAATATCCAGAAACTTTTTTGCTATTATTATCCCAAAGGTCACAGAGCCAGTGAGTGGTAGTACTAGGATATTTCAATCTTAACTCTGTTCTATTGGAGACGCAGCACTTTATCCTTATATAAAGTGCTGGGGTGTGGATTTTGAGTGCAAGGAGTCCAAAGATTGAGAGATCTGTACTAAGGGCCGCAGTAATAGTCACGCAAAAACATGCAATAGGAAAACATATTCTAGACTAAGTTGAATCTTTTTTTTTTTTTTTTTTTTTTTGAGATGGAGTCTCGCTTTGTCACCCAGTTTGGAGTGCAGTGGCGCCATCTCGGCTCACTGCAACCTCCGCCTCCCGGGTTCAAGCGATTCTCCTGCCTCAGTCTCCTGAGTAACCGGGGTTACAGGCGCCCGCCACCACGTCCGGCTAATTTTTGTATTTTTAGTAGAGATGGGGTTTCACCATGTTGATCAGGCTAGTCTTGAGCTCCTGACCTCATGATCCACCTGCCTCAGCCTCCGAAAGTGCTGGGATTACAGGCGTGAGCCACCGCCCCCGACTTAAGTTGAATCTTAAGTGCTACCTTGTTTGTGGTTTGTGACTTATAATTTTGTGGTTGAACAATAATTTGCCTTTGTGTTAGGTATTTGAAGATTCTCACATATATCAATTTTAGTTCTCCAGAAAACGGATGTAGGGAGTTAAGCACTGCTGCTATTGCCTGACATACTCTTCTGGACTTAGTTTTCTTATCTATGAATTGAAGATGTTGGAATAAACATGTTGAACTTAGTTCTCCCCATATGTAATAACCTTGATGCTGTAAAAGCTTAAAGGACAGGGAATTCAGTTCATCTAGAAACTGAAATCCCAACTGATGAAAGCAGTAACTACCTCTAGGTTATGAATGATGAAGAGAAAACGATGACTTGCAACTCTTTTCCTTAAGGCTCAGAGTTGTGAGGGTTACTCATGTCTTCACTTTCATTAAAACTAGGATTTATCACAAGGAAAAAATGCCCAAGTAATTTGCATGCATTGTATATCCTAAGAATTCTGCTTTGGTTTTCACTCTTTTTTTTTTGCCCTCTCTTTCTTACTCCATTTTTCTCTCAAAGTGAGAATCTGAAAAATCCTAACAAAAAATCCTAACATTTGCCATTTTTTTTTTGTAGCCAATGTTCTTCTACGTAAGTCTGTATTGGTCTATGATCCAATTAGACATGGCTGAGAAGGAGAATTTTGTGATTTAGCTCACAGTCAACTGTGTTTGAAGTACCCAGAAAGGGGATATGGGCACAGCAGGCACCAGATGAGTAGATGGCTCTAAAATATCCCTTGTTGTGAGATCCTTGGGAAAATGTTCAAATGGAGTTGGATACCCTGGAACTCTCATTTAATCATTCTCTTCTTTCTGGAACGGATGAATCTAGTAGATTATGGCCAGTTTTTCTAATGAGAGAATGCCATATGCCCCTTGCTGTTTCTTAAAAGCAAAGCTGTATTTACACGAAGTGGGTATGAATAACATTTTTAAATATCCTGCTAAAACACAGTTAGGTTAGAGATTCTGTTTGCTTTCACTTTTTTTTTTTTTTGAGACGGAGTGCTTTCACTTTTTAATTCAATCATGTGTTGCTTAATGACAGGGATGCTTTCTGAGAAATGCATCAGGCGATTTCATCATTGTGCAAACATCATCGAGTGTACTTAAACAAACTTAGTATAGTCTACCACACTCGTAGCCTATGGCTTTTTGGCTACAAACCTGTACAACATGTTACTGTACTGGATAATGTAAGCAACTGTAACACAATGGTAAGTACTGATACATCAAACATATCTAAATATATACAAAATTTAGTAAAATTATGATATGATCTCATGAGATACCATCATATATATGGTCCATAGTTGACCAAACTCTCATTGCACATGCAATGGATAGGTTGGGGGAAAATTATTTATTCATAGATAGATTAGGGGAAAAATTATCCATCCTTTTGTATCTCAAATAAGGTAAAAGGAAGTTATCATTGGGTTCCATCAAAAACCTAAAATTTCGGCCTTGAAAAGGTGTTAAAACTCATTCATTTGTTAGAACCTCTGTTAGGGTCTGAACTAGAAACTGGGTCCCGACCCAGGTCATAAGCCCTAACCATTAAGAAAAATCAGCGACTGAGTTAGGGAGTATGTAGGTTTTAGAAGAGCCCCTTAATCTGGGCAGAGAAGCTGGAGGCAGTGCTGAATATTCTAACATTGGGATATTCTTTGATATTGCATGCATTTGATATGTAATATAAAGCTTGAGAATGCTTTAACCAGCCAGGCTCTGGTTCTTGAAACCCTCAGTTTTTGCTTCTATGTCATCAAAAGATTTGAAAGGTGGATAGGTCTAGGGAAGGAAGACATTTCTAATGTTTGCAGGTCCTAGTAAAACTTCTACTCGCATGTTAAATTCTAGGCATTGAGAACCAATTGCCTCTACTGGTCAAGGTTTTCATACCTCCATTTCCCCACCTTCTCTTTCTTTCTGGAATATATTTTATCCTTTTCCTTTCTACTTGGCAATTTCCCATTACTTAGAGACTGATTGTGAGTACATTCCTCAATAGCTCTGAGGCTCTATTTTTCCATATGCAAATCAGAGATAATAGTAACTGTCTTACCTACCTCAAAGGGTATATGTGAGTAACAAAAAAGGATATATTTAAAAGTGCTTTTGATAGAGATGTCATCATTAGATGAATAATAGCAGCAGTTGTAGTAATATCTGTGAGAATGGCAGTGGTACTAGTCTTTATTGTTAAAACACATGGGCCAGTGGTGGTTTTGAAAGAGGTGTGATTTAGGAAAGAGTATACCTGTTGAAATATTTGTATTTCTTTAGTCCTTTACTATAGTCAGTTGATATTAAATTCTCTAAGTTTTCTAAACTCTAGTTGTGTTTTGGCTTGACTAAAGTTTTGCCAGGAAAAATATTTCATTCCTGGAAGCCAAATTGGAAGAGAAATTCTCTGCCCTATTTCACATAGCAATGGTCTGTTAATCAACTAAATGTTAATGGAAAATTTTCCAAAAACTTTAAGAGTGGTAATAATTACCACTCTTATTCTGTCATGATTATGGAGCTAAAAAAAAGGTGATGAACTATTAGAGCTGGATTGGAAATTGTCATAAACCTTTCATTTTATGGATGAGAAAACTTAGACCTACCACTGTTGAGAGCCAAGCTTTCAAAGCTGGTTAGTGATAAACACAGCAATAGACGTTATGACTTCAAACTCCTAGATTATTCTCTTTCACTATAATCTTTCAGATAACTTTCATTTTTTTTTAATCCTTAATGGCAAGGTACTTATACAATCTTAGTTTAAGAAAAAAAACATGCCAGCATGGGTAAATTCATGATCTGGTTAAATAGACTTTTTTCTATGAGAAATAAATTATATCACTTTGTGTTAACTGTTGTTTAATATCTCTAAGTGAGGTTGTATCAGATATAAATGGTGTTAAGGGAGAAAACACAAGATAAAAGCAAGAAAACAATTATTTGTAAGGCCCCTCTGTAAGTCCTCAAAGCCTTTTCTTGACATTTGGGGTACCAACTGCTTATTAGGCTGACATTCTCTTCCTGGCATCCCTTACTCTCTCATGGTGCCAATCCTCCATTATCACTTCTGCAGAGAAAGAGAGGCAAGCATTCACTCCAGACAGGGGTCATTTCACATCCTGGTTTTGCCACTTTCTAGTTCTGTGCTTTTTACTTCTTTGTGTCTCTATTCCTCAGAGATAAAATAGGGGTAATATTAATGCTTGCATTGCAAGGTTGTTGTGAGAAATAAATGAGGAAATCATCTGAAACCCTTAGAACAGAACCAGGAACCTGCCAGGCACTTAATAAATACTGACTTTTTATTTTCTGCCATCACATTCCTCTGCCATTGTTGCTCTCCTCTCTAAATGCAAAGGATAGCAAGTTAAAATTAAAAGGCCTGTGGCTCTTCTAAGGGGAACTGTTACACACAGAGAAATTAAAGTTTAGAGATGACCTGTAAGTTTCCTAGGTTAGAAGCGGAAGAGGCATTAGAAGTTAATTCTCCTGCAGATCATGTGAGATTTCAATGGGTGGATGGTGAGGGCTGGAGGAAGACTCTTTATTTCCTTCTTCCTCTCTTTCCCCCGTCCTGCAGAGTGTAGCAAGTCACAGTATTTGGGTGCCCATTATTGATGTTTTAGGATTTCTGGTCACCTTTGTGGTAGATATTGATGTCCCTGATGATAACATTGGTCACCATTTTAAAAAGTTATATATTTTGTGGCCTAAGAAGAGTCCAGTTCTGTCAATTAGGTGAAATATATAATTGTTTATTTGGTGCCATTGTCAAACATGGGTGGGGTATTTTTTCTACTTTCATGCAGAAAACAGGAAAAAGTAAGAGACAAACTAAAATTTAGGTTTAAAGAATGAAGTGAGTCTTTGCAATAGCAACATTTTCTGAAAAATATAATTCTAACTGATAAACATTGGTGATTTCTCAATCAATGTTTGGAATCTTCAAAAAAACAAGAACTTAGCAATGTACAGGTGGTACTAACAACAGAACATTAAAAATTGCTGCTGCTTTCTCACTTTCTGCTACTGAAAAAGAAAATTATCTTCCTTTGTAATATCTACCTAACATTGCAAGAGTTATGAAGGCAGTAGTGCTTTGTATACTTGTAAAATCCCCTTCAGGCTCTTTACATTTAGTTTCTCTGTCAAAATATCAAAAAAAGTTTATTATGGTTTTATTTAATAGGATGATAAACTAATGATTTGATGAAGCCATTTTTAAAATATCATCTAATAAATGATATTGAAACATGACATTCTAATTTTTAATACTGCTTAGGTGAGAGAAGAAGAGACAGTGCATGAAAAATATGGATATTTAAATTAGCAATTGACAATAAATGTGGAAGTTGCAGCTTGAGAAATGGGATTCTAGAAAAAAAATGAAGCAAGCCAGACTGCTATGTGAGAATAATTATAACATGTAATTTGCATGCAAATATATTTAAACTAAAGAAATAATTTTAACTCATTCATAGCATAAAATTGACTTTGTATTGCCATTATTCCCTATCTAAAATATGTGCTATAAATCATGCTTTTAATGTCTAAGATAATAGCTGAGGTGAAAATACAGTTTTCTCCCAGATGTACAAAATGCAATTGAATATTCCATGTTGAAAGAGGTAATTCTCAATTACAGCATATTGGAATTACTTGATAATCCATTATATGTAAGTAGTTTAAGCAAAATATGCCTCTTTACAACAAATTAACTTTTCTTCAAAGGATGTATTTCTACTCTTTGTGTAAGGTAATAACTATTTATTTATAAACTATAAAACATATAGCACTGTTATGCCTACAGCACTCAGAAATTACTAGGCTATGTATTCATTAAAGAGAAGTAATTACTTTCCAGATATCTTACCTACAATCTTTTATTGACCTCATAATGCAATTTCTATGCTTAATAGATTGATGCAGCTGTTTATGCAATTCTTTTCACAACATATGAGTTTGCTACACAAGTTCAGTAATAATTCAAACAGGCATACTCGCTTAATAAGCTTAACAGGCAGGAACACAGAGCCACCCCTATGTAGGAAAATATCAGTTGATAGCCCTAAGGATATGGAAAAGGAGGGCAAAATTGATAAAATGTTTTTATGGTAATTGATTTGTAATTGTTACTGCCCACATTTGGTCTCACTGGGAAATAACAGTTTTTGAGGATAGTCAATAAAATTGTTTGAATTCTGATGGAAAAGACATTTGCAGAGTTTAAATTCATTTTCTTAAAGTTGCCACAAAAATATTAATCACTGTGGGTATGAAAATATGGGAGCAGTAACAGCAATGATACTACAACAACACTTTCTTCTTCCTTGGTGGGGTATTTTGTATTTTTAAATTGACATGCTCTATGTTGTGTCACAGGGTTTTTCATTCAATGTTTTTCTGACAAGAAAAACAAGGTATTGATATGAAATAAAAGTGTGAATGCAAACCTCATTGGAAGAGCAAGCAAAATTGAAGAGGGAGTCTATTATGTGAATTTAAATTATAGTAGTTTGGAAATGGTCACTGCTTTCTATTAACATAGCAAATTGGCAGGTTTATTAAAAATGGTAAAACTTTGAGCTTCTATATGAATGGATGTGTCTACATATTGACACATATATATTATTATAATTGTGTGTATTATATAAGCACTTCAGGCAAGCAAAATGAACAATTACAAGGAAGTGCTTAAAATCTATTTAAAGGTTAAAGTGATACATGAATTCTCACTTTCCTATATGCTGAAAAAAGACAACTATTTGTTTAGAAATATGCTGTAGTTTTCATTGATTTCTGCTCATTATTCTAGTCTAGATAAAGAACATATTCTGAGATAGGAAAATGTGTGATTCTGATATAAGCTTCCTTAATTATAAATTACCTTTATTTTTAGGAAGTCTTAAAAAGGCAAAAAGGTTGGTATCCATCTTACTGTTTTCGTGTTTCTGGTTAACAAAAGACAAAAAATTCAAGCAACATTTTAAAAGAATATTTATCATGACAATGAAGTGATTAGATTTAAAACTTTGGTATTCAACCACTTTAAAATTGGACTGTAACTTTGGTCAGGGAAAATACTAATCAGTGTTCTCTGCTTACCATTAGTATCATATGGTGGTATCATTTTTTATTAACATAATACAAATATCCTGTGCAGTGCTACCTCCTTCATTGCTTGCGGCTTCAGAATCAAAATGTCACAGCAAATTTTACTTTCACTAATAGATTGAGACTTGTACATTACATTAGTCAGAGTGAACAGTAGTGTGGTATTATGCCAAAATGGCAAAAGCAGGCACATACAACAATACCCTAAATTACATCTTGGTTCTCCTCCATCCCCAAACAATAACAAAAGGATAAGAAGCTTGGGTAGTTTATTACCTTTTTCGAGAAAAGTTCACCCTTCTGCAACTTCTCTATATGCATTGTCAAAATATCACATTATACAATTCACTGGAAGTGAACTTATTCCTAAATACCCATTAGGTTCCCAGGAGATGCCTTACATTAATTGTTTAGTGAAAGCACCCTTAGGCTATCACCAGGGAAGCACATTTAATGCATAAAAAGAGAAGTTGACAGAGATCCCTGTAGAACAAGATGCATCTACCAAGCTCAAGACTTCTCTAGGAAGAATCCTATGAGGCAGTGTCGAGGATGGTTATTTGGGGGTCGGGGTAGTTTTTCTTCTTTTTTTCTTAGTAGCACAAACATAGAAATTGTGTGGGAGGGAAAAAATGATGCTAGAAAATGATTAGAAAAATACTACTCTGTAATTGTAAACAGAATTAGCTTAAGTGTCTGGGTTCTGAGGCATCGATGTAGTTTACAGACAAAAAGAATTGCAAAAGTTAGAGACGAAGGGTATTATCCACCTAACGATGTTATAAAAAAAGAACAATGGCAAACAGTAGAGGGAAGAAAGACAAGTTTTAAATTTTATGAGACGAAACTTAGCAAAGTTTTAGGCTAATGGCCAAATAGTTTGATAGAGGGAGAAAAGTCAAGTCACAAAATGAATGACATTGAATTCTGGCAAAATATGTTTTCATGTCTGTCTGCCACATTGCCTCTCAAAACGTTTCTCGTTCTGAATATACCAGATTTTTATCACTCCCTTGTTTAATTACAATTGCTGATAAAACTATTGTACATCTATTATGCACTATTATGTTTGTTTATTTCACATCATTTTGTTTAGAATGTTTCTAAAAAGGAAATGTAAAAAAGCAAACAAAATATGTGCTTGGTGTCATAAACCCCTCCACCTCCTTTTTTGTATGCAGTACTGAAAAAATTCCACTAGAGGGGGCACTAGTAAAACAAGAAGCAAGATTTTAAACTTTTTCATTCTTTTCTCTTAGAGGTGAATATGACTCCCTTCTCTAATACCTGGACAGGAATATTTTGAGGAGGTTTTAGAAAAACAGTGGATATGCCACATGGAAAGAATTTTCAGGTCTTTAAAATACTTCTGTTTACTTTTTTAAAAATTTAATGTTAATGTGCTGCAGTTAAATATCAACTTAACATAAATTCCTGGTTAAATATAGACAGAATTTTATGTATGTTTGTATTATAACTACTGAAAGCTGAAGTCTTAAAGAAGAGATGTTTGGCCCATGTGACTTTTCTTTAGGGACTCTTATCATTACATATGCGACTAAATGACCAGAATGATTCTTCAGTTGTCAAATTGAATTTACCTGAGGCACAGGCATGGTCTTAGCTTCTGTTGTTTGATCACAGAAAAAAAAAAAGAAAAATTTAAGTTAATAGAAAAATATGTCATCTGGCACTTAATCTTTATTAAGTGCCAAAAATTTGCCAAGCATTATAAACCTTCATATAACCATTAATTTGATGCTGTGTTTTATTACTGTTATTTCTCTTAAGTCATATTCATTTATGAAACTTCCTTAGTTAGTGACTAACAATGTTAGCAAGACAGGGGGACCCTTTGATGTGTGAGTGGCATCTTGAGAATCTACCGTGAGCTTTGGCATCAGCGAGGAAAGGCCTGCCCACAAAGAGCTCCAGCCAGTCTCTCTTCCTAAACTTCTCCACTTCCTAATACATCACGTTCACAAAAACTTTAATTGTCAAATGTTGTAAAATGTCATGTTATATCAGATTAAATAAAATCATCTGTCCTAAATCCTTATCATAACACCTGGTGGAATATGTGTATTCAATAAATGTTAGCAAGAATTTTGAATTACCGTTCATTCAAAGTCATTCTTTGTATCTTGAAGTATATAGGTTGTTTAGATTTTTATGTTGTGCTACCTTTCTTAGTATTTCTATCCCATCTTTTTCTGACATCACCTAACACAGCTCTTCTGGAGGAAACTGGCTACTCCTTGCTTGAAGATTCTTTCTATCCTGACATACTAAAATGTTATGGATTGGTATTTCTTATGCCTTTTGGTAGACTGCCAGTATTTTCTACAAATGTCAGAAGAATGTTTTAGAAAATTATGTGTAAGTTCCCCTAGCCATCAAAATTTCATTGTCACTAAAAATAGCTCTAAGGAGAATAACCACCATGTGCTATATATCAGAGTCATTAGAACATTCGATCTGGAATATGTTCTGGGAAATTATTTAGCACAAATGCCTCAAACAAATGGAACCTGAGGCCTAGAAGAGTTAAATGACTGCCTAAGGTCACACACGAGTTGTGAGCTGGGCCACAATTGAAACTGGTATCTCTGTTCTCCTCTCCTCAGATTCTTTTTTTTTTTTTTAACTCAATTTATAGAATGGATCATTTCCTTGTTTGATTTGGGAAATTAAAAAAAAAGGTTTTGTGAGTAGATAGAAGGTGATGAAATGTCCCAGGCCTAACAACCATTAGCATAGCACTTCAGAGTTTATGAAATCCCTTTCAAAATATGGTCACCTTTAATTGATGCCTTGGTGGTAGGTGACGGAACTTTTTATGTTCACTTATACCACAAGAAAACTTTTCTCATATCTTTAATCAACTTCTTCATTCTGTTTTTACTAATTCCAATAGTAAAGTAAGAGCTGATACCCCTATTATGCAAAACACTGTAGTTTATGTGGACAGACCGCAACTGCTTTAAATGGTTATTTAGGGTACTCAGCTCACTGGTGCTGAATTACAAGGTTTTCCCTCCTCTGTTTTCCTGTTCTGTGACCTCAGGTTTGTAATGGACACAAAGAGTTGTGTTGGCGTTTAGTGCCTGGGGCAGTGCCACCAACATGGAGAGCTGTCATGATATCTTTACTCCTTTGATCCCTTTCCTCCAGCCTAAAGAAGGGAGGGAAAGAAGAGGGGGCCAATATGCTACTTTGATCTCTAATTCTCTGTGGACAACCGCTTTTCTCCATCTCTTTTTCAGAACATACCTACTGACTCCCTTGGGGCTAGTTTGGTGAATTGCAGAATTTCAGCATTAGAAGAAACTGTAGAGATTTCACATTCAGCTCTCTCATTTTATAGATTCACAATGATTAAAATGACTAGCCCAGGGCCATTCAGTACCTTATCTATGTATTCACTAAACATGGTATTTAAAAAAAGATTCTACCGTGTTGCCAGGGTTGCACAAGTAGTTAGTGCAAGAGGTAGAAATGATATTTAGTTTTCATTAGTCAAAGTCCAATGTTTTCTCTTAGCCATGAAGCTTCCCATAAAACTATTGACCATGTTGTCAATATTAAACCAATAATTCAATTCTGAGCTTTTGACTTAACTTGTTTAGTTTTTTAAAGTAGGCTGAAAATTTTATTTTTTTGGGAGCTGTTCTTCAATGTTTAGATGGTTAGTGAAATATCTGACTAATAGTAATAAAACTTGTTAAAAGGAATTCTAATTTGTATGGAAGTCTGTGATGTTTGCTTAGGAAAAACAGAAGTGTTTTTTCCATATGATACGTTCACCATAAAATAGCCTTCCTAAAGTACACTTTACTCCCACTTGCCCATAATTTAAACTTGTATGATGGTTTTACTTTTTGTTAACTACTAAAGATCATATTATTTACAAATAATCTGTGTGCTCAATTTTTTGAGCCTAATAAAGATTACCAACCCTATACAACTAGGGACAGTCACTGGTACATGATGCAATTTTACTAGTACTTCCAAAAAAACTGTCCTGTTTGACTAGTTTATGTTGGGAATTTCCATTGTTTCACAGTTCCTTGCTGAGTTTAGGATAAAGAGACAGACGAGGAGGAACCCAATTACTAGGTAATATATTTAAAAATATTTAGTTATCCAATTAAGTAAACTTAGTGTCACAGGACCTTGAGTGATTGGCTGGAAGAGCACATTTTGATAGAAGGAAAGAGGTAAGAGGTTGAAAATAATATCTAAGGACAGGTAGAATATTGCACCAGGCCCAGCCAGGGGGCACTGGGAGGACAGTAGGCACCAGGGGATGGTGGAAATGTGTGTGTCCAAAGGAATTAGGAAGACAGTAAAACAGAGAAATGAAGGTCCACAGATTAAAACAAAACAAAACAAAACAAAACAAACCTTGGCCCTCATTTACTTTTTTTCCTTTCTTCAGTCATTTTTTAGTGGCTGCAATGTACAGGACATTATGCTAGTCCTTTAAAATAGTGGTGGGCTTGTTTTTTCATTCAAGCCTCTAGTATAACAAGTGAGTTGGCTACAAAATAAAACGTCTGAGAAGTAAGTATATATTCTAACCCTGCAGGCAAAATCCACACTGTCTATTTGCACCTTTGCCTCAGTCTGTCCTTCATCCTTTCCCTGGCTGCTTTTTCAGGGGACACCATTAGGATGAAAGAGCAGAAGTATGGAAATGGGAATGGGGAACTGTATCCACCCATAGAATTGTCAACAGGTATGCACGTAGCATCTGCGATTCCGGGAGAGCTGACAGGCTAGGAGCCAGCTGTAGCTTACACTTGAAAATAATAATAATATCCACTTAGGGGTATGGAATTATTTATCACCACTGGTGGAATTTTTGCCAAAGGCAAGAAATGAAAACATCCGATGAAAAATGTCCTCAGTCCACAGCCCATTACACTGACACACCGTACAAACTGATTAACTCTCTGGCCAAGAATAAACAGTACTATAGTTACTACTATTATTATTTTTAAATATTCTTTTTGAAGACTTTGGGAATTATAAGAATTAGAGCCAACACAGCAAAGGACAAGATTTGTATAAGTAAATTTAATAACAGAGCTTGTATTAAATTGATGTCTCTGAGGGGTCCTTCCTTTCTTCCTTCTTTCTTATTTTCTTCATTTTTCTCTTGCTCTTCTACTCTCTTCCTTCCTATAGTCATTCTGGGGCCCAAGACAGGGATGGGAAGCTGATGAGTGCTGGGATAGAGACTTACTGGTGGCAATTTAATAAAATCTATAAGTGAGCATTTTATCTGGCTATGTTTATATGCTGAGTGTGTATTGGTATATATGTGGGGGCAATTGTTTTGTTCCTGAACTCAGCTTGACTTATTTATTTATTCTTATCTTGAGGTATTCTTTGTGTGCTATAAGCCACTGCCAAGCATTTGTATGTATGTGACTGGGCAAAGTAACCTGCTACCCAGGCTGGGCAACTCTGTGAAATTGGGCTACTGGATTTCTCTCTCTGTGAGAAAAGTCCATGTCCAGGGGTCTTTTTTCTGTATAGTGTTCAGCCCGCGTTCTTATTTGAGACCCTGGCTTTAGATTTCTAAACTGGGTTTGTGAGCACCTCATTTGACCCCACCTGTCTCTCAGTCTGTATTTCTCCTCATTTGTGTTCTTGGCATTTGGACTGCTTTTTGTGTCGTTTTGTTTTGTAAATGTCTGTTTCAGATCCTACTTTATTTCTCATATCTGGGAATCATTTTAACCCTAAATCCTTGGAGCTCATTTTTGTTTTATTTTTTCTCAGTTTCACAAACCAGCCAGCCCGTGAGAGATCCCTGTTCTTTGTTCTCTTATTCTGACCTCTGAAGGGGCCAAGGAACCGCCATGTCAGAGGGAAGTTGGGCTTTCTTTTCTTCTGTTTTCTCCTTTTTTATGTATTTCTTCCTCTACCCTTCTCTTCCTTTCTACATTTCCTTCTCTTTTCTCATTTCCTTTTTTTTCCTCTGTCTCTTTAATTTATATGGGTATGCAAAAAAAGTCCAGAGTGGACTATTTGGGACTTGCCTAATTATCAGCGTAGATATGGCATCACAATGGGGATAAAAATTACATGACTTAAATTTAACCAATGCAGGGCCCCACTTTGCTATTTCTTCCTGAAGTTAAAAATAATTCTTCTGGAAATGAATCTTCTAAAATCTAAAGTTAGCCTAAAATGCAATGCATGGATTTGAGAAACATTCTAGGTTATGAATTAAAAATTACTATCATAAGTTAGAAAAAACTCTGGATGAAACAAAATAAATTAATAAAAATAATGTTTATAAAAACAACATTTAAGGTACATTTTTTAGTGTTCATGCTAATGTCCTTTGGTCTCCACATTTTATTCTGTTGAAAAACATGTAACAACTCATACGAAGCTTCATATTATATGTAAATTCTTATTTTCTTTTAAATATATTCACAAATTTTTTTAATAACATGGAAAAAGTGAAGTTCACATCTTAACTGAAAAAATATATAGAAATATAGAAACTTTTTTAGAATGTAGTACATAATTGTGAATCTTCAAACAATAAATCCCATAAATATTTTTTAAAATATTGAAGAAATTTTACTGAGCACTATTTCTAGAATTGTAGAATTCTTCTGTTCACTTTTATAAGAAATGACTCCCAAAAGAAAAATAGTAAAAAAATTCTAAATATATGTTCATGTTTTTAATCCTGAAATCCAGAAATTTTGGGAGCCCTAAGTTTTAAAAAATTAATTTGGTATCAAAATTGACCAGAACTGACATGAAGTTATTTATAGTCTTTATTTATTTGAGTTATTATGAATATTCATTTATTTCACTACAGAAATGTTAATGTGTTCAATGACGATCAAGCCCCAGGCTCTACTGAGCATTCTACATAATGTACAGTATATTGCATTTAAAATTTTGCAAACTCCTGAATTACAAAATACATTTGGCTCCATGTTTGAGGTAAGGGTTTGTGGACCTGTCGATGGATTATATTTCTGAAGTGGGTTATAGTTTTTTGGAATCTAAAGAGAATACATCACATTCAGAAAAAAAACTGAGGATTGTTCACTGAATAATATTTTTTAAATGGAGCTTATTTTTCTGCCACATATACTAAGGAAAACCATTTTGAAGTGATAGCATACTGTAGTATCTATGCAGCATTGTTCTAACCACGTTGAAAATTAGATAAATAAACTTTGTAAATATCCTAGTGACTCTTGAAAGAAACAAAAAGGTGAAGCAAAAGATCATAAGAAACTTTGATATCTGGTTTATTTTTAAAATCCCATTATATATACTGTATATTTGCTTTTGTTCAAAGGTAAAACTGTTATTGAAACCATTTTCTTTTTAACTCAAGGAGTTTCTATTAAGCATGTCTTTTGAAATTCCCTGGGAAGTGCACAGTGCTCTGATCATCCTGGCTTATTTCTTCAGCCAGTTGCTTAGGCTATAGGAACCTTCACATGATTAATCAAGGGCCTCTTCACAAAATCCAATGATGAAAACATTTGACTGCTGCTCATCTGGGCAAACAAGAGGAGTTTGATCTTTGTGTGCTCTGCTGAGCTTAATACTTCACTACAGATACATATCAATACTCAATCTATACCTGCCTTCATATACGTCTGAGGAAACCTAGGGAACAATAATTTTCATGTTCTCAAAACCATTGTTCTTAACTTTGGGTCACTGAATGAATACCATATATTTATGCATAGGGATGCCATTGCATGTGGAAACACAACTTTTGAAAGCAACATTTTAAACTTAAAAGCACCTTGTTGCTAGTCATTAAAGTTCTGCACACTGTTTATGTTCAAGAATCTGCCTCATATAGATATTTTTAGATATTTTTAAATTAATAAACACTGAATGCTTCTAATGTTACGATTGTTTTGAAAACTCTCCAAAGCAAAATATTAATAAGAATATTTTGTTCAAAGCTGGTTATCAATATGAAAAATAATTTCTGCATATGACATGTAGGGAGTACATCTGAATATATATGTATACAAACATAAATAGTAAGTATATACGTACATATAAGTATATATCTAGTGTGTATATATAAATATGTGTATATAAGTACTTATGTATAATGTATGTATGTGTATATTTATATATCCATGCTATTAAATACATTTCTGTCATAATATATGTTTTGTAAATTATATTTTTATTCATTTCATTCCCATTTCCAAAATGTGTTTGATACATCTCTGGTCAAGGATAGGCAATTCTAGATCTACAAAAGAAAAAATGGACAAGGCAAATCAGAAAGCAAGGTGAGTTCAGTCAATGTCCTGGAAAATCCAGTGGTTTCTTTCAACTACCTGTAAGTTTCATTTTGCCTCCTCTCTCCCACCACTTCTTACACTATCTCAAGGTTTAGCTTTCTTAATCATGGCTTTTCCATTGTAGACAAGATGCTCATCCTGCTTCTCTTCCCTAGTCTGTTTGCTCCCCTCTCTTTGCCTTAATGTATCACTTCGTACCCCAGGATCTCCCACATCCTGCTTCTCCCTCTTCCAATCCTCATGCCCCACTTCCTTTAACCTCAGTAAGGTCACCTTGGTTCTTATAGATACACGTTCACTAAAGCTAGGAGTGAAGAGTCTGTGTCTGAGACTCGCTTATTATTACCTTCAAATTATAAGAAATAAAACACAATTTTTTTGTATTTACTTATCAGAAACTTGTTTTAAAGGGTGAAAATATTTTTCCAGTTTATTTTTACAGTTTGACTTGCCAAGAGAAAAAAAGATTTCAGAGAATCAATATGGTTTTATTTCAACCATGGTTATTTTTCCTGTAGTAGAACAGCATATTGTTGGGCACTTGTTACTTTGGAGAAACAATGAAATCTCGTTCTATTAAGGATGGCATCTATTTTATTTTTCTGAGATAAAGGGGCATACTAAACCTTTTTTTTCTAGCAGCTGGGAAGTTATGCCATGATACAAAAAAAAAAAAAGGCATTCTGTTTCTCATATGAGATTCCCTCTGGTATTTCCAATCTGACCATGATTACAGGAGAAGTGATAATGGTTTTGAGCCCATGGTGCATTTATTCTTATGTGAAACGGTACACTCTGTTCTGTGTTTGACCTTTTGGTATAAATATCCTTAGAACACTAAACTGTGAGCTGTATTCTAGGCCTGATTCATCAGAAACAGGATAAGCTAGCCCACACAAGCCATCTTTGGGAGAAAGATAGAGGAATGTGTGTCCTAGCTGTGAAGCTTATCTGTGAAATGGCTGCCTGGTTGTATGATTTTTTTTTTAATTTTCAGCTTTTATTTTAGACTCTGGGGTACATGTGTTGATTTTTTACATGGGTATGTTGTATGATGCTGAGGTTTGGGGTACAAATGGTCCCATCACAAAGGTAGTAAGCATAGCACCCGATAGGTAGTTTTTCAACCCTTTTCCAGTGTCTAGTAGTCCCCAATATCTAAAGATGTTACCATCTTTATGTCCATGTGTATTCAATGTTTAGCTCCCACTTGTAGGTGAGAACATGAAGCATTTGGTTTTCTGTTTCTGTATTAATTTGCCTGATTGTATGTTCTTAATGCCTCAGGTTCACAGACAGGTGGGGCTTTATGGTCTTCTTCTACTGCATCCCCTCATATTGAATAATTAGTGTAGCTCTACATATAATTGCCCTACCATGAATCTTTGGGGATATCATATATTAAAAAATATATTCCAATGCAACACTATCTCCTGAGAAGGATGAACCCCAGTGAATCTCAAATCCTGAAAACAGGACACTCTCCTGGCACTACCTCCTGAAAAAGAGCTACTTGTTGGAGGGAAAAAAAATAATAACTCTGTGATTATCCAACATAAGACAACTTCTTGAATCCAGCTCACCTAAGCTATTTTTTTTTCTACTCCAAGAGCGAAATGAATGCTGCAAGCAGTCAGAATACTAATGGTCTTTTCCCCCCACGACATTGTTTCCCTTCCTCCAGCCTTGAAACCTGAAGCAAGGGACTGAAGAGACTTCAGGAGCCTCTTTATGCTATCACTCCACAGGCTAGAAGGTGACAGCTTCACCAGGGACTAATGCAGTCCGACATAATTGAATGTGTCCTGAAGTCACAGACCAAGGGTCATAGACCAAGAGAAGAAAGGCATAGAAAAGTGGATACAGAAAGTATGCAACTTGAGAAACTCTTCCAAGGATCTATATATTACTCCCCCTATATATTACAAAAGGGGGGCTTTCTTATTTTAGTTGGAAGTTTGGTTTTGAAAGTCACCATTGGCCAGGCACAATGGTTCACACCTGTAATTTTAGCACTTTGGGAGTCCAAGGCAGGAGGATCACTTGAGCCCAGTAGTTCCAGATCTATCTGGGCAACATAGCAAGACCCTGTCTCTATAAAAAAAGGATAATTTTATTTTTAATTAAAAGTCACCTATTAATTTTCAGGTATTGAATGAAGGTTCTCATAAACCTTGAGAAGAAGTGGGGCCAAAAGGAAGCATTTTTCTTTCAACAGAATGATACATTACTCCAAGTGTGGAGGACTAGAATCCAGAAGAAGACTAAGTAAGCCAGGCATTCAATTGCTGGAGAGGTTAAGGGGTTTGCACAAGACCTCACAGCATGCCAGAGAGATATGGGGATCCTAGTTCAGAATATTTTGGTACTTACTCTTATTTACTTGTTTTTTTGAGTTACTAAGAAGCCAGATTTCTGCAGCCTTGCAAAGCTATTGCAACTCCTCTGCCCAGTTTAATCTAAGTAACACTATAAATCTATCTTGTAAAGAATATCAATTTATAAATATCCACAGTAAGAGGTCTGTACACTTATGACCATGGTGATACTGAACATTTAGTAAATGGTCTTTAAATAATCACTTGCTATAATGATGTTGCCACAGAATGCCCAAAGTTACCAATATGAAATAAAGATTTTAAAAACATTTTCAGATGAACAAAAAAGATTAGCGAAATATTCTGGAAAATTCAGAATTTCTGTACTTTTTGGTCGAGTTTACTTGGAAGTGCAATTAAACATGTAATTTTTACTCTGTCATAATCTTCCTCTGGACACATCCTCATCCCCGTTTTTACAACACAAAAATGGAGAGAGGGAGAGGTTAACATACTTGCCCAGTATTACACAATCAGTCCTAGGAAAGTTTCTTATATCCTTTAGAATTCATCTTCAGTATTTTAGATGTTATGTTTTTCCTCCAACTAGATGATATTTTGAGAGTTGACACCACATCTTAACACCACAGTGCCTGGAATTTATATGGTGCCTTCAGTGAACAACTTCTATCTCCCTGCCAATTTCACTGGATAGTGATATTTAAATAGATATTTTAATGAAATATAAGTTACTACAATCCCATTGAACTCCATTTGAGAGTTATATGTTCTGTGTAGAAGTAAAAATACTGACTTAACCTTGAAACTCTATTTCAATCATCCTTTAGTCATTGGTTGTAGAACAGTAAAGGTGACAAACCCTTCCGGCCAGGGTTGATCATCAAAAATAGATTATGTCCCCATATAACTTCCCAGAATAAGCTGAGCTAGTTTCTCTTTGGCTCCAAACATCAACCAGCCCCTTAGGAAAGAAATCTCAACAGCCATCCAACATAAAAGTTCTGGAAAGCTTAGGAAAAAGGTCAAATATTCCACATTTGCAGATCAGACCCTGAAAAATATCTTGACTGCTAGAGAATCTTTGGGGATATCACATATTATAAAATATATTCCAATGCAACACTATCTCGTGAGAAGGATGAACCACAGTCAATCTCAAATCCTGAAAACAGGACACTCTCCTGGCACTACCTCCCGAAAAAGAGCTACTTGTTCGAGGGGAAAAAAATAACTCTGCAATTATCCAACACAAGACAACTTCTTGAATCCAGCTCACCTAAGCTATTTTTTTTTCCTACTCTGAGAGCAAAATGAATGCTGCAAGCAGTCAGAGTACTAATGGTCTTCCCCCAGCCCCCCATTGTTTCCCTTCCTCCCCCCTTGAAACCTGAAGCAAGGGACTGGAGAGACTTCAGGAGCCTCTTTACGCTATCACTTCACAGGCTAGAAGGTGACAGCTTCGCCAGGGACTAATGCAGTCCGACATAATTGAATGTGGCCTGGAGCAAAGCAGCTGCCTGCAGCCACTCTTGATTGTAGCTGTCATCAGGTAGAGCCTGCTGCAGGAAAATACATTCCAGTGGAACACCACCCCACCACTCAGCTCCATAGTGATAGCTTATTTACCCTTATGCTGTGACCACAGTTTTGTAGTTAATAATCGTCAGTATCACACTGCTGAGTGAGTGCAGACACTGGGTCTTTGAATTATCAATAATCTTTTTAGTGATCTCTCTCTCTCTCTTTTTCCCCTCTTGTTTCTTTCCCCTGGAATGAAATTATACCCCAGAATTCTGTTTATTCACCAGAATTTGATCTGATTCAAAAGCACTACTCCATCCATTTTCTACTTTATTTAATCTAATATCTTCAACCTTTTTTTTTTTTACAAGCAAAACAAACAACAGACACAACTAAATTTGTCTGTATATTTTCTGTTTATTACAATATGTTAGAAAATTACTGGCCAAATAAAGTTTTAACAGTAGAACTTCATCTGACATTTTTGGTCTTCTCTTTGCATGATTACAAAAGCTCATTAAATGCAACTGAATAATTCAAAGTATTGTGTTTTCCTCTAAATATGTAGACACAGATGATTTTAGGGGGTCAGGTTAAATTCTATGTAAAGAATTTAACTTAAGAGTAAACATTTTATAAGCAAATAAAATAATATGAAAGAAAATAAACAGCTATGTTTAGCATTTATATATTTTGATATGAAAAAGCAAGCTGTGTCATTCTGTAAATTGAGATACAGGTAAATTGAAATGGAAAGGAAGTCAGTATGATTTGGATTTTGTGAATTATCTTATTTAATTTTGTGTTATTCTTGATTTAATAATTCAGTGTTAACATCATAAAAACATTTCTGACTTATTGGTACCTATTTGACTTTGAGATAATAATTAAATTGTTCATATTGCATTTTCTGCAATTGCTCTTTAGTTCCAACTAAAACTCGAATGTCAAATTGTGGTGTGAGTTTTCTTTTATGGCTAGGTAAACGGAGATGCTTGCTGACATTATAATGCAAGCATACATATGTCAGATGTCAATGCTGAAAAAAAGAGTCCTAGCTTCTTAAAACCAATTTAAAATGATAAAATCTGCTTATTTCTTGGAAAGTTCAATTATTTCCTCATTATCCCACTCCCACCCAATTATCTAGTGTCTCTAATCAAATATTTCTTACATCTGTCTCGGTGGCACCAACATGCTGCCTCACCGCACAGAAAAACATTTGATTCTGTCACTTAGGAAGGTATTTACTCTAGAAGAATATTTCAAATGAGTGACTAAGGTACTACCTTTCTGACTAGGCTCAAATCCAGCCAGACCATCATTTGTGTGTGTGTTTTTGGCTTAAAGCAACAAAAAAAGTTTATTTTCTCAGTATTCTGTAGGTAGGAGTCAGAAATTAAGGGGATGACAAGGCTATACTCTCTCTGACAGCTTTAGGGGAGAGCCCTTCCTTGCTTCTTCTAGCTTCTGATGTTTGCCAGAAATCCTTCTCATTCCTTGGCCTGTTGATATATCACACCAGTAACATGGCTGTCTTCCCTGCTGTGTGTCTTCACATTGTCTTTTCTCTGTGGATATCTGTGTCTATCAGATTGTCATTTTATTGGGACACGAGGACCAATATTTTGCCCTTTGGTATATAGCTAAGTCATGGCTAAGCAAGTTACTATTTACTATTTGACCCCATATACCATGTACTCAAACTTAAAGAAAAAGATATGGAAAATTGAACTATTATCTGCTGAATTCTAACAGCAGTATAGATAATAAAACTGGATTTTTTTTGAATTCTAAAATATCCCCTTTAAGGTCCATATAATTGAGATATGCTACCATATCTCTTAAATGTCTTGAGGTAGCTACTGATCTCTCTAATACATGAAGCAAATTTAGGAGAACTTAGATTATTTATTTTTTCCCTAATAGAAGGGAAAGTAATATTTATTAGTTCACTGTGTGTGTCTTAGGCATTTTCATGTTTTATTTTCTTTGATATTCTCACCAGCCCTTCAATGTAATCTATGCTGCTTGACAATATTAAACTAGAAGTTAGATAGTATTAAGTTCTCAGTTACAAATTCAAGATTTCCCATCTTTGCTGTTCATAGAGAATCAATAGTATCTATGGGCTGACCTATTTAAAGAACAGACTCTACATAATTATAGGATTTTACTGTAGAAGTAAATTGCTGCGAACACGCGTATTCTAATATTTTTGCATGATATTTCTTTCCTGAAGTAAATTTCCTGCTTGCTCTTTTCTGTAGATATTAAGCTATATATGTTTCTGTGGGCTAAGATTCAAGGCAATTACCTTAGCAATTTAATTTGCTGGAATTCTAGCATGGAAATATGTGGGTGGCGTAAATATTTGGTTTGGAAGGAAGTATTGCTCTGACTTGCTCAGGTCATTTCTGTCACCCAAAATGTCATGACTAATCCCAACAACATCAGGCTGTATGAAGAAGCAGAGACTGAGGTTTGTGTGCTGAAGCATAAGTTTAGATAAAAGTCTCTTCCAAAGTGGATAGTTTTACTCAGTATCCCAAGGTAAAAATATTAAAATTTGATGGATGTGCACAGTACTGAAGGCTGACACCTTAAGAGTTAAAATCCACTTCTGATTGATTCATACACGGTAAATCATACAAGTGCCCTCTCTTAGTCATCCCTGAAACAAATAGAGATGATATTATGACCCCCATCCCAATCCTTCAATTAGCCTGACCATTTAGAACCAATAGAAAGTGTCAACATTAAAATTTCATCTGTCTCCAGAGGCTGAATTTCATGAACTGTTGTTCACATGGCTACTTTATTTTGCCTGAAAAATATAACACAAATCTATTATTACTTTGTAGATATTAATATGCAGCTATTTATATGTGTATAAATATGACAATAACATATACCTATATTAAAATTTCTCAGTGAAAGAATAAAACATTGGGCCGAGCGTGCTGGCTCACGCCTGTAATCCCAGCACTTTGGGAGGCCAAGGTGTGGATCATGAGGTCAGGAGTTCAAGACCAGCCTTGCCAAGATGGTGAAACCCTGTTTTTACTAAAAATACAAAAATTACCTGGGCATGGTGGCAGGCACCTGTAATCCCAGCTACTCTGGAGGGTGAGGCAGAGAACTGCTCGAACCTGGGAGGTGGAGTTTGCAGTGAGCTGAGATTGTGCCACTGCACTCCAGCCTGAGCTACAGAGTGAGACTCCATCTAAAATAAATAAGTAAATAAATAGAATAAAAAATTAAATTAGTTAAATGAACCCAAAGTGTACGAAGAGATAATTTAACATTTGACTTGGAGACATTCTAACATTAAGAAAAATCTTTTCATGTGGCTCTATGCAGAGTAGAGAAAGTGATCCCCAAACATTTTATGTGTCCTTTTGGTTCAAGAAATTTGGAGAGGATGCATCAGTACTGCAGTGTAAGGTCAAACACATTGTTTTACAGATGCTGCCTTTGCCAGTATATGTACACTTCAAGTTACAGACAAAAATCATTTAATGATAGTTCTGCTATTTTAATTTTAAATATGTATATAATTTTATTAAATGTGTCTTTTAAACAACAGTAGTCTATTTTTCTTATATGAATGAAGGCTTTGAATTTTTACCTCATCAGGCTTGTACGCAATCTGTACTCCTCATTCTGTACTTAAAAAAAAGTAATTGCATTTCACTCTCATATTCATTGCAGCATTATTCACGAAAGCCAAGATATGGAAATAACCTAAGTGTCCATCAACGGATAAATAAAGAAAATGTGCCACACGTATATGAGTATAATTTGGCCTTTAAAAAGAAGGAAATCCTGCTATTTGCAACAACTTGGATGAATCTGGAGGACATTATGCTAAGTGAAACAAGCCAGACACTGAAAGACAAATACCGCATGATCTCACTTACAAAAGAAATCTAAAAAGATTGAACTCATAGAAATAGAATAGAATGGTGGTTACCAGGGCCTGGGAGGTGGAGGAAATGGAGATGTTGGCCAAAGCGTACAAAAGGTTAGTTACATGAATGAGTTTGGGAGATCTATTGTTCAGTATGGTGACTATAGTTAATAATAATGTATTGTAGACTTGATATTTGCTAAGTGAGTAGATCTTAAGTGTTCTTAACACACACACACACAAACACAAATGATAACTATGTTAGGTGATAGATATGTTAATTAGCTTGACTTTGTTAATCCTCATCCAATGTATAAGTATATCAAAACTTTACATTGTACATCTTAAATATTTATCTATATTCCTCACTCGTATCCCTCAATAAAGCTGGAAAAAAATTAATTGTGTCTTACCTGTCAGTAATCAGTTATTTTGCTATTAACCAACATAGCAGATACCACCAGCAGCTGTAGCTTTTTTTTTAATTACCTCACATTAATTGACAACTTCATACGTATTTGGCAATGGAGCTACACAGAAGTCTTTATAAGTAGTTAACTTAGAGGTATCACTGTAGAAGAGCAAAATAGTTTATAAATCTATAGGCAGAATTGTTCACCATCCTACATTATTGTAACATAATAGATGTTAAAAATAATAGCAGTGCCATTGAAAACAGGGTTTGGAGGATGGAAAGGCATCAGATTAAACCATCTCTGCATATTTTAAAAATATAACCTCCATGCGGTGCAGCAGTCTTGTGAACAAGGGGGAAGAATGGCATTTGCCCAGTGGTTGCTACCTGGCTGCCGACAATGAGATTGTTCTCAGTGGAGGACTCCAGGATCCATCACTGAGAGTGTGACACAAGTATGCCATATTTTCATGAACATGAAAAAAGAATATTTTTAGGAGTCGGCCAACTATGACTAGTCAGCTGTCGGATTGTATTTAGATTTGGGGAATGCTGTGAGAGGATTGAAACCACTTGTTTCTCTCTCTCTTTCTCTACTTGTCACTGCAATAAAGTTGGCTCTGGCTCCAGGGAGCCCTTGGTAAAGTACAATGCCCAGGGCTATGGGAGATGGAGGCCTCAATAACTGATATGAAAGGTCCTTAATTAAGCACTTAGCATTTCAAGGCAGTCATCACTGCTCGCCCACAGCCCAAGCTGGCAGTCCGTCACCGCCGATAGGCCACCTAGAAGACTAACGTGAGTTGAGTTGAGTCTTTTGTACTTGAGGCGAGCCGCCCCGAGGCACAGGCTGATCCAGTGACCCTCCCAGATACACTTTCTCTGCCGGAAGGAACAGGATATCGGATGTGACAACACTGCAGCCGGGAAAGGATTCCCCCTCCCTGCCGTCCACCCCACACCCTCCGAAAGATCAGGGATTTGAGGAGAAAGTTAGAATGACAGTGGCACTTTCTTGGCTCAGCAGATCAGTATGAATATAACCAAACCCAATGAATGAATAATGATGAATGTATTATGAAGCAAAAGGGAACCCCCCTTCATTGTAATATGCCAATTATTTTGCAATTACCCAGGGCCTCGAAAAAGTTAACTAGGAAAGAAACATTTCCTTTCTTTTTTCCCCTCACAGCACATAATTCTCTGGGCATGAGAAACCAGAATAAACATAAATGTTTGGGGAAGTTTATCTTTATATTAAGGAGCTGGGAGAGTTGGCAGCATTAAAATGGAAAGGGTTAATGGAATGAACTATAGATTAAATTGTAAAGCAATCAAAGAAAACCAAACAGTTTATAGCAGACAACCATCTTCTGGTGTTTGGGTCTGTGTCAAGCCATGGATGTGGAAAATTAAAGCCATACTGAGAAGGGAAATGAACCATGTCTAATACATCCCCAGCAATAAAATGTTTTCACTAGGACTGTAAAACTGTGGCTTACATTAGGAAAAAGAAAATCAAACTATATGTCAATTCCACATCATGGGACATGAAGTGTCCACAAAAATTTATATTACTATTTAGAAGTGTTTCATTCTGGTGTTTTATTGTGATTGGATGCGCCCTCCTCAGTATCTTTTGACTGGTATGAAAATGATTTGAACTACTTTTTTAGCATTTATTTTACATCTATTACCTGTTCTATTACTTTTTATTATTTTATTGTGCTGTGTAGAGGATTTTGCACAGTTTTCATTATAATGTAACATTAAGTCAATTTATTTGTGTATTACGTGCTGTATAATTGCACCTTTTTCTAGAACAATTTGGATTTCATTATCTAACAAATCAGCACTGTTACATTTCTAAAAGCTCTTGTTAGAAATCAAGTGTGTTTTCAAAGTAGGACAACAGAGGTCAAGTTTGCACCAAAAAGATTCCTCACTAATGCGGGAACTATTTGAACATCAGGTGAAGGTCATATTGAAAAGAGGGAAATACTTGTTTCTTTGAGAAAATATTTAATTATTCACGATTGTACTAGGTTAAGATCAATAAGGATCAATACTGCAAGAAAAAAATCTTGTAGAACAAAGGGTTCTGACATGGAACAGACAACGTGAGATATAGATCCTGGAATGAACAAATTAATCCAAGAAAAATATCAATTGTAACTGTGTTTGGTTTATTATTATAAAGAATATCAACATACCATTTGGATGCTTAGTTTACAAGGGCCATAAATTGTAAAACTACCAGGCACAATGAAGTGTACACATGCTTTTACATAGCTGTTTCATAAACTGATCTATGCCTAACACAGAGGTGGCATACATTATTTCAGCAGTCACATAGGTAAAATGCAAAACACCTGCAACCACTAAGAAATTAAGTTGTTAAATCCTTAACAGAATGTGGATTGATGTTTTATAAGCATAATTATATTTTCCATTTTCAATGAGTTAGGATGTAGAGATGGTAAGTTCTTTGACACCGCATTTTCTAGACTGCATGGTTGGTATTTATCCTATACTATTTTAGGTTGTTTATTAACTTCTCATGAGTGCGTGCCTTTTTGTTTTTATAAGACTCTCAGTGGACTTAGGGTAGGAGCCATCTTATACTTCTCCACAACCCTGCAGCCTAGCAGAGATCATTGTAATATTGGCTTTCTGCTATTAGCAGTAGTAAACGTCAAAAAACATTATTCCACTATTTAAGACAGTAAGTTACTTATTTTATTTAGATTCCAAGATATAGGTTGCCAATATATTATTTTTTTTCTTCTTAAGGATATGTGGTATATGGGAACTTCAGATATCGAGAGAAAATTCTACTGTTATTTGTCAAAGTAAATATCAAATTTTCTTTTAATGAATTTGGAGATGTATATAATTAAGTCTATGCCAAATAAAAGTGTTTTTATTTAAAATAATACGTTTTTTTAAAAAACAAAATGTTTCATTCAATCTGACATTTTTACCTGTTATAGAAATTTTACTCAAAATATCCTCAAAACTTTTACAATAATATCTCTTTGTGAGGACTTGTATGCTTCCTTCCATGATAACACTGTAAGGAATATGGGATAAAATGCTTGAGCAAATTTTTTACCACAATTTTTTGGACAGGTGAATAATATTTCATCATATGTTGGCCTTTTCAACTGAACTGTTATCTTCACAAATAACATCTTTTAATGGCATTTCCGTGATGTGCTGCTTTGTTACTCTCATACTTAGCAACTCAAGCTGTTGAGAAAAACAATGAACAATAACAAAATGCATCCATGTATTCAATGGTTGAAGTACACTTGAATGAAGTCATCAAGGTAATATATTCTTTGGATTTTAGATATATGCTAGTTTTGCAAAAGTCAGTCAATTTATTGGCCTCTACTCTATCTAGATCCTCATTCCTTTGTAAAACATACTGCCTGATGCTGGCAGCTAGTAACCTTCATGCTAATAGTCTTTTATTTCTGCTTCTATCAGCTGAGGAGTATGGTAACAGTTAGTTCTGTTTGTTCCCAAAACTTTGTACTTTTCAAGGTAATTATGTAGGATAAGTGTTACATCAACTAATAAACATAAGCCAAGTATTTGCCTTTATGAAAACTGTTGAATACTTTAAGAAGATTGAAAAAGTAAATTGAAATAAAAGATACTCAACGTTCTATAAGATAGAAAAAATGAAAACATACTCAATTCTGTGCGCATTGCTTTGCAGATCTCATCAAGATACTCAATTCTAAATTAATCCAAACCCAAAATAGTAGACAACACTTTATAGGCATAATTTTTGTCTTAAATAATAGGAACTTCAATCAGGAGACCAAAGAAAATATTTTGGTCTTACCTTAAAAGATCAATGAAAGAAAGAATGGATTTTAACACTTAATAAGTTAAAATAAATGTTTGATGGATGCATATATACATTTTATTATTCCCCTGATAATAATAGTATACATAGTGCCAGTTGAACTTAAGAATTCCTAGGAAACATATCGATACCCCACATCAGTATAGATACATACCACAACAGAAACCCAAATATCTAGATTTATATGCATCATCCAGAATCATAACTAAACAAAACAAAGCAAAATGAAACATAACCATTTATCTAAAAAGTGAGCTAACATATATCTTTTATATTGAGAAATTAATAGGCACTATTCCAATTTCTTAGTTTAAAGAAAAAAATTAAGTATAAGTTTTGAAAGTATTTACCTTTTTTTTAAAAAAAATGAACCACAAAAGACTGCATGTATTTTGAATTGTTAAAGAGGAAAATGAAAAAGTAAAGACTTTTTGCCAAAGACAGAAAAAAATAAATGATTTACAATAAAAATAAAATAATAAATAGAAGACCACTAACATAATCCATGTAGCATATGGGATTATATATATAAAGTATTATGTAATATATGTAATATATATCTTAAGGTAAACATAATTAAAAATATATATATGTAAAATTGAGTCAATAAGAAAAACAATTACCACATAAATGAAATAACTCAAAGTTTATAAGTACAAAAATAAAATATACAAACCCAACAATAATCAGTAATAAAATTGGTAGGATTACTATAAGTTGAATTGAAGTTAAAAGCATAATATATAAATAAAAAGACCAATTACGTTAAAAGTAATGACAAAGAATATGATAAAAAATTATACTTTTGTATAAACATGCAATGAACTTACATGTTTCAAATCATACAACAGAAATAAAGCTAATTTCTGGTATTTTAAGAAGAATCAGACATGTAATGAAACTAGCAGAAAATATTAACATAGATTTTGATTTCTTGATAAATTTGGAATACAGATTATAAGTAATGATACAGGTATTTTAAATAATGTAACTAATACAATTAATATTCATCTAATAAGCACATTAAAATTATCCTGACGAGAACACAACTTTTTTACATGCCCACAAAACGTTTTTTTAGAAAATGATATTTATAAGGACAGAAAGAGAAAATAAAAGTAGAAATGTTGCAAACCACAATAATATTTATATAATAAAGGTAATTCTAAATATCAACGTTGGAAATAATTAAAAATCTCTTAGTCATTTGGAAATTTCCACCTCTGCTCACCTAATTATTCTAAACAAGATTTTGTCAAACTTCAGTTTGTCTAGGACAGCATTTCTCAATGTATTCAAGGACCACTTTATTAGAATAAATGTGGGTGTCTGTCAAAAAATGAATATTCTTAGCACTGAATGCAATCATCGCAAACCATAGTTTTTAAAGGTGGTATTTGGGAACCTGTGTTTACCATCTAGGTGATTGTTGACCAAGAGGGTTCTAGATATTAGTGATAATTATCTCTAAACTCTAAGATTAGAAAGAAAAACCAGAAGCTTCTGATGGAAGATGAGAGAGAGGGCATATGTTCATCTTTTCTTCTCTGAAGACCTTCCTGAAATGCCATAAAAGGAATAAACATACAAATCCCCCGAAAGTAGATAGATACTACACAAAAATAGGTAATAGATAAATGCTGAAGAGCAAGAGAGTGTGCTTCAGGCATGAAGAGGTTTCAATGAATCTGGAAGATTAAATGAAAAAGGGATGGAAGCATAATTCATGTAGCACGTCAAAGAAAGACACAGCTTTGAAATCTGTAAAGCAGAATATGGACAGGAAGTCAATTTGTCTCTTAGAGGCTTAGATCTAGGAGAAACTGTAGTACAAGGTAAAAAATGTGGATAAAAATAGGAGGACTTGTTGAACATTTACGTATGGGAAATTGACTCACAGCCATTCCCTCACCCAAAATAAGTAATAATACAACCAGATGTCTCCTTCTTCCAGTCTTCAAACATTCCAGGCAGGAGAACGGAGGTTTCTTCTATGCAGAAAGTGAATGGCCTCAAAGAAAGGAACTCTATATTCTGTATTTTGTGCTCCCCTGACAAGCTGGCTAGCATTCTGATTGCCCTAAAACCAAGTGAAAAGGTCAATAATTCGGAAATTCAAAGCTCTCAGTTAGCTGTTTAATGTCTTACAGCTATGAATAGTGAATCAAAGATTATCAAGCACTTGAAGAAATTCTTCACCATGAAAGAGGGAGACCGAAGCAAAACAAAGCAAACCAACATTAGGGTAGCCAGACATAATGAAGTTCTAGTAGAAGATATCCATAAAGGTATTGAATAATAGTTTCTTAAAAAGACCAATACATTGTGACCAAGAAAAAAAAAAAAAAACAGAGAACAATTCCTGAATTTAAAAAAGGGTCAGCAGAAAAGCTAGGATTACGGTGAAAGAAATCTGTTAGTAAGTAGAACAAAAAGATAAAAAGATAAAAATTATGGAGGGTTATTCTTTAAACTTCAATATCTAAAAAATTGGAATTCTCAAAAAAGACAAGAAAGAAAAACAAGAGAAAAAAAGTATCAAAGAAATAATAGAAGAAATTTTCCCAGACATGAAGGTAATAAGGCTCTAGGTCTGTGGAATCCAGTGTAGCAGTTGCTTGTTACAAACCATCACAGACTTACATGCAAAATAAAATCAAAATATATTATCTGTGAAACTACATGATTCACACAGGCACAGATTTTCCAAAACAAACTAGGAAGCTGAAAGGTAATGAAACAAAGCCTTAGCAGTTCTAAGGAAAATAATTTTTACCTTAAAATCTGAAATCAGACAGCTCTGTATCAAACTATGTATAATTATAAAGAAAGAATATGGATATTTGCTGACCCACAGCAGTCAGAAAATTTACTTCCCATGTACTCTGTTATAGTTAGATATTTGTGGATGTGTTCCACAAAAATCCAGAATCAACCAAGAACTAGGAGGAGATGGGAACCAAAAAACTGGGTTCAGCTCAGAACAGCAAGTAAGCAAAGTTGCAAGGTAAAATTTCTTCCCAATCTCACTAAAGTGCATTATGGGGAAAATTCATCTATCTCTGTAAATATGGCTTTGACTCTATTTCTTGCAAATTGGATTATAATAATAAGAAAAGCTTACTTGTTATCTGGTTTTAGATTACATTATGAAGCCTCTCTTATTATATATTCAGGCCTAAATTGTTTTGCATTAATTTTTATGCTTCTCCCACTATTAGAATAGAAATGCTTATTCTAATATATACCCAACTGTGTCTTTGAAAACAGATGTATGGAAGTTTGTTTATGAATCAGTTGTTATATGTTGTCTCTGGGTGCTGGGATTTTGGAAAATTATGTATCTATCTGTCTGTCTATCTATCTATCTATCTATCTATCTATCTATCTATTATCTACCTGCCTGCCTACCTTTCTATTTTTATAGCACCTTGTATTATTGCTTGAATTCTTTTTGGAATTCACAGGATTATAAACTATAAATATACATGGAATTGCAAAACATTTGATGTAATCTAAATGACCATAAACAGGACTGCTTAAATAAATTGTGGTCCATCAGCACAAAGGAATAATACATCACTATAAAAATAAAGAAGATCTTTGAGTACTGAAACATCATTAGGTTTTTAAAAGTAGGAGATCCTAATTTTTTGTAAAGTATAATTTGTGTAAAAATGATGAAAAAATGTATATTTATATTTATTTATGCATAAAATAAAAATGCATAACTTGTCTCTAAGGAAGAAATCTAGATGATTTGGGGTCAGGAGTGAGAAGAATTTTCACTCTATGTCCTTTTTTAAAAAATAGACAGTTTTTTATATAGCAATTTTAGGTTTATGGCAAAATTGTGCAGAAGTTACAGAGATTTCTCCTATACTCCCTGTCCCTACACATTGATAGCCTCCCCCATTATTAATATCCCCCACCACAGTGGTACATACATTACAACTGATGAGTCTGCATTGATACATCATTATCACCCAAAGTCCATAGTTTACATTAGGGTTCACGCTTGGTGTTGTATATTCTATGGGTTGTTTTCTTACAAGTTTATGGTGAAATATATCTACTTTTAAAGTATCATATAGAGTAGTTTCACTGCTCTAAAAATCCTCTGTTATCCAGTTTTTCACCTTTCCTTCCCCACAGCCCCTGGGAACAACTTATCTTTTAACCACCTCCATTGTTTTGCCTTTTCCTAAATATCATATGGTTAAAATCGCACAGCATGTAGTCTTTCCAGACAGGCTTCTTTGACTTAATGAGCATTTAAGTTTCCTTTATGTGTTTTCATGGTTTGAAACATCATTTCTTTTTAGTGCTGAATAATATTACATTGCTTAGATATACCATCATTTATTTACCATTCACCTAACGAAGAAAAAATTGGTTCCTTCCAAGTCTTGGTGATTAGTAATAAAGCTGCTATAAATACCAATTTTTAAGTTTTTGTGTGGACCTAAGTTTTCAACTCCTTTGGGTAACTACCAAGGAGAATAATTGCTGGATTGTATGGTAAGAGAGTATGCTGTTTTGTAAGAAACTGCCAAACTATCTTCCAAAGTGGTTGTACCATTTGCATTCCCACCACAAATAAATAGGAGCTCCTGTTGCTGCACATCCTTGTCAGCATTTGGTATTATTCATGTTCTAGACTTTTGCCTTTCTAATATTGTGTAGTGGTACCTCATTGTTGTTTTAGTTTACATTTTCCTGCTGACATATGATGTGTAACATCCTATCATATGCTTATTGGCATCTGTGTATCTTCTTTGGTGAGTGTTTGTTAAGGTTTTTGCAAATTTTTAAATGAGAGTTTTTTTCTTGTTGTTGAATTTTAAGAGTTCTTTTTATAATTTGGATAACAATCCTTTACCAAATATGTATTTTGCAAATATTTTGTTATGGTTTTCAGCTTCTCTTTGACTTCTCTAGATTATGCCTTTTAAGCAAATTTTTTTAAAAAAACTTTTACTTTAGGGTCCTGAGTACTTGTGCAGCTTTGATATATTGGTTTACTAGTGCCATGGGGGCTTGATGTACAGATTATTTTATCACTCAGGTATTAAGCCTAGTACCTAATAGTTTATTTTTTCTACTCCTCGCTCTCCTCCAACCTTCTACCCTCTGGTAGGCCCTCCCTAGGGTCTGTTGTTCCCCTCTTTGTGTCCATGTGTTCTCATCATTTAGCACCTACTTACATGTGAGAACATGTGATATTTGGTTTTCTGTTCCTGTGTTAGTTTTCTAAGGATGATGGCTTCCAGCTCCATCTATGTTCCTGCAGAGGACATGATCTCACTCTTTTTTATGGCTACATAGTATTCCATGGTGTATAGGTACCATATATGTATTTTTTTTATCCAGTCTACCGTTGGTGAGCATTTAGGTTGATTCCATGTCTTTGCTATTGTGAATAGTGCTGCAGTGAACGTATGTGTACACGTCTTTATGATAGAACAGTCATATTCTTTTTGGTGTATAACCAGTAATGGGATTGCTGAGTCTAATAACAGTTCTGTTTTTAGCTTTCTGAGGAATCACCACACTGATTTTCATGATGGTTGAAATAATTTACACTCCCACCAACAGTGTATAAGTGGTCCCTCTTATCCACAACCTCACCAGTCTCTGTTATTTTTTGACTTTTTAATAATAGCTATTCTGACTGGTATGTGATAGTATCTCATTGTGTTTATGAATTGTATTTCTCTAATGATCAGTGATGCTGAACTGAACTTATTTTCATAGAATTGTTGGCCTCATGTATGTTTTCTTTTGAAAAGTGTCTGTTCATGTCATTTGCCCACTTTTTAATGTGGTTATTTGTTTTTTTTCTTGTAAATTTAAGTTCCTTATAGATGCTAGATGTTAGATTTTTGTCAGATTCTGTAGGCTGTTTACTCTGTCGATAGTTTATTTTGCTGTGCAGAAGCTCTGAAGTTTAATTAGATCCCATTAGTCAATTCTTACTTTTGTTGCAGTTGCTTTTGGTGTCTTTGGCATGAAATCCTTGCAAGTTTTTATTCCCAGAAAGGTACTTCCTAGGTTGTCTTCTAGGATTTTTATAGTTTTGTGTTTTACATTTAAGTCTGTAATCCATCTTGAGTTGATTTTTGTATATGATGTGCAGAAAGGGTCCAGTTTCAATCTTCTGCTTATGGCTAGCCAGTTATCCCAACACTATTTATTGAATAGTGAGTCCTTTCCCCATTGCTTGTTTTTGTTACCTTTGTTGAATGAAAATCATATTGCTGCAGGTGTAAGGCCTTATATCTGTGATCTTTATTCTGTTCCTTTGGTTTATGTGTCTGTTTTTGTACCAGTACCATGCTCTTTTGGTTACTATAGCCTTGTAATTTGAAGTTGTATAGCAGGATGACTTCTGCTTTGTTCTTTTTGCTTAAGATTGCCTTGGCTTTTTGGTCTCTTATTTGGTGAATTTTAAAATATCTCTTTTTTTCTAGTTCTGTGAAGAATTTCACTGGCAGTTTGAGAGAAATAGCATTGAATCTGTAAATTCCTTTGGGGAGTATGGCTATTTCAATAATATTGATTCTTCCTGTTCATGAGCAACTGTGTCTTTTGTAAAGCAGAAATTTTTAATTTTAATGAAATCCAGCTTAGCAATTCTTTCTTTCATCTTTTATGCCTTTGGTATTGCATATAAAAAGTCATTGTCATACCAATGGACATCTAGATTTTCTTCTATGCTATCTTCTAGGAGTTTTATTGTTGTGCATTTTACATTTAGGTCTGTGATTTATTTTGAGTTAATTTTTGTGATAGATGTAAAGTCTGTGTCTAGATTCATGTTTTTTTGCATGTGGATGTCCAGTTGTTTCAATTCTATACGTTAAAGATTTTATTGTATTGTACAATTCATTGTATTGCCTCCCCTCCTTTGTCAAAAAGCAGTTCACTATATTTACGTGGGTCTAATTCTGGGTTCTCTATTCTGTTCCATTGATCTATATTTTTTTCACCAAAACCACATTGTCTTAATTTCTATAGCTTCATAGCAAGTCTGGAAGTTCTGTAGTGTCAGTTCTCCAACTTTGTACTCCTTTAGTATTGTGTTGTTGATTCTGGTGTATACCCTTTTATAATTTCTGAATTTTTAGCTATTTGCATGTATTATTTATAACTAATATTAGCCAGGCAACTTGGCTCATTTCTGCAATCCTAGCACTTTGGGAGGCCAACGTGGGATAATTGCTCAGGGCCAGAAGTTCAGGATAAACCTGGACAACATAGTCAGACCCCATCTCTACAAAGAATAAAATAATTAACTGGGTATGGGAGCACATGCCTGTAATCTCAGCTACTTGGAGGCTGGGGTGGCAGGATCACTTGAGCTCAGTTCAAGGCTCCAGTGAGCTGTAATTTTGCCATAGCACTCCAGCCTAGGCAATGGAGTGAGATCCCATTTCTAAAAAAATTATAAAATGAAATAAAATATTTTTAAAAACTAAGTATTGTCTATTAACCTAATTTACATTTTAATTTAGGCATTGCTTAAATGAATTCCTAATTTAGGCATTGTAGAATGCCTAAAATGCTTTCCCGCCCACCAACTTTTAAGGTAGAAAACTCATAATTATAAGAATCAGTTAAAAGTTTAGTTCTTTAGATATTTTTCTAATTACTACCTACTCTTTTCATAAGGTCAAAGTCACATTCCTCCTCTCTTCTGCCACAGAATCTTGTGTGTAAATCTCTTTTAGTACTTTGAATGTTGTATTCCACCCTTTCAATTCATCTTATCTCAAAGAACAGCATCTCCATCTATACAAGTGACCCTGGTTTATCTATTCATCCCAATTTCGTCATCTCTCCTATGCCTCCTATCTCATCAGCAATGTATGCTTTTCATCTAAGTCCACAGGTGGCAGAAAGTACTGTAAACTGGTCATGTAACCCTCCCAGGACAAGTGACTGGTTGCTCCTGATGGAGATGGAGCTGTCTAGGGGTCAGGTACCATCAAATGAAGTTGACACATTTGAAAGAAATGATGTAAAAATCGTTGTGTCTAATACAATTATCAAATTAAAATCTTTCAATAGCTCCCACATTTTCTTAATCATAAAATTCAAATGGCTTAGCAGGCCTAATCTTATAGTAACCTTCTTCTCTTCTGTTTCACCCTTTTTCCCAGCCATAACGAACTTTTTGTGTCTCCCATATGCCAGGGTTTCTTAAGTCTTTGGTCTATTTACAAGTTCTTTTCTTGGTACTCTATTATTTCCTTCTTTAGTTCCTCATTTCAAACCTTTCTCCAAATGTAAATTTGTCTACCATGTATTTTTAAAAGCCTGTCTTGAACCCACCAGTTTCTGTTTTAAGGATGATCTATTGTGTTCCATTAGCTTTTTGTATTTACTTTGATTTTGGGATTTATAATGATTTTCCCCATTAGGGGTGAGTCTCTCAATGACTAAGATATTTTTTCTGTGATCACTGCATTCCTCATGTTAGCATGGGGCTGGCTCTTAGTTAAGGCTCTTTGTGTGCAAGAACCAGAAACTTACTTAGGTTTGCTCAATTGGGGTGGAATTTATTGCAAAGATACAAGATAGTTCACAGACATTGGAAATGAAACACACCAGACATCACAGGAATGGAGTTAGAAATGAAACTTCCTTCTCTCTGTCTCTCAAGCTGAATTACTTTTCATCTCTCACTGATTCCCAAGTGACACATGAACATGATCTTCTCATCTTTGCTTTCTCTCTTTCTCCTCTTTTGACAAAGGATAGAGAAAAATGTTATTTTTTTTCCAAAGCCTCTGCTTAAAAACAGAGCCCCACTTTTTCTTTTAGGTAACTTCTTTTTCTTCCTGAAAATAGCCAATAGTCCCTAGCTCCAGACAAGGCATTTCATGTGACTTAAACTAGGCTTTAATATTCTATTTTCCCAGGAATTTTAATTTTGAGTGAAGTGACACACTAAATGTGATTAAAGCTGATAAACTCCTCTGGTAGTAACATCGAGAGACTTGATTCCTATTTACAGGGAATGCCTGAGTCCTTGTATTGAGATTCCAGAGTTGTCTCCATTCTTTTCTTTGATTATGTGAACTACCCAGTCTCCTTACATTTTCTTTTTGACATATTGCCAGCTTTTGCTGCTAATAATAATAGAATACTAACTGACATTCTTGTTTGTTTTCTCTGTTTCCACATGGCCAGTAGTCTCAGAGCATTACATTTCTTTAACCTCAGTTGCCAGAGTCTCTGTGTTTCTTTGTTCAAATTCTAGTAAGAGAGTTTAGTTTCTGGTCATCTGTGTACTGGTAGTCTTTAATTTAGGTATGCATACTTGTTCGTATCAGCTGTGATCAGGTGTAGTGAGGCTCCATTAAAAAAGCGTGGCTTCCTAGGGCTACCCTTGAAACTAGGCCCATGAACAAGAGAAAATGCTGTGGGACAATAAGAATCCTGAGACATGTCTATTACCTTGGCACACAGATCTTGTGACTCTCCTGTAGAGCCCTCTATGGCTTCTTTTCGTAACTTGAAGGCCACTGGCAAGATAGGTAATAAGTGTGGATATACAAATAGTTTATTTATGGGTCCAGTTTACTAATTTTTGTTCTGGAGCCAGAATTTGTGAGTTTCAATTCCAGCTCTGCCACTCATTAGCTGTGTGATCTTTGAAAAATTACCTAACTCCTTTGAGTCTCAGTATCTTCATTGCTAAAATGAGGATAATAAAACTATCTTATTGAGTTATTGTGACAATGAATGAGTTAATCAATATAAAATATTTAAAACAGGGTCTGGAAGATAGTAATTTTTGAATGGATGATAGCTAGTATTTTAATTTTTTATTTTTGTTATTATTATTATGGTTGGGATGACACAATGGGAGAAACATCAGCAGTGAGTGCTGTATAATCTTGCCAGCTTGATATCTGGGAATGAAGAGGAATTAAGAAAGGTTTTAGTTGCATACTTAATTTGCATACAGTTTTTCTCATCATAATGTCTGATATGGTTTGGCTGTGTCCCCACCCAAATCTCATCTTGAATTGTAGTCCCCATAATCCCAAAGGGTCGTGGGAGGGACCCAGAGGGAGGTAATTGAATAATGGGACAGTTACCCCCATGCTGCTGTTATTGTGATAGTGAGTGAGTTCTCATGAGATCTAATGATTTTTATAAGGGGGTTTTCCCCCTTTTGGTCATACCTCTCCTTCCTGCTGCCATGTGAAAAAGGATGTGTTTGCTTTCCCTTCCACCATAATTGTAAGTTTCCTGGGGCCTCCTCATCCCTGCAGAATGGTGAGTCATTTAAACCTCTTTCCTTCATAAAGTAGCCAGTATCAGGTATGTCCTTATAGCAGCATAAGAACAGACTAATACAATGTCATTAGCAAGATAAAGAATTTCCATAATTGGAACACAAGAAGCACCATTCCCCAAGCTCTATTTAGTTACATTTCTGCCCAACTGTCAGACTTCAGCTGTTCCTTGCCTCACTCCATTGTTGTGATTTTAAGAATGCAGAATTTTTAGCTTCCTCTTCCTTAGTTTACTTGTATCTTCATATAACATAATTCATATCATACAGCACATATAATATATATTTCTATTAAGTACAAACTTTCAAAAAACGTAACCACATATTTTTATCTTTACCATATTTGAATACATTTTATTTCTCATTAAAATTCTTGATTTTCCTCTTTTAGTATCATAAAATTCCTTTTTTAAAAAAATATTGTTTTTCATCTGCACAAGATGAGGATGCCCTCTCTCAACACTTCTATTCATTATAGTATTGGAAGTTCTGGCCAGGGCACTCAGACAAGAGAAAGAAATAAAGTTTATTCAAATAGGAAGAGAGGAAGTCAAATTTTCTCGTTTGCAGATGACCTGATTGTATATTTAGAAAACCCCATCGTCTCAGTCCAAAACTGATAAGCAACTTCAGCAAAGTAGCAGGATACAAAATCCACGTGCAAAAATCACAAGCATTCCTATACATCAACAATAGACAAGCAGAGAACCAAATCATGAGTGCATTCCTATTCACAATTGCTTCAAAGAGTATAAAATACCTAGAAATACATCTTACAAGGGACACGAAGGACCTCTTCAAGGAGAACTACAAACCACTGCTCAGGGAAATAAGAGAGGACACAAACAAATGGAAAAATATTCCATGCTCTTGGATAGGAAGAATCAACATCATGAAAATGGCCATACTACCCAAAGTAATTTATAGATTCAATACTATTCCCAAAGTAATTTATAGATTCAACACTATTCCCGTCAAGCTACCAGTGACTTTCTTCACAAAATTAGAAAAAACAACTTTAAATTTCATATGGAATCAAAAAAGAGCCCATATAGCCAAGACAATCCTAAGCAAAAAGAACAAAGCTGGAAGCATCATGCTACCTGACTTCAAACTATACCACAAGGCTACAGTAACCAAAACAGCATGGTACTGATATAAAAACAGATATATAGACGAATGGAACAGAACAGAGGCCTCAGAAATATCACTACACATCTACAACCATCTGATCTTCGACAAACCTGACAAAAACAAGCAATGGGGAAAAGACTCCTGATTTAATAAATAGTGCTGGGGAAACTGGCTAGCCATATGCAGAAAACAGAAACTGGACCCCTTCCTTACACCTTATACAGAAATTAACTCAAGATAAATTAAATGTAATTTAATTAATTAATTAATTAAATTAATATTAATGTATTAATTATATATTAATTATATTAATTATTTAATTATTAATTATTAATTAAGGTTTATAAATCACTCTGCTATAAAGCCACATGCACACTTATGTTTGTTGCAGCACTATTTACAATAGCAAAGACTTGGAACCAACCCACGTGCCCATCAATGATAGACTGGATAAGGAAAACGTGGTACATATACACCATGGAATACTATGCAGCCATAAAAAAGAATGAGTTCATGTCCTTTGCAGGGACATGGATGAAGCTCGAAGCCATCATTCTCAGCAAATGAATACAAGAACAGAAAACCAAGCACCACATGTTCTCACTCATAAGTGGGAGTTGAACAATAAGAACACATGGATACAAGGAGGAGAACATCACACACTGGGGCCTGTCAGGGGGTGGGGAGTAAGGGGAGAGAGAGCATTAGGACAAATACCTAATGCATGCAGGGCTTAAAACCTAGATGGCGGGTTGATAGGTGCAGCAAACCACCATAGCACATGTATACCTATGTAACAATGATCTGCACATGTAACCAGGAGGAAGTGAAATTTTAAAAAATCTGTGTTTTTGTGTTTGTTTGTTTGTTTTATTTTTTGTTTGAGATAGGGTCTTGCTCTCTTACCCAGGCTGGAGTGCAGTGTGCAATGGCAAAATCATGGCTCACTGCAGCCTCAATCTCCCAGGTTCAGGTTCAAGCTATCCTCCCACCTCAGCCTCCTGAGTAGCTGGGACCACAGGTGTGCACTCCCACTCCTGGCTAATCTTTTAATTTTTAGTAGAGATGGGGTTTTGCCATATTGCCCAGGCTGGTCTTGAATACCTGGGCTCAAGCTATCCACCCACCTCCACCCTCCCAAAGTGCTGGGATTACAGACATGAGCCAAGATGCCTGGGTGTTTTTCATTATTAATTTTTTTAGAGATAAGAGTCTTGCTATAGTGCCTTGGCTGGATTAAAACTCCCGGGCTCAAGTGATCTTCCCACTTCAGCCTCCAAGAAGCTGCGACTACAGGTGAATGTTACCGCACATGGCTTCATGGAATTCCATTTTGATCAATACTTCTCATTGTAAAATTTAGCTGATGCTTATAGAATGAATAAATTCTGAATTTCCCATTATGCTTTTCCTTTCCTTGCTTTAGCTATGTTAGACTTCTTGCATCTCTAATCATCCATGGGTTTTTTTTTTTCATACATTTCTACCCTGCAGATTCTGTTTTTTCCTCCTGGAATGCCGTATTTCTATTAAGTTCCTATCTGGCTATCTCCTGTTTATTGTTTAAGACTAGAATCCAATGCCATTCTCTCTGGAAATATTAAAAGTCACCCTTAACAGGCAACACCTCTGCTTTTGTAAATAAATTTGATGATTTTCAATCATAGTAAAGAAGAAAGGTCATTTGTGAGGTATGTTGCTTCAAGTATTGTGTTAAAATACTGAAATTTGTATATGGTATATGTCTTTGTTGAGGCTGCTATAATACAAGACTATAAGCTTGTTGCTTATCAACAACAGGACATTTATTTATCTGTCTGGAGGCTGGGAAGTCCAAGATCAAGGCACTGGCAGATGGTGTGTCTGGTGAGGCCCCATTTCCTGGTTCATAAATGGCAACTTCTTGGTGTATTCTCATATTATGGAAAGATCAAGGCAGTTCCCCTGGGGCCTCTTTCATAAGGGCACTGATCCCATTCATGAGGGCTCTGCCAAAAGGCCTCATCTTTTCATATCATCACATTGTCTTTTATGTTTTCAACATATGAATTTGGGAAAGACAAACCTTCAGACTATAGTAGCTTATTTTAAAAAAACAAGACACCTATATTTACTGATTATACAGGAAAAAAGAACAAATAAGAAGTCAAGATTTTCGCCATCATTTCACTCTCATTCAATCATATTTCCATATGTTGCCTTGAATGGGAAAGAGTTGAAGTCATTCATATATTTACTGTGGCCATGGTGTGGAGGCTAGCTATATGTTCTTAATAGTTTTATAATTTGGGGGCTTATAAACAATTTTAGTGTCAGATTTTACCAGAAAAATTGTTTTAGTGAATCTGTTGTAATCATTTGAATATGTTATCAACATGAAAAATCTCTATGTATGTCATGGTGGAACTAACTCATTAATGACTGGAGGAAGCTGTACCTTTAGATGGGATGGCAGGTCCTGAGGTAGACAGATTGGACTAGATTACCTGAAGAATCATGCATTTGACCTTTACATAACCAGTTTTTCCTTCTTTGTGCCAAACCCAGCATCAGAGAATATAAATTGCTATCAGGATTGGTACCAGAGGGAAATCATTTACATTTCTGTGTAAGCCACAAAGGGTCCAGGTTAATTAGCCATATCCTCCTGGGATTTCCTTCTTCCATGGAGCAGGTAGACTTAATTCCATTGTCTAGTGACAGGGGCTGCTTTCTCCTTCTACAGAAGAGCCTCATTCCTGCTTTGTTACCAGGTATCATCACCCAGGATTGTAGTGAGGTTCACTGCTCTCTTCTGAATAATTTGCCAAATAGATATTCTAGAAGAACAGCACATATATTTCTTAAAATTTATTATTTTACTACTTGTCTGATTGTAAAATAATTTATGCTCACTGTAGAAAATAATAGAAAAAGAAAACACAACTTTCTGTAACTCAACAATCCATAAATTCTTCACTTTTAATATGTTGATATGGTGTTATGGTATATACACATATATTGGTTTTTGTCCATGGTTCCCGGCTCATAACTCTCACACCCCTTGTTACAGCCGTTTGAGGAAGTAGCAGGCCTAAGAAAACAGAATGTCTATGACTTTCTCCTGCCCTTCCTTCACCTGCCCCAATTCAGGTCTCTAATCTTCCCCCACTTTTCTGACCGTGGGTCATAAAACCCTCTCCAGAGATGGTCTCACCCTATACCCTTGGAGAAGGAATGCTGATGTCATGAAGCTTCCAGAAAACTCCAAGAGGACTGGGTTCCAAGAGCTTTCACATAGGTGAAGGCATATACTTTCCTGGAGGGTGGTGTGCTTGGGGAGGGCATGGAAGCTCAACTTCTCCCTCCCTCATACTTCACCCTAGGCATCTTTTCATCTGTATCCTTTGTAATATCCTTGATCATAAACCAGTAAACATAAATGTTTCTTTGAGTTCTGTGAGCCGCTCCAGCTAATTAATCAAACCCCAAAAGGGGATCATAAAACCTCAATTTGAAGGCAATTGGTTAGACGTTCCGGAGACCCAGACTTGTGACTGGTGTGTGTCTGTGCTGGTTGGGGGAAACTCTTGGGGACTGAGCCCAGAATCTGTGGAATCTTATACTATCTCCAGGTAGATAGTGTCAGAATTGAATCGGAGGACACCCAGTTGGTATCCACTGTTTAGTGTGTCAGAAAAACTCCCACATATTTGGTCACAGAAGTCTTCTGGTGTTGATGATTGTTACGGTAGTGTGAGAGTGGAGGAAAAACACAGTTTAAGAGAGTTTTTTTTTTCCCCCTAAACAGTTGATTTATTTCTTTACGGTATTTTTGCTATGTCTGTATGGATTTCCTTTTTCTATTATTTCTATAACTGAGATTTGCATTGCAGCGAGAAAGTAAAAATTGGTCCTGCTAATAACTAGGGAAAATGAAAACATTGGTGAAGAATCCAATATAATTTTTCAAATAGAATTTCAATGATTTGCTCAAGATACAGATGTTCATAACAAGACAAAGACAAGGGCACACTGTGACAAAAAATACAACACTTCCAATTTGAAATCACTGTTTCTTTACCAGCAACAAATCTAGACCCATATTAACCTTCTCACTTCCTGGATAAAAATTATAACCAAATAAGAAAATCTAAGAAAGTATCACAAAATAATTATTATTTTGAACAACCAAATTTCCCATGTATTTGGCTGTAAACAATCTGAAACTGGCTTTTACAAACAGCCTATAGCAATTCCCCATTGTGAAGATGCTCCTAAATTTTTTCTTCAGTATATTTTCCCTTGCTGCATCATGCTAAATAAACCTAATTTTGTGCATTCTTGGCGGTTTTCTTGGTTTCAGCAGTACTCAGGGCTTTATGTAAAGAATATTTCGGCTTCTGAGGAATTCTTGGAAACCGTCATTCCAATGCCTATGTAGTATTCTATTGTATCGTTCTGCCATTGTCAGAAATGTAGTTTTGTATTTTTGTCTGTTTAAACTTTTTAAAATTACAAATAACACATTAGTATATAAACATTTTCTGGGATTCCTACTTGTTTACTTAGGATAGATATATTAATGTATATTTACAATACAGAGTGTAGAAACATTATTATGCTATTTTATGTGTGTTACTAGGTTGTTTCTAGAAAGAATATTATGCTTTAGATATCAGCTAGCCATGTATGAGCATCCACTTTATTGCCCTTTCACCAGAATTGAGGATTATATTTTAACAAATCTGTCCATTTGACAAGTAACAAAAAAATGTCTTACTAGTTTTGAAATATGCATTCCTCTTACTACTTTACCCAGTACGTAGGTCCAAGGCTTCATGGCTATGTATTACAAAAGGGTCACATATACAGCAGTGCTCCAAATATTAATACTCATTTGGTTGGCAGGAAATTTAGTCTTTTTCCTGGATTTATCTCCTAATTTTAACCCCCAAAGACCTGGTAACAATAATAATAAGAGCTTAAATGTATCAAGTCCTTGCTATCTATCAGTCACTTTCAAAGCATGTCACATGCAAATACTCATCTAATCTCCATAATCATAACTTATGAATTAGGCACTATTATTATCTTGCCTTTTTCCTATGAGGAAACTGAGGCACAGAGAAGATAGGTAACTTGCTTACATTTCTGCAGTTAGCAAGTGGTGAAGCTGGAATGTGACGCCAGGCTTTCCTTGGGGAGGGACGAAGGTTTTAATAGACAACTAAAGCTGTTGACCACAGATCTGCAATTACTGTGCTGGTTTTAACTTCTCTTCCAGAAGCCACTCCCATTCTCCTAACTAAATACTCTTCTTGCTCCTGCTGGGGCTGTTGCCAACTCTCTTTGACCTGATCAGTTTGAAGCTTACCTTCTCTCTAAATAGCAGAAAAGCTGCATCTGCTTCTCTTGATTATCTCCACTGGGATTCAATATGTTTCTTCGTATGACATCCCTCTTTACTAGAGTGTACAAGCATCCTCAAGGTGTGGGGATGTTCCAGAGGTTGAGAGGGCACAGCCTCACCTTGCTCTTGGAAACTGCTCCCTCTAACTTCCATTCCCTGCAACTATTGCCTTCTCTGGGAATCCCTTCCAGTTACAAGTGCTGCATTACACATCACCCCAAAAACTAGTGCTTAAAACCTCACAATTGGCCAGGCACAGTGGCTCATGCCTGTAATCCCAGCACTTTGGGAGGCCGAGGCGGGCGGTTCACAAGGTCAGGAGTTCAAGACTAGCGTGGCCAAGTTGGTGAAGCCCCGTCTCCACTAAAAATACAAAATAATTAGCCAGGCATGGTGGTGAGCGCCTGTAATCCCTGCTACTCAGGAGTCTGAGGCAGAGAATTGCTTGAACCCGGGAGGCAGAGGTCACAGTGAGCTGAGATCGCACTACTGCACTCCAGCCTGGGTGACAGAGTGAGACTCCATAAAAACAAAACAAAACAAAACAAAAACAAAACAAACAAACAAACAAAAAACCCTACAATTATTTATTATGGTTACTGTGGGTCAAGAATTCAGGAAGTGCCTAGCTAGGCATTTGTTGCCCAGGGTCTTTCATGAGGTTGCAGTGGCTATGGAGAGCCGGAGGTCCATATGAAAGGCTTCTTTACGTACATTATTGGTGCCTAGTCTAGAAACACTGAAACAGGAAGGGGCTGAAACAGCTGGGACTCCTTGGCATCTCTTTCTCAGTGTATTCTTTCCAGCATGGGAGCTTCAGGATAGCTGGACTTCCTACATGGTGGCTCTGGGCTCTAATGGCAGACAGAAAGAAGGGGGTTGGGGGAGAGAGGGTTTTGAAAGCATGTTTAACATGCTCTCTCTCTCTCTCTCTCTACATCTGAAATTAGTATTGTACATTTGTTACAATTAACAAATCAATATTGATACAATATTATTAACTAAAGTCACAGTTTTCATATTTTCTTAGTTATTACCTAATGTATTTTTAATATTCCAGGACCCCATCCAGGGTGCTGCATTACATTTCTCATGCTTCCTTGGGCTCTTCTAAGCTGTAAGAGTTTCTTAGACTTTGTTTTTGATGACCTTGACAATTTTGAGAAGCACTGATAAGGTATTTTGTAGAATGTCCCTTAATTGGGATTTGTCTGATATTTTTCTCATCACTAAACTGAAGTTCGGGGTTTTGGTGGGGAAAACCACAGAGGTAAAGTGTCATATTTTCATTCTATCATACCAAGAGTAAATATTACCAATATGAGATATCACTGTTGATGTTGACCTTGATCACCTGGCTGAGATAGTATTTTGTCAAATTTCTCTACTCTAAAATTACTCTTTTCTTCCCTATCCAAACTCATTGAAAGGAAGTCACTGCCTACAGTTACACTTGAAGAGTGGAAAATTAGGTCTATTATATTTTAAATAGATTTATCTGCCATTTTTATAGCTATATAATTCAAAAATATATATCCTAGATATTATTTTGGATTCAACATGTATATTATTATACATATTGTAAGTACCTTCTGCCATACTGCAACTTTTCCTTTTGAATTATGTTCTTTGATAAAGACATTCTTAATGAACTCCAATTTACCACTTTGTTATTTTATGGTTTGTAATTTTTGCATCCTATTTAATAAGTCATTGTCTACCTTCAAACTATTAAGATAGTCACCTGTATTTTCTTCCAAAAGCTTTATTATTATACTCTTCAAATTTAGATTTAGAAACCATGTGGAATTGGTCTTTGTGTATGGTATGAGGTAGGAATTAAGGTTAATTTGTTCTCTTATATGGATATCTAATTATCAATGTGCTATTTATTGAAAAAATATTGTATCACTATTACATTTTAGTGGAATAATTATAGCTTTTTGAATAGGTAATATATATTCGTGATTTAAATATCAAAGTGATACCAAATGTTATATATTGGGAACTTTTGCTCCCACACTTAACAGCTGTTCTTTTTGTTCCCACCATCATAAATAACTGCTTTTATTAGTCTCCAATATTTCTTTATGAAAATAAATGCAAATATTTTATGATGGCCTTTCCCCTGTAAACACGAATGCAGCATTCTATGCCTTTGTGTTTTTATTCAACATAGAAACAAAAATTTAAAAAATCCTTATGTAAAATTAAAACATATTCAAATGTGGATAATAATGAACTCCCTAGTGGCCATTCTTCAACCACAATATTTATCAATTAATGGCTAATCTAGTTTCTTTTTTTCCTACCCAATGCTACTCATCTCCCAACATGTTGAATTATTATGAAATCAATCTCAGATGCCATATAATTTCATCCATGACTATTATGCATTTCTAAATGAAAAAAACAATTTTTAAACACATAAACATAATATTGGCATGATGTTTCCAGATGTATATGTTTGTAAATTTATACAAATTTGTTGATTTGGGATTTTTATAATTACTTTTGTGTATGTATTTCATATTGTTTTTGATATTTTTGATCAGGCATCCTCTCCTATGATCACTAGTTAAATATTTACAACACCAGGGTTGTGGCTAATATCTGTAATCCCAGCACTTTGGGAGGTGGAGTGGGGTGGATCACTTGCTGCCAGGAGTTTGAGACCAGCCTGGCCAACATGGTGAAACCCCGTCTCTACAAAAATAATACAAAAATTAGCTGGGTGTGGTAGCGTGCAGCCTTCAAAAGCTGACAATTTGGATACTCTTTTGGTAAGAGTTTCAATAGAGTTTTGATTTTTATCACTTATTTGAATATGTTTAAAGTTGGGGAAGTATAAGAATTAATCTAGGCCAGTGCAGTGGCTCACGCCTGTAATCCTAACACTTTGGAAGACCTAGGTGGGTGGATCACTTGAGATCAGGTGTTCAAGACCAGCCTGGCCAACATGGGGAAACCCCGTCTCTACTAAAAATACAAAAATTAGCTAGGCATGGTTTCACGTACCTATAATCCCAGCCACTTGGGAGGCTGAGGCACAAGAATCACTTGAACCTGGGAGGTGGAGGTTGCAGTGACACCAGATGATGCCACTGCACTCCAGCCTGGGTGACAGAGTGAGACTCTGTCTCAAAAAGAATAAAAAAAAATGTACATACATACATACATACATATGTAATCTACAACCTGCATGGCAACATCAGATTTTAGGATGGACTTTAGAAAATCATGTAATTTAACTCTATTATTTTACAGATAGGGAAACTGAGGGGCAATAAGATTAAAGTGACTTGCTCAAGGTCTATGACTAGTTGTTGACTAAGCTCAGACTAAAGCTCATGTCCTCTAATAAATTAAGTGTTCATTTCACTACTACTCTATTTTTTGGTGTTAGGTTAATTTTAATTGAAAATCATACTGATTCATTTAATTCATTCAATAAAATTCATTTTTAACTTCTCAATATGGATAATGGGGGTGCCTTTTAAAAATTATTCTGGCACCAGATAGACTGTTTCTACAAATTGCATATTAAGCTACAAGAACAGACAAATGTATAGGAATGCCAAAGCAATGTGGCCTAAAATGAGTCCTGCCAAAGGCTAAGAGAATGTTATCCCCTTTTCTGGTACTGAATGCATTTTAGCTCTGTAGGACATTACAAGTCATGTCCACTTTCAACCTCACTTTTTTGGAATTTAGTATTACTCACATTTTTAAAGATTATTATACAGACCATGCTGTTGCTACAAATTCACAGTTTTAATTACGTTGTTTCCTTTGCTTGGAATGATCTTTTCACTTTTTTTTCTCTCTTTCTTCCCTTATAAACTCATCCTTTAAAGTCCATCTCAGACATTATCTGAAAAAGAAGCCAGCTCCCAAGTCTCAAGTTTGACTTTATGCTATTCTTTGGTGCTATCTCAGCACCATGGCATGTCTTTATTATTAAGATTATTAGCTTACAAAAATAAACATATTATATTTATTTTCTTGTTTTAGTCTTTTGTAATATTACCTTCCAGCCCCATGGAAGGGTTAGGAGAGAGAAAAAAGTATGAGTAAAAAATTCAAAAGGAAGAAGCCACACCAACATTGATGCATGGTCCTAGAGATGAGTATCTATGTGTATGTGTGTGTTTCCTGATGAGGGTGAGACTTGAGACTCCACACTTGCACCTATATGCTCTCTCTCCAGTGAGAAAAATGGAAGCTGACATCTCAGGGCAATTCTTTGTCAGAAATATACATCTGCATGAAGAGAAGAGAGTTAAAAATTTAATCTGCAAAGCTATTTAGAGAGTGGATAGGCCTTGACAGGCCTCCCAAATGTATTACAAGAACAAGAAGAGTGGAGCTATGGAAAAAAAAAGCTGTTGCAGCAAACAGAATGAAACTAAGCTTTTTTGACAGAATCAGTTTGCCAAATGACTTTAAAATTGCACTGTCTTGTCCCTTTTTTTTCTTAAATATACTCTAATTTAAATGTCTAAGAGAAACTTTTAGGACTTACGTCTTACCTTTAAAAAACTCTAAGGTAAAAACAAACCAGTAATATGTATAGTGGTATTTGGTAAAAGGGTATATGAAGCAATATTAAAACCTATCAAGCCACTAACCAGTGATGAAAAAGTAACAAGAATTCTAACGGTATCTGTGATAATCTGACTGATAATTTTCAAACCATCACCCCATACCTAAAACATTGCTTGACATGAATGAACAGAGAAAGACCTTGTAAATCAGCTTCAAAAATATGACAGTGTGCTGTCACTTTGTACTCAATATTCCTTTGTATTTTACCTATGACTTTAGAAATTTTGTCCTTATATTGCAGCCCCCACTCATCATTGTTACAGGGAAAAGTGCTGTTCTATTTTTCGCCTTATACTTGACAAAATATATATATATATATATATATATATACACACATATATGTATATATTTATTAGTCTTTTAAATTTATATTTATTCTCCTGAGTGCTAAAATAAACACAGATAAGCATGGTTTTTTAACAGGTGGTGTTTAAGTAGGTAGCTCACCATTATCAATAGCTAAAAACGTAAAGTGCAAAATCATATTATCTTTATGAGAGATGCAGAAAGAATTGTGTAATAAAATTTAACATTTATTGAATGATTTTAATATTTCAATAAAGTTATGGACTCCATTGCTATTTTTACAGCTCTAATTTTTATATCTGACCAGGCCTCAGCCTGGGCAAAAGCTCACTACTTTAGCAATATTATTCCCATTAATATTGCAGAAATTTTTTTCCATTAAAGTCTTAACAACTACCGAAGCATAACTTTTAAGTCCTAAGATGTAAGTCTACCTTAAAATGTTGCTTTAAATCTTTAATATCTAAGGCCTAACCATGGTTTTCAAATTTTCCTCTAAAGTATTGACTTGTTAAATATAAATTCTGATCCTTTAGCCACCAAACCCATCATATCTACTTTTCTTAACCTATCATATTCTTTGTTAGTGAGTTCTGGGCTATCTTGTACTCTGCTCAGGTTTATTCAGTGCAAAAGAAAGATTAAGGTGTATCATGTTGTGGTTGTGATCAGGCTGCTTACAGATATTTTCTTTTCCCTCTTTCTGCATATACAGTAGCAACATATATGCAGGTATTGCAATTTTTTCGAGTATATTTTGAAATTAGCTGTGGTCATGTGCCTTACTTTGGCCAATGAAATATGAGCAGAATCTTGGCTAACACGGTGAAACCCCATCTCTACTAAAAATACAAAAAATTAGCCGGGTGCGGTGGCGGGCGCCTGTAGTCCCAGCTACTCGGGAGGCTGAGGCAGGAGAATGGAGTGAACCCGGGTGGCGGAGCTTTCAGTGAGCCGAGATCGCGCCACTGCACTCCAGCCTTGGGCTACAGAGCGAGACTCCGTCTCAAACAAAAAAAAAAAAAAAAAAAAAAAAAAAAGAAATATGAGCAGAAGTGATGTGCTTCACTTCTTGGAAGAAGATATAAGAGGCAGGGCAGGATTTTCCATGTTCCTTTCCTCTTTTTTTGAAATCTCAGAAACAGGTATTAAGACGTATTTTCCGTCAGACTTTGCTTTTGAACGCTGTGATGAGTACAGTCTGCCTCTGTTTCCCCCAACCTCTGTTGGTGACACCTGTTGGCTATTTAGTATGAGATAGAAATGCATTTTTATTATATTAAGCCACTGAAATTTTGGGATTGTCAGTTACTAGAACATAACTCACTACAGCCTAATTAATATATCATATTTTCAGTTGCTTGGAATGTGGTTCATAGGGAGAAGAATTTTAAACTAGATGCTGAATTTTGTCATCTACTTTTTCTGAATCTATTGATTTTTCTTTCATTTTCTTAATATGGTATACTACCCTGATTGATTTTAACTGCCTTATTTATTACTCATATACCCTATATTTTAGTTGTTTTAAGTGTATATTTATAGAGTTGTACAATCACTACCTCAGCCTAATTTCAGAAAACTTTCATCTCCCTAAAAATATCTAATGCCCATTTGCTGTCATTTCCCATTCCCAACAATACTGGGACCATTGCAACCATTGCAATGGTCCTAAGCAACCACTAATCCATTTTCTATATTTGCAGATTTATTTTTTCTGTACATTTCATATAAACAAATCATCCAATATGTGGTATTTTTGTGGCTGACTTCTTTCAGTTGACATCATGCTTTCAAGCTTCATCCATGTTGGAACATGAAACAGCATTTCTTTTTATTGTTGAATAATATTACATTGTATGAATATGCCACATTTTGTTTATCCCTTCATCAGTTAGTGAGCATTTAGTTTGTTTCCAGTTCTTGGTATTACAAATAAAGTAGTTATCACCATTTGAATTCAAATATTTATGTGGATATATGCGTTTATTTCTCTTGGCTAGACACTTAGGAGTGGAATTGTTGAGTTGTATCGTAAATTTACATTCAACATTTTTAAAAACCTGCTAAACTGTTTTCCGTGGTGGAGAAAGCACTTCTTTGTTGAATAGCACTATTAGATCCATAACTTTAAGGTCATAATATGACTTTCAAGAGGAAAAGTACTCAGAAAATCAATCAGAATAATCTTTCTCTTTTTCCTCTCTCTTTAACTTATATATACTCACATTATACATGGACTTTTCATGGAGGGTGAAATCTAAGTATGTTTTACCTACTTAATAATTCCTGGTAGGAAAATAGCCTTTAGGCTCTGTCTTAATCTATTTTCTGCTTCTTATAACAAAATAGCTGAAACTAGGTAATTTATTAGAAAAAAAATTTCTTACACTTCTGGAGGCAGGGAAGTCCAAGGTCAATGGGCTGCATCTGATGGAGGGGACCCTCTACAGAGTCACAAGGCAGTACAGGGCATCATCACATGGCAAGGGGGCTGAACATAGTAGCTAAACTTTCTCTTACTCTTATAAAGCCACCAGTCCCACGCCTATCATAACCCATTAATCTGCTAACCCATTAATCCATTAAGTAGACTCTGCCCTCATAACCCAATCATCTCTTAAAAGCCCCACCTCTCAAAACTGCCACATTGGGGATTAAGTTTCGCATGAGTTTTGGAGGGACGAACATTCAAATCACAGCAGGTTCCCTGTTGTACCTGAGCATACCATTTACTGAATCTCCATATGGAAAATAATTCCTAAAGTGACTTGAGGTCACTGTTGGGATAAAGTCTAGCATGTAGAGTAAGCTGACATTGCTCCTCTAAGATTCCTATTACACACTCTGAATTACCCATCATGCTTTAACTGTTTAAAAACCATCTGTCCTGTTGGATTTTATTTTTATCATGTGCATAGATTACTGTTCCTAAAACAACAAAAAGCCAGCTTTTCCTAGTATATAAATCTAAGTGGCTTGATTAAATTTCTCTCAAGTCATTTAAAGAAAAATCTCTTTAATTATGTCTTTTTCTTCTTTTATCTTTTGCCCTAATATTACTTTTCATTTAAATTGACCAAAGGAATTGACTCATTTTTATTTGTTACAAATAAATATTCTAAGTATTCTCTAATATATGTATGTATCTCTTACACAAGGACCAAGCCTAAAAGGTGAGACCTGAATTATAATGCTTTCTATGTAACCCTAACTACTGGTGGAGAGCAGAAGTGAAAATGAGAGGGAAACCAAACAATAAAAAACATGATGAGGAGACAGGCCAGTTGACAGAGGACCAAGCCAGCAGAGAAGCAAGTGCAAGAGCTCAGTCTGGATTTAGAACTCATTGAAGCTCTAAGTTCTCTCTGACTTACAAAGACAAGATATGGTTTCCTTCTACCTACTGCTGAAAAGCAAGCTCCAGACAGAAGCGAAGTTCTATGTGTCATAGGTTTCAATCACAAGGCTGGACCTAGGTAAACAGATATCTCTAAGATTTACCTTTGGAGTTACTTGTCTTTAGCTGGCTTGTGCTCAATGTCATAAGCTACAGTGACCTTGGACAATTTACTTAACAAGCTACAGTGACCTTGGACAATTTACTTAACATTTTATGTTTAATATTTTATATTCAAAATTGGGATAATTCTTGAGCAAATGCCATAGGTCATTTTGTGAGGGTTCATTGAGATAAGGCATATAAATTCTCCGTAAATGTTGGTTATTGTTATTCGTGATAATTGGTGCTATTCTGACTGGTAGAGTCTTTATTCTTTTTTTGATTTTAACAGCTTTATTAATATATCATTATCATATCAGATGACTCACCGACTTGAAGTGCACAGTTCAATGGTTATTAATATATTCACAGGTACATGCAACCATCACCATAGTTAATTACAGAATATTTTAATCACTTCAAAAAGAAACCCTGTACCCTTTAGCTAGCACTCCCCTATCTCCCCAATTGCCCCTTCCCACCAGACCTAAGCAGTTACTAATCTACTTTCTGCTTCTATAGATTTGCCTATTCTGAATGTTTCATGTGAATGGAAACATGTAATATACAGCTTTCTGAGACTGGTTTCTTTCATTGAAGAGAATGTTTTCAAGATTAATTCATGTTGTAGCATGTATCAGCACCTCATTTCTTCTTATTGCTGAAAAGTATTCCATTGTATAGATATACAGGTTGAGGATCCCAAATCCAAAAAACCTGAAATCTGCAATGCTCCAAAATCTGAAACTTTCTGAGTACCAAGATGTCACTCAAAGAAAATGCTCTTTGAAGCATTTCAGATTTTGGATTTTCAGATTAGGGATGACGAACAAGCAAGTATAATGCATATATCCCAACATCTGAAAAAATACAAAATGCAACACATTTCTGGTTCCAACCATTTTAAATAATGGATATCCAGCCTGTACCACATTTTGTTCATCCATCCAGCAGTTGAGGGACATTTAAGTTGTTTCCACCTTTTGGCTATTACAAATAATATTGCTATAATTTTTTTGTGGACATGTTTTCATATCTATTGTCTAGGAGTGGATCACTGAGTCATATAGTAACCCTGTTTAATTATTCAAAAAAAATTCACACTATTTTCTAAAGCATCTCCACTATTTTTTTCTACCAAGGTACAAGGTAGATTTCCTCCCATTGACTGGTAGGGTCTTCTGTTTCCTTAAAAGTAAAATGAACATAATTTAAGCCTACAAAAACTTCACAAAAACTTATATTGCCAGAGGGTAGATCTTATAGAATTTTAAAGTAGTCACAGAAACTATATTAGGTCAAAGATAATGAGCAAAAATTGCAATTCTTTTCTTTTGGAAGTCTCGATGTCTACAGTCATTTAAACCCACCATATTTTACAGGATGAGCTTATAATTTATTGTCAAAACTACAACACTTTTAAGAATGAGAGGTGTTTTATCTGTAATAATACTAGGACCATAAGAGTGCGCTGAGGCTGTCCCAGGCAAACTGGGACATATGGTCATCCTGTGTATAATGAAATACCTCACTATGGACTCACACTCATTTGGGAATATGTTCTACTTGTTTCCTTTTATTAGCAGAGGTGATAAATTTGTATTCATCTCACACTTATACGCAAGCATACATGAATATACATGTTGGATTAAGTTAAGGGTTGTGTCTCTTCCCTCAGAATGAGCCAAATTAACTCATGAACACAGGAAATGAATCCTAGCATTTTTAGAGATCCATGTTGTTTTTCCAGCTAAACTGAAGTGATTGCATCATAATATTTACGTTTTTATACAGTGTCCATGTTTTAAATTTTTTTGGCATGCCCTATATCACTTTTCATACCCTCCATCTCCAAGAGTGCCTATTACAGTGTTAGGCATATCAATGTTGCCTTCCCACCAAAAATGTATATTAAAAAGCTAGTTTCTGTCAGAGTGCTAAGTAATATAAGGGGATGCAAAGGGGCCAGTCTTTGTATCTAAGAGACTGGGGTTTTTAAAACAGACTCCCCCCATGCAACTTCCCTTTTCCTAACCTTTTTTCTCATTTTTTTCCATCATAATTTCTAGCTAACCAACCAACTAACCAACCAACCAACCAACCAACCAACCAATTGACCGACCAAACTCACCTCAACTTCCTCAGTCTTAAATACAAACTGTGTTATTACTTGGAATTCTGATTTTAGAGAACATATAAGGTCAGTTTTACAAATTATAATGCGAGATTCTGGCAGAGTACCACCAAGAAAATGATAAACAGAGATGCACCTGTTACTGCCCCAGGAGGGAAGTACTGAACACCGCTTGCCCTAATTCACCCTCTGGAGGAGTTCCTTTGCCAGCAACACAAAGAGTCATAGCCATTAAAGAACAAACAATTGTCAGAGAAAGACTGAGAGGGAGGAAAATGATGCTGCCCACTTTGAATACACAGGAGGGTTTCTTCAAGAATACTTCAGTTGAGTGGAATCTTGACCCTCAAATAGTTGCCTAGGTTAGCAGGACCTGAGGCAATCCCTAGGGTAAGGTCTGGTCAGATAAGTTAAAGCCGCCTTCAGGGCACTTTCAATTTAGGCACCAATTTCCTCAAGACTAAGGATAAGAAAACAAAGCTGCTTGAGTTCAACTTTCTCCTTTGCCTTTTTACTTGTTTCCTTTGTTCCTGTGAGTATAGTATATTTAAGAGTGACTTCAAATGACTAGGAAAGCTCATCATAAGGATGTTTCTTCTGATCATGGTCTGATCATGGACTAATTTTTAGCCATCCAAATACATTCCCTGGGCTTCAGGCATGATGACATATAATTTTTTAAAAGACATTTTTACTTACAACTCCTTAAGTTCTAGGTTTCCTTTCACGATAAATCTGCAAACATTTTCTCAGTGCCAGTTTAAGTGTAGGGGGAATTGCTGTCTCTTATTACAATTTCATTTTTTAGTTCTCAACTAGTTCTACGGCCGGTTCCTCCCATATATCCCTGAAACTGTCTTATGTCTCTTAGGGCTGATTTGACGTTTAGCTTGAGAAATTCAGAATATGTTCTTTTTTTCCAAACAGAACATGTTCTATGCTCATTAACTGTCAAAGTAGAATAATTTTAAAATTTCATTTTTTCCATATATGTAAAGTTTCATGTTCCTATCAATAAAAAAACTGAAAAATAGAGAATTCTGTAGTTTTATTTATACTATCATTGACACAGCTAATCAAAACTTTGCCTTGAATAAGGTTTAGTGATCTTAATATACCCACTAAATCTCTGGTGTATTTGAAACTCAGTCTTTTTTCTTTCTAGAAATTCTCTACCTTTTTTGGCTTATAAGACACTGATATTTGCTGATTCTCCCTATAATCCTCTGGTCACTTTTTTTTTTAAGTCTCTGATGGTTTCTCTTTCCCAACATTTCACAATTTTGTTCTTGGAGCAATGTGTTTCTGATTGTATGCAACGGAGCAACATACAAGACCTGATTATTAGACAGAATTACCCATGAAAATCTCCTAAGAAAGAGGTATATTTAGGCGCCAATATACCATATCCCAATAGGTCTACAGTTTTTTTCTCCAGTATTGAAACCAATCACTGCTGAGGCCCAGATGAAGTAGTGGCTTGCTCTTAAAGGCCGAGCCGTATACAAAGTAAGTAACTTTAAAGATGAGAAACCTATGTAACAAGGTAAGACATCGATCACAGGACAAAGATAAGGGTGCTGAGACGAAAGGAGAATATATTTCCTTTGGAATGTGAGATGGAGTCAGTACACTTAATAAGTTGTGCTCTTTATCTGCTTTTGTAATAGTAAAGTGTATGTGTAGTAAAGTGTAATTTGTAATAGTAAAGTGTATGTATGATCGGGTATTGTTATCCTCCCAGGGTAATTCAGTACATGGTCACCATTTCATATAGCATTGCTAGGTATATGTGTCTGTTTGTGTGAAAGCTGTTAGTATTAATATTAGTATTATTTTAGTTTTGCCTCCCTGAAGGAATGTGATAAGTTCCGAGCCCACAAAATACACAGGGAGCAGTTACAGCAAAATACTTCTCGTTACAAGACATTATTCCATTCACCCAGTAATTATCTATTCAATCCTAATGTGTGGCAGGCTCTACACCAAGTGTGACAGATAGTGAATCAAACTAAACAAAAAAAATCCCTGTTTTAGTACAGCTTATTACCTTATGGAGTTTGGTAATTACCTTACGGAGTCTGTATTCATTTTGTTAAAGAAGTTATTAGGCATCTGTTATGTATTAAGTGCTGTGTAGAACTCTAACAATATATTAACAAAAACATGGTTTCTAATTTTTAGAGGCTTTCAGTTTAGGGTTAGTACAGGAGGGGAAAGGCATAGACAGATAAAATGATTATTACAATACAATTATCATTACAATGTAGCTGAACTGTGCAGAGTCATATGGTATTAGAGAATACAACATTATTGTAGTAAACTAACCTGCATTAGGGAGGAAAAAGGAAATATTTACCTAAGATTTATCTTAATTGTATAATTTATTTACTGATCTCATTGATTTATTCTGCTCGTTACTTCCATAAAAAAGCCATTACACTGAGTTTGGTGGTTAAGGATGATTTTATAAAAATAAATGGCACTTAAGTTGAGACTTGGATGTGGTTATTATTTTAATTAGGGGGGATAGATAGGAACAATGGTCATTGAAGGCTGGAAAGCCAACGTAAACTAAAACATAAGACATAAACTATAAGCCATAATAATTAGTGAGAATTGTAGTTTTCTCAACTAAACAGGGGTTGCATGACAGGGAAAGGTAAAAAACGAGACTAAGCGGTGAAATTGGGCATAGTTTGCAGAGTAGTTTTAAAGTTAGGAAGAAGTATTTGTAACTGATACAATATCTAACTATCCATCCATCCCAAGGACTTTTATTAAGTGTTTGCATTGCAGTTATTGTGCTGTGTTCTGAGGATACATTAAAAAAGAAGGAAAAAATATAGACTTAACCCTCAAGTTTATAGTGTAATTTTAAAACAGATAAGCGAAATAAGAAATAGAGCACAATTTCATAACTTGCATAACATAAAAACATACAAAGAAGAAAATCTGGAATCTGCTTGGAGGAGCCAAGAAGGCTGCTGTAGTTTAAATGTGTCCCTTCCAAAATTTAGATGTTGCCAATGTGAGAGTATCAGGAGATGAGGCCTTTAGGAGGTGATTGGTCCATGAGGGCTCGTCCCCCATGATGGGACCATATGTCCTTATAAAAGGGGTTGATGGAGGGAGTTCCTCTCTTTTTAGCCCTTCTGCTTTCTGTCACATGAGGACACAGTGTTCCTCCCTGGGAAGACACAGCATTCAAGGTGACATCTTGGAAGTAGAGAGGCCAGGACCTCACCAGCCAGTGCCTTAATCTTGAACTTTCCAGCTCCCTGAACTGTGGAAAAAGAATTTCTATTTTTTCTGAATACTCAGTCTCTGGTATTCTGTTAAAGCAGTACAAAGATAAAGGCAATACCCAGTCTGACACCTTGAGCTAAATATTAAAGGAAGGGTAAGACAGTAGGTTGAGGGTATTGCAGGCATAAGACAACAAAGACACAAAGGAAAAACAGATAATACCTTTCTGGCAAAAATTGTGTGTGGCTCTAAAATGCTACAAATTAAAATTCTTTTCTCCTTGGGAAGAAATGAGGAAAGGTGATACTGAGAGACAGGAAGGAACCGGGACTTTTGAGTTTTATCCTTAGTTTTTGACATGCTCTGGAAGGGTTTAATATGGAAGACTTTTATACTCAAATTTTTGTTTTACAGGTTTACTCTAGACACCATGTAAAAAATATCCTGTGGTGGCAAGGCTGAGATAAGTCTGGCTGCAGGAGGACTAGTTAAGAGGATATTGTACCAAGGTGTGGTAACTGAAATGAAGACATAAGAGGCATAAAGTAAATTACAAGACACAGAGGGTGAGGAAGTGGAGGCATATAGGAAAATTACACAGTTTCTGCTTTAGATAACTGGGTAGATAGTGGGACCAGTAAGTAGTCTAACAGGTAACTTATGTGGGCTGGATCAGTGACTCCAAAGCTATGAAGTTACAGGATATCTTTTCCCAAGAAGCATATTTGGTGCGAGTTGATAGACCTTGGGCAATTTCTCTGGATGAAGAGACGAAATCTGAAGCAGTGTTTTCCAAACAGAAAGAATGAAGCAAAGGACAGTGGAGAAGATAGCATGAATCTAGGACAATAGAAGAAATGGCCAGTGTTTATGACAGTGTTTATGGTCAGTATATATTCTATACCTATTATAACTTCAAGATGATCTAGATGAGAGAAGACATTCAACCACATATTTTGAAAGACCACTCTTCTCTATAGGAAAAGATGAGCAATGCGTCCTTATGTATTTTATAAATGTGACTCCTTCAAGGCATTTTTTGATATTTAAGTATACAAATTTTTAATTATTCCATTTTATGAAGAACACCACCTTTTTGCAAGTGTGGCTTTGCAACAAGAGTTTCATCTAAATTCTAAAGAAGAGAGACTCTAAAATATTCAATGTGACTTGATTTTATAGGGAAATTTCAAAAATAGACCAAAAATATGAAACATGGTACACAAAAGTAACTCATGCAAGGGTATATGAAGAAAAGAATCCCATGAATCACCATTAATGATCTTCTGCTAATAGCAGAAGATTTGTTTGATCTTTAACAACTTGAAGTTGCTTATCTACTGATGAAGATAATATCATTAATGTAAATGGCGCATTCAAGATTCTGAATACAGTAGGGACATTATTAGAGAAGCCAGTTTAATGCTACAATCAAGGTAAATGACGGATGTGCTTTTATAGCAAATTTAATAAAAAATTGAGCCATATTCAGTTTATATGACAGAATGGGAGTCAGCATGTCCTTCAGTATATAACCAAAGCCTAAGAACCTTGAAAGCTGTTATAACCTGCTTTAAAAAATTTCACATACGTAAGTACTTAATTTTACAATTTTCCCAACTGATAAAATATAGGAGGTGGAGCAAAAGAAAAAAACAAACAAACCAAACAGAAACAACAACAACAAAAACCCCAAATGTCATGACTTTCTATAGGGTCTCTTTGTTGCTTGAAAGAATAAAGTGAAGAACTAATCATATAGGGTCTTATGACAAGAGAACTCAGGGAGGTAAAGTAACTTATACCGTTTTGAATGAGTATTCCATCTCCTTGGCCTCTACAAGGCTTATATAATGTGAGCATAAGGTTTACCCCAAGTTAGAAGCAGACCATGACTCATTTCTGGTGTATCAGAGGTTGCTCTGCATTTAGACTATTATGTGTTTATGTGGGGGCAACTCTGCCAGGGACTGTGTTTGGGTCACAGACAACAGTAGTAGTGTGACAATTTCAGGAGAAGAAGTGAGGAATAGAGCTTTAAGGAACAAATCATTGACTATCAAATGCCAGGCATAAAAAGTTCAAAGTTCCTGCCAAGCAAGTACAAATAACAGTTATACCCAGGCCTATTACCCTAGAATAGTGACTTTTTCTCTATCAGACCCAACCTTTTCTTTTCATAATTGGTGTTTTGTAATCTGCCCTTAAGATCCTTGAATGAAAGTCATAGATACTACAACTTAACTGTGCATGTAATTAAAAATATAATTGTCTAATTTAACATCCAAAAAACTATATAAAATTATATATTAAATATATTATAAATTTCAGTATGTAAAAATTAGGCTTACCTACACTAGATGATATACTGTGTTGGTCAGATGTCTACAGATTCATAAAATTATGAGTGCAGAAGGAACAAATAGAGAAAGAATATGGTATGATTTATTGGCAATTGAAATATGAGAATAGTCTTGCCATTAGCGATTTTCAAAACAATGATAACTCTTCAATCATTTCAAATCAAATAAAATCTAATTTTTCCTGGATTTCCATTCTTGGAAATTTTAGGTTATTATATTTCAGTATATTGAGGTTGCAAAAATATTTTATATTTATATGTAATATGGAATTAGGATCTGGGTACAGATATTTATAAAATGATTTTTTAAGCTAGTCTCTTATTTATGATTTGTAACAGATGTTGGAGCTGCCACTGCCAGCAGCACCCTTTAATTACTGTGACAACCCCAAACATCCCTGCCCATTTTTAATACTACCCATAGATAGCTGTAATGACCTCTTTGATAATCAGTGTTCTAGATGTTCATAGTTACTAAAATCATAAATCACAATGTAATTTAAAACTCTATATAATGATGTCATTCACAAGGCCAAATGGGAATTCAGGATAGGAATATTGCTTGGATAGTTAACAAATATATAATTCATACTCACAGAATCTACTGTTAAAATTATGTTCATATACATATGTGCTTTCCCTACAAGAAGACTTTTTTTCCTACTCTAAAGTAAAAGAATCCAATGAGAAGTACAAAGTAGTTGAGGTCATACCTACCATTTCAAAGAAAAATATTATTTTAAAAGTATAGTGTCATTTTTCCTTTCACATGTTCTAATATTTGAGTTAGAGTCTAGTGTATGCTTGGATTCAAACATGCAATTCCAAGAATGACTTTTATTTTGGAACTGGGTTGTGCAGATAGCCATTACTGCATGTGTGGTATGCCAGTCTGATCAATAGCCTGATGAGGCATGTGTGGCCTGCACTGCCCAGCCCTACCATTTTCAACCTAATTAGCAGCTGCTCAAAGATGGGAAACAGGTGCAGATCCAGGGACAGACCAGGGAAGTCTGCCTGTAATTAACAAGGAAAAAAGGGTCAGATATTGGGAAGAATATCAAATCAGTCCACTGGGGTTAGCACGCTGGCCTCAAAGGCATAGTCACCTGAGATCTTAAGCATGCTAATGTAAATTATGCAAGCTTTCAAACAACGTGGCTGCATAATCAGTTGGCAGAGTGGAAAATGATTTTTTTTTTTTGTAATAGAGTAGAGAAAAAAGTCATCTACAAAACTAATTTTTTCTCATCATGTTGTGGATTTTGGTAAAAGGACTATATAGAAGTTTTAGCAACAGTTTCTGTGAGGCAATCATGAGTTGCTTGGAAGTTGTTAATCAATTACAATTCTTCAAGAAATAGGTAATGTTTGGAGGAAAATTCAATAATCAGGTTGTTTAGAGAATTATGCACTTACAGATATTTGGAAGTAGACTTATTAGGCACATTCCTGAGCAAGGAATGAAGGACAAGGCTGTGTGCCAGATTCAGATTCTGGCTTTAATAGTCAAGTTTTCAGTACAAAGGCATTGTATCTATTCCAATTAATAGACCTTAAAATTTACCCTAGCTTTGAGAAAACTTTATACACTGTCTTTTATAGTATTTAGCATTTAGGATCCCGGTAAACTATCACCGACTTGGTGCCAAATTTCCTATGGTACCAAGGAGTTTTGTATTTCCAGTTGAGCAATTGGTGGCAGTATCATTTAACTTAGTCACATTAATGTTATGGTAGAAACAATCCCTAAACCTCAGATGCTTACAAAAACAAAGGTTTATTTTTCACTCACAGTGCATGTCTTTTGGGTTGGCCATGGGCTTCATATTGATTTCATTATAGGCCTTAACTGAAAGGAACAGTCCCTCTTGGGGACATTAGTCATCTTGTGACAGGGGAAAGAAAATGGCAGGATTTGGAGGTGGTCTTCATCTCTTCCACTCATATACCACTTGATGTGCCATGGCATCAAGAAGGCAGAATGTATAATCCTTCTTTGAGGGGAGAAGTGAATACTTTGAACAAAAATAAAATCAACTACAAGGATGCAGACAGGATCTATATAAATTTTTAGAGAGCCAATGCTTGCTGTGGTGAGAATACAGATACTACTTAGTCTAAATGAGTGTGTTTTATTATCAGAATTAAATAAAATACTAGCTGCTTTTTTTTCAGATATGTACTATGTGCTAGATACCATATATATATATATATATATATGCATATTTTACCCTCATAGCAACACTGAAACACTGAAGCCTTGGGATTATCATTTCCATTCTATGTAAAAAATGGCACAGGGATTTTGATTTGCTCAAGCCTCCACAGCTAAGTAAGTGACAACACCGGGGTTCCAACCCAGCTCTGTCATTGAACACACTCTTCCAATACACTCACTGCCTTTGAAGATGTGGCAGGTCTGACAGGTATCTTAACTCACGGGACTTTTTTTTTTTTTTTTTGACACGGAGTCTCTCTCTGTCGCCCAGGCTGGAGTGCAGTGACGCGATCTCGTCTCACTGCAAGCTCTGCCTCCCGGGTTCAAGCCATTCTCCTGCCTCAGCCTCCCGAGTAGCTGGGACTACAGGCGCCTGCCACCACGCCCGGCTAATTTTTTGTATTTTTAGTAGAGACGGGGTTTCACTGTGTTAGCCAGGATGGTCTGGATCTCCTGACCTCATGATCCGCCCGTCTTGGCCTCCCAAAGTCCTGGGATTACAGGCGTTAGCCAACGCGCCCGGCCAACTCATGGGGTCTTAACAAAATCTGTTTCATGCGAGGATGTGCAGGCTGCCTGGAGAGTGTCAATCGGTACCTCTGGGGCTAGAGGAAGGTGCTTGAGCACGGAGCACAGGACACACAATTTCAGGATTGAGTCAAGATGACTAATGTCTTTCTAGGGTCCCTTTAGTGCCATACAATTATGTCAGGATTCTCAATATTGCCACTAAATAGTGGCCATTTTTACTAATTTTTTTTGTTTATATTTGTATGTTTAGGATGTTTAGGAGCACCTCTGGCCTCTACTCATTGGATGCCATTGAAACCCTTCCCCCAGTTGTGAAAATCAAAAATGTCTCCAGACAATGCCAAATATCCTTGGGGGTATGTGTATATGCCCAAAAACAGACCCAGTTAAGAGCCACTGCTTTATATCTAAATGACAAAACTGGTACAAATTAACCCTCTTGGTATGTGTTGTACAATAATCATCAATTCTTTAAACAACATGAATTGATTACTTACTATATGTTGGGCACTTCACTAACCTTTCTGGGGAAGGGGTGGTACGAAGATAAGTAAGGCCAGTCAGGTATTCATTCACTGAGTGCAGTTTGTAATTCTGAATCCATAAAGAAGCTTTAAAAAAAGGGAGAGAGAGAAACATTAGAGAGTCTAAGATTTTTGTGTGGGCAGGAAAATATTGAGGGGTGACATAATTAATATATCTAAATACAATAAAGAATTTTGAGGAATATTTGATACTAAATAAAAAGAAGGCGGTTAACCATTTATTTCTGTCTCTGCCCTGGACCAACTCTGACCACCTTTATCCAGAGACATGTCAAAGCCTCAAATGGCTTCATAGAAACTCCATGTCTGAAGAATTTAGGAATCAATGATGCCAAATCTAGAAGGAATCCTAGCCCCCTCTAAATCTTGAGGCTGAGATCTGCCAGAAAAGATAATAAGGCAAACCAAAAAGGTATCTTTTTATGCTTAGGAAGATGATGAGGAAGAGAAGAGAGAAGAGAGGGAGAATAGGGAAGAATGCCAGAAAAGAGAAAAGAGGGACCTGGAGCAAGAATCAATGTGATGAAACAGGAAAATTAGCAAATTTGGAGTCACAAATAATGAGTTCAAACCACAAGAACCCAGGTAAATTGTACATGAAATATTATATCATCTCTAGAATGGAAGGAATAATCACTGCCGTCAGTGTGGGTTATAAGAATTGAATGATATGCTACATTTACTCTTAAGGCATATTTTAACAGTTTTAAATGAGCATGCACATTTAATGTACTTTTTAAAGTTTTCCCAATTCTGCCATATATTTTTAACATGGAAGGCCAGAGGGAAAGTAGACTTTCTGCTTTGAAGATTCCAATTTACTTAAATTTTACATACATGTTTGATGGTTAGGTTAGGGAGATTTGGGATAGGTGAGGAGGAGATGAAGTGGGTTCCTATTAGAGGAGCTTACATTGGTTAAAAAATGGAATGAATGAGCAACAAAGAAGAGATATTTTGAAACAATCAACTAACTGGATTTTAAAAAATCATAAGAAAAAAGAAAAGCCATTATGCAAAATTAGAGCCATTTAGCTTTAGGGGAGAAATGTTGATTCCTGGTTGAAACAAAAAACAAAAACAAATCAGAGATGGGAGAGATTTCTGTTTGAGTGCCCTCCAATTCTGTTAATAGGCTCTGTAGGGTTGGTATTAGAGCATTCACTCTCACTGTACACCTTTTTATTGTTAAATTCCATTGGAATTTTAATGTCTGTTGACATTATAAACGACTTGGTAGGACTTGGATCACTTACCTAATTTTTCATCATTAGCTTACGATGTTAATTATGTTTTAAATAGGAATGATCTGAGACTTTCTTATTTTACTTAGAGAACAAGGTCCATGGAATATTAAGTACTATACTTCATTACATTACTTTTCATGTAGGAACAGCTTGTTGGATATTGGTTGATCCTGAAGTACAGTACTTGGAGTCCAGTATATAGTTAAGACTTCTCTTCTGAGTTTAAATTTCCTTTTGTGGTGACTAACTTTGTTTAAGTACAAAGCATTATTTTTAACTACATGATATTCAAATGTAATAATTGTGTGATCAAGGTGATAATTTCTTTCATCTCTATTTAACACATGAAAAAACTGAAGTCTAGGCAGTACAGTGTTTTAGGGTCACACATTAAGTAAACTTAAGTTGGGACCCTTGTTTCTAGGTAATCTTGAATTACTCAGCCACAACTACTTTCTTACCCTTATGTGCAACACACAGTAAGCTAAAGCATCTCTCTTATAGGACTGAAATGGCCCCGTAGGTGCCCTACATCACACTGCATGTTTATAATACTGCAGGAAAATGTCTATATCTTAGAAATTAGAAGTAAATAGAGTAGCATCATTAAACATTTCAGTCAAGTTCAACAGCTGCCCTCAATCCTTCTTTTAAAATTCAGAGACTCAAAATAGACAGGCTAAGATTTATAAAAATAGATTTGTCTGTCACTTCTAATTTTACATTTTGCAAACAAGTTGTGCTTCAATGAAAATTTGCAGATAGATTGAGCATCTGGCAATAGGAAGATTGTCATGATTTCCATGGTTTGTAGTCAGACTACAAAAGATAATTGGTAAAGATAATCTTTTGTTTGAATAGCCTAAATGATTTTACCTCCCTAACCCTGATGACAGATGGCGGGTATCATTATTATCAACTCATTTTTATGAGAGGAAGGAAGCTGAAGAACCAAAATGTTGGCTCACTCATTGCTGAAGCACCGTGTCATTGTGGAATGAGTCCCAGTCTAGGGTTGCAAGCCCGGCTTTTCCACTAACTGGCTTTGTGATCCTGAACACACCTCTGAATATTTGGAGCTTTGTTTACTTAGCTGTAATAGAACATAGTAGATTAGATCCTCCCTACTCCAAGTATGGTCCTATGGATCAGCAGTATTGGCACCACCTGGAAGCTTGTTAGAACTATAAACTCTCAGTTCTCACCCACAGAATCAGAACATCCATTTGAAAAACATCCTAGGTAATTCCTATGAACACTGCAGCTTAAGAAGTCCTAATTTGGGGATCTTAAAGATTCCTTCCAGTTAAACATTCCATCAACTTGAGCACAGCAACTGTCCTACAAGCCCTAGTAGAGTGTCTGGCATTGAGTACATTATGGAATATATAAATAAATAGGAAGTTATTCTCACCCATCCTAATTTCAAAGACAAGTTATCTTGGCCAATAGGACCTTGATGTCTTGAAAAACATTTTTGTAAATTATATACCAGGGTTCAGTAATTTCCCTCACATAGAAGCATGAGAGTGCTGCATTCTCATATCCATTTCCTCATTTTAAGGAATACTATCTTATTTTTACATTGAAAAATATTTGCTCCAACCCTCTTTCTGTGGTTGCTGATTCTGTGTGGCACAAACACCAAATAAATCTGTCCGTTTCCTTGAAGCTGCTTGCCTTCCCCTTTCGCAGCCCACCCGTTCAGGCATCACATTACTGCCAGGCCATTTGCACCATCTGCTCATTAAGTGTCAGTTGATGGGAGGACAGAGGACACCTGGTGACCGTGAAGTCAGGCCAGTACACCGAGGGAAATCTGCAAAGTGGTAGAAGAGCATAAAATAAAACAGATCTTGGGAATCCAGAGGGTTGAGTTTCAGAGAAAGGCGGAATGAGTGAAGCAGGTCAAGCTTCTGAGGCCCAGAGCAGCCTTTTAATTTTCTGACCTCGTGCTCTGTGAGAACTGCCCTGTTAAGGGAGAGAGATTCCTTAGGAAGCAGGGGCACATACATTTTTTGCTGACCAGCTTCTTCCTGAAAAGCAAATGCTACACGGTGAGCCTGTTATAAGTACCTGTTGGAGTGAAGATTGTTAAATTTCTGAAAGGACACCTGTGTTTCCAAGTTGCTAGCTAGGCTATTGCTTCTAATTCCACAAAGCATCCATAGTCAACTGTTTATTATTTTTGAAAGCAGATTCAGACCGAAAGACCTAGCTATAACCAACAGAAATATGGCCAGAGGGCTACTTTCTGGAAAATTGGGCCTTAGAGAACCACGTGAAAAGCCCCAGGACAATGTTAGGACAGACAATTGTAGCCACACTCCGAGGAACCTCAACAGTCAGACGTCTGCTCAGCTCTGAGTTACTTAAAAACAACTGTCACATGTTTAGGTCATGGCTTCAATTCTTAACAGGAGACAATGACTCTGTTCTGTTTTCAGCTTACGATGTTAAAATTGATTAAAAGCATTAGTAGTGGTGGGCATGAGAATATTTTGGTCTTTGAACCTTAACAGAATCATATCACTTCAGACTTCATTGTTAATAGTTAATCAGAGACATTTTAGCAGGAAATATGTGGTAATTAAGAGAACAGACTATGGGCTAGAATTCTGACTTCATAACTTGTGTGACTGTGTGCAAGTTACCTACTATTTTTCTGCCTCAGTTTCCTTATCCGTAAAATGTATAATAATAGTAATCTACATCACAAGTTGTTGTAAAGACTGAATGCATTAGTCATGTACAGTATAAACAAACAGAGCCCAGCACATAGTTAACTGCTACAGAATTGTTTGCTATCATTATTGAAGTAAGATTGCTTTGAAATGTGTTTTCTCTCATTTTCACCCATGAGGGGTTAGATAAGCTAATTAAAGAAACAGATCAGCATTCTGTTGGATTCCAGGACCAAAGGAGAGATGATAAACCTCTTCCACCTCTCCATTTCCTGCCAAGTCTCCTTTCCCATTATCTTATTATCTGACTCCTAGCTTCTGTCAGAGAAAATAAGAAAAAAGAAATCTATGTAATGATCTTTCCTTGTAGTGGCTTCCTTGTCAGCATCTGCTCTATCGCTAGTAGGTATTGATGTATTGAAGGTTCCCTCAAGCTTGTTCAAACAGGGAATTAACTTTAATTCTCAGCAATGCCAGAGGGCTTGGTTTGGGCCAAGATATCTTGCTGCCCTTAAAACAAAGTCCAGGCTCTGGCAATGGATTAAGCCAATGGTTTCAGACCCAAATGCCCATAGGTGCCAGACAGGTTACCTGAATGAATGAAGCCAGCTAGAGTAAAAAGCACATCAGTCTCTCTTATTCTTTGCTATAGGTAAAGATATGGCTACAGAAATACATTGTTCTCCTCATAGGCAAATAATTGTGCCAGTGCAGTCATTAATGGCTAATGGCGATTCACACCAAATCTCAGTTTGAGAGAAAATAAACAGGACTGGAGCCTGTGGAGAACTGGCACCCACATAACCGAGGTGGCTGTTTTTCAACTGTGACCATTTCCTGCCATGTGAGCCCAATGGTGCCAGATTTTCTGATTTTTAAAGAGAAGCTCCAATTCTACCTATTGGGGGAAAAAAAGTGAAAACTCCAGAGTTTTCAACATCAGCTGAAAATCTCAGCTGGCAGACCATGGAGGACAAATGAAACATGTCTACCAGTTGAATTTGAACCTCAAGCTTCAATTTTGGGTTAAATTTCATGCACTTAGATACATCTCTGTCTGTCAGTAAGTTATTAGGAACCCTCGATGTGTCTAGTAGGAGAGGCAAGGTGCTGCAAAGAGAGAGAGAGCATGAGAGCACAAGGATATATATATATATATATATATATATATATATATATATATATATGTGTATTTATTTTTGAGACAGAGGTTTCGCTCTGTCACCCAGGCCGAAGTGCAGGGGCACGATCACAACTCACTGCAGCCTCAACTTCCTGGGCTCAGGTGATCCTCTCACCTCAGTCTCTTGAATAGCTAGGACTGGGACTACAGGCACTCACCACCACACCCGGCTAATTTTTTGTGTTTTCAGTAGAGACAGGGTTTTGTTGTGATGCCCAGGCTTGCTGGAACTCCTCAGCTCAAGCGATCCGTCTACCTCAGAGCTTTTAAAATCTTGTTCAGGAGATAGGAGTCTCCAATATGAACATTTTTACACCTTTTTTCCCTTTAACTTGTTATTTTGAAATGATTAGACCTAAAGAAAAGTTGCAAAAGTATTAAAAACGCTTCTCACATACTGTTCACTCAGATTCTCCAAAAATGGTTAATAATGTACCACATTTGCTTTCTCATCCTCTTTGTCTTGTTCTCTCTATATACATATATATGTATATAGATATGCCTCTTTCTCTTTATATACATCTATTTATACATTAAAAATATATTTCTCTAAAACACTTGGATAACCAGTATCTTTTTGTTTCCAAATAGTTTAGTGTATTTCCTGAAGACAAAAATATCCTCTTACGTAGCACAGTGCAAATCAGGAAATAAACAGTAATATAATATTATCTCTATTATTTTTATTCAAATATCATCCCAATTTCTTCATAGCAAAAGATAAAATTTCAGAGGGCTGATGCAACAGAATGTCATCTGCTGCATTTTGTGGCCATGCCCTGTGTTCTTTTATTTTAATTTTTTGATGACTATAAAAAGTTCTTCTTTGTCTTTCATAACAAAAGGCAAGTCTACTTTGTCTTTTATAACATTAATATTTCAGAATACAGGCAATTCCTCAGTATTTTAGAAGAGAACAGACCATCTTTCGATTTGGGTTTGTTTAATATTTGCCAACGGTTAAATTTACATTGTACATACCAGGCATGAATCTCGGCAGGAATACCAAGAAGTGATCTTGTGTCCTCAGTATGAGGAAGACTCAATGGGAATACTGGAGGAAAACCATTAGTTTGAGTTGGGAAGAGAGGCATTTATGGTACAAGCACTTGCCCTCAAAACCAGCATTTTGCTATTTTTGTTCTTTTAGCCTTGTTATTAAAAGATCCTGTCCACGTTCTTTCCGCCTTATCAAGGTTTCTCCCCTCACTCCTTTTCTCTCACTCCATATTTGTTTTAATGAAGAAATTCTCAGACTCTGGATCCATTTGGCATTGAAATCATATGCAGGCCTGTGAGGTTTGCTGGATTGGTAGCTGAAATATCTCTCACTTGTGAAGCACCAACTGGCATTTGCGGTCCTTTCACGTGCCTTAGCTCAATTGTCTTCTCTCCTTATAGAAGCAGCAGGAGGTTGTCTATGGCTGAATCATGTAACGCAGGTTTCCCATTTTAAAGATAAATATAACTGAGATCTGGTGAAGCAAAGTGAGATGCAGCTATATATATAGATGCGGCATTAGCATCTCACTCATAGGCTAGAATTTGAGATTTTTTTTTTCTTTCTTCCTTGTCCTAATCTTCAGGAAGAATTTGAGATTCTTGACCCTTCATCTAGTGCACTTTCTCCCATACGGCTTTTCAGAGCTGTATAAATTCAAGTCCAATTGATGAAGTAGTCACAGGCACTTCTGAATTATTAATAATGATCATATGATAATAATAGCCAAATGATATACTGCATATCATATACAAGAGATTGTTCTAAGTGCCAACACATATTAATGCACATAACATTTAATTCAATATTTAAAATGGAATCAACATTTACAATTTTTTCCTTGTGGTAATTGTAAAATTTAGATTTTGTTAATTAATGGAAAATGGAATTGTTTGTAGCACTTTAGCACTGTTCGGTTTTATTTGTTTAGAATGCTCTGGATAAATCATTTCCTCATATAACTTTCTGCTTTAAGCTCTTTCCTTGTACATTAGGGGAGTATTTTTCAGGCTGCATCTTACTGCTTTTGGTTTAAGGCTGAATGTAGCTTTTTCTTACAGTGCTTATATTTGCACTGAACTGGTATGGACTCATATGATTAGGTAAAGTTTGTTGCTGGAGGCAATATTATGCAATTGCTTAAAATCTTACCAGTTCAGATGGTTAACAGTCTTCAGTGGCATTTAACTCCTGTTTTGTGTTCATTTGTATTCAAGTACTTGAAGACAGGAGTTTAGCTAGATTCCTGGGGTGACTTTCTGCGTGATATTATTGTTTAAGCTACATAAACATTGGGGGAAAAAAAGAGAAAAAGAAAAAGGAGAAAAAAAGGAGGGAGACATTGTCATTTGTTACCCATTAAATGTTTAGGAAGTCTTTTTCCTAAACATGAACCAGAGATACAATTAGCCTGAAAGGCATTACTTTTTGTATAAATCCAATGTGGGGTCTCCCTGTGAGGGTTTGACATTGAATGTGGTTGGCTACAGTGGCTCACTGTTCTAGTTCAGGTCCTGATGATTTTTCTTAAAATCCCAGCAGTATGCTTGGCACTTAGTTAACACTCTAAATATAATAGAATGAATGGATTGGACTTAAGAGACAACTGAAATAAAGGAGAGTTTGAGGAAGGGTTTGTTATAGGGGAGGGATATGTGTCATGTTGGGAAATGCCAACGTGAGCTCTGCTAAAGATTTAAAAAGTTATAAATATTTATAGTTAGGAAGAAACAGGAGAGTGAAGAACCAAACTATTAATAGAAGTGCCCACTCTGAAAATGATAATTTATTGTTGCTATCCCCACTTCTCCTTCCAATTTCATGAGTGGTAGGAATGATGAGTCAATCATGGAAATTTTTCCAAATGAATTGGGATACCAATTTAGAATTTGTTTTCCTATTTCTCCTAAAATTCTTCTCAATAAATCATTTTGTGCAGCCACTACCAACTAAATAGAATTAGTATAGGACTTGAAATCCATTTATAATTATAGTACAAAGCTAAAGATACTGTGAAATTAAAGACATGTCACCTCTGAAGTAAGAGAGTAAGGGACAGGTATATGCGCTGAAGCAGGCCTGTGAAGTGCAGCCGAATACCAGAGAAAAAAGAGGGGATCCCAGTAGGGGAAAAATGGATCTTACAAACTCAACTGGATTGGCATGGATGGATGAATGAATGAATAAATAATGAGAGGTACATCTGAATTAGTCAGAATGTCTGTATTCCCCTCATGGCATTTCCTTCATTTTTAAACAACCTTGGGCAAGTCCCATATGTCAGATATTTACTAGCAAAGCAAAGATTAGAAGTGTGGCAATATCCTGATAATTCAGGCAAAACCTCCACTTCTGTTTAGGGTACAGAAAATACCACTGGGAAATAGAATTATAAATAAAAATGTGTTTGAGAAAATAATAGCATGCCATTATCATCTTTATGAATTTATATAACTTTTACTTAAGAAAGTAAATGGAATTCCATCAATGTTTGTAAACTATTACTGAAAGTACAATACAATGTAGGTTAGAATTAAAATACATTTGTTAGAAAACTTGAGCTCTTGTTTCTAAGTTATTGGGATAAGCTCCATGTCAGTAATAGTTTGATTAAACCATTTTAATAAAAAGGAGTACATTTTTTAGATTTTATATTTGAAGAAGAAAATATGTAACGGACAAAGAATGCCTTCATTTTGTATTTTCACAAAGTTATTTGGAGTTATGTTCACATAGTTTTTTTTTTTCATTTAACTTTTATTTCAATTTCAGGCATACAAGTGTAGGTCTGTTATATAGGTAAACTTGTGTCATGGAGGTTTGTTTTACAGATTATTTCATGACCCAGGTATTAAGAATAGTACCCAATAGTTTTCCTGATCTTCTTTCTCCTCCCACACTCCACCCTCTCATATACCCAGTGTGTATTGTTTCCCTCTATGTGTCTATCTGTTCTTATCATTTAACTCCTACTTGTAAGTGGGAACATGAGGTATTTGGTTCTCTGTTCCTGTGTTAGTTTGGTGAGGATAATGGCCTCCAGCTACATCTATGTTTCTGCAAAACTCAGGATCTCACTCTGTTTTTATGGCTGCAGAGTATTCCATGTTGTATATGTACGACATTTTCTTTATCTAGTTTTCCATTAATGGGCATTTAGGTTGATTCCATGTCTTTGCTATTGTGAATAGTGCTGCAATAAACATATGTGTGCATGGGTCTTTATGTTAGAATGATTTATATTCTTTTGGGAATATATCCAGTAATGGAATTGCTGGGCCAAGTGGTATTTCTGTCTCTAGGTCTTTGAGGAATTACCACACTGTCTTCCACAATGATTGAACTAATTTACCCTCCACCAACAGTGCGTAAGCATTCCTTTTTCCCCACAACCTCACCAGCATCTGTTATTTTTTTGCCTTTTTGATAATAGTTATTCTGACTGGTGTGAGATGGTGTCTCATTGTGGTTTTGACTTGCAGTTCTCCAATGATCAATGATGTTAAGCTTTTTGCATATGATTGTTGGCTGCACATATGTCTTCTTTTGAAAAATGTCTGTTCATATGAGAACACTTGGACACAGGAAGGGGGACATCACACACAGAGGCCTCTTGTGAGGTGGGGGAAGAGGGAGGGGGGAGGGATAGCATTAGGAGATATACCTAATGTAAATGACAAGTCAATGAGTGCAGCATACCAACATGGCACATGTATACATATGTAACAAACCTGCACGGTGTGCACATGTACCCTAGAACTTAAATTATAATTAAAAAAAAAAGAAAAATGTCTGTTCATGTCCTTTACTCACTTTTTAATTTTTTTTAGTACATTTGTTTAAGCTCCTTATGCTGGATATTAGACCTTTGTTAGATGCATAGTTTGCAAAAATTTTCTTCCATTTTGTAGGTTGTCTGTTCATTCTGTTGACAGTTTCTTTTGCTGTAAAGAAGCTCTTTAGTTTAATTAAATCACATTTGTCAATTTTGTTTGCATAGTTTTAACTAAATATCTTGGTGTTCTGTGGAGCTCACGATTTTACTTTTCTGCTCCTTACGTTAGCTTATAAGCACATCCTCACTTCCTTTTCAACTTTTTACTATAAATTAAAAAGAAATTCTATTACACATATTTTAGTTGTCAAAAATTAAAAATATGTACAATTCTACTACCTGAAGTCACCTTGTTAACATTTTGGTGATATTTACCCTTCCATAAAACACAGAAGAGAATATTTATATGCACTCTTTTATAAAATGACTTTATTTTTAACACAATATGTTGTGATATTCTTCCTATATCAATAAATTTATTTTTTCATAAAACATATAGAAACATGATTTTTCAGTAGTGTCCTATTGCATGATTTTAACATTAGTTACTTAACCCATTCTTATTTTGGATATAACATTTGTTTCCAAATTTTGAAATAATATAAAGAAATATGATAATAACCTTCAAGCAAATCTTTGTTTATCTTTAATAATTTATTTGCAATTAACCTTGGAAATGCTATTGCAGAGACAATGTGCTCATTATTAACACTTCAGCTGTAGCTTGCTGAGTTGCCTTACAGAAAGGTTATAGCTGTTTCCATTCTACCAACAGCTGTGTGTGGAAGTCCAAGAAGTCCTATCATCACTTGGTATTATCCCTTTTTCTTCATTGCCAATTTAATAAATGTGCTGTTGTATCTCATTTTAATTTGATATTTTAAATTTTACTAGTGAGTTTGAACGTATGTTCATTGACCATTTGCATTACTTGATATATTCATCACATTTTCAGATTTTTACCAATTTTTTCTATTAGTATGTCTATTTCTCAGTGATTCAAAAAATTCTGCATTTTAAACATATGAGCTCACTTGACTGTGTGAATTTTAAAATTTTAGTAGATTTAAAATCTTCTATGTTAGGATGTTGAATGAGAATGAAAATCCAGTAATTACTACTTTCTTAAATTGTTCTTAATTTAATGACCACTAGCAAAAACACAACATTGAATGTATAAGAAATTGGTCTGAATCACTCTCTTGATATTCTGTCTTTATTTTTAATGAACTAACCTGTGTACCTGAGCAGAGAATAAAACTTAGTCCATCCAAGACTAAAATTGAAAACTGAATCAAATCTATATCTTTTAGCTAACAAGGCCATTTTTCTTCATTATCTAAATATTTTAGACTAAAGTACGTTTATCTCATGGCCTCCTTTATTTTAATTTGCTAGATTTTTTTTTTCAATTCTGCATTGCCTAATAATGCTAGCATAGACACAGCCAGAGTATTGATGATCTGAGGAGTTCACCTTCAGATGAAACAAATATCAGAGATCAAAGTGATTTTGCCTTACGGGGCTCACATCCAGGGTCAAGTGGAGGATCTTGGTAGGCCTTCCTGAAGGATGGTCTGGAGAGGAGGTGGGAGTGGCAGCTTCTTCACCAGCTCTGCAGTAAAGTGCTGTCTGAGTCTGACCCCCATGCTTAAGAATCATCACACTACATCGTGATTCTGCACCAAGCTCAAATCTCAGAGCTTCATCTTTGATTCAGTTGGTACTGTGGGATGGATATTCATATCTTTATAGACATGTCGCCTTCCCACCCCTAATTTTTTTCCTCGTGGTGTTTGGTGTTAGGGTGAAGGACGAAGGCCACATTTGAACATAAGTCAGGTTTTTTAATTTTATGTGGGGGAAAGCCGGGGGTGTTTGCAGAACTTAAAACAGAAATCAAACCTTTAAAGGTCGACTGTATGTGTCCTGCCACTCATATTCTCTTTTGGCTTCTAACTTTCCTTAGGCTTAAAATATATCTGGAGCCGCTGGTTCCTTTGTTCTTTGGAGAGTTCATTTTTTATTCCTTCAAAAATACTACTTTTTTGTTTTTGTTTTTGTTTTTTTTCTTAAGAAAAGGGCAACAAACAAAGTTTTCGTTGATCATGTTTCAGAGGCTTGTTTCTTACAGCTCTGAAGAACAAAACAGGGCCTGCCGTTATTTCAGAGAGTGTCACTCTGCACCCTAACTCAGGAGGGTCCTCAGTGAGCAGGAATTTCTAGGCCGAGTTGTTTGCTGACTATGAAATTAGGAGGAATTGTGTCAGAAGTGGTGGCCACCTAACTTTAAAATGAAGCTAAATGAGAAATATCTGGAAGGAATGCTAATTTAATATTTTTTAATATCTCCTTTTATGAACCTAGCTACAAAGTTTGGCATGACATTTGCCTCTACTCTGGTACCTTTTAGTGGTTATAGCCATATAAGTGTTATAGACTAGAAGTTATAATTTATTAAAACAATTGGTTGAGTGCCAGGAATGCTGGTTAGAAATCTCTGCCACATTCAGAAGGTAGGATAAAAAATCAGAATAAATGAATTATTAACTTGTTTTTTATTCTACAGCATGTACATAGACTTATATTTGTCACAGTGGTTTCATTTCAATATGTAAATGATTGAGATGTCCCAGGCTACTCTGGGAAAAAAATACTGTAACAAGGTATTTTCTGCATTAAATGGATTTTATGCTTTTATTTTAGATAACAAATTTTGATTAATTGAGCATTTTTGCTCTATTCAATTCTTAAGAAAAACACATAGTTCTTACCCCTGCACATTAATCAGTTGTTTCTCATTTGCCTAAAATATTTCCATTTCTCTCTCTTATCCCCATTCTCCCTCTCTCTTTCTTTTTTTTTTTTTTTTCTCAAGAGACAACTTCTCACTGTGTTGCCCAGACTGGAGTGCAGTGGCACGGTTTTAGCTCACTGCAGCCACAAGCTCCTGAGCTGAAACAATCCTCTCACCTCAGCCTCCTGAGTAGCTGGGACTACAGGTATGCACCACCACATCTTGCTAGTTTTCGATTTTTTTTTTTTTAATGGAGATGGGGTCTTGCTCTGTTGCCTAGGATGATGTTGAACTCCTGGCCTCAAGCTATCCTCCCACCTCAGCCTCCCAAAGTGCTGGGATTACAGGTGGGAGCCATCAGGCCCGGTTATCCACCATTCTTTTTTTTTTTTAATTATACTTTAAGTTTTAGGGTACATGTGCACAACGTGCAGGTTTGCCTGGTCATCATTCAAGTCTCCAACTTTTTCATTAGCTCAATTTACTGTGGCTGTATGTTGGGAAGATAATAGGAAACAAACAGATAAGCCCCTTATATCCTCAAGATCTAAAGAAATCTTTCTAGATTTTTGCTGCAACTGCTAGCACCCCAACTGGAAATAATTGTTTTAATTTTTATATGTTTCTTAGACACGTTGAAACTTAAATGTTGGCCAGGGGCAGTGGCTCACGCCTGTAATCCCAAGCACTTTGAAAGACTGAGGCAGGAGGATCACGAGGTCAGAAGATCGAGACCATCCTGGCCATCATGGTGAAACCCGGTCTCTACTAAATATACAAAAATTAGCCGGGTGTGGTGGTTCACGCCTATAATCCCAGTTACTCTGGAGGCTGAGGCAGGAGAATCACTTGAACTCGGGAGGCGGGGATTGCAGTGAGCCGAGATCGCGCCACTGCACTCCAGCCTGGTGACAGAGTGAGACTCCGCCTCAAAAAAAAAAAAACCTTAAATGTTTATTATAGTTATCTCTCTGCTTTATTAGAATTTGAGTGTTTTTAAAATCAATAGGACCCTTTTTTGCACCTATGTTCTGAACTGGTTGAGATAAAACAATAAAGTGAAAGGGATATAAAATGATATAATTATTTTTGATGAAGTTGATACTTTGGGCAAATGGGGTGCCAAACAGAATTCCAGAATTGGACAATTATTTACCCAGTAAAAAGCAGCTTGGAATAGGCAAACACTACAATTGGTCAACACTGCTAGGGATGGGGTAACATGGCAATGAACATCTAGCAAGCCCTGAAACTTATAAGGGAGTGGGGCTGGGTCCCAAGATAAAGGGACAAGAAAGGGAATGGGCTATATGACCAATATGTCTTTTCAAGCTGGCCGTGAGTGAATGAGAAATGTTAAGTTAGGCCAAATGTGCGGCTCACTTCACATCTGGAGAAGGAAGAAATGTTCTCATCCCAACAAACTTCATTTATTTCCCTACCAGGGGTTCCCTTTTGAATTTTTTTTTAAAAATCCTTCAGGATAGTTAAAACACACTGAGCATTTGCTAAATATTTATTAAATAAATTTATTCAGAAATAAATTCATTTCAGGCATTTAATTGAAAATGAAGAAATGAACAAACATTCTTGGGCTGAGTCCATTTTGTTATTTACTACCTCATAAATAGTATATTCCATTTTGTACACATTTTCATTATATTTACAATGTCAAGATAAAACCTTCAGTTATTAGATTCAGCCATATCCAGACTTCTATATTCACTGAAGCAAAAACATAAATATATCTTCCAACAGTTCTCAATGAATAGGATGATAAATGTTTCAAGTCCCTGTAGGCTAAATGACTTGAGGAAGGTCTTGAAAAGACTTCAGAGCGACTCAAAGAGCTTTTCAGAAATCTGGAAGCTTGTTATGACATCATGGACTGAAATCTGAGGTGTGGTAGAAAAAAGGAACTATATGAAGAGAAAGTCAGGAGGTGGGGAAACATTGGCAACTTAGCTTGAGAAAGCCCGACACTGTTTCTGTCATATATTTTAAATATTCTTAATTAACCTATGTCTGCACCCACCAAGCATGTGATGTCAGTCTTTGCTGATAATAGAACAAACATCTGCTGACTTGGTCAGGGAAGCAGCCCTTCATTTAATCGGGGATACAGTCTGATTTTCCTAACAGCAAAGTTTGCCTTAGGGTTTACCGTTAATTAATTGTGTCTAAATATTAACTGACATCCATTTTAGGGTGTGAGCAAAACTCCCCTCTAGGGAATGTCCTCTGTGGAAAACTTAACATTTCCATTATGAAAGCCAAGAGGATGAAATCCTTTTAGAAATGTGGCTGCTGAGTGCAAAGGAGGGGGCAAACCTCTCCTATAAATCAGGGAAGGAGAAGAGAGACTAAGAGAAATGGCTCCAGGGAAAGGAATAAGTTGGGGAGCTGATTCACGCCAGATTTCAAAGAAATTGAATCAAAGAAAGAAGGAGAAATGGCAGGTTTGCTGAGGAGTCTTCTTGATTTAGAACTGTAGAGTCCAAGTAGTGCAAATTGTGATGGACAAGAAAACTCTTATGAGAACTTCACCTTGGTAATGCTTTTCTTTCATAGGAAGAGGTCTGTCTGCAAGAATAACTAAGAGCTGATGGTCTTGGACCACAGAGAAAACTTATGTCGTCTGTTTTTCTTTTATTTCTAGTGAACCGACTTTGGTTGTGAGATCAAATTACACAGTAATGGAAACAGTTTGCCTTACCTTCAACAGCTAAATAATACGTTTGATTTCATGCTACAATTTCTTATTCCTTACAAGGAGTGATTTTTGTCCTGGGGAAATAATTCAAGAAGGATCTTTTCTCCTTTTGGTCATCTCTGTGAAAACCAAGAACATCTGTGTCAATATAACTTAATCATTTGTTCTGAAAAATTCTTAGCAAGGAAGATAAGACTGCACACAATAAACAAAATTTGATTATTGAAGAATAATCAAATATTGGATTCCTATTTAAAACACAATAGGAACAGAGAGTGAGGAACAGCATAGGGTTTGTCAATAATAATTCAGTAATAACATATTTATCAGGGCAACAATGATCTCATCATGACTTACTTCAAGACTCTTGCCTCCTTGTGTCACTGATACAAAACTATTATATCCTAACCTTGCCCAGTCCTAATTAATGGCCTCTTGAGAGATCCATCTTAAATTACTTGGGCCCAAACTCCCAAATTTTACAAGGACCCTTCAATTTCTCTCCTCTTTTGGGACACTATCAGGACTCTATTCAGGTAGTGTTCTCTTGAGCCACAGTAAGATTAATTAACTCCATTATTTTTTGAGCAACAAGATTTAGTCTTTCTGGAAAATAGAAAGCTCGAGTAACTGAGATGCTAGCATGCAGGTTAGAGCATCCACACAGATACTAAACACTTTTGGGATGTTGGCTGGATTTTAGATTTTAGTATAGGAGAAATTAGGCATTGGAGTTATGAGTTAAAGCGGACTGCAGGATGACTACAGTGAGGAGACAAGGGAGATACTATAGCTAAATAACAAAAGTCTCCAGAGAGCATATTTTGAAAATTAGGAGAAAATTAATGGTCTCAGCATAGGACTGAGAACCAGTAACCAATCTTCTCTCTTGACTTTGAGGTCCGTGCATTGTGAGAGAATGAGGTTTCTCTCAGGTTTCCATGGAGGCACCAGTTTTGGGTTAAGAAATAAAAGTGGACACAATGTGGTAAATATTTATCTTATTCTATCTTCCATGAGAGGTTCAGATGGTACAGGAGAAAGGTTGAAGAATAATCAAATATTGGATTCCTATTTAAAACACAATAGGAACAGAGAGTGAGGAACAGCATAGGGTTTGTCAATAATAATTCAGTAACTGGAACTTCTGAGGACTTGAAACTCTTCTGTTTCTGAAACCTTAATGCAGACTCCCAATTCTCTGACCACATGTCATTTATTTCCAGCTGCCTCAGTTTTTTAGTTTCATCATACTTACATTTTGTTTTATTTTTTATTTCAATAGGTTTTTTGGGGAACAGGTGGTATTTGGTTACATGAATAAGTTCTTCGTGGTGATTTCTGAGATTTTGGTGCACCCATCATGTAAGCAGTGTACACTGTACCCAATGTGTAGTCTTTTATTCCTCAACCCTCTCTCACACTTTATCCTGAGTTCCCAAAGTCCATTGTATTTTTCTTATGCCTTTGCATCCTCATAGCTTAGTTCACACTTATGAGTGAGAAAATACAATGTTAGGTTTTCCATTCCTGAGTTATTTCACTTAGAATAATGGTCTCCAATTATGATGTTGATGTCTCAACTTTTCTTTTTGTTTTATTATCTCTCTGCAGTCTTGTATTATTATTACAATTATTTACCTAGGATCTACTGCTTTTAACATTCTCTCCAATTTTTTTCAACTTCTTTTCTTTATTATCTTTCTGTGTTAGCAAAATCCAGTCCTAGATGGATTCTACTCATTGCCTTTCCAGCTTCTACATCTGGGCTCCAATTTTTCTGAGTACTGCTACAGAATAATCACCACACATACATCCATGTTCTTCAACATCAGCTGGGCCCTTGACACAGCCTGAGATATTTTCTATAGGTTCTTGCAAGCACTGCCTCACCACCAATTCTCCACAGCTAAATTTTGAAATCTTCTCTGCTTTTTAAAAACTACTTACCCTTCTATCTTCTTCTTACTGTCAATATTACTGAAAACAAAATAAAGCAAAACAAAAACAACAAATTGGAGGCAATCAAGTGGGAAATTTCTTAATTTTACTATAAACACTTCCAGTAGTTCATAGCTACTTGAATCTATCTTTTCTTCTTGTTGTGAAATAGTGAAAAATAGTTGTTTTGAGACTGATTTCCTCACCGATGTTCTAGCTGCAGTCCAATCTTATCTTCTCAGATGTTTGGCCCATCTATACACTCATTCCTGTATCTCCACTCTCTTCTTTTGAATCAGTCTTTAAATATGCTCAGTGGTTTTCAATGTTAAAAAGAAAACAAAGAATCCTTTCTTGACCTTTGTTCTTAGCTAGCTTGTGCCCACTTTTCCTCCCTTCTGTTAATAACTATGTTCCTGAGCTATACTTGCTCTCTTAGGTTTCCAGTCTTCCATTCCCTGCTCAATTTCTACCATTTAAATATTGCCACTGAAATGCGTCTAGTAAAGGCCACTGATGAGCTTTTCATGGCTAAATCCATTACATGTTGTTCATCTTTATTTTGTTTGTTTTACCTGCAGTATTTATTGTTATTGAAAAAGGAAAGCCTCAGTATTTACTGAAGAGTTAAGATGGACATTCTAGGCAAGGGAATGTGCCATAAATAAGCTAGGTCAGCATGGAGTTTAAGGGTGTTCTGGATAGTGAGAAGATTTTTTTTTGACCAGGGCACAAGTCTTCTGTAGAATAATAGGGAGACAGGAAATAAAAAATAGAAGAAAGTATGTTGGCTAGATTGTTGGAAAAGTCCTTAAATGAATGGTATGTTAAGAAATTTAGATTTTATTGCATAGTGATCAGGGCCCAATGAAACTTTGAAAAGAGAGCGATACATGATAGATGTTTGTTATCATTCATCTGTCAATGTCACTCGGCTTAACCTGTGCTTGTGGTATCAGTAACAGCATCAAAGTCATGGCACTTAGGTAAGCAGCATGAAAAATATTTCTGTATTCTGCTTGATGCTGGCTAGAAATTCCAGTGGAAATCCAAGAAGGCTTATAAAGATTCAGGACTAGCCTTGGAAAAAGGACAGTGTAGACATGCATATTAGAGATTCATTTCTGCAAAGGTGAATGTTGACGTTTTCGTCATGCTCTCTGTTGGGATGAGCAAATACCTTCTAGACAGACCCTTCCTTTCAATTTATCTTTTTTTAAGCACTCAGAGAATTCCTTGTAGTACATTTGTACAAAGTGCCATTTTATCTTACATTTAAAACTGTTGTCATTCATAGTTGATACTGTTTTGTTACACTGATAGGTCCTTTTGTGACTGGTGGGTAAGACACATTTTTCCTTTTGACAGTTGGCTTGCAATTTTTTTTTTCTGTATCTGCTGAATTGCTTTCTTGCTCTTGCAAATATATTCAGCATCACAGTTCTTCTACATGACAGACAGAGAAGGCCTTGGCAGATTCCAACCTCAGGAAGAAATTATGTCTTTCTCTATAGTACTATCAAGAGATTCATGTATATATGCCAGGAGACACCTTTGGATTCATAGTGCACTTATATTAAATGAGGGGGCATATGATGTGATATTTTTTGATGTTATTTCACTCTAATAGATCATTAGAAATTTAATTGATTCTTAGAGAGTTTAAAATTGAATTCTTTATGTATTTTATGTGATTCCATAGACATATTTCAAAGTAAAGTATAAGGGTCGGTAATTTAGATTTGATGATTACTTTGCAAAGTTTGGGATATATAAGCAGACAATGGTATAGTTTAAAATACTCCTGACCAAATATCAAATTTCTGATGATGTAGATAGGAAAGTAGATAAAAAGTTATAGAATTATTAAAAAATTTTATGAAGTTTACAATAGTTTGTAAACTATTTTTTTTGCCTGTTACTCAAAGGTATTGATTCTCCTTTGGTACTACATGACATTTTCATTTAAAATTCATCATGATTACTTTACAGAATGCCAGATCTGCCACTGTTGTTTCTTTCTCAGGATGTTGTATTTCTTAAAAACTCTTTCAATATTCATTTTGAGAAACTTGTTTAAATTTACTCACTTTAATATGCATACACTACATACATACTTGCACAAATATACTATAATATACATGCTATTACATTCAGCATCTTATTAGATTTAGATTCTGAATGTTAGTTACTGAAAGCCCCTTGTGGGCAGGGCTAAGTCTTTCTCATTATCCTCCCCACTCACTCACATCACACACAATAATTTGTACATAGTAGTTATATACAATAGATGTACTGAGGTGTTCTATTCCAATGGAGCTCTGGTGCGTCTATTGACTTCCTCATCTCTATTATCTAGTGATGACCTTTTTTATGTGTATATATCTCTGTTTGCTAAATTTCATACCTAGACTTTGGATAATCAATGCTGCCACTGTATAATTTTTATCATACCACTTCAATATCTGGGGAAAAAAGACAGCTAAATGATCTCATCTTTGTTTGCTTCCAGATAAATTCTGATAACACTCTTCACTTTAAGTCCAAGTTTTCACACTGGGATGAGAAGCAGATGATCAATAACTCTTAGTTATAGAGTAGCCATAAGACATGCATTGGCTGAAGAACACTTTGGTTTTTGAGTGGAATGAAGAATTGCTCTAGCTATGCCATCATTATATCTGCCCATACTGTCATGATTTCTCAGACTGTATCTTTTTTTTTAACTCTTGTGACTAGCCATATTAGGACAGGGTTCATTTTTTCCTGAGAGGCAATTTGTTAGAATGGAATAAATATTAGACTAGAAGGTATAGAACGATGGTTGTCAGAGTTCACTTCCAAGACCAGCAGGGTTGGCAGCACCAGGGAACTTTTAAAAATACAAATTTTCTGGGTTTAACTCAGACCTATGGAATAAGAAAGACTGGGGGTAAAGTCTAGCAATCTGTGTTTTAATAAGCCCTCCATGGAGTTCTATTGCAAAGAAAAGTTTGAGAACTGGTGTTCTAGTGAGTGGTTGATTTCTTTTTTTTTTTGTCAGAGTCTCACTCTGTTGCCAGGCTGGAGTGTAGTGGCACGATCTTGGTTCACTGCAACCTCTGCCTCCTGGGTTCAAGTGATTCTCCTGTCTCAGCCTCCCAAGTAGCTGGGACTACAGGCATGTGACACCACGCCCAGCTAATTTTTGTATTTTTAGTAGAGACAGGGTTTCACCATGTTGGCCAGGATGGTCTCGATTTCTTGACCTCAGGTGATACGCCCACCTCAGCCTCCCAAAGTGCTAGGATTACAGGCGTGAGCCACTGCGCCCAGCCAAGAGTGGTTGATCTCTTAAAGAGATTGTTCAATTTTGAGACTGTATGAGTTTGAGGACTTGGTTCTTATTTTCACCTCTGCACTGATTAAATGTACAACATTGAATCTCAGTTTTCTCATCTATAAAATAAGGGATTTGTACATGGTTATAGGTAATATACCTTAATTCTAAACTCTGACAGTATGGATGCCTCTCCAAACCTAACTATTGAGGAGGAGGTGTTTTTCCAGTTACTCCTCTGGTTACTGTGTAGTATACCGTTTCTGGTTCCCCTGTCCTCACTTGACTTGGCATTTGAAGTAAGATTGGGCTAACTGACACAAAGTAAGTTTATAACTTGATACTTGATTTATTTGTACACTTCAGTAGCCTTTTTCAGTGGGAGGCTTACTAGAACTTTTGGCCTCACATCAGCAAACTTATTGTTTGATGCTGTCGGCCAATTCCTGGCTTCAACCTACCAGTCCAAGACATTCTGGCAAGGAAGATGACTGGATGCAAATGATTCTCATGAAATTTATTCTTTATTATCCTTCTTCTTGTATCTCATTAGCGGGGACATGGTAGAAGTCTGAATAAGATAGACATTTGATATCTTGTAGAGTTAGCATGTTGGATATTGAAATTTATGACCTGTAGATGTGAATGCCCAAAATGAGTTCTAATGGATGCCCAAAATTAGTTATAATGGTTAAATTTAAACTTTTCTATTTGTTCTAAAAATAGATACAGTTATTCTTCTAGTCACCTAGGCACAGAAACTGAGTCTTCAAATAATTTCTTTCCTTTTTATCCCAGTAATCATTGAATACTAAGTCATAACAGTATCTTTTCATTTACAATGTTTTAAATTCTATTTGCTTTATATTTTCTATGTTGCTACATGACTTCAAAGTCCATGTATAGAGCTTTTGTAACCTATGTGTCTACTATAACAATAGCTTCTTTTTTAAAAACAGAAACCAAGTAATAATTTCAACGATGTCAGGAGAATTATATCATGGGCACCCCCTGTGACAACCTTATGATAAAGGTAGAAAAAAGTTTGTTTCTTTTTCTTCTTACACAATAACTTCTTAATTGTATCTAGCTTCATTCTCCTCAAATCCTGACAAAGACCATAAAAGAGACTTGAATCTAAAAAAGAGACATTTCCTATGAACCATTTTTGCCATTTGGAGTTTATTAAATAAAGACCATTCAATTTCTTTGAATAAACAGAGAAAAATAATTAGTTTTTTTTAGAGGCTGCCTCTGCAAGTTGAATCTAATTCCAGAGGTAACTTTAGTAGAGATCTTAATTTGACTCTCTCCATATTGTAATAATAGCTTATAAGAACACATGACTTCTGTGTCCCAAACTGTCTGTTTTTAAGTTTGGCACTTTTTCCAAACAAAATATTATTTTCAGGAAAAAAAACCCAAGGCCAAAAATAAAGCAGGACTGTAAAATTGTGTTCCAGTTTGTATAAATGATCTAACCTTCTTTTAGTCACCTGGGTCTGGAATGGCTGCTTTAGCAAATTTCTTACTCTATCACCTTGTTAAAAATACAGACACTTGTATAACTTTGTCTAAGCTCATGCATTATTGAGTTGATAAATCATAGTGGCTTTGAAAGAGCCAATATGCTCCAGCTGTCTCTCATGCAAATTAACTGCATGTGCTAAAACTCCTTATGGAAATTTCAATGGCTAAAAATATTATGCACAATTAAAATCCAATGTTATTTCTGCTTTTCTCCTATAATATTTTCCCAAATAGTAGAATTTGAAGTAGTTTTCAAGTTTGATAACTTCTGGATTTTGTTTTATTTTTTAAAAAAGAACCTGTGTATACACACAAACACATATACAGACATAGATACACAGTCAATTCTCAGTATTAGTGGTTATGCTCTCTAAAGTCATTGTGAACACTGATGTAGCTAAAACGGAGTCGTTGCTCCTAGGAGAAATGCAGGATTAGGTTCCTGTGAGCCTCAGGTCACATTTTTTACATTTTTATCAACATATCAATACCTAACCTTGTTTTATTTGTATTTCTGCTTAAAAACACTATATTTAATATTTTGTTGATTCATTAACATAGAATTTAGGGCTACCGGTAGTATATAACTTATGCCTGAATGAAGCATATCTAACATATATCTCCATGAGGTGCTAGCTTTCTTGTGCTTAGGAACACTAAACAGCTCTTTAGTACTACAGTAGGGGGCCATTTTAAACAGTCATGTCCGTAACAAAAATGACAAAAATGCAAAAAACCACAACACTAAACAGACCACAATCGATGCACATGTTCATGAATTACCACAAGGGTAAAATTGAGTATTGCTTGATGGGGTTGGGGGATGGGGTAGTTAGATTAATAGGTAATTAAATACATACGGTATGTGTTGAAATTTACAAACCTAAACCCAAAATAATACAATAAATCTAAAAGGATGCTTTTCAAAGTTTCAAACTAGACTATTCTGATAATTCCTACTCAATAAAATTTGTCTTCAAGTATATTTATTTTTATGCATTAATAAACTAATATTGTTACATTTAATTAAATTTTAATTTGTTTTTGGCCTTATGGCATATGCTATTTAGCATAAGTAGCATTTGCTTAGGCACTTGTAATTGCCTTGTTATTCTACAATCTCTTCAGACTTTTGTGTTATTTATTTATTTTATTTTATTTTTTTTGTATTTTTTTCTCTCTTCAGACTTTTGAATGTGCTAAAGTATCAAGTACAGGACTTCATAAGCAGAATGTTCTCAAAAGATTGTGTGCTGAGTTTTTGATGGAACGTTTTCCTTCTCAATCCAAACTGGCTATCTACAGAGACTTAAATCAACTCCCATACACTTAAAAAACCTTGCTGTGGTCTTGTTAGACAGTAAAACTTTCTGTCATTTGTGAAACCTTATCATTATGTCCATGTTTTTAGTCACTTTGAAATGATTATGATTTTGATGTATATGAGTTGAGATTTTTAGGAAATTGAGAACAGCACAAATCAATGCTTGAGTTGTAGTACACTAAATATTTTTTAAAGTTCTGATAACATTATTTAAATAGAGTGAAAACTTTGATAAAAAAGCTTCATAGATAATTAATTGCATATGAAATGTGTTAAATATTTGGAAAACCAAATCCGAAATAATACATCTACAAGGATGTTCTTAAAAGTTTCAAAGTGCCCCATTTCGAGAACCTGTTCAATAAAATTTTATTGTTCTGAAGTATTCTTTCTTTTTATATATTCTGACCATATTTTGTTTCTGCTGTTTTTTCCTTCCATATACATTACCCATTATTTTGATGAGCAAGACTGTTTACTTTTCCTTGTTTTTGTTTGTTTGTTTGTTTCTTGGCTATTTATATGATTATTTCTGATTAGAGATTCCTAACAGTCAAATGACATTGCATGATCTCATTGAGACACAGTTTATAAGCTGCACATGATTTTTGCATAAACTAAATCTCTATATTTTATAAGTAGATTTACTTTTTTATCTCTTCAACCTATCGAGCTATTAAAACAAAGTCACCTCCTGTCTGCTTTGAGCTTCTCGTCTTTAATTCTGAATGTAGTCTTTAAAGGAATATAAACTAGAAAAATAAAGTAACTTTCAAATTCCTATCATTCTCTCCTAGGTTCAAGCAATTCTCGTGCCTCAGCCTCTTGAGTAACTGAGACTACAGGCACGTGCCACCATACCCGGCTAATTTTTTGTATTTTAGTAGAGACGGGGTTTCACTATGTTGTCCATGGTGGTCTCAAACTCCTGAGCTCAGGCCATCTGCCCACCTTGGTCTCCCAAAGTGCTAGGATTATAGGCATGAGCCACAGTGCCTGGCTGACTATAACTTTTAAAAATCAGAAGAGTTCTTTTTGGTTTTGAAGTTCTTCAGATTCACTAAGGAAGGATGAAATCTTTGTTTCTCTATATGGTATTACACTAATTTTTATGGTGAAATTATACATGCATACTATTTTCAATGTTAATATTATATCTTCAAATAAGGATACAAGTAAATGTATCCATAAGTGAATTATTTAGGTACAAATATCATCATATGTCTTTTTTTCATCATATGTCTTTTACTTGAAAAACATATTTCAAGCAAATAAAATGTTCAGATATTCTAAGAAATTTCCAACATTTCATGTCAAGATATTTCAAGATTGGTTGCAATTAATTTTTGTTGTTATGGAAGGCTCATTTTGTTGTTTCCTTCTGAAGAAGCAGGATTTTGGTGTAGATACATATTTTTCATTACAAATGCAGTAGGTAGAGCATAACCTATATAAGAATGTTCTGTATGAATTTGAGAAGAGCATTTTCTGAGCTCTAGAGACGAAGCTGAGTATTAACAATGCAGTACTCATGGTATCACATCTATTAATGCCTCAGTAGGAGGGACAGACATGAAACAAGTGTAGAGGTAATTCACCCTTTGTACTACCTTGGTACTATAACAAACCAAAGAGGATGAAAATATTTGTATAAACTGTGTGCCTTCTTTGATGCATACTTTAAAAACTGCCTTGGAAATCTCAAGATTAAAAAATTTGCATTTCTTATAAGTTAAGTAAGATAAATAACTTTTCTATGTTTATGTGATAAACTCCCTCTGTTTTCCTAGACCTTGATTCACATGAATTACATGATTCACATACTTTGCATGAAAGCAAAGTAATAGTGTCTATGAATTAAATAAATTCCTCAAGGACAAAGGAACCACTATGATGATTCATGATAATTGTGATACAACTGGAGGGACATTGGAAGACATTATGCCTAACTCATTTATTTCTTAAAGGAGTAATTAGAGGTAAATTTTAGCTAAATATGAGAAAGAAAATGTGCATCAACACAAAAATTTGCCTCTTCCCTTTTCAGTTTTTGTTTAGATTAAAACAGAATCTTTCATATCCTCTTAGAGCAGCAGCATAAGGAAATGTGGGAATTCTCAGTGGTGATGTGTCTATCCCTTCTGAGTATTCACAGCACTCCAGAGGTGGGAAAGAGGAGGTTTTTTTGTTTTTTTTTTTTCTGGATAAGACAAATCAGGAAGCGATCCTCCTGGGGTTGCTAACTCCAATAAGAGCAGATTAACATTCCAGAGAAGAAAGTGGCTGTTTGGCTTCATGAAGCAAGAGCATTATACTTGGCTGTGTCTGAAGCTGTAGCTAAAGGGAGAGAGGGAGAAAGAGAGAGAGAGAGAATGTTATTCATTTTAGGAATAATGGCATAGTTTTTGTAAATATATTTATTTAGTTTCAGAAAAATGACAGACTTTTAAACCTATTTCACAATCCTTACTATATATCACTTAATGGCAAAATTTTGGATACATCTGATTTTCCCCATGATTAATGGACTATATTTTAAACATTTGAACTCAGAAAGACACACAAATACTTGTATCCAGTCTTATGAAATAAGATCATTTATCAGCTCTACTTTATTTGCAAAAGAAGGTTCAGTTGCCCTTTATATTACTGTTAGAGCTCAAGACAATGTTTCTTTACTTATGAGCAGATGTTTGAAATCCTCCAGGAGGTTTCTATAAGACTATGGAAATGAACTTGGCATGGGTACTGGGCTCCCAGGTGGAGCGGTGCACATGAGCCTCCTTAGAAGTATTAGATCAAGGCTAGTCAGGGAGAGCAACAGAGCCTAGCCACCAAAAGCCGACTGCTTTGGTGAGTGACAGGTACAGGCTCCTTCTGAAGCATGAAAAGGAATGCTAAATGATCTCCCTGACAGAATAAATCTTCTGTTTGTTTGGTCTGGACCAGATGTGCTACAGGCTGATGTGGAAATGTCTGCTCATGCCAATTTCACTTTAAATCACAATTTGGCAGCCTGGTTAGTTTTGAAAGTTGCAGCCCATTTAGCACTTTAAACAGAAATGTTTCCTAATGGTCTTTTCATTTAATTTGCAAATCCACACCAGGGTCTAAATAGGGCTGTAAGAAGCTTTTCTCTGGAGAGGTTGGTCACTTGATGAAAGAATTCTGTCTTAAGATCGAATGGGATATATGGCTTTATTTCCTGTGCTCCCCTGAGTGATCTCTTTATATAGATAGTGTAGCTCTATGTGTCTAGCACTGTGCTGAGTGTAGTGCCACAGATCTATTTCTATTTTATATGCAAGTCACTTTAAGGTTTTAAAGACAGCAATACATATTTCCATTGTATTATGCAGTTCTCAAAATTTTGAGTTAGGAAGGATCTGAAAAGACCCACTTTTCCAATATATGTTGTATGTTACATACTTTAAATCTGTGGGCACTCTTTAGGATTCATCACAGACATGACCACTAAAGAAATCTTTGGGAAATTTAAAATTTTAGGAAAGTGAAAGATTCCCTTCTGAGAAGAGAAGTAATTCTTTTTTGAATTACTTGAAAATGTAATTGTATTTGACTTCATAGAAGTGATCTTTGTAGTTCTCATTAATAAATGGAAATGTTTATCAGTACTCTTATTTCCTGATTTCATGAGGATAGGAATCTTGGTCTATTTTATTCATTTCTGTATCCCAAGTGCCTCAAAAGAAGCCTGATACATAGTAGTTGCTCAATAAAACCTTGTTAAATATGTTAATTCAGATACCTAACTGTATTTTTATTATTCAATTGGAGATTAAAGGAAGAGTTACTAAAACTCCAGAAAGAATATTGATTTCTGTGGATTTAGATATGAAACTTCAACTGTGACCTACAGTTCTTGATCAAATCAAAACATCTCCAAGGACTTCTCATTAAGAATGGGAAAGGAGGCTGGGCACAGTGGCTCACAACTATAATCCCAATGCTTTAGGAGGCTGAGGCAGGAGGATCACTTGAAGCCAGGAGTTTGAGACCAGACTGGGCAGCATAGCAATACTCCGGCTCTACAAAAAACAAAACAAAACAAAACAAAAACAACTTTAGCAAGTCATGATGGCATGTGCCTATAATCCCAGCTACTGGGGAGGCTGAGGTGGGAGGATTACTTGAACCCCAGAAGTTAAGGCTGCAGTGAGCTATGATCATGCCACTGCACTCCAGCTTGGGCAATAGAGAGAGACTGTATCTCTAAAAATAAATAAGTATAGAAGTCAAAACTGTGCCTGGCTACACACACACACATACACACACACTTTTTTTTTTTTTTTTTGAGACAAAGTCTCACTCTTGTCCCCCAGGCTGGAGTGCAATGGTGCAATCTCAGCTCACTGTAACATCCGCCTCCCAGGTTCAAGTGATTCTTCTGCCTCAGCCTCCTGAGTAGCTGGGATTACAGGTGCCTGCCACCACGCCCAGCTAATTTTTGTATTTTTAGTAGAGACGGGGTTTCACCATGTTGGCCAGGCTGGTCTCAAACTCCTGACCTCAGGTGATCCACCCACATCGGCCTCCCAAAGTGCTGGGATTACAGGTGTGAGCCACTGCGCCTGGCAACATTTTTTTTTAAGTCAAAATACCAATCTCAAAGTAGAAAAAATTAAAATGTATTTAAAAGCTAGGGGCCAGTTTTTTAAATATAATCAAAGCTCCCCAAAATCAATAGAAAAGAAAGCAAAATGTGCTCAACTTCATGTTTAATGAAACGGAGGCTAACTAGATATCTGACAAAATGTCGTATTTTCACATGACACACTAACAAATAGCAAAAAGTTTGCTAATATGCCAAGTATAAAGGAATGGAGAAATAGGAACTCTTCTGCATTATTGCTAGGTATAAATTGCTGCATTCTATCTCAAAGGCATTTTAGTAGTAGCCCTTTCAATCAAATCAAAATTACAATCTCATGTGCTTTCACCTAACAACTCCACATCTAGAAAATTATGAATATATTTGTACCTATATATAAAATTGTATGTTTAAGAATAATCAAGAAAATGTTATGTAATGTTGTCTGTAGTAGCCAAATACAGTTGGTCCTTCATGTATGTGGGTTCTGCATCTGTGGATTCAACCAACCTCAGATGCACAATATTAAAAAAAATACAACAATAAAAACAATACAAATAAAAACCAATATAGTATAACAGTGACTTATATAGCATTTGCATTGTGTTAGGTACTATAAGTAATCTAGAGATGATTTAAAGCACACAGAAGGATGTGTGCAGGTTATATGCAAATACTACACAATTTTATATTAGAGACTTGATCAACTGAGGATATTGGTATCCACAGGGGCCCTGGAGCAAATTCCCCACACATACAAACGGATGGCAGTACTGGAAATAATCCATCGAATAGTCAATCAGTAGGATAAAACAGGTTAAATAAGTTGCAGTAGACTTATATTATGGGAAATTATGAAGCCATTGAAAACAAAGTCATGTAACCCTAACTACTGGTAGACAGCAGAAGAGAAATGAGAAGGAGCTCAAACCAAAAAAAAGCGTAATGAGGAGACAGTGAATTTTCTTTATTCATTCTGTGCATTTAAAAATATACTTTAGGGCGGGCGTGGTGGCTCACACTTGTAATCCCAGCCCTTTGGGAGGCCGAGGCAGGCAGATCATGAGGTCAGGAGTTCGAGACCAACCTGACCAACATGGTGAAACCCTGTCTCTACTAAAAATACAAAAATTAGCCGGGCATGGTGGCAGGCACCTGTAATCCCAGCTACTCAGATGGCTGAGGCAGGAGAATCACTTGAACCCAGGAGGCAGATGTTGCAGTGAGCCGAGATGGTGACACTGCACTTCAGCCTTGGTGACAGAGCGAGACTCCATCTCTCTGTCTGCATATATATATATATATATATATATATAACTATGTATATAACTTTATAGTATCCAGAGAAGTTTGAGAATATGTGTTTTTTGTGTGTGTATGTGTATAAGTGTATATCATGGTAAGGTTAGTGATGCCTAATTAAACTCTTAATTTAGTCTTCAGGCAATCTGTAATATAATCCTAAGTTTTAGTCATATTTACAAACATTGGAAGTTACCTAGGGATTTTTACTAATAATGATGTTATATTTTTAGATGCCAGATGCAAACGTTTTTCCCATGTGTGGAAATTTTGGGCCATTAAAGTGCTATTTTTGTGGAATGACTGTTCTGGTGCAATAAATATTGTCCTAGGAACTTGCAAAAGTTTATTATTCTTTTACAAAATGAATATTTTGTTTTTTAGTCACTGCAGGAATGAATAGCATAACCTGGATGAGTTTAATGGGGTCACACTGAGTGTAAATGGTGGTGGCTGCCTTTTCAGTGCCTAATTACTACCACGTTAAAGGTGCAGCTCCCAGGTGACTCTTGTCAATGCTCAGCTCCACTAAGTGCTTGGCTGTTACAATTAGCAGAAATCATAGAGGCATTCCTAAATATCTCAAAAATTGTGTTGTTAATATTAAAAGGGTAAATTTCTTTCAATCATGTAAACATAAATATTGAAAATGAAATGCAGATGTAAGAAAATTCCATCCTGAAAGGCTCTTTTTCTGAAATTTTTTTAATGCAACGAATTACGTTCTGTATACAAATGCCATGAAAATTTTCATGTTGTTGGCTGTATTTCAGCTCTAAGGGTGGTTGCCCTAATTAATTTTGCCACTGTATGACTGAGCCATCTAGCAGACATGTTGGATGCATTAGCAAATTGATGCACATGGATTGGCAACATGGTGAACGGAGTGCCAAACTTTTCCTTGTTTTGTCATGTGGGAGGGTAGAAAGCTAGAAGAAATGCATGAGGAGAGAGTCTGAAGTTTTAACAGTGGCAATTAAAGCATTTTGATATGGGCTGATGGAGAGTGATGATTCAGTGTGGCAGGGAGCCATGTATATACCTTTAATATATCTGTCTGTGTTTAGTGTAGCCATTGGTATAAATAGACTGCGTGATTTTTATGCAATTACTCAACTGTGTAGTTTCTCAACATGGGTTTTAAAGGTCCTTAGAAAATTTGTAGATGGACTTCAGGATATCTGTGAACATTCTGGAATTGAATAAAAGGTTTTTCTTGAATGTTCACTTTGCTGCTGTTGAAGAACCCATAGCATTCACTAGATTATCAATGTGATGAATGTAACTCATATACAAGTGTAGTTTATTGATCTGCACACAAATATCCAAGTTAGTATATGCTGGCAAACTCTCTGGAGCAGTAAAAAAAATCTGTAAAGAGTGCATAGCTAGAGAGAGTATGGGAAGGAACAGGCCCAGAAGACTTTATGTAGCTTCCAAAGCAGTGCTTATAGAAATTTCTGGTTATTTAAGGCAAAGGTGATGCTCATCACTGTAACAAGACACAGTGGACTGTGTCTACCTTTCTAAGCTAAAACTGTTCTGTACTAACAGAGTACACCTGAATATATTTAACATGTTTACCCTTGTAGATAGTTTCTTCCAGGGCTTCCTGGAAATAATCTCCATGGGAACCCTTCATTAAGCTGCCCTAAAATCTGTAATCATAAGATGTTAAAATATGTTGTTCTAGTGTTTGTGTTTCCATCCTTGTTGCCTTTCTGACTTTGTCAATAAAATCTAGACATTAAATATGTGGGACCCCCCAGTTCACATCTTATTTCCTTGAACATACTAAGATGAATATATGGGAATTCAATTAATTCAGAATTTCTTCCTTTTTGGTTTGACATTTATTTGCAGAATGTTTTCCATGTACCAGTAACTGAGTTTGTTTTCTGAATACAAAGATGAACATGACATGATCTGTCTTTGTAGAGCTCATAGATTAATGGGGGTGGGGGTTAAGAGAGACAGAAAGGCTGGGCGCTGTGGCTCACACCTGGAATCCCAGCACTTTGGAAGGCTGAGGCAGGGGGATTGCTTGAGCCCAGGAGTTTGAGACCAGCCTGGGCAACATGGTGAAATCCTGTCTCTACAAAAAGTAGCCAGGTGTGGTGGCACTTGTCTGCAGTCCCAGCTGCTTGGGAAGTCGAGGTGGGAGGATCACCTGAGCCTGGGGAGGTAGAAGCTTCAGTGAGCTGTGATGGTGCCACTGCACCTCAGCCTGGGTGACAGAGTGAGACACCATCTCAAAAAAAAAAAAAAAAAAAAAAAGAGGGAGAGACAGACAAATAAGCTTATGAAAAAGGAGCTTGTGAGTGTTTACTGTTTCATATCAAACTCTCAAATCAATCCCATCTTTGAGATTATAATGTAAACAGTTGACACATCTATGACAAGTTAGTGGATATTTCAATCATTTGAAACTTTTGGCATCTATCAGATCACCTTGCAGTCTTTGAAATATACAGTTGCTTGGAGCTGCATTCAGAGCTTTTGAATTAATAATTCTGGGCATGGAGTCCTGGTGTGAGCAGTTTGAAGAGATCCACAGTACTTCTATGCTTCTATGTGCTATACGTTGAGATCATTTGAAGTATTTTTTTTTTTTTTTTTTTTTTTTTTGGAGACAGAGTCTCACTCTGTCACCCAGGCTGGAGTGCAGTGGTGCAATATCGGCTCACTGCAACCTCTGCCTCCTGGGTTCAAGTGGTTCTCCTGCCTCAGCCTCCTGAGTAGCTGGGACTACAGGAGTGCACCACAGCGCCAGGCTAATTTTTTGTATTTTTAGTAGAAATGGGGTTTCACCGTGTTAGCCAGGATGTCTCGATCTCCTGACCTCATGATCTGCCCGCCTCAGCCTCCCAAAGTGCTAGGATTACAGGCATGAGCCACCACACCTGGCTGATCGTTGGAAGTTTTATTAAGTGTTCGCTATTTGATTTGAGATGGGTCTGTCACATCAGCATTTAGAAAGTCAGCCTAGTTACTATGAACCACATACCAGTAAGAATTTTGTCTGTACCCAGTGTTCTGTATATTGTGATGTGTTAACTTTAGACATGGAATAGTCTTGCATTTACGGTAGTTTTGTAGCTAAACTTTGTTTTTCAGAGCAGATCATTTTGCACCTGGTTACTAGAATTCCATTTACTCCAAAGGGAAGATAAACTATATCAACTGTTAGAATGTCATTAAAATATACCTCAAGGAATAGTGAAGTCTTCATAGAAAACTCTGACACCTGTTGTCTTTTACAGCAATCCCAAGTCTCTCATACATTTTCTTTATTTTTTTCTCTTGTTCTTGGGAGATGATTTCCATGAAAACGAGATCTTTATTTCTTGAGAGTTCATCTGTTTCTGCTGCTCAAAGGGGGAAAAAATGCTTAAAATTTAAGCTCCATGAGTTGAATTAGAATGCTTCTCGGCATTTTCCACAAAGATCAGTAGCTTTTTTTTGCGCTCTACCAGGAATTCAAGCCTTGCTGCACACCAGCTGCTGTTGGGATGAAGGTTTGCTGGTGCTCTTTTCTTGTGGACAGCCTTTCCAGCTCAGGTGATTGCAACTGAGGAAAAGGTTGGATTCCACCCATTTTCTCTCAAATGTTAACCTCATCCTGTAACCTGGTAATCCCTGAGTCTGATGACAGCTTTACCAAAGAGCATTAAGTTTCAGATAATGGACATAACACTTTATATGCAAGAGCTTATTTTATAATTCTTTTTAATGTCTCACCTTCCCCTTTATTTTTTATCCCTTTCTAACCAGAAAGAAAGTACTATTGCAAGTGAATGTAACAGAACTTTTCTAATTAAGTACTCGCCTAGATTGGTATTTGCTGATATATTGACTAATATGCTTTCTTGGTTTACTAGCTGTTTTCTTCCTGAATGCAGCATACTAAAATAGCTGAAAATGTTATATCCTATTTGTTTCAACTTAGAATATGATAGCATGAAAAGAAAAAAGCCTATGCTTATGTAACATTGTGATTTAATTTATTTAGATTTGAATGAAATCGATGAATATGGATCAATTTCTTTAACAAAGGCTTATGAGATTCTAGAAACTATACACATAGCAAGCTGTATTTTCAAGTATTAGAGGAGTTATGGCACATAGTAAAACATGAAAAATATTATAGTCCTATCACTCTCTTGACCCATATGGAAATTATAATAAAGTATCATGCAAAATGAAGCTTTCAGGCTAGTTTATGAATTTTCACTAACTAGTTACATAAAATAATACAATGAAACTACATGTTCTGCTTTACAATTTTGTTAGTGAAGAAAAAATTATTTCTCTAATTCATATAGCTATGGTCTCAAGGAGAAGTTGGAAAGAGCCCTATAAAAATGCACCTGCTATTTTGAACTCTCCTGCCTTCTTGCAAAAGTTATTTCTTCATTGAGGCTGACATTGATGGCTAAACATCTAAAAGCCATTCTCCTCTGCTTTTTCCATTGGCCAACCAGGAGAAAGGCTGAAAACATTGGTTATTCTCTTACCTTCCTTCCAGCTAAAGAGTGTTATCTGAACTAGACCTGACCAAGGACACATGAGGAGAATTACGCTGGAGACTTCTGGAAAATTATTCCTTCTTGATAAAAGGAGAAAGGCATACAAATATAAGCTCCCATTTTCCTTTATTGATTCTGTACATGTTTTGTGTGAAGATGTAATACTTTGAACTACTGTGTACATTTTGAAACCGCAAGGAGACATCATTAACTTCTTGAGGATAACAGAGCAGAAGGATTAGAAAAGTCTGGGTATTTGATTATATCAAGGAGCCACTGAATCAACTCTGTAACAGTCTACCTTAATATTTTTCTTCTGTGAACCAGTAATAAACACCTAATAATGGAGTCATTTTCAGTTGACGATTCTATTTTTTCAATAGAAAATAACTGATAATTTGGCAAAAGCTACAAGAACTTACAAAGGAGGTTAGCTCTATATGTTTAAGAGGAGACTCGAGATTTGACAATCTTCTATTTGTATGTAATCTGTCAATAATAAAACTAGATAAATTAAGAAGAAAATCTCAATTGATAGCTGGCAATTCTGCAACCAAGGACAAAAATTATTATACCTAATATGGATAGGAAGCCCACACCAATAAAATTTAAATGAAGAAATATGCTATTAAGTGGTACAAATACTTGTTAGGAAAACCAGAATTTCATAATATTAAAGACCAAAGGAAAGTCACAAGTTAGACATGTAATGGAAAATCTGAATTGAAGCCTATGTACATACTCTACTAGAAAACAAATTCACCCTTTAATAATGTTTTTGCTCTAGTTTACTGGAATGAAAAAAGAAAGAAAACCAGACAAAGACAAGAAACATTTTACATACATAACACAGATGGGCAATACAATTTAGTTTAAAAAAGTTTTAAAATTAAATATTTTTCATTGTAACAAATATGAAGTATATTCAATTTCACATTAAAAATATGATTTATCAAGGCAGGGTGCTTTAACATGAGTAGGGAAATCAGGGAAAACACTTGATAAAAATAGAATTGGAAATCTACTTAGCATTTATATATTTGAAAATGCAAGTAAATTTGTGGATAGTGATAGAATTATATGTGGCTCTGTCAGTAGACAAGCAGAATTTTACACTAGACAGAGTAATTTAAGTAATTCAGAAAAGAAAAACCTACACAAATGGAATGAACAGAACAAGATACTGTCTGAAATGGCACACAACTAAAAATGAACATATGTATTGATGATCTAGACTTTAAATTAATGCTTTGACTATGTGACTGGTGGAGCCAGAATAAGAATATTCCTTTCCATTTCCCACACCTAAAAATTTCCTAAAATCACCATTTAATGGCTATTAGTCAAAGATTGTTACATGACATCTTTTCAAAAATTGCTATTTCTTAGTATGTATATATGTCTCATCTCTCCAGGTAGAATAATAATAAAATTAAATACTTTTTTAGTGCTTACTATGGGACAGGCACTGTTCTAGGTGCTTCATTTTATTAACTTGTTTAAATCTCACAACCGGCCAATGATATGGCTAATAATACTATTCCCATTTACAAGATGATACATATGAATTACAGTGAGGTTAAATAAATTTATCTGGAATCATATAGCTTGTAAATAGCAGGTCCAGAATTGAAACCCAAGAATCCTGACTCCAGGCCCACCTCTCAATCATGCCATTTCGCTAATTCTTGCTCTTTAAAGACAGTGAAGAAAATGCTTGTATGTTTTTAATTTTCCCTTTCCCTTTGCTCAGGTTTCTAGCTCAGTGCAATGCATATTGTGAACATTCAACCTGAATTTATGAATGAATGGATAAATGATTGCTTGAGCGCATGGATCGACATAAAACCATTAGTAGGGGTTTTAGGGCAATCACACATCAAGTGATAGAAAGCGTCCTCATTGAAAATTACAGTGTCAATATTTAAATACCTCCACATATATATAGTATAGTGTGTACTCTGTTCTCATACAGCTTTTTAAGACATATGTACATACAACAATTATAATCATCAAATGTAAGGACACCAACTACAAAATTCCTTTAAACAAAACCCCTAATCTATAAGGTTGGCAATGAAGGCAAGAGGCATTAGTTAAGGTACAGTCCAAGATTCTATAAGGGAGATGCAAAAATAAAGTGGCTTATGTAATTCAGAAGTGTATTTTTCCCTCACAGAATAGAGGTACTGAAAGGCTGCCAGAGTCTTGCCATCCTCAAAATATGGCTTCCTTCTCTGTATCCAGTTCTTGTAATTTGAAAATAAAGAGGGCAAAGGAAGTTCATTCCCATTCCTTTTAAGGGCATAGCCTGGAAGTGACAAACATCAACTATGTTCCTATCTTCAAGCAGATCTAAGTCATGTGGCCACACCTAGTTGCAAGTGCTGGGAAATGTCCTCAGTAGATGAAGGGCACATGTGCTTAGAAAACTTAAAAACACTATTCTTAAACAAATGAAAAATGCATTTTGGGGGACAATAGCAGTCTCTGACCCAGCAGGAGCCATAGCATTGGGAAGAAGAGTGGGGCTGTAGAGCCTTAGCTTTTGATTTCTATGCTCACCTTCTCTTTAGGGAAATTTTCTTGGTTATGTCTCTGGCCCTAGTCAGTTATGCTTCCTCTTTAATACTATGGCCCCAGTGTGGACCCAGATGTGACCAGGTTGAAACATTTATATCCTTATTTTAATAATTTAAAAAATGAAAGTAATAGAAAAAGAATTCCCACACGTGGTTAAAAAGAGAGTGCAGGTAGACTTAAAAGGGAAAGCAGTACTCTTCTGCTCCATAGTGCCTTTCTGAAAAGGGAACATCTCTTTAATTTCTTTAACTATGTCTTCTGGCAACTATATACCTTTCTCAAAATACCATATTTATGTCTATTGTGCTTTAGTTTATAAATTTAAACATTATCTATTGAGTCTTAGCTCACTGACCAATAATGGCATACCTCCTACCCAATACAAACACATTAAAATTTTAGTTACTGTATCCATTGTCTCTGTAATCTTAAGTAATTTACTTACATATTCATCTCTTATTTGGTCAATTATAGAAAGTATTTCTTGATTCTCTACTTTGAAGGTGAGGATATTAGCACTTCTGACATTACTTTCAGCTTTCACCTTCGTCCTAACCCACATTTTGTCCTCTTTATTCTTAAATGTCAAGCTTGATAACACTGCATTGTCTTTATTAATGATAATTAAGTATCTCGCTATGCGTTATAAGTTGTTTCTAAAAGTTGAAAAATTAATACATATTGTTTACATTTTTATGACTAATGGGAATGAAATAGGTTAGTAGCTGGTTTGTGTCCTCCCAACCCTGGGAAACACTGGTAGAGAGGGAAAAGGGGGAGGTAGAAGAAAGGGAAAAATAACTCATTTTGGTATAAAATTAGACTTTATAGATTTACAAGTCATGGCCTGTTAGAAAGTGTCAATATTGGCTCTACAATTATCAAAGTATAAAAAGATATTTCATGAGTTGAAAGGGCTCCCTTTGGGTAAGCAATGCCCACATGTGCTACTTTGAGACTGCAGCTGTTAAATCTGGGCCAGATATGTCCTAATGTTGTAGAGAGGAACTGGGAAGCATTTCTGGTGGTCTTGAATTTCTCCATGTCCTTCTGTGTCTCACGGTAATCAATATTCCTTGAATTAATACTAAAGTTTGATACTAGGTAAGATCTGTGTTGCTTAAGTGTCTGATTTGGCAATCCAACACTTTGTTTATTCTCATTTATTTATTGTCGATCACTTACAGAAGCAAAAAAAGTGTGCCATAAATGCATTTTATTTCTCATTGAGACTATTTTCCTTAGAGTTTCTAAGTGCCTATATTTTCCTTGCAGTATTGTTTTTATCACACTCTCATTTCCCTGAAGTACATTCTCTTAAGAAATGTTGGATTGAAAATGGCTTTTCTGTGTTCTTGCATCTCTAAAAGTATCTGTAATAATATTTCACATTTGATTGATCAATTGGCCACTCTAGAATTCTAGTAAAAGATAACTTTCTCTTAGAATTATGCAGGCAATGTAACACACACTTTAAATTTGATGTTGAGAAGTCTGAGACCACTTTGTGTTTTGCTTGGCCAAAGGCATGTAGTGTGTTCCCTTAGTACATTTCACAAATAATTTTATTTAAAAAAATTTGATTTTTATTAGCTTTTTCAAGGACAACGACAATTGCCCAGGTGTCATCTCAAATTAAGCAAGTACTTTACCTATCACTATCTTAGTTTTCTCATTGAAAACTGGGACAGAAAACATTACTAAGTTTTTTCTAGTTTTATAAATAATGATAATAGTAAGTGGTATCTTTTCAAAAAGGTTTTGTATCTATTTCTATTGTCCTAACTTGCCTTAATAGATATTTGAATAGTAGATAGGGCCATTATTGTTATTCCCATTTTATTGCTGAAGAAACTGAAGCACAAAGACGTTAAAGAACCTCCTAAAGGCAAGACAGCTTTGTTTTGTTTAATATACAATTTTAAAAGTTGTTTAAAGAATGTTTAAAACAAAGTGTACTGTATTAATAATTGCTAAAAGTATTATTTTAAAAACATAGCACTCTAAGGAGTCTTCTCTCATACACAAAATAATAATCCTGCTCTCTACACATTGAACAGGTTTTTAAAATTGTAAGCATTGGTGAATTTTGAGGATGAAAAATGAGATCAAAATACACACACACATATGCTACCAACAAATACCATAGTTTACTGTAGTAATGCTTCATAGTGAAATAATTTGGAAATTTTGACAAGATTTTACCAGGCAGTACAGACAAAGGAAAGGTCAACATTTTATATCTTTAGTACAAGATGATGGACTTTAATATTAGGTGAAACCCCATCTCTACTAAAATACAGAAAATCAGCTGGGCTTGGTGGTGCACGCTTGTAATCCCAGCTAGTTGGGAGGCTGAAGCAGGAGAATCTCCTGAGCCTGGGAGGTGGAGGGTGCAGTGAGCTGAGATTGCGCTGCTGCACTCCAGCCTGGGTAACAGAGGGAGATCCTGTCTCACAAAAAAAAAAAAAAAGAACATTCTTAGAGAACATCATATAAGAGGCCTGATTATTTTTATTTTATATTAATTAATTTTCAGAAAAGTCACATGAACATTCAACAATTTCTGGTAATTCTATTACTGACCTAGAAATTTGTATATCTTGTTGAACGCACTATTTTTTTCCTTCTCTAGTCTCCTTGGACATCACACATCTCTTCTGCTCTGAGACTTTATGCCATACTTCACTGGGGAAAAATAAGCCATTAGATGGAAACCCCTTTATTTTCCACTATGGAACCCACATATCTCACTGCATCTATACATATTTTCTTGTTCTCTTCTGTTACAATTATAAGCCCCTTGTCTTCATTTCAGTGGTCATCTCCCCTCTTGCGTTCTGCAGCCCATCTGCCCTTAACGATGAAAGACTTTGGCCTACTCAGGTTTTCTTCTACCCTGCATAATTAATTTCTTCCAATCTTCTGGATTATTCTCGTCAACATGTAAAGTTACTCTAGTGACTTCCATTCTAGAAAAACAAAAATGCTATTTTCATTTCTGCTACATTTTTCACTTCTAGAGATTTTATTTTATTCTTTTTAAAATCAATCTTTTTTCTTAATCTCTTTTCTGGATTTTGGTCCTTTCTTTAGCTCATTGAAAAATTTAAACACACTTACTCTACAGCCCCCTTTCAGATTGCTCTGGTTATTCAGGATAATTTATGTGGTTTTTCAGGTTCCTTCTGCATGCCCAAGACGTGTGGCATTATCTAGTTCAGAACTGACTTTATGTCTACCTTTGCTCAGGGTTTCAAGTTACACACCGCATGCAGAGTGCAAGTTTGGGTCCCATATCTATGTTGGGCAATCTTTGGATTCCCCTCTCCCATGTCTCCTTCCACTTATGATTTGATGTAAGCAGTAAACTGCTTTAGTCCTATGCCAGGGAAGGGAGATTTTTCTGGTGCCTGTTCTTAGATTGTGTTGTGATTTCCCAGTAGAAAATTACCCATAAAAAAGCAAAGCAAAGCAAAACAAAACAAAACAGGCTATATTCTGAGTCCCCACAGATGGGCTCACATGCACTGTAGTAGAAAAACAATTGGCAAGAATCAGACTCAGTTTTGTTTATCCACAATCTGCCCATAATGGAAGGGAAACAATTTCTTTAAGGCCTTGGTTTTCAAAGTGCGGTCTCTGGATCAGCACTTCCCCTGTACCCCCACCAACAAACAAACAAACAAACAAACAAAAAACCGTACTCCAGACGGATAGGATAAGAATCGGCATTTTAACACTGTCCCCTGGTAATTCCTATATGTATTAAAGTTTGAGATGCTATGTGTTGAGGACTCTGAGACTAAGTTCCAAGAGAATCATGGAAAATAAAAAATTTAATTTTTTTTGCTGTATTCATCCAATTATGAGTAAAAATAGGCTCTGCAACAGTCATGTCATGAGGCCAGAAAAAACAATACACTTTCTTTCTAAAGTGAAATATACAATTTAAGATGAGGAGAATAAACTATGACACAATTTTTATTTTTCTTTCCCCCTTAATATATAACACATATATAATAATTTACATATTTATGAGGTACATGTGAGTGTTTGCTACATGCAAAGAATATGTAATGATCAAGTAAGAGTAACTGGGATATCCAGTTACCCTCATCACCTTGAGTATCAGTCATTTTGCTTTTTGAGACAGGGTCTTGCTCAGTCTCCCAGGCTGGAGTGCAGTGGCACACTGGTAGCTCACAGAAGCCTCCACCTTCCTGGCTCAAGTGATCCTCCCATCTCAGCTTCCCAAATAGCTGGGACCACAGGTGTGTGTCACCATGCCCGGCTGGTCTCAAACTCCTGGGCTCAAGCACTTCTCTCACCTCATCTTCCCAAAAAGTTTGGATTGCAGGCATGAGTCACCACATTCAGTGTGTTTATCATTTTTATGTCTTGCTATTGTTTTAAGCCCTCTTTTCTAATTACTTTGAAGTATATAATTTTATTGCTAACTATAGTCACTCTAGTCTGCTATCAAACATTAGAACTTATTTCTTCTATCTAACTGTATGTTAGGACCCATAACCAATCTCTTTTTACCCACCCACCACCCTCCCTTCTCAGTCACTGGTATCAATATATCTGCTCTCTATATCCATGAAATCAAGTTTTTTTTTAGCTCCCATATATGAAGGAAAACTTACGATATTTGTCTTTCTCTTCATGGCTTATTTCAGTTAATATGATGACCTTAAGTTCCATCTATGTTGCTGTAAATGACATGATTTCATTTTTTAATGGGTGGATTGTATTCCACTTTGTATATATATATATAGTATTTTTATCCACTCATCCATTCATTAGGCACTTGGGTTGATTCCATATCTTTGCTATTGTGAAGAGTGCTGTAATAAACACGTAAAAGCAGGTATCCTTTGGATATTCTGATTTTTTTCTTTTGGATAGATACCCAGGAATGAAATTACTGGATCAAATGGTAACTATTTTTAGTCCTTTGAGAAATCTCTCTATACTGTTTTCCATAGTGGCTGTACTAATTTACAGTTCCATCCACAATATGTAACAGTTCCCTTTTCTTTGCATCCTTGCCAGCACCTGTTATTTTGTGTGTTGTTAATAATAGCTGTCCTGACTGGGGTGAGATGATACCTCATTGTGTTTTTGATTTGCATGCCCTTGATGTTGAACATTTTTCATATACCTGTTGGGCATTCATATGTCTACTTTTGAGAAATATCTATTCATGTTCTTTGCCCATTTTTAACAGGATTATTTGCCTTTTGTGTTTTGTGTTTTTTGTTTTTACTATTGAGATATTTGAGTTCCATGTATATTCTGGGTATTTGTCCCCTGTTGGATGAGTAATTTTCAAATATTTTCTCCCATTCAAGAGGTTGTCTCTTCACTCTGTTGATTATTTCTTTTGTTGTTCAGAAGCTCTCCAGTTTAATATAGTCCCATTTGTCTATTTTTGCTACTATTGCCTATACTTTCAACGTATAAGTCAGTTTCTTTGCCTAGGCCAATGTCCTAGAGAGTTGTCTCTATGTTTCTTTCTAGTATTTTTACAGTTTGGGGTCTTATATTTAAATCTTTAATCCATCTTAAGTTGATTTTTGTATATGGTGAGAGATAGAAATAGTTTCATTTTTTTGCTCAACTTCAGTTTTAAACTTCATTCCAGTTTTACCGCACTATTTATTTATTTATTTTTTGAGACGGAGTCCTGCTCTGTTGCCCAGGCTGCAGTGCAGTGGCATGATCTTGGCTTACTGCAAGCTCCACCTCCCGGGTTCACGCCATTCTCCTGCCTTAGCCTCCTGAGTAGCTGGGACCACAGGTGCCCACCACCACGCCTGGCTAATTTTTTGTATTTTTAGTAGAGACGGGGTTTCACCGTGTTAGCCAGGATGGTCTCGATCTCCTGACCTCTTGATCTGCCCACCTTGGCCTCCCAAAGTGCTGGGATTACAGGTGTGAGCCACCGCACCCGGCCTACCCACATCATTTATTGAAGAAGATATCCTTTCCCCACTGTATATTCTTGGCAACTTTGTTGAAGATCAGTTGGCTATAAATACGTGGATTTATTTGTGGGTTCTGTATTCTGTTCCACTGGATTATGTGCCCATTTTTATACCAATACCATGTTGTTTTGGTTACTATAACCTTGTAATATATTTTGAAATCAGGTAGTATGATGTTTCCAGCTTTGTTCTTTTTGCTCAGGATTGCTTTGGCTAGTGGGCTTTTCTTTGGTTCCACATGAATTTTAGGATTGATTTTTCTGTTTCTATGAAAATGACATGTTATTTTGATAGGGATTGCATTGAAGCTGTAGATTCCTTGTGGTAGTACAATCATTTTAATGATATTAATTCTTCTGACCCATTACCATGAGATATCTTTCTGTTTGTGTCCCCTACAATTTCTTTCATTAGTGTTTTGCAGTTTTCCTTGAAGAGATATTTTACCTCCTTGGTTAAAATTATTCTTGGGTATTTTATTTTTGTTTGGTAGCTATTATAAATGGGATTGCTTTCTTGATTTCTTTTTTTCTTTTTTTGGCTGTTTCATTAGTGGTATATAGAAATGTTACTAATTTTTATATGTTGTTTTATATCCTGTAATTTTACTGAAATTTTTTATGAGATTCTGAGAGCTTTCTGGTGGACTGTTTTGTTTTTTCTAGAGAGATCATGTCTTCTGCAAAGAGTCAAATTTGACTTTCTATTTTCCAATTTAGATGTCTTTTATTTCTTTTTCTCACTTGATTGCTCTGGCTATGACTTTCAGTACCATGTTGAATAGTAGTAGTGAAAGTGGGCACCCTTATCCTGTTCCAGCACTTAGAGGAAAGGCTTTTGGCTTTCCCCCATTCAGTATGATGTTAGCTATAGGTTTGTTATATACAGCCTTTGTTATTTTAACGTATGGTCTTTCTATTCCTAGGTTGTTAAGAGTTTCTATCATGAAGCGATCTTGAATTTTGTCAGATGCTTTTTCTGCATCTATCGAGATGATCATATGATTTTTTTCTTCATTCTGTTGATGTGATGCATTAAATTTATTGTTTTGCATATATCGAACCATCATTGCATCCCTATGTGAAATCCCTCATGATTGTTTTGTGTCATCTTTTTGGTGTGCTGTTGGATTCAGACGCTAGTACTTTGTTGAGGATTTTTTGCATCTATATTCATCAGGGGTATTGGTCTGTAGTTTTATTTGATGTGTCCTTGCCTGGTTTTGACATCAGGGTAATGCTGGCCTCACTGAAAGAGTTATAATTGTCTCTTCTATTTTTGGAGGGAACAGTTGGAGGAGAATTGGTATTAGTTCTTTTTTATATGTTTGATAGAATTCTTCAGTGAATCCATCCAGCCTCTTTTTTGTTTTTGTTGGGAGACTTTATTACTATTTCAATCTTGTTACTTGTTATTGGTCTGTTCAGGTTTTCTATTTATACCTGATTCAATCAGGGTAGGTTGTATATTTCCAAGAATTGTTAGTTTTCTCTAAGTTTTCTGGTTTGTGAATGTATAGTTTTCACTATAGTCTCTGATGATCTTTTAATTTCTGTGATATTTGTTGTAATGTATCATCTTTCATGTATGAGTGTTTACATGGGTCTTCTCCTTGCTTAGTCTGGTCAGAGCTTTATATATTTTGTTTATGTTTTCAAAGAACAAACTTTTCATTTCATTGATCCTTTGTATTGTTTTTCTAGTCTCTATTTTATCTAGTTCTGCTCTGATGTTTCTTATTTATTTTCTTAGGCTAATTTTTGGTTTGGTTTATTCTTGCTTTTCTAGATTCATGAGGTGCATCATAGATGTTTATTTGAAATTGTTTTTACATAGGCATTTATTGCTATAAACTTCCCTTTTAGCACTGCTTTTGCTGTGTCCCTTTGCTTTTGGTTTCTTGTGTTTCAATTTTCATTTGTTTCAAGAAATTTTTAAATTTCCATTTGTATTTCCTCATTGACCCATTCATAGTCAAAAGTATCTTGTTTAATTCCCTGTGTTTGTATAGTTTCCAAAGTTCCTCTTGGTATCAATTTCCAGTTTTATTTCATTGTGGTTTGAGAAGATATCTGGTATGCTTTTTATTTTTATTTTTAATTGAAACTTGTTTTGTGTTCTAATATATGGTCAATCCTAGAGAATGTTCCATGTGCTGATAAGAATGTATATTCTGAAGGGTTGGATAAAATGTTCTGGAAATGTCTGTTATGTTCATTTGATCTGAAGTTCAGTTTAAGTGTGATGTTTTTATTGATTTTGTCTGGATGATTTGTCTAATGTCGAGACTGGGGTGTTGAAGTCTCCCGCTCTTATTGTATTAGAATATATCACCTTATTTAGATCCAGTAATATTTGCTTTATGAACAGGGTGCTCCAGTGTTGGGTGCGTACATACTTAGAATTGTTATATCCTTTTTCTGGATTGATCCTTTTATCATTATATAGTGACCTGCTTTGTATGTTTTTTCCTACTGTTTTTTACTTAAAGTTGATTTTATCTGCTATAAGTATAGCTACTCCTGCTCACTTTTGGATTCCATTTGCATGGAATATAATTTCCCATCCCTTTACTTTCAGTCTATATGTGTCTTTATAGGTAGAGTGTGTTTCTTATAGGCAGCATATAGTTGGATCACTAAAAAAAATCCCTTCAGCCACTTTTGAGCAGAGAACTTAACTTATTTATGTGAACGGTTATTATTGATATGTGCAGTTTTGTGCCTGTAATATTGTTAATTGTTTTCTGGTTGTTTTTTATGTTCTTTTTCCTTTCTTTTTTACTTATTGATTGTCCTTGTTGTTTGCTGATTTTCTGTGGTGGTGCCATTTGAGTATTTTCTCTTACTCATTTGTTTGTTTACTTTACCACTGAGTTTTATATTTTTGTGCATTTTTTATGAGAGTAACTGCCACCATTTCACTTCCAGCTTTAGAATTCCCTTGTACATTTCTGGTAAAGGAGTTCTAGTGGTGATGATTCCCTTGGTATTAGCTTGCCTGGGAAAGACTATCTATCTTTCATTTGTGAGAAATAATTTTTCTGGACATAGTTATCCTTGGGTAGCAGGTTTTTTTCCTTATATCCTCCCATTCCATTCTGTAAGGTTTTTGCTGAGAAGACCACTGTTATTCTGACTGAAGCTCCTTTATAGATGACTAGCTGATTTTCTCTTGCAATTTTTAGAATTTTCTCTTTAATTGACTTTAGATAGTTTGACTATAATGTGCCATGGAAAACATATTTTTTCATTGTATATGATTGGGAATTGCTGGATCTCTTATAGAGATGTTTAAATCTCTTTCTGGATTTTGGAGGTTTTCATCCATTCTTTCACTAAATGGGTCTTCAGATACTTTTGTTCTCTCTTCACCTTCAGAGATACCAATAAATTGTTTATTGAGTCACTTTATGGTATCCCATATATTACAAAGGCTTTGTTCTACTTATTTTATTCTTTTCTTTTTATTTTTGTCGGACTGAGTTATTTTAAAAATTTGTCTTCAATTTCTGAGATTCTTGCTTTTGTTTAATCAAGTCTGTTGTTGAAGCTTTCAAATTTATTTTGTATTTTATTTGAGGAATTCTTCAGTTCCAAAATTGCTCTTTGGTTCTTTTTTATTATATCTATCTCTTAGGTAAATTTCTCATTCATACCCTAAATACCCTAAATTGTTTTTCTGATTTATTTGTATTGTTTTTTGGAATTCTCTTATATATCACTGAGCTTCATTTGTGTCATAATTTTGAATTCTTTTCCTGGGATTTTATTAACTTCTTTTTGATTGGAATCTGTTGCTGGGAAATTATTGTGTTCTCCTGGAGGTGTCATATTTCCTTGCTTTTTCATGTTTCCTGTGTCCTTATTTTGTTATCTGTGTATCCGATGTAATTGTTACTTCTTCCAGTTCTATGAATTTGCTTTAGTGTGGAAGAACTTTTTCCTGAAGGTATATCAGTGGTGTTGGTTGTGTAGGGCTCTTCGGCTTTGATTCTGGGTATGTGTGATAGTCCAGTCTCTTTACGATTTCTTCAGCTGTCAATAGTGTCAGTGGTATTTGTAATTTTTTGGTGGTTTAGCATGTAAACCACCATGTGAGGGCAGGGATACCAAGTGGGCAAGGCTTCAGTCTTCAGTGTTGGCAGTGGTGGACCAGCCATGCCTGATCATGGACCCCACGATGGCATATTGTAGCACTAGTGTCAGTGCGACCAAGTGGGACAATTCTTGGGCCTCCAGGTTGCTTGCCTGGATGCCAGTCTTTGCAGTAGTAAGCCACTGGGTGAGCGAGTTCTTGGGTCCCTAGACAGCTGGTGTTGGTGTGATGTGGAAAGTGGCAGTAGTAGTAGCAGGACAACTCTTTGGGTACTAAGTGGTGCACATTGGTGTTGGTGGTGGCTGCACTGTGGTATCACCACCCATAGTTGCAGACATGCAGCTCTCAGGCTCTCTTATGTGTGGCAGCAGCACCCAGTGCCCTACACAGAGTGGGGGAAAGACCCCACACTTCATGCATGAGACACACTGGGAAACAGAGGCCATACTACCAGTTAAGGTATAGTTACCACTCACAGTCCCAGACAGGCAGTCCTCTGGATCAACCAACCCAGCCTCTGGCATCAACAGCAGTGGCTGTGCCTGCAGCAGTGTGCAGAGGAAGGGGGTCCTGCCATCTGTGCATGAGTCTGAGCACAGAGGCTGATTGCCTTTGGGAGGGGATCTCACTTTCCACTTGCAAGTCTGAGCACAGAGCTTCTGGCACTGCTGATGATAAGGTCATGTCTCATAGTCTCAGATGGGGAATTCTCCCAGGAATTGCATTTTTAGTGCACTGCACCATCCTTTCCCTGGGAGGAGTACTTTCTGTGGGCTAGAGTACTGGAGACCCCATAGCACCTTTGGGTCCAGCCAGATCCATGCCATTGTAGCCCTCTGGGTGGACACTGGGGAATGCCACTGGGGACTCCTGAGATGTGGGGATATGTTGGCTGTGGTTCCCAGGGCAGGATGCAGTCCTGTGATATCTGCTCTCACATGGCCACCCCACTGCAGCTGCTTAGGTCTTGGTGGGGGCAGGGGTAGGTTGAATGATCCAACATGAGTTTTCTATTTGGTCCAATGCCCTTTTGGGGTTTCCAAAACATTGCCCATGCTAGTGCCAAGGCTAATGGGTACAGAGAAACTCTCCCATGGTTTAGACTGCAGCAGTCCATGGACTGCTAAAGTTCTTTTACTTACACTTTGCCCACAATACAGATCCTCTTTGGTCTCCTTGCTGATCTTGGTGGATTTGGCCATTTGCTTTCATCTCCTTCTGTGCCTCAGCTGTTTCCCCTATAGCATAGTTTTTCTTTCCCACTCCAAGAATAAATCACCTTTTGGTATTTCCGTGTTCTATATAACACTATTCTACTGACCATGTACTTTTGGACCATGTTATCTTTGGAGTTTCTTCACCTCAAGATAAGTGGTCTGTGGGACATTCTTTTTTCTCAGTGGCTTCATGTAGGTCCTCAGTGTTTCCACAGCAGATCCTATTCTTCATATATTTAGAGATAATTATGCCTGTCAAGTGACATATTTTTAAATGAGCAAAATACCATCAAAATGTGCCTAGTCACCTGAGCAAACAGTGTACCCTTTTAGAGCAGGGATACAGCTCTTGGAGTGAATCATAACTAATGTTTCACATGTCAATTCAAAACAAAAAATAATTGAGTCATCTTACAGGAAAAAATTATCATAATTATAATAATTAATGACTAGCATTTACTGAGGTTGTACTAAGCATTTAATATGAGTATCCTTCTTGACTGTCATCTATGAGGCAGGCTCTGTTTTCTTTTCATTATTATAAAGATGAGGAAGCAGAGTTCCAGAGACTCTAACACACATGGTCTCTGTGCTGGTTAGGAAAATATTAATAGCTGAAGTTTGACTTCAGGTAGTGTGGTTTCAGAACTCTGGATTTTGGCTGGTCGCGGTGGCTCACGCCTGTAATCTCAGCACTTTGGGAGGCCAAGGCAGGTGAATTTTTGTGATTAAGATGTATTTACACAAAAGAGCAGTATTTCCTAGGCTTGTCTGTGATTGGCATCTAGAAGACTTGTTAAAAATGTTTTTCTCAGGTCCTTTCCCTTGGGGTCAATATGAGGAATCTGAGTTTAAGAAGCTTTACAATAATTCTTATCAGCAATGCTTTAAACAAATGCTTTAAGAGATATTAAAAGATGTGAATATATGGCCTTATTATGTAGCTTAGAATTGATTAAAATGAGGTACTTTTTTTATTTTCATAATATAGGGAAGAGAGGAAGCTCAGGAGACCAACTAGAAAAAGCTTTCTGTTGGTCTGAAGGGGAGCAAGTCACATTTAACCAAAAATAATAATCACATATTTAAAATAAAATATTAGAGACGGGTTCATAATAGAGGGGATTCTGGAAGATGACACTGTAACTTCTCTTATCTTTGCTTCTACTAAACATCTACCAAGAGTTTTGACACCTCCCCATAGCCAGGTAAGGGGTCTTTTATGAGTGGACATTCACAGGTGTAAACTTTTGCCTAAATGTTCAATATAATATTCTTTTTTGTACTACATTCCTTAAACCATTATATATACAGGAAATATGGATTTTAGAATACTCTGTACCTCATAAAGAGAGCAAATAATACTATGTCACTATGATAGTCATATAACTCAAATGTTCTTTCAATGAAGAGAAAATCAATATTGCTTCAGGAAAGGTTTTAGATAGATGTACTGCTAACCTCAAGAGCTCAAGGTGAAAATTTTTTGGAGAGTCATTATTTGAAGGAAATTGAATATCATGGTGAAACAATAGAAAAATCCAAAAGGTAGAACATTCTGCAGGACAATTATCCTGGGCTCTTGAAAAAATTGGTGAGATAAAAATAAGAATCAAAATTGTTCTAGGGTACAAGAGACTAAACAGACACAGCCAAATGCAGTGTGCAGATTTAGGTTGGATCCTAGTCAAAATAAAACAGCTATAAAAGATTATCTTGGGAGAATTGAAGATACCTGAATATAAGTTAAATATATGATATTTTAGAACAATTATTTATTTTGTTAGGTCATGATGGCACTTTTTTCTGGTTCTTATTTTTAGAAGATGTGTGCTGAAATATTTAAGGGTAAAATGTCATGATGTTGCAACTTTCAAATGGTAGAGTTTTACATATGTACGCATACATGTAGGTACATATAGGGAAAGGGAGAGAAAATATTGCAGAAAATCCTATCAACTATACTATTTACTACTAAAATGAACAGGATCTCCTTGGAGATATGGTTGGTGTAGAAATGTACAAGATGGGCTTCAACATATCATTATGGCTGATGTCAAGGAAGCTACCAAAGACTACTAGGTTTGTATAAAAAGACCAGTGAGACAACTTGAAAGGTTTCCTGTGCCCAAACATGGAAAACTTCTGCATCAGTAAGGATGATTACTTCATATATTTAAACATATAAACTGTTCAGTTTCATTCGTTCTTACTGATACATTAAAAAATAATTGGTCATCCTTGGAGGATGAAATATTTTGAAGATTGATAAACGAAGATTAGAACTGAATATTTATTTTGCCTTTTCTATACAAATGTACTACTGGGTTAGTAAATAGCAGATGAAGGGACATTTTTCCTTATAGATCTATGTTAGCCTATACCTAATGAAGATGAAATGACAAAACTAAAATATCAATATTTTGCAACACCTAATGAATTAATGGATCTAGGTATTACATATCAGTGGTTGCTAACATCATGGAAAGAGAGACAACCAACTACAAAAAATAATAACCTTGTGAGGTAATGAATTTGTTAATTAGCTACATATAACCATTCCACAATGCATACTTACTTCAATACATATTGTACACAATCAAACCTTGCAGTGTTACCTGTCAACTTTGAATCTTTTTTTTAAACACAAGCAAATATACAGCCCCTTAATAGAGGAGTGTACCAACTTCTAAGAAAATATCCTTGCCAAAAATATCAACCCTGAATCTAATAAAACCTTTTACATCCAACTACAAATTTATAAGAAATATACAAGTCAGAGGAACATATTTAAAACAAAACAAAACAAAGCTTCATGGGATACAACCATAAAAATCCAGACTATGGGAAAATCTAGAGAACAAAACCTAGTTTTGTCAACCAATGAAATGTAAATACGATAGGGGGAAAAAGCTATAGATTAAACAGGTCGTAAGAGACATATTGTCTAGTTGTTATATGTTGACCTTATTTGGATTCTGATACAAATAACATTTTTATAAAATGATAAGACATTTGAGCATTTACTGAATGTTTGAATCTATTAAGGCTGTTTTTGGTGGTATAGTGTTATTGTAGTTATGCGACTTTTATTTTTGAGGAGTTTTTATTTTTTAGAGATATATGCTAAAATACAGAAAAGTGTTGTGTTCCATAATAATATGAAAAGGGAGGAGAAGGTGGATGACATAAGACTTTCCAAGAGTTGATAGTATTTGAATGTAGGTGATATGCAACTTTCCTTTTTAAAAATGTAAATTGTATTGATTGTCTACTTTTAGTAGAGCCATCAAAATATAGCTTGGAATGAGAAAATAAAAATATTCTCAGTATTTTTCTTGAGGTTATGCTACAGCTCTTGTTAAAAAAGAAGAAAACTATGAAGTTGTTACTATTACTATCTGCATTTTACAGTTGAGGAAACTCAAGCTGAGGGAGATAAAGTTAATTGCATAAGGTCACACACTATGGGTTGCCATGAAGCCAAGTTCCAAACTTAAGCATCTGGACCAAAGACCCTTGTGCTTAACCACATGGATGCATATCCCTGGGTTGAGATTTTCATGAGTCTATTTTGAGCTAGCATAATTGGCAAAATTTTCTCTATATGGAACTTATAAGTAACTTTATGGCTTATTTAGAGAGTGCAGATTCAAAATTAGGTCTAGGCCAAGAAGCAAGGCCATGTGACATAGATGCTAATGGTTTATATCTCTAGAGTCCCACCACATATGAGTTGAACCTGTTTGGACACATGAAAATATACAGGAATGATCACAGCCCCTCCATATGGATATTAGAGTATGAATTTTTGAAATGGTAAGAATGGGTAATCATGTTATTGTTCCCTTCATCCATATGCAAAATAGGGAATGGAAATATCTCCTTTTGTGTTGGGGATGCTTTCTGTGTCTAAGAAGCAAGAATCTAGAAAATGTTTTTTCATTGTATGGGCTGTAGTAACATTGTTTGGAATCTTCAAGCAAGACAATTGACTCATAAGAATGAATATAAAAAGAACTCCAGCATATTAGAAATCTTCCTTATGCTAATGTGTTCTGATATTAGAAACAAATTGATTACATCTGTAAAATAGAAAAGAAAGAAAAATGATACCCCCAGGATGCAACAGGGAAAGTTTAATAAGCTGCCTTAAATCATTCAACCTACAACACATCTAAAATGTTAATTAAGCAACTTTTTTTTTTATCTTCACCTCTGCTCTGCTGGCTTTAGTAAAAGCCTGTCTGCCAGCGTAACTCTCTACAGGTACCTCCAATTCTGTTTGAAGTTGGTGATCTGGGCTTGGCTCATAACATTCACAGTAGATTTACCTGAAAGATCAATAAAAGCATGTTCAAAGCTAGATTGGCTTCATAGAGCCCAGGATTTTTATTAATTCATATACACTTCCTAAAACTTTCACTATAAAGAAAAAAGAAGGAAACTTGAGAATATTCACATTGTAAGAAATTGAATTGGTATCATGGAGTTTCAGAATTGGTTTGGAGCCTGTGAATCCCCTTACATGTCAGAATTTGTGGAAGCTCCAAGTGCTGAGTCTTTCTTAAATCTTCTAGGAGGTCTTAGAATCATCAATCACGTCAAAAAGTGTTTGATAAGTGCCAAGCTCTTTGTCCTGGATGCTGTGCAAGGTTAGTAACATGGATTTTGCTGTTAACAGATGCCACTGGCCTCAGTAGAATATGTATATCTTGATGTCAATTAAAATTTTTTAAATAATTTTATGAAACAGTTTGAAGAGAGTATAACAAAGAATAAATTAAATCAGTTAAAGAAGATTTGCAAGTTCCATGTGAAGAAGAAGTAGAGTCCTTGGACCTGGGAAAAGAAGGGTGAGGTAACATTTCAGGAGGCAATTAGTATTGGAGAAAAATAAAGAATGCATTTTGGAGCCAAATAGAATCCTGGCTGGAGTGGTCTTGAGAAATTTGCTACTCTCTTTGAGTCCCAATTTCTGTATCTGTAAGTTAGGAATAAGACAAAAATAACTGTGTGATTTAAAGAAAATAGTTTGTTTTCTCATTTACAGAATTATGGATTTAGAAGAGCTATTTTGAAATAATCCCTCCTGAACTATGACTCTTTCATTTTAAAAGATGAAATAGTATAAGGGGAGATATTTTTGACATATTCTGGGATTTGGAGTGTCTTTCATGAAAACAGTGGCATTTGCACAGCTTGATGTGTCCAGCGTAAAGGCTGTTGACACGTTAAGTAAAGCAGAGAGGTCCAGCTATAGGGCATGGAGTGGGATGATTAATAAGTAATTTGATTAGTATGTATCACTTACTGGAAATGTGATCTCATGTAATGACAACTGTTAATTTTTCTTTGTTGGAAAAGGCAATCTTCTTTTTTTTTTTTTTTAATTTAACGACTGTATGGTTTGACTAAGAGTGTAAAATTAGGACCTAGAAACTAATCAACCAGCAGAGAAGCTTTGATCTTTAAAATGCTGGAATTATCTTTAATTAGGAGATTTGTATTGGTTAAATAGTGGGCTTAAGGCAAAATTATTATCATTTTGTGCACTTTAAAATGTTGATTCTTTCTTTACTAATGGAAACAATCCTCTGAAAAAGAACTCAGTTTTCTTTTTGAATTAAATTACTTTCTGCATTCTAATTGATTCAGTGTTAAAAGTTATTTTATCATGTTAGCACAGTTTTAATATCAGTATTCATGAGTGAAATATAAATGCTGTCCTATGATTTTATTATATTCACTAATATGTTAACTCTTCTGTAAGTATTGCTTATAATTTATGAGAAGAAGTTTTTACTAGAATTGTCTTTCCCTCTAGAGAAACATCTTGATATCTAAGCATGAATGTCACCTTTTACTCTGTGGGACTCTCATCAAGAGCTCCACAAAAGGTTGATTTGAAATGTATTTTTCACAAAGATTTAAAAAATTGTAACAAAAACAATATGTATATTCAATAGAGCCATACAACATGTTTTACTACTAATATGTTAATATGGGTTACCAAGTTGACTAAGTTTTGTGCTGGTTGTGGAAAATAGTCTCCTAATATTTGCATATATTTGGGCATCTTGCAAATGTGCCATTGATCATCTATTCATTCATTTAATATTCACTGATTGGGTTTCAGACAGGTTTTAAAGAAGCTGGATATGTGTTGGTGTCCTAAATTTCAGGATAGGAAAGTTTTATGGCATTTTAATTTGCTTATCTTTTTAAATTGACACTTCTACCCATCTCGGGTGGCACTTTATTATTTTATTGTTAATTAACTCATTTATTTATTAAACATTTATTGAGAAATTTCTTTGTGCCACACTGAGGAATTGAAATAGTATACAAAACGCTGTCCCTACTCTAATAGAATTTAAACTAATTCGAAAGACAAATAAATAATCACACAAACAAATAATTATACATCAAGGAAAACTTGCCTTAGAGAAAAATATTAGAGTTTATAATGCAGGGTCAGGAAAGACCTGCTCTATAACGGGGAGTTAAACTGCAACCTGGTATTTGATTTAAAATTAGTCAGGTGAAGAGTGGAAGAAGGGCAGCCTTTGTAAAGGGACCCTGGGAGGGAAAAGTGCCTGGACCATTGGTGGACCTCGAGAAGGCCAGCCTGGCTAAGCCAAGGAGGTGAGGGAGGAAACAAGGTGAAAAGGAAGGTAGGGTCTCATCATAAAAGCTCTTAAAGGCAATGCTAAGGAGCTTAGATTCCATCCAAGGTCAATGAAAATCCACTTAGACGTTTGAGCAGAGGACTGATAATGTTTTTAAAAGATTATTTTAATAGTTATAAAGAATGAATTGGGAGACCTATTTGGGACTTAAGAAGATCTGTGAGGCTGGTATAAGTTCAGAAGAGAATTGATGGTGGATTAGACCAGAATGCTAGTGGTGAATATAGAGAAAACCAGGTGGATTTAAGTCCTACTTTTAATGTGAAAGTGGTATAACTCAATAATAGATTTAAATATGTAAAAAAGGGGAGTGTCAAATATTATTCCTGCATTGTGAACACCTGGGTGATTGATGGTGAGAGATAGAGAAAACTGGAGAAGGAAATTTTGGGGAAAAGAATAAAACAATTCAATTTTGAACATATTAGATGAGTTGCTTGAGACACGTCTGAGTGGCAATATCAAATAAAGAGATTGGGTTAGATCTCAGAAGGGAGTTTTGCGAAGTGCATATAAATTTCGGAGTTATTAGTGGTTGAGGGGTAGTTGAAAATGGAGGATGGGTCAGAGTTATCTGTTGGACACAATATTTGTGGTTAAAAATTGGGTTTACATCTTGTGATACCATCTATCTCTATACATTTGCATCAAATTCTTCCTGTCAGATTCTGCCAAACTGTTACTTTATGGGGAAAATGATTGCAATTTCCCTGTATTATTAATTTTATTATTATTATTATTATTATTATTATTAAGGAATTATTGCTGTCAAAGTCATTTGCCTGAGAACAACCTAGGTGTGTACTCAGGAGCATATCTGGTCCTAGGAAGATGTGTCACTGTTGGTGGTTTTCCTCTACTTTCCCTGAGGCTTTAGTATATATCTGAAATACAGACATACACATGGAGAAATTCTAGAGCTTCAAGGACCAGTAAGTGATTTCTTTTAAGGAGTGATTACCTGTAAACTAAGTGATAGTGGAAAATTATTTTTATTAGGTTAAGTTTTCCTCTTCACCAGGGTGGTTTATCCTGACAAGCACAAAGAGGTTGAGCTTTAAACCTCCCTTCCCACTTGTAGCCTGGTACTTGTTGCATTTAGCAGTGGCCATTGTTAGAGGGCATCAAGCAAAGCATGCCACGTATTTTGTTTGTTTGTTGCTTTAATTATTTGGCCAAATCTTTAGTAAAATACAGGTATTGTCACTTGAAACCTATTACAAACTTCTTTAGGACAGGAACCCGGTATCACACATATTTGTAGATTATTTCAGGTTTAGCAAAGTATCTCATAAAATGTTCAGAAAATAATGTTGGTTTGTTTCATTTGTCATTTTGCTCCAGAAACTTCATATACCTTATGGGGAATGAAGAGATATTTTTCCAAGTAAATATAATTAGATCTTCTTTGACTTAAGATGAAGTCTTTCAGATAAATACTTAATTTTATTTGGGTAACTTCTGAGGCAAATCAAAGTTCACATATCTTGAGGTTTTTTTTTTTTTTTTTTCTTTCTAAAGGAAACTTCCTTTCTCTTACTCCTCCCCAGAGTGGTGTTTAGTGCGGGGGAAAGTTAACATACCATGGATCCATGGGCATGCATCAACATGCATCTTCTTATCTTCCTTGGTCTCAGTTAAGGTACTGCCAGTTTGGAATAGGTTGTCTTGTCTCATCTCTGGACTTCTGGAAATGGTGTTCGTCATGGGGGCTGATGTCTTTTGTTTCTCTTGGACATCACTCCAACACTTGTTGCTGAAGCACAGTCACTATCCTTGTCTCTGACTGCAAGGTTTATGGGAGCTAGCTTGTGATCTATCCAGGTCTTTGACTTGCCCCAGAACTCTGACTCTCCTAGAGCTTCCATGCCCTTCTCAAGGCAATGACCTGTGCACTATTCTGGAGTTGTAAGGTTCTGCAAGGCTTATCCACTAGGCACCTGTTTCATATGTGTAAACTGCCCCATGCTGTCAGTTTGACTGTAGCATTGTATTCAGTGCCTGCCATCTCAGAAAAGTTTGCTCTCTTCTCTACGCCTTGTGCAAGGAAGTAGGGTGTTGTCACTCATGGTCTTATATTTTCCCCTGATCCATGTGGATGTTTTCACATCCTTGATATCCAACTCCCTTGGAGATGGTTATGACTGATCTCTTGCTCTAGTTTTCTTCTCTGTCCTTTTCACATATGCACTAGAATTAGAATGGCTCTTATTATCCTCTTTCTCTACTCTCTAACATTTACCCTCCAGTCCTATGGTAGTTGCATGTTTAATTTTTAAATAAACTGCCAAATTGGTTTTCATGGGAGCTGTACAATTTTATGCTCCTACCAGCAAAATATCCTACTCTGGTGTTGGCAACTATGCACAGAGATTCTATAAAACTGGGATTCTGATCCGATTTGGCTTATTAACTAATTACACTAAATTACCTAATTACACTAAATTACCTTGATGACACAATTTTTCTAACTCCAGTTTTCCTCACTTCACAATGGACATAAAGAGAAATGTCATTTGACTACTGTGAATATACAATGAAATATCTAAAATATAAAATCCTTGGGAGACACTCCCATGTTTAATAGGATTTTATGGTTCCAAAAACTTTTGAGAGTGTATTATATCACTTAATTAATGTAAAAGAGTGTTCTACAAGTGAAAACTATATGCATATCTCTATGAATTCCAGCATGAACATCATTGGGAAATGACAAATCTAACATAAAAAATAAAATGTCAAATTATCTTATAATTTGCTTCATATATTTTTAATAAGAATTTTGAGATAATTGTAGATTCACATTCAATTGTACAGAATAATACAGAGATATTCCACATACCCTTTGCCAAGTTTTCCTCAATGGTAACAGCTTGCAAAACTATAGTATAATATCGTAATCAGGATATTAACAATGATATAGCCAAGATACAGAATATTTCTTTTTTTTAAATTATGCTTTAAGTTCTGGGGTACGTGTGCAGAAAGTGCAAGTTTGTTACATAGGTATACACTTGCCTTGGTGGTTTGCTGCGCCCATCAACCCATCATCTACATTAGATATTTCTCCTAACACTATCCCTCCCCAAGTCCCCCACCCTCTGACATGCCCCAGTGTGTGATACCCCCTCCCCATGTCCATGTGTTCTCATTGTTCAACTCACATTTATGAGTGAGAACATGAGGTGTTTTGTTTTCTGTTCTTGTGTTAGTTGGCTGAGAATGATGGTTTCCAGCTTCATCCATGTCCCCACAAAGGACATGAACTCATCCTTTTTTATGGCTTTGTAGTATTCCATGGTGTATATGTGCCACATTTTCGTTATCCAGTCTGTCATTGATGGGCATTTTGGTTGGTTCCAAGGCTTTGCTATTGTGAACAGTGCCACAATAAACATACATGTGCATGTGTGTTTATAGTAGAATGATTTATAATACTTTGGGTATATACCAAGTAATGGGATTGCTGGGTCAAATGGTATTTCTAGTTCCAGATCCTTGAGGAATCACCACATTGTCTTCTACAATGGCTGAACTAATTTACACTCCCACCAACAATGTAAAAGTGTTCCTGTTTCTCCGCATCCTCTCCAGCATCTGTTGTGTCCTCACTTTTTAATGATCGCTGCCATTCTAACTGGTGTGAGATGGTATCTCATTGTGGTTTTGATTTGCATTTCTCTAATGATCAGTGATGACGACCTTTTTTTCATATGTTTGTTGGCTGCATAAATGTCTTCTTTTGAGAAGTGTCTGTTCATATCCTTTGCTCACTTTTTGATGGGGTTGTTTTTTTCTTGTAAATTTGTTTGAGTTCTTTGTAGATTCTGGAAATTAGCCCTTTGTCAGATGGGTAGATTGCAAAAAATTTCTCTCATTCTGTAGGTTGCCTGTTCACTCTGATGGTGGTTTCTTTTGCTGTGCAGAAGCTCTTTAATTAGATCCCATTTGTCAATTTTGGCTTTTGTTGCTATTGCTTTTGGTGTTTTAGTCATGAAGTAGGTTGCAAAAAATTTCTCTCATTCTGTAGGTTGTCTGTTCACTCTGATGGTAGTTTCTTTTGCTGTACAGAAGCTCTTTAATTAGATCCCATTTGTCAGTTTTGGCTTTTGTTGCCATTGCTTTTGGTGTGTTAGTCATGAAGTCTTTGTCCATGACTTTGTCCTGATTGATATTGTCTAGGTTTTCTTATGGGTTTTTATGGTTTTAGATCTTACATTTAAGTCTTTAATCCATCTTGAGTTAATTTTTTATAAGGTGTAAGGAAGGGATCCAGTTTCAGCTTTCAGCATATGGCTAGCCAGTTTTCCCAACACCATTTATTAAATAGGAAATCCTTTCCCCATTACTTGTTTTTGTCAGGTTTGTCAAAAATCAGATGGTTATAGATGGGTGGTGTTATTTCTGAGGACTCTGTTCTGTTCCATTGGTCTATATAACTGTTTTGATACCAGTACCACACTGTTTTGGTTATTGCAGCCTCGTAGTATAGTTTGAAGTAAGATAGCATGATGCCTCCAGCTTTTTTCTTTTTGCTTAGGATTGTCTTGGCTATGTGGGCTCTTTTTTGGTTCCACATGAAATTTAAAGTAGCTTTTCTCCAATTCTGTGAAGAAAGTCAATGATAGCTTGATGGGAATACTATTGAATCTATAAATTACTTTGGGCAGTATGGCCATTTTCATGATATTGAGTCTTCCTATCCACGAGCATGGAATGTTTTTCCATTTGTTTGTGTTCTCTCTTATTTCCTTGAGCAGTGGTTTGTAGTTCTCCTTGAAGAGGTCCTTCACATCCCTTGTAAGTTGGATTCCTAGGTATTTTGTTCTCTTTGTAACAATTGTGAATGGGAGTTCACTCATGATTTGGCTCTCTGTCTGTTATTGGTGTATAGGAATGCTTGTGATTTTTGCACATTGATATTGTATCCTGAGACTTTGCTGAAGTTGCTTATCAGCTTAAGGAGATTTTGGGATGAGACGATGGGGTTTTCTAAATAAACAATCATGTCATCTGCAAACAGGGACAATTTGACTTCCTGTTTTCCTAAATGAATACCCTTTATTTCTTTCTCTTGCCTAAGTGCCCTGGCCAGAACTTCCAATACTATGTTGAATAGAAGCGGTGAGAGAGGGCATCCTTGTCTTGTGCCAGTTTTCAAAGGGAATGCTTCCAGTTTTTGCCCATTCAGTATGATATTGGCTGTGGGTTTGTCATAAATACCTCTTATTATTTTGACATACATTCCATCAATACCTAGTTTATTGTTCGTTTTTAGCATGAAGCTGCTGTTGTATTTTGTCGAAGGCCTTTTCTGCCTCTTTACAGAACATTTCTATTACCACGGTATCCCTCAAGTTGTCCTTTTATAGCCTCACCTACTTTAGCCCCACCCATCCCTTCCTCATTCTAAACCTCTGGCAACCACTAATCTGTCTCCTTGTAATTTTTAATCTCATGTATATTATATAAATGGAATTGTATAATATGCAACCCTTTAGGATTGGCTTTTTAAAACCTCAGCATAATTCTCCAGCTCTTCATCAAAGGTGTTGTCTGTTTCTGTAGTTTGTTGTTTTTTGCAGAGCAGTACCCCGTGGAATGGACGTATTAGAGTTTGTTTAATCATTCAAACATTTGAGTTGTTTTCAATTTTTGCCTATTAGGGATAAAGCAACTACGAATGTTTGTGTACAGCTTTTTTGTTTGAACTTAAATTCTCATTTCTGCAGAGCAGTTGCCCAGGAGTGCAATTGGGTTGGAGGGTAGTTTGTTTTGTTTTCTTGTTTCCCAAAACAAACAAACAAAAACAATGTTTTTAAAGATACTGCCAAACTGTTTTCAGAGTAGCTATACCATTTTAGTTTCCATGAGCATTTTTTGAATGATCTGTTTTGTTTGCATCATTGGTGCCGTCACTTTTTAAATTTTAAGCATTCTGATAGGTATATAGTGATATTTCATTGTATTTTTTATTTGCATTTCCCTAATAGCTTATGAAAATAAATGTCTGTATATCTTCCCCCGTGAAAAGTCTGTTTATATCTTTTGCCCATTTGATAATTTGATTTTTTAAATGTTGTTTGAGAGTTTTTAAATATATTTTAGATACTAGCCTTTTATTGGCTATATGACTTGAAAATCTTTTATGCCAGTCTATAGCTTCCATTTTTATCCTTTTTACATGACTTTTCACAGACAAAAATATTTTAAACTTTGGTAAAGTACAATTTATCAATATTTTTATTTTATGGGTCATGCTTTTGGTGTGAAGTCTAAGAAATATTTGCCTACCCCTAGATGATCTCTAGATGATTTTAGATTTTCTTTCTCCTTTTTTGTTTTTTTTTTGTTATAAAAGTTTTAGTTTGAAGTTCAGCTAGAGATTTTTTGTGTGTGCCACCTATGAATATCCAATTGCTCTAGCCCCTCCTGTTGAAAACACTATTCCTCCCATTAAATAACTTTTGCACCTTTGTCAAGCAGTAGTTGGGTATATTTGTGTGGCTCTAATTCTATATTCTCTATTCTGTTCCACACAGATCTATGTGTTTGTACCTCCACTTGATTGCAGTAGTTATACTATAATTCTCAAAGGCAGATAATTCCATTCTTCCCACTGTATTCCTGTTTTTTGAAGTTATTTTATCTACTAAGGCTCTTTTGATTTTCCATATACATTTTAGAATAATCTTGTATGTATCTACAAAAAAATTTGCTGGGATTTTGATAGTAATTGTGTTAAAACTGTATATCAATTTGAGGACAATTGGTATCTTATTATGTTGAGTATTCTGATATATGAACACACTCTATTTAGATCTTTGTCATAGATTTCTTCCATCAAAATTTTGTAGCTTTCAGCATACAACTGTGTATATGTTTTATTCAATTTATCACTGTGTTTAATATTTTGAGTGATTGTAAATGGCACTGTATTTTTAGTTTGCTGTCCACATGTTGATTGCTGCTATATAGAAATGTAATTGATTTTTGTACATTTATTTTATATCCTGTGACATTGTTTAACTCATTTATTAGTTCTGGGGATATTTTCATAGATGCCTTGATATTTTATATTTAGACAATGATGTCATGTACAAACAGGGATAGTTTTATTTTTCCTTCTTTAATCTGTTTACCTTTTTTTTTCTTGTCTTATTGTGCTGGCTAGAACTTCTGGCAATATGTTGAATAAGAATAATGAGGGCCGGGCGCGGTGGCTCACGCCTGTAATCCCAGCACTTTGGGAGGCCGAGGCGGGCGGATCACGAGGTCAGGAGATCGAGACCATCCCGGCTAAAACGGTGAAACCCCGTCTCTACTAAAAATACAAAAAATTAGCCGGGCGTAGTGGCGGGCGCCTGTAGTCCCAGCTACTTGGGAGGCTGAGGCAGGAGAATGGCGTGAACCCGGGAGGCGGAGCTTGCAGTGAGCCGAGATCCTGCCACTGCACTCCAGCCTGGGCGACAGAGCGAGACTCCGTCTCAAAAAAAAAAAAAAAAAAAAAAAAAAAAAAAAAAAAAAGAATAATGAGAATGGGTATCCTTGAGTTATTACAAACCTTAGGGAGAAATAATTCAGTTTTTCAACATTAAGTATGATGTTAATTGTAGATTTGTTGTAGATTCTTCTTATCGAGTTGAATAATTTCCCTTTTACTCGTATTTTCTGAGAGTTTTTTTTTAAAATATAAATTGGGTTTTTTTTGCCCCCTTTTTCTTTTTGTTTTTCTGCGTGGATTCATATAATCATGTGATTTTTGTTACCCTGTTAGTATGGTGGACTACATTAATTGATTTTTGAACATTGAACCTGCCTGGAATCCTTAGAATAAAGTGCACTTGGTCATAATGTATGGTTTTTAAAAGTGTATTGCTGAATTCTATTTGGTAATATTCTGCTAAAAACTTTATATTTACATTTATGAACACCATTGTTCTGTAGTCTTGCCCTGCCTCCCTCCCTCCCTTCCTTCCCTCCCTGTTCCTTCTCTGTCTCTTTCCTCCCTCTCTTATCTCTCTTCTTTTTTCCCTTTCTTCTGTGTTTGCCTAATGTTGATATTAGGATAACACTAGCTTGCTAAATAAATTTGGAAATGTTCCCCTTCTTCTGTTTTCTGGAAGAGATTACATAGAATTAGTGTTAATTCTTTAGATGTTTGGTAGACTTTTCCAGTGACATCATTTTTAACTGTAGATTTCTTTCTGGGGAATTTTTAAATTACGAATTTAATTTTCTTAATAGTTGCTAGCCTATCAAATTATTTTGTTCACATTGGAGGAGTTGTAGTACTTTGTGCTTTTTGAGAAATTGGTACTTTTCCTCTAAATTGTCAAATTTACGTGTATAGACTTGTCTATTATGCTCTCTTATTTCCCTTTTGATATCTGCAGGAACTGTTTCATTCCTGGATATTGGTAATTTTTAGGTTCTCTCTTTTCTTGTCTTCCTACATGTTTGTTAATTTTATTAATCCTTTTAAAGATCTAGGCCTTCATTTCATTGACTTTCTCTATTGCTGTTATTTTTTCCATTGCTTTGTTTTCTGCATTTATCTTTATTATTTTATTCACTCTACCTGCTTTGGGTTTTTTTTTCTTTTTTTTCTAGGTTCTTTTTTTAATGTTATAATGAGTGACATTATTATTATTATTATACTTTAAGTTTTAGGGTACATGTGCACAATGTGCAGATTTGTTTCATACGTATATATGTGCCATGTTGGTGTGCTGCACCCATTAACTCGTCATTTAGCATTAGGTATATCTCCTAATGCTATCCCTCCCCCCTCCCCCCACTCCACAACAGTCCCCGGTGTGTGATGTTCCCCTCCCTGTGTCCATGTGTTCTAATTGTTCAATTCCCACCTATGAATGAGAACATGTGGTGTTTGCTTTTTGTCCTTGCGATAGTTTGCTGAGAATGATGATTTCCAATTTTATCCATGTCCCTACAAAGCACATGAACTCATCATTTTTTAAGGTTGCATAGTACTCCATGGGGGTATATGTGCCACATTTTCTTAATCCAGTCTATCATTGTTGGATATTTGGGTTGGTTCCAAGTCTTTGCTATTGTGAATAGTGCCGCAGTAAACATACGTGTGCATGTGTCTTTATAGCAGCATGATTTATAGTCCTTTGGGTATATACCCACTAATGGGATGGCTGGGTCAAATGGTATTTCTAGTTCTAGATCCCTGAGGAATCGTCACACTGACTTCCACAATGGTTGAACTAGTTTACATTCCCACCAACAGTGTAAAAGTGTTCCTATTTCTCCACATCCTCTCCAGCATCTGTTGTTTCCTGACTTTTTAATGATTGCCATTCTAACTGGTGTGAGATGGTATCTCATTGTGGTTTTGATTTGCATTTCTCTGATGGCCAGTGATGGTGAGCATTTTTTCATGTGTTTTTTGGCTGCATGAATGTCTTCTTTTGAGAAGTGTCTGTTCATATCCTTCACCCACTTTTTGATGGGGTTGTTTTTTTCTTATAAATTTGTTTGAGTTCTTTGTAGATTCTGGATATTAGCCCTTTGTCAGATGAGTAGGTTGTAAAATTTTTCTCCCATTCTGTAAGTTGCCTGTTCACTCTGATGGTAGTTTCTTTTGCTGTGCAGAAGCTCTTTAGTTTAATTAGATCCCATTTGTCAATTTTGGCTTTTGTTGCCATTGCTTTTGGTGTTTTAGACATGAAGTCCTTGCCCATGCCTATGTCCTGAATGGTATTGCCTAGGTTTTCTTCTAGGGTTTTCATGGTTTTAGGTATAACACTTAAGTCTTTAATCCATCTTAAATTAATTTTTGTATAAGGTGTAAGGAAGGGATCCAGTTTCAGCTTTCTATATATGGCTAGCCAGTTTTCCCAAACCATTTATTAAATAGGGAATCCTTTCCCCATTTCTTGTTTTTGTCAGCTTTGTCAAAGATCAGATGGTTGTAGATGTATGGTGTTACTTCTGAGACTTCTGTTCTGTTCCATTGGCCTATATGTCTGTTTTGGTACCAGTACTATGCTATTTTGGTTGCTGTAGCCTTATAGTGTAGTTTGAAGTCAGGTAGCGTGATGCCTCCAGCTTTCTCCTTTTTGCTTAGGATTGTCTTGGCAATGTGGGCTCTTTTTTGGTTCCATATGAACTTTAAATTAGTTTTTCCAATTCTGTGAAGAAAGTCATTGGTAGCTTGATGGGGATGGCATTGAATCTATAAATTACCTTGGGCAGTATGGCCATTTTCACGATATTGATTCTTCCTATCCATGAGCATGGAATGTTCTTCCATTTGTTTTATCCTCTTTTACTTCATTGAGCAGTGGTTTGTAGTTTGCCTTGAAGAGGTCCTTCACACCCCTTATAAGTTGGATTCCTAGGTATTTTATTCTCTTTGAAGCCATTGTGAATGGGAGTGCACTCATGATTTGGCTCTCTGTCTGTTACTGGTGTATATGAATGCTTGTGATTTTTGCACATTGATTTCATATTCTGAGACTTTGCTGAAGTTGCTTATCAGCTTAAGGAGATTTTGGGCTGAGACGATGGAGTTTTCTAGATATACAATCATGTCATCTGCAAACAGGGACAATTTGACTTCCTCTTTTCCTAACTGAATGCCCTTTATTTCCTTCTCCTGCCTGACTGCCCTGGCCAGAACTTCCAATACTATGTTGAATAGGAGTGGTGAGAGAGGGCATCCCTGTCTTGTGCCAGTTTTCAAAGGGAATGCTTCCAGTTTTTGTCCATTCAGTATGATATTGGCTGTGGGTTTGTCATAGATAGCTCCTTTTATTTTGAGATATGTCCCATCAATACCTAATTTATTGAGAGTTTTTAGCATGAAGGGTTGTTGAATTTTGTCAAAGGCCTTTTCTGCATCTATTGAGATAATCATGTGGTTTTGGTCTTTGGTTCTGTTTATATGCTGGATTATGTTTATTGATTTTCATATGTTGAACCACCCTTGCATCCCAGGGATGAAGCCCACTTGATCATGGTGGATAAGCTTTTTGATGTGTTGCTGGATTCGATTTGCCAATATTTTATTGAGGATTTTTGCATCAATGTTCAACAAGGATATTGGTCTAAAATTCTCTTTTTTGGTTGTGTCTCTGCCAGGCTTTGCTATCAGGATGATGCTGGCCTCATAAAATGAGTTAGGGAGGATTCCCTCTTTTTCTGTTGACTGGAATAGTTTCAGAAGGAATGGTACCAGTTCCTCCTTATACCTCTGGTAGAATTCGGCTGTGAATCTATCTGGTCCTGGCCTTTTTTTGGTTGGTAAGCTCTTAATTATTGCCTCAATTTCAGAGCCTGTTATTGGTCTATTCAGAGATTCAACTTCTTCCTGGTTTAGCCTTGGGAGGGTGTATGTGTCCGGGAATTTATCCATTTCTTCTAGATTTTCTAGTTTATTTGCATAGAGGTGTTTATAGTATTCTCTGATGGTAGTTTGTATTTCTGTGGGATCGGTGGTGATATCCCCTTTATCATTTTTCGTTGCGTCTATTTGATTCTTCTCTCTTTTCTTCTTTATTAGTCTTGCTGGCAGTCTATCAATTTTGTTGATCTTTTCAGAAAACCAGCTCCTGGATTCACTGATTTTTTGAAGAGTTTTTGTGTCTCTATTTCCTTCAGTTCTGCTCTGATCTTAGCTATTTCTTGCCTTCTGCTAGGTTTTGAATGTGTTTGCCCTTGCTTCTCTAGTTCTTTTAATTGTGATGTTAGGGTGTCAATTTTAGATCTTTCCTGCTTTCTCTTGTGGGCATTTAGTGCTATAAATTTCCCTCTACACACTGCTTTGAATGTGTCCCAGAGATTCCGGTATGCTGTGTCTTTGTTCTCATTGGTTTCAAAGAACATCTTTATTTCTGCCTTCATTTCATTATATACCCACTAGTCATTCAGGAGCAGGTTGTTCAGTTTCCATGTAGTTGAGTGGTTTTGAGCGAGTTGCTTAATCCTGAGTTCTAGTTTGATTGCACTGTGGTCTGAGAGACAGTTTGTTATAATTTCTGTTCTTTTACATTTGCTGAGGAGTGCTTTACTTCCAACTATGTGGTCAATTTTGGAATAGGTGTGGTGTGGTGCTGAAAAGAATGTGTATTCTGTTGAATTGGGGTGGAGGGTTCTGTAGATGTCTATTAGGTCCGCTTGGTGCAGAGCTGTGTTCAATTCCTGGATATCCTTGTTCATTTTCTGTCTCGTTGATCTGTCTAATGTTGACAGTGGGGTGTTAAAGTCTCCTATTATTATTGTGTGGGAGTCTAAGTCTCTTTGTAGGTCTCTACGGACTTGCTTTATGAATCTGGGTGCTCCTGTATTGGGTGCATATATATTTAGGATAGTTAGCTCTTCTTGTTGAATTGATCCCTTTACCATTATGTAATGGCCTTCTTTGTCTCTTTTGATCTTTGTTGGTTTAAAGTCTGTTTTATCAGAGACTAAGTTTGCAACCCCTGCCTTTTTTTGTTTTCCATTTGCTTGGTAGTTCTTCCTCCATCCCTTCATTTTGAGCCTATGTGTGTCTCTGCAGATGAGATGGGTTTCCTGAATACAGCACACTGATGGGTCTCGACTCTTTATCCAATTTGCCAGTCTGTGCCTTTTAATTGGAGTATTTATCCCATTTACATTTAAGGTTAGTATTGTTGTGTGTGAATTTGTTCCTGTCATTATGATGTTAGCTGGTTATTTTGCTCATTAGTTGATGCAGTTTCTTCCTAGCCTTGATGGTTTTTACAATTTGGCATGTTTTTGCAGTGGCGGGTACCGGTTGTTCCTTTCCATGTTTAGTGCTTCTTTCAGGAGCTGTTTTAGGGCAGGCCTGGTGGTGACAAAATCTCTCAGCATTTGCTTGTCTGTAAAGGATTTTATTTCTCCTTCACTTGTGAAGCGTAGTTTGGCTGGATATGAAATTCTGGGTTGAAAATTCTTTTCTTTAAGAATGTTGAATATTGGCCCCCACTCTCTTCTGGCTTGTAGAGTTTCTGCCAAGAGATCAGCTGTTAGTCTGATGGGCTTCCCTTTGTGGGTAACCTGGCCTTTGTCTCTGGCTGCCCTTAACATTTTTTCCTTCATTTCAACTTTGGTGAATCTGACAATTATGTGTCTTGGAGTTGCTCTTCTCGAGGAGTATCTTTGTGGCTTTCTCTGCATTTCCTGAATTTGAATGTTGGCCTGTCTTGCTAGATTGGGGAAGTTCTCCTGGATAATATCCTGCAAAGTGTTTTCCAACTTGGTTCCATTCTCCCCATCACTTTCAGGTACATCAATCAGATGTAGATGTGGTCTTTTCACATAGTCCCATAGTTCTTGGAGGCTTTGTTCATTTCTTTTTATTCTTTTCCCTCTAAACTTCTCTTCATGCTTCATTTCATTCATTTCATCTTCCATTGCTGATACCCTTTCTTCCAGTTGATCACATCGATTACTGAGGCTTGTGCATTTGTCACATAGTTCTCATGCGGTGGTTTTCAGCTCCATCAGGTCCTTTAAGGACTTCTCTCTTTATCCATTTGTCTAATTTTTTTTCAACGTTTTTAACTTCTTTGCCATTGGTTCGAACTTCCTCCTTTAGCTCGGAGTAGTTTGATCTTCTGAAGCCTTCTCTCAACTCGTTGAAGTCATTCTCCATCCAGCTTTGTCCTGTTGCTGGTGAGGAGCTGTGTTCCTCTGGAGGAGGAGAGGTGCTCTGATATTTACAGTTTCCGGTTTTTCTGCTCTGTTTTTTCCCTATCTTTGTGGTTTTATCCTTGTTTGGTCTTTGATGATGGTGACATACAGATGGGTTTTTGGTGTGGATGTCCTTTCTGTTTGTTAGTTTTCCTTCTGACAGTCAGGACCCTCCGCTGCAGGTCTGTTGGAGTTTACTGGAGGCCCACTCCAGACCCTGTTTGCCTGAGTATCAGTAGCTGTGACTGCAGAACAGCAGATATTGGTGAACCGCATATGCTGCTGCCTGATCATTCCTCTGGAAGTTTTGTCTCAGAGGAGTACCCAGCCATGTGAGGTGTCAGTCCGACCCTACTGGAGGCTGCCTCCCAGTTAGGCTACTCGGGGGTCAGGCACCCACTTTAAGAGGCAGTCTGCCCATTCTCAGATCTCAAGCTGTGTCCTGGGAGAACCACTACTCTCTTCAAAGCTGTTAGACAGGGACATTTAAGTCTGCAGAGGTTATTGCTGTCTTTTGTTTGTCTGTGTCCTGCCCCAAGAGGTGAAGCCTACAGAGGCAGGCAGGCCTCCTTGAGCTGTGGTGGGCTCCACCCAGATTGAGCTTCCCAGCTGCTTTGTTTATCTACTCAAGCTTGGGCAATGGTGGGCGCCCTTCTCCCAGCCTTGCTGCCACCTGGCAGTTTGATCTCAGACTTCTGTGCTAGCAATGAGCGAGGCTCCATGGGCATAGGACCCTCCGAGCCAGGTGTGGGATATAATCTCCTGGTGTGCCGTTTGTTAAGTCTGTTGGAAAAGTGCAGTATTAGGGTGGGAGTGACCTGATTTTCCAGGTGCCATCTGTCACCCCTTTCTTTGACTAGGAAAGGGAATTCTCTAACCCCTTGCGCTTCTGCCTCACCCTGCTTCAGCTCACGCATGGTGCGCTGCACCCACTGTCCTGCCTCCACTGTCCGGCACTCTCCAGTGAGATGAATCTGGTACCTCAGTTGGAAATGCAGATATCACCCATCTTCTGCGTCGCTCATGCTGGGAGCTGTAGACTGGAGCTGTTCCTATTCAGCCATCTTTGCTCCACCCCCCTTCTAGGTTCTTAAGATGGGAGCTTAGATTATTGATTTGAGACTTTTCCTTTGCTCTTAAATAAACATTTAGTGCTGTAGATTTCACTGTCAGCATTGCTTTGATTGTATCTCACTCATTTTGCTACGTTGTATTTTTATTTTTATTCAGCTCAGTGTATTTTTTGATTTTCAGTTAGGCCTTCTGTTTTACCTATGGGTTATTTAGAAGCATGTTGTTTAGCAACCAAGTTCTTAGAGATATTTCCTGTTTTTGTGTTGTTGATTTTTAGTTTGATTCTCCTATGATCAGAGAGTACATTCCATATGAATTTAATTGCTTTAACTGTATTTAGGTTTATTTTATGGCCTAGAATATGGACTATTATAGCACACAATTAATGGGAAAACAATGTGTATTCTGCTATTGTTGGGTGTACTGTTCTATAACTATTGATTAGATCCTATTGTTCAGTGTTGTTAAGGTCTATGTCCTTGCTGATATTCTATCTTAACTGCTGTTATCAATTGTTCAGAATGGGATGTTAAAGTCTCCAAGTAAAATTGTGAATTTTTCTGTTTCTCATTTGACTTTTATCTGTTTTTGCTTCATATTTATTGCAGCTCTGTTTTTTGGAGCATGTATATTGGAATGGCTTTGTTTTCTTGGTGAATTGACCCTTTATCATTATGTAATGCCCCTCTCTATGTCTGACATTTTTTGCTTTGAATCTTATTTTCTTCTGATGTTTATATAGCCACTTATATATTTTCTCATTTAAATTTGTATTTTGACATAATTTCACATTACAAAAATAATAAAAATATATGTATTCCCTTACTCAGATTTTTCACTTGTTTTCATTTTGCCCCATTGCATTATCATTTATTCATTCTTTCTAAATGTATATGTATTTTTTTTCCCAATCATTTGTGGATAAGTTGAGACATACTCCTTTAATCTTAAGTACTTTAATATGTATTTTCTGGAAACAACTACATTCTTTTACGAAGTCACAGGAAATTATCAAATTCAGGATATTCAACATTGGTACAATATAGTCCATACTCAATTTTTTTTAGTTGTTCTAGGTTTTTTAGTCTTGTCACTATAAATATTATGGGTCATATAATTCTTTGTTATGGAGAAGCCACTCCTATTTTACTTATTCTATTTAATTAATTTATCTTTTAGAGACAGAGTCTTGCTCTATAGCTCAGGCTAGAGTGCAGTGGCATGACCATAGCTTACTGTTACTTGAAACTCCTGGGCTCAAGTGATTCTCTCACCTCAATCTCCTAAGTAGCTAGGGCTATGGGTAGGTACCACCATGCCTGGCTAATTTTTTTTCTTATTTTTTTGTAGAAACAGGATCTTGCTATTTGCCAAGGCTGGTCACGACCTCCTGGCCTCAAGTGATCCTCCTGTTTTGGCCTCCCAAAACCCAAAGTGCTAGGATTATAGGTGTGACCCCCCCCACCAGCCAACTGGCTGTTTTATTTGATTAATGTTTGCATATTTATTTTTCTATTATTTTACTTTCAAACTACCCGTATCATTTTACTTTAAGTATACATTTTATGTACTGCACACAGTTGGGTCATATTTTTAAATTCACTCTTTTAGTCAATATATTCAGATCATTTACATTTAATATAGTTGTCAATATGTTGGAACTTAGATCTGTCATTCTATTTTTTGTTTTCTGTTTGTTTCATCTGTTTTTCTTTTCTCTATTTTTACTTTCCTGCCTTCCTGTGGTATGCTTGAACATTTGTTAGAATACCATTTTGATTTATCTATAGTGTTTCAGTTTATTTGTTTGCTCTAGGTATTACACTAAATGTACATAACTTACCACAGTCTACTTGAATAGACATTTCACCACTTCCACTGAAGTTTAGAAACATTACCATCTTTTACTCTTCTTTACCTTATCCTGTTTACAATGTGCTTTAAATATTTTACCTATATAATTTAAAGTCACAACAGATAGTGTTATATGTTTAACCGTTAAATCTATTGTACAAAACTTAAGAGGAGAAATAAAATGTATTACATTTTTACTCTTTTGATTGTTCTTATTTCCTTTCTAATGCTCCAAGATTTTATCATTTTCTTTCTGCTTAGAGAACTTCTATTAGGGTGTTTTTTTTCCTTCATCTGAGTATGACTTAATTTAGCTTCATTCCTGACAGATATTCTTTTCAGATAATAAAATTTTAGTTCACAATTCTTTTCTTTCAGCATTTAAAAATATTGTTTCACTTCCTCTGGACTTCATGATATCTAATTAGAAATCCACTGCCATTTAAGTAGCTTTTCACCTAAAGTTAAAGTGTCATTTTTCTCTTGCTGCTTTCAAGATTATTTTCTTTTGTCTTTAGTTTCGAGAATTTTGACTAAGATGTGTCTTGGTATGGTTTTTTGGGGGGCTTATTTTGTTGGAGGATTGCTCAGTCTGTAGGTTTATGACTTCTGTCAAATTTTGGAGGTTTACAGTCATTATTCCTTCAAGTACTTCTCCCCCTGTCTTCTTGCCCTCTTTTGTACTCCATATGACATAAATGTTAAATCTTTTGTTATAATTCCATAGGTGCCAGAGGCCCTATTCCTTTTGTTCTATTTTTAAAAAGTCTGTTTCCTCTCTGTTGTTCAGATTGGGTAATTTTCATTGTTCTGTCTTTAAGATCACTAATTATTTTCTCTTCCAGCGCCATTCCTCTGTTAAGCAGAATCCATTCTTTTTTTAAAAAAATTATGTTGTATTTTTCAGTTCCATAATTTCCATCTAATTCTTTATAACTTCTTTTTGTTTGTATAAGACTTTCTTTTTACCCATTTGTTTCATTTATATGAGTAATTGCTTGTTAAAGAATTCGTATAATGGTTGCTTAAAATCTTTGTCCAATAATTTTTATGCCTCTGTCATACTGGTTTTGGCATCTAGTGATTGTCTTTTTCATTCAAAATAAGATCTTCTTGGTTCTTGGAATGAGAAGTGGCTTTTGTTTGAAACAAAGTCCTTATATGATAAGACTTTTGTGTGAAACAAAGAGGTTGTATAATAAGACTCCGGATCTTATTTAAATTGACTGTTTTAGCTTGCTTCTACTGACAGTATTCTGGCAAGGTAAGGGTGGAAGGTGTGACCTCATTACAGCCATTTAGGAATGGAAGTCCAATTTTCCCACTTGGCCCCCTTTGACTCCAGGCTCAGATGAAGAGTTTTGACTGCCCACTAGGCCTCCACTGTTACCTCTGAGCTGAGCGGGATAGGATTGTCTCTTATTACTCACCATGTGGTTCTGCTGATACTACAGAGGTTAGCTTTGTTAGTGCTGAGTAGTGGTGAAATCTTGACCTTTTACTAGGCCTCTTTTCACACCACTCCAACAGTGAGGGTGGGTGCCTAATTATTATCAGATGGAGGGTAAACTCCAGAATCCCCACTTGGTCTCCACTGAAACTCTGAGGTGAGGAGCCTCTTTGTGGCTCAGCATGGATGAAAGTCCTGGCTTTCTACTCAGTCTTCCCTGATACCATCACACTGTTGGGGTTGGGTTTCGGGTGGTAGATGGAGGGAATTTGTATATTTCATTATACCCTAGGCTCTCCATTTAGCCTTTGCTGGCACAAGTGGGAACAAATTTAGATTTTCTTCCATGGTGTTCAGATACAGTACAGTGGTTTATGAGATAATGTTTTCTCTTATGCTAGGCTGCCCCATTTCTGGTCCTTTGGCTATGGAGAGCATGCTTTTTCTGGGCCTTTTTTTTTTTTTTTTTTTTTTTTTTTTGGTCTGCATTATTTGGCATTTCTAAGTTGCCAGCATCTTCAGCACCATGTTTGGAATATATGAGGTGAATAGAAAACACATAGATCTTACCACGTTGTCTATTTTGGGGTCCTGAAGTCCCTAGCTAGTCTGCCTTTTTCTCTTTCTCATTGAGAGTCGTCTTATGTTTGCCTTATATTCCCTTACCTGCAATGCCAAAGGTTTTCAGTTGTACTTAGCAAGAGGAATAGGGAAAAGTAACTCCATCTTCCCCAGAAGAAATTTTTTTTGTTGTTGTTTTTAGATGGAGTTTAGCTCTTGTTGCCCAGGCTGGAGTGCAGTGGTGCAATCTCGGCTCACTGCAACCTCTGCCTCCCAGGTTCAAGTGATTCTCCTGCCTCAGCCTCCCGAGTATGTGGGATTACAGGTGCGTGCCACCACGCTCGGCTAATTTTTTGTATTTTTCGTAGAGACGGGGTTTCACCATGTTGGCTAGGCTTGTTGAGAACTCCTGACCTCAGGTCATCCATCTGCCTCGGCTTCCCAAAGTGCTGGGATTACAGGTGTGAGCCACCGTGCCCAGCCTTGATCTTTAAAAAAATAAATAATGCAGGTTTGTTGGAATCTTCCTGTATGTCTTTTCTAGCCCCATTCCCCTCTCTTTCTCTGGGTTTTAATTTTTATTGATTCATTTTTATATATGTAATTATACCATGGTGATTTGTTTATTTGCTTGAAAATAATTTTGAAATCTATCCAGGTGAACATATAAAGTCTAATTTCATTCATATTGGTGAGTGGCTACTTGGGGTTTGGGTAACACAATAGGAAACTGTTCAATGCTGGGTTCACACATACATCTCAGAGAAGTGTATTACATATGTGCTATCTTCTGTGGTCAGGAAATAGCTTTGGTATTAATAGGCAAAAGTTGCTAGGAGGAGAAGCTATACCTGGTAGATCTAGGAGAGGGCCTGGACACTATCCCAGGACTGCACCATCAAACAGGACTACAGCATCAGCACCACTGGGTTACGGCATGGATGTGTAATGGATGTGTTGAACAGGCAAGACATGTCAGCCCTGGTCTCATGAAGTCTTTTCAGTGTGCGTTGAAAGACCCAGGCTAATATACGGGCTGAGAGTTAAAGAAAGACATGGGCTTTTCTCTGTAGATTGTCTCATCAATTGACTATGGCAGAGAGGCTGGGCTTAGCCCCCAGACCACACGTCCCATATTGTAATGACTATTTATGGAGCTATTAGCATGTCTTTCTTTAAAAGTAATTAGGTAATATGAGTTAAAGAGATACTTAACAGGTCTAAATGTTGATTAATGTGAGTGACCAGGGTTTCTTGAATTCTTTGATTTTTCTGGGCTTTTTCTTGGTTTGCCAGCGGCCAGTTTAGACTGAACTGGAAGATGGTGAGAGACTCTTGGCCTTCTGGGAAACTCAGTGACATTTAAAGACTACTGGGGCCTAGTCTGTGCATATCTCAACTAATTAAAATCAAATAATAATTGTAGGGACTTGGTCTTTAGAATTTTAATAAGCTTGAAGCTAACGAACCATTAAAAAAATTCTGTATTGAAGCTCTCTTCGCAAATGAGAGTTACAGTCTTCCCATCTGAGGCTTATACCCAGACCCCTTCTAGATCTTAAGCATCATGAGTTTTCATGAGAAACTTTTATTGTGGGGTGGAGGAGACAGCATAATAAAAATCTTATTTTTATAATCTTATTTATATGTTTCTACCCTCTCCTTATTTCTATATCGTGATGGCTACGGATTCTCTGCTGTTCTTCTTCTCTTTCATTTTATATTTTTATTTTGCTAAGATTACGTTCATGTACCTTTGAGCAAAAATATTATTGGAGACACATGACTGAGCTAACATTACATTTAGAGGTTATTTTATTAGGCTGCATTTTAATTTTATTCCATTTGTCCTCATTAAACAACTATTTGCCCCCTCAGGCATTTTAGAGCTAACTTTCTGACTCTATATTGGTTCCCAGGCTGTAAAAGTTGAAGCTTATTTGAATTTTTGCCTAGGACTCTTTTGAAAATACACACACAAAATCAACTTGAGAAATTCTAATGTGTTATATGTATAACTGCCTTGGTAACATTTGTTTTGCACCCAAGGGTACATGTATCCATAAGTGTTAATGGTAATATTTGAGTGAAATATTTTCTCTAACTAAAAGGGACATGCATGTGTGTAATACATATATGTGTTCATATATGTATATAAGTGTATATTTATCTAAATATGATATACAAGTTTACAGTGTATAAATTCTCTGTAGGACTATGAGAAGCCAATTATTCTAAGTGCTCCTGTAGTTTCACATTCCATCTTTACCTGTCCCACCCTCACCCCTTTCCTCTTCCCTTTCTTTAGCACTTCACTGGAGGAAGTCGAAAGAACAGGCAGTAGAAATGAAGAAGAGGAGAGGTGATGGCGATGACGTGGGCCATTCTCACAACTCTCCCTTGAATGCCTGCATTTTCCGCCATACTGGAGTTCTATTTCTCCGTGTTTTCTTTCCAGCCTTCCCGGGGAGGTGCTAAGAAACAAATCCAGATGCCTGGATCCTACCAGGTCAATATTTGTTACAAATGCTGAATGTATAGGAGTTATTCGATCACTTTCAATTTTTGTTATTTCAACTTTAAGGATCGATCTTGTTCTTCAGGGTCCTTTTGTAGATTTAAATCTGCAATTATTTTCTATTTTCTCTCTTTTTATGGATATCCTTGTACCTCTATTGTTTGATCGTTTTCTACAACAGGTTTCTTCCCCTTTCCAATCTTTTCTCCTCCTGAAAGTATTGCAGTTCAGGATCAGGGACAGATAAGTAGGTGAAAAAGGTTTTTTTTTTTTTTTTTTTTTTTTTTTTTCTGTAGCAAAATAAAAAAGTTCCTGTTTTGTTATCTAAGCCATTTAGAATTATTTCTTTGTTGTCATCATTAGTGCCATATTCATGATATGTTACTTTGAATTATAAGTTTTGTACTTTTTTTTGAAAAGGCTGTGTTGCTCAGCATAGACAATTTCATTGACAATCCACAGACATCAAAAGCCTCCTTCTAATGGAATCAGTTTTTTGCCAACTAGAGAATAAAATAGCCATGTCATCATGGATTTTATGCTTTGGTATAACTTGACTTCAACTTGATATATTCTTTGGTAACTCATGATTTTTAAATTTCTAAGTCTTTCTTACTAAGATTTTCATAATGTAGAAAAAATTTTCCAAGAATATAACTAAGAAAAGCAAAGAAGGAAAAGTAAGCTTTGTTGAACATTTACTTGGTTTCAGGCACTTGCTAGGAAGAAGCAAATGTGCACTGTAAGTATGAGTGGGTACTCAAGAATGTGACAAGCTGAACAACTGCTTAATTATTCTTGAATAGTTAAAATACAGTCCTCTCAAGAGTGAGGAGTACCTAAATCAAAGTCTAGGATCTCTATTAGCACAATATCTTAAACGTTTTGAACTCCATCTTAGCCACTAGTATGGTAATGGTAATGTGGGATAACATGATAATGGTGAAAAATGTTGTGAATTTCATAGATGAGTAGACTGATTTAATAGAAAGAAGGCTCCTCATGGTTTATCCCCATTCTAATTATGTAACCTTGGAATAATCTTGAACAAGTTTGAAGCTTCTATTGCTCCTCTGTAAAATGGGAGGCAGCAGTATGCAGAATGGAATGATATAGTAATTGCTTTCTTACGTGCATTACAAAGATTATAGCCATAAGTAATTTTTGGTATATTCTTTAAATTCACTATTATTGCCACCAAATAATGTGACTTATGCCTTTATTCCAAGTAGAATAGAGGGAATTTGGCTTTCTGATAATTTACTGTAAATTACTGTTTCTAATATGGCTCATATATGGAACAAAAGCCATCACTGCAAATAGAAAAACAGCAATATAAAAGACTGTTATTTCTCCTTTCATGTGTGGGGGAACATTCTTTAATATGTTATAGGAAAAGGAGCTAAGCATGTTTCTCAAGGTGGGTTCAAGTCCTGACTCTGTGGCATAGAGATATCATTTATCCTTTCAATTTTAAAGGAATGGCATTAATACCTGTCCTGCCTAATTCATGGTGATATCAAGATTAAATTTATTTATATGCAATACGTTTCTTTTTAACTAACAGTGGACAAGATCACTTTGACATGTAAGAATATATGAGTTGCTTTAGCATGTGAAATAATTTTTCTGATTGTTCATTATTTCTTTTTCTTTATATTGGCATTTATCATCTTATAATAGTAAGCTTCTGAAAATTTCCTGTATCCTTTGGAATATCCCACTTGCATTATTTCTTCCAAATCTATATCCTCTTTGTTTAAACAAGCAAAATATGCATGAAAATATGAGAGTATTTACAGTTTTTTTTCCCAGAATGATATTTTGACGCATAGTACTAGGAAAATAAGACTGAATTTGTTGAGGCTAACAACATTTTGTTTTATTTTTTTCTTCACAGATGTTAATGAAACTTTCAAAAACTATCAGTTTTCTAAGATAAAAATTGATAGTTTAACGTTTTCTTATTCCAATCCTTGTTTTTTAACATTTCAGCATTTGTTAAGCTGAAGTGTCTGTCAGTAAATAATATTCACTGTTGCTTCTTGCTCTTTCTTTTCAATGTTGTGAAAAATTTGACTCTGATGGAAAAATACTGATTAACTATTCCAAAACTATTTTGATCATATTCCAAGACCCAAGTGGTGCATGAATAAGTTCTTTAAGTTTTATATTTTAAAAATAATTGGATCTTTCTAATCCTAGGTGTCCATATCCCATGTGTTAGCTGGCACAGAACTAAGTAAATAACTCTTTTTTGTATTTGCATTTTAATTTCCCTTTAACGGTTTGCAATCTATGTTTTCATACAGAGAATACGCCTGCATTATAAACAGATGTCACTTGAGCTGTCATTTCAAAGATCTATGATAGGAATCTGAAAGTCTAGAGACAATGTTGAAAGTAGCAAATTTACTTAGAGTTTTTCAAATATTTTTTAACTGTGTTGCTTGAGATGGCAATGTATATAGCTCCCTATTTGCTAATCACAACTTGTGGCATGTTGCTTATTAATATGAATTACATTTATGCATCAATTTGACTTAAAATTTACAATATATTTTTAAACAAAATTATACATAAAGCATAAAACTGGATATTTAACACACTTCCCTTTGTGTACATACATAACCAATACATACATAATATTTCATAAACATTCTAACAATACAGATAGAGTTCTCCTAAACATATGTCAATTTTCTAACAAAAGTTAAATATGTTTTATGAAATTCAAAAGACATATTAGGTAAATGAAATAAGACTCCGGGATGTTTATTTATAATAAATGCTCTAATTAATAGGGACTGTATTGAAGTATTTCTCTATGAATTGTACTTTAAAAACTCTTATATTGTTCCTCTTTCTTGCTGAAATACATTTTGTAGTGGGAAATATTTTAAACTAAAGACTTCCCATCTGGCCCTGCCAAGGTGAATTTTTCCCTCACAGCTTTGACTTGCAGTCGAAGTTGATGTGAGAGTTTGTCATGGTTGTTTTGACAGTCCGGTCATCCTAATCCAGGGATTCAATCCCTGTGGTTTGTCAATTATCCTGCTAACCCTACAGCGAGAGCAACACTCAAGGCACTGAACTGTCAACCAATAACCAAGAAATAATGTCAGGAGCCAGAGAGGCAGGAGTGAGAAGGGAGATGCTTTCGATAACAGAAGTCAATGTATCACTCAGCATTTATTTTATTTATGTGGGCCCATAACAAATTAATTATTGGGAATCACATGATAAAATGTCATCCATTGCTTTGGAGATTCTTTTGTGTCTAAATTTGAAAAGCAAAGATTCGACTGCCTATGTGAGTTTTGCTAACCTGAGGTTCTGGAATATAACTCTATGCTAAAAATGGCTAGGTCACCTGAACTTAATTTGATAGTGATTTTTTTTTCATTTGTCTTATGTTTACTGTAGATCTTTAGGAAAAAAATAAATAATGCACCTGGGTGGGGACTGTTTGTGTGCTGCTCATGGAATAATTTTTAAAGTTACTAGGAGTCCCAGTTAGAGGGAAACTGACACAAATCTGGGGAGGGAATTGTGTCTTCTCAATGATAAAAAATGCTTTCAAAATCAAGAATTTCAAAGAAAAATTGCTTCTGAACAATCTATGATTTTAATAGAGTTTAATGAATGAAATAAAAGGGACTTTTAAGTGATAATGGTATTCATCTTAAAATGAGAAAATGATAAATCTTTAAATCTGTAACTACTGTTGAATGTGGCTCAGTGGAACTCTCAAGCGACATCAGCTAAAATCCATATAGGACTGTATTTTGCTTTAGTTCATAATCTCTCTGTGCTTCAAGTGTGTACCAATTCAAATATCTGCTATATACATAAACTAAATGGAAGTCTATAATTAACAAATCAACCCTGGGATCTTCAAATAAGCACTTGTTGGTTATAGTCCAATGAGACTTTTTACTTGCATGTGTTTACTCAGGAAAATGCTGAATAAACCAAAATCCTTGCTCTGTAAAGACCAAAAAGTTTGAAATTTAAATGTATTTTATGAAATTCCAATAAATACACTGGGTCTTGAAATTTAATGAATAAAGAACATAGTTTCCCTGGTTTGAGAAATTATAAAGTAACTTGTAAAGTAATACATATTTATTTTGGTTAATAGTCCAAAATATATAAAAAAAGGAAAATCTAAATATAACACAAATCATCATATATAATTAAATTTAGAATGTGGTATATTTTCTTTGGATATGTATTATATATATAAAATATATATTTACATATTCTGATGTATTTTCACATTTTCTCTCTCATTCTCTCTCTGTATATAGAAGAGATATCATTTTGTATCCAGCTTTTTAAATTTAAGGAATATATTCTTATAGAAAATTGTTTGCAATTATAATTTTAATGACATTGTAACATTTTAATGTATGATATATATAATTTGCTTACATAATACTATAATGCTGGATTTTGTATTAGGTTAATTTTGAAAAGGCATAAGATTACTGTGAAAAATAGCTCCTGTTTCTGATTTATTTATTATTTATTTCTAATTTTTATTTTAGATGGATTCTTTCAAGTAAAATTAGTCAAAGTGTCAATTATTTTGCTCATCTAAAAGGACTTCAAATCTTTTTTTAAGGTTAATTATTAGCTTAAGAAATTATCTTAGCTGCTAAATATAGTTCTAACTGCTTTTTTTTTAGGCTGTTACATGTATGGCAGGTATGTAATTAGTAGTCAATAGGTATTCCACAAAATAAAAACATGTCCTATCTGAAGACTAATCCTAGAGTGAGATATATTTGTGTTGGGTTTACGCTATTTTTTTTTTGCAGTGCTAATAGCCTAATCAAAACTAGTGTGGTGGGTGACAGGTCCCATTTTTGTGGGTTCTGATCTCACTTTTACTTCATACTAACTGTTAGTTCCTAGACAGACTACTTATATGCTTTAATTTATCTTTCTGTAAAACGAAGGTGATATTATTGTCCACATGTTTGGGTTGTGGAGAATGCTCAATTGAATAGTGTGCACAATCTATACAGTACAGTGCCTGGCCCATTACAGAACCCCCAGTGAATTTTGCTGTTGCTATTATTTGGATATAGCCATTAGTAAATAAAAATGTATTGAGATTTTACAAGCTTTGCATTTCTTGGGAGGAAGGATAGCAATTGTTTTCATTATGTACATAGTTAAACAAGCTTTTAGATATATCAATAAAAAGGTTCTTTTTTTTTTTTTTAAAAAAAGCACAGTTAAATTTACCAGTAATTATTCTTGCCTGTTGGGAACAACATAAAGGTAAAGTACCAGTAAGTATCTCTATTTGGGTTGTGTTATGTGTGTTATTAGCATAAATGTTAGGATACTATGTTGGTATTATGTAAGGTAGCCCAAAGCTTCTCAAACTTTCATGTGCATATGTATCATCTGGGGATCTTATTAAAAGGCAGATTCTGATTTGCTAAGTCTGAGGTGGGACTTGAAATTCCATGTTTCTAGCAGATCCGAGGTGATACTTATGATGCAATGGCCATGCTTTTGAGTAGCAATGATTTAGGATGTAAAATGAAGCTGTTGGAGTTTAATAATGAGAAAGGATTTTTTGTTGGTTTACTGTTTAGCACCTTGCTTTGGGCATTTAGAGTATTTGCATATTATAAATTAGAATCCTCTCAGTGTTCTGCAAAAGTGGGCAATCAATAAGTTGATTTGAAACTAATATCCTCAAACGTTTGGCAGTAGGGAGAATAGGATTTAAAAAGGAAAAAAAGAAAACAACAACAACAATCAAACCTTCTATCCACTGATCTTTGGCTGTCTCTGCAAATACGACATGAATATTTTGTGCCAGGTTGTGGGACTTTTCACCTCTGGCTGCTTCTCAATGCCATAGCCACCACAGAGCAGAACAACCTATGCTTTTCCTTTCAGCTGGCCCCCATCAAGGCACAGAAGTAGGTATCAAGCCCCATCAATATTGTTTAATGATCACTATGATAGGGGGATCCCTCATATTTCTTGCTCTGATTGTGCTTTTTGCCAGTGATCTTTATTTGCTTATCACAATCTGGGTATGCAGCAGTGCCTGGAGGTATATAAAGTATTGGGCAAGTTTGCTAAATTTTCCTAGAGCATCATTTTACTCAAAGATTTGGAAAAATTCTATTAATACAAACATGGATCATTTATAGCATAAAATTCGTGTGCATTTAAAAGATAACATGCGAGCTTATGATTGGCCAACCATGGCTATGTTCCTAAACCCCAGGGATATTGTTTCATGTTATTCTGTGATTAGGGCTAATTTCAGGGGGAAAGTATGAAATCCGTTAGAAGTGAAAAGAACAAGAGAAGAAATCCAGGGAGGCATAATGACAAGAAAATAAGCCAATATACTGAGTTTCTGATCCTTGTTTTGCCACTCATATCCTTTATAAATCTTCACCTCTCTGGGTGTCATCCATTTTCTTATTTGCAAAACGAAAGAGTTAGACAGATTTTGAGGTCCCTGCAAGCTTCTGGCATTCTATGATTTTTATGATTAAATTACTCTTTTCCACTGAGAATTTTATCCTAATTCATAGGAGGCCAGTTGACTATTTATGGTAGAGCCTTCCCCAGCCCTGGCTTCTATGGTAGTCCCCATCTGTGACCAGAGCTGTCAATCATTCTGTGATTATTTCCACTGTTTTGCAGAGTCAAAGGCCTACTCTAGAGATGGAGTTTCATTTGAAATACAATTGAGCACACATAGTGCGAAAAATGTGTTACCCCAAATGCAATGGGGTAAGTCTCTAGAAGAATTTACCCCCTAAATTTAGGCTATCAATGAGGTAGTGTAAACCACCAGAACCGCGACTTGACAATTTGTCAGTCAACTTCAGCAAAACTATAGAGGAACAGCACAATGAATTAATGAATAGCAACAAATCCCCATGACAACATGTTAGTTCATTAAAATTTTATCAGCATTCTTCCTAAGGAAAGTGTGCCTTCTGTTCTATGTTGAGTTTCTTCAACATTGTTTTACAGCCAATTCACAGCATTCTGGTGCTTCAAAATTAGTTCCTGTGGAGAGTGAGATACACACAGACTCTATATTGTGTCACACATGGGTCTCCTGGGTGTCACGATGAAATATTGCCTGCATTTTTGTGTATCTTATGGCTTAAACATTAGCAAGCATTTCCCTACTGCTTTTTTATGAAGAGTAGGTTAATTAGCCGAAAATCCATCTCTGTGTTAATTTTTTAGCAAATGCATTAAATTGCATTTTATAAATATCTTTCTAATATTCGACAAAAAAAGGCATCAAATGGGAAAACAACTGAAATATATTTTTGTTTGCTGTCACAGTGGCATTTTCCCTCTGGCTTGGGAAAACAAAAAGTAACACACATGCCTTGACATTTTCCTTGGATTCTTTTTTTTCTCTTCGAATGTTTTGTAATATGTAACCCTGATGTTAGTGGTCTGGGTGTTCTCAAATCTTCCAGTATTATAAGAAAACAATTGCCTTTTAAAATTTAGAAAAAATGTCTCATAATCCCATCCTACAAACAATAAGAAAATCATCACAGTTTCCAATATTTTTGAGGGGTTTTAGAGACTTACATTCATCTATTCAATTTCTGTTTCTATTCAATTTCTGATCTCATGTGTTTCTCCTTTTATAAAATGACCTAAATGGACTTATATATGGAAGTCAGCCCTCCTACTTTATGGACTTGATATACTATGGTTTGGGATTACAGTAATTTGGCAATCTCTTTATTTACCTACACAAATGAAAGACTATGATCTTCCCTGAGATCACAGATTTAGACCATTCATCTAAATATACACTTAAGTATCATGAAATCTTTTATTTTTCACGAAAGTTAAAGGAATGATTTTCAACATATCATACAGGCCATTCAATATGTTTACAATGGACACTTCTTATGAGTTAGTTAATTAGTGTTAATTACATTGTGAAATTTAGCAAAGTATATCAAGTACAATAGTATATTTCTCTTGACCTGAACATTTTATTTATAGGATATTACAAAATTATCAGATATTTGTACGAGAATTAATGCACAAGGATATTCATGACAATATTATTCATAATAGCTAGAAAAAATGAATTCAATCTAAATATCTAATAAGAAGATATTAATATAATTTGTTACAAAGTGACTTGGTATTTTTTTCTGTATGCTTATTTGTATTTTCTAATTTTTTATGAGGGCCAGGTAATACTTAATAGTTCCTTCAAAAAGGAAAAAAAAAATAAATCAAAAACATTAGACAAATCAAGTGCAGAAAGTACTTTTGTAAGGTAAGTAAATGTTTAAAAATAAAATTATTTGCATTATTTATAGCAGGATTTCTCAACAGGTTAACTATAGATATTTTGGTTCAAATATTTCCTTGTGGAAGCTATCCTGTGTATTGTGGGATATTTTATAGTATCCCTGGCCTCTACCCACCCGATGCTAGTAACATCCCTACTCTGTAACAACTAAAATGTCTGTAAACATTGCCGTGTGATCCCTGGTGGACAAAATTGATCCCCAGTTAAGAACTGATTTATAGGTATTGCTTCATTGTTTGATTTCATGTATCATGATTCTTAGTTCATACATGGAACATTTATTTGCTCTTACATGTTTATGCTTCTTGTAATATTTCACTTTTTCATGCCCTTATCTTGAAGGATAAGTTGTATTTTCTTCCCTTCAGACAAAGCCCCAGCTCGGAAATTGGGTCAGAGTATTTGACAAAGCGTGAATGGTTTAGAACACTGGATCTTAAAGGGCTACCTGTTAACGTGGCCATCATGGCTAGTTGCTAAAATCAAAGCTATTGAGGGAAGACTTGTACCTCCAAACCCACAAGGTCTACACTGTAAGTTTACCTTAAAACAATAAGAGACTACTTAGGCAGATTATTCCAAAAGTTCTACATTTTAAAATTGTCTAGTGCAAATATAGATCTTATTTTCAATAATTAGGCTGACTCTGGAAAATGTATGACTCAGGATCAGAAAGTGTGCCTTTGAGTTCTAAGTCTGCCACTTACCTGTTAACATGACTCTGGACAAGTCTTTTAACCTCTTAAAGCTGAAGTTTCGTCACCTGAAAATAAGAATAGTATTAACAGCCCTACTTAATTACATGATTATAATAATAATGAGTGAATTTATGGTTTGAAAGTGCTGCGTAGACTGCCAAGAACTCCACACCTATTGGGAATTCATTTCTCATGGAGGTTATCAGTGGCTGAAGTTGCCATGGCAACTTTCTGGCTTGTGATGGTCTAAAAGCAAGGCCTAGTATATACATGCCATCTATTTGCACCTAGCAAGTAAACAGGGGGAATTAAGGAACTTAACCTGAATTTTTTTACTAGCATTTTCTGAATATCTGTTTCCTATATCTCAGTACTCACAGTGAAAATAAAATAAATCTTAGATGCTGGTGAATATGAAATTTAAAACTAAAAAAGAAAAGAGGAAAGAAAGTAAAATACAGGTGAATTATTCAAAAAAAAAAAACTTAGGAAACACATATATAAGGATATTTCAAGAATTTCCAGTGTGAGACTTCCTCTGATAATTGTTTTCTCTGCTTCCTTCAACCCTGTTAGAATGAATCAACCAATGGGGCTTGTGCCATATTCCCTAGGAGCCCTTGCTACACTGTAATATAACTAAACATTAGAATATCTTTTTTGTGATTACCTGTCTCACAGTTTCTCTCCAAACCAACCTCTGTGGATTTCCAAAAACTATTGCAAGCTAGCATCTGAACCAGAAATGGAAGATATGCCAACTCTCTTGCCTGGTAATACTATGCTTGCTAAGTTCAAGATTGTAGATTAACAACCTACGAAATCAATAATAAAATGGATCAAAAAACGTATGCATTCAAACATCTTATTTGACTTTCATTTGTTCTTCCTTTCTTTTCAGTTCTTTCAAATTAAAATATGAGGTTGAGTTTCCCAGATCTGATGTCAAAGAGAAGATGAAAATAAATGTTGAAGGAAAATGTGGTGTGAGTGTGTGCGTGTGTGTGTGTGTGTAACAATCCATGAAAAAAAAAAGAAACCACCTAGTTATTCCTTATGGGGAATAGCACACGTCTGAAAAATTATTGCTTAATATAGTCTTAGATAAAGGAACAGCTTAAAAAGAGTTAATGGCAATAAACTTAAACACATAAAGACTTATAAGAAAGGTTTAACTAGGGAAATGATTGAATCAGTTTTGGACAGCTATGATAATGGCAGAATATGCACATGCTTATGTATTGATCCAGCACACAGCTGGAATCAGCAATGTCAAGTTCAGGAAAGAGATACATTGGAAAAACAGATATATATTTGACCACTATACTAACACTGGAATTTATAAGAATGAATGAGGTGACCAAGATTAAGGAGCAAGTGTACAAAGTTAAAAAATGACCCGCAATTATCATTATTTTTCTGCTTTTATTGTTTCTTTCTACACTAGAGCTTAAGCTCTGTAAAAGCAGAATGTCCAACATTCTTATTTACTGTTGTGTTTTGGCACCTACCATGATGCCTGGGGCATGGTGTCACTGGATGAACAGGCAGCAGATGATGTTATTCATAAGTTAATATAGAATTAACTTGTATGTTGTTGTTGTTGTTACTGGTTTTAATTGGAGTGATCCCATTAACAAGAAAATTTAAAGACAATTTTCCCTCTCCCCTCAGATAGGTCTTTTTATTGTTTATTTGTGGATTTGCAAGTGGTATGGGAGTCAGCATGAAGAAATTTAAACATATCTCTCTGTTTTAGGCTGTATGGTTATAGACTGTCATGGAGGCACACTTCCCACTTTGTATGAAGGGCTGTGGTCCCACAAGTGATCGCATAAGTGATAGAGCCCCTTTTTACAAAATTACACTTTGGTTATGACTTAGCTATAGAATGACATTCCAAAATGCATTTTGACTTTTAAAGACAGGACCTTTCTTGACTTCAATGTAATTACTAACTCTAAGGAAATATCTCTCCCCCTCTTTATCTCTTCATTTACATATTGCCTCCAGCTTCTGATAGGGATCTTATGAGGTGGCATTTGTCCTTCTATATTTTATTCTATGCTCCTATGATTTTAAAAACAGATTCTACCTTGGTATTATCAATTTCTTAGGTGTGCTTTTCTTCTTTTCCTATTCCTTATGATATTTTCTGCAATCCTAATTCTGATGTCTCCCAACTCACTTGTTGTATTCTTCAGGAATCCTTTGGTTGAAAGAGATGGAAAATTTGATGGAATAAACAATGAAGGGAGTGTGGTAGGCTGAATAACGCCCCTCCTAAAATTGTCTATGCCGTCATCCCCAGAATCTGTGAATATGTTACCTTATGTGGTAGAAGGGACTTTGCAAACATAGTTAAGTAAAGGACTTTGAAATGAGGAGATTAGACTCCTCATCTAATCACAGTGATTCTTAATCACAACAATTCTTAAAAGTATCACAATGATTCTTAGGTAGGATCAGTGTCAGAAATAGAAAATGTGATGGAAGCAAGAGGTTGAAAGATGAGAGGAAGGGGCTATAAGCCAAAGGATGTAGATGGTCTTTAGAAGCTGAAAAAGGAAAGAAAGAGTCTCTCCCCTGAAGACTCTAAAAAGGAAAACAGTCTTGTAGACATCTTGATTTTAGCCCCTGAACTTTAGAATTATGAAGTAATAAATGTGTGTTGTTTTAAGCCACTAAATTGTGGTAATTTTTACAGCAACAATAAGAAAATTATATAGTTTATTTATTTGCTTATATCTGGTTAAGGTAGAACTGAATCCAGTTTTCTTTTTCTAATTTGAGATAATACATTTATTCTTGTATTAATCTTATAATGAAACATCTATGATTTAGTGTAAAATGATGCACAAACTTGTGAAATCAACAGACCACAAAAACTTTATGGATGTTTTACTTCTGCCCTCATATTTTTAGTGTCTCATATATTTCTAATTCTACAGGATTTTCTTTTATCTAGTCTTCCCAAAGCATTCAACTTTTCAAAAAGGTGATAACTTTTCTTCTTTTCCCTCATATTTTATTAATTTATTCAATATTCAATAAAATTTTACAATTACAATAAATTTGAGAAGAAACACTGATGACTCTTAATTATGATATTGTTGAACTAGACAGAACCACATTCAGGGTGATGGTTACCTTATAATGTTTTAATGAAGGCATGAAGAGTAAATCAGAATATTTTTGGAATATAGATCAATTAAGAGAACATATATAATAGCACAACTGACATATCTGAATTAGGTTTCATTGGCCTGGCTTGGTGTACATCCCTGTACTTGACATTATCACTATGGCCAAAAGGATATAGCACAGATAACACTGGGTGGTTTCCCATCAGTCAATTTCAGCAATCTCTATTTTCCTTGACTTTTTCACCTTCCTCCCACTATAGAGACTGAATAATCCAGATACTTGATTTTCCATTCCCTATTGCTAGTAAGGATAGACATGTGACCCAGTTGTAACTATTGAGATGTAAACAGAAGTCTGCTCAGGATTTCTGAGAAAGGAAAGGATTTTCTCTCCAATAAGTGGTAAAGTGGGTGGAAGGTACCTTTCTTATTCCACCCTAGCAATTTCTTGCTTGTAGGTACAGTCATATGACTATGAGGGACAAGCTAAGAGACTCTTTCGGGAACCTATACCACAGTTTGAAATTATGGAGCTGCTGAAATAACCTAGAACTTGTTATTGAATTATGATTTGGTCACATTACTTTTGTTTCCTTTTGTAGATGAATGCTTCTTTACTGATGGAGAATAGAACAAACCGAGAGCTATATGGCAATTATCTGCTCACTTTCAGAGATAGTGTATGTATTGGTTGAATAGTTACGGACTGACACAGTCTGGACTGAGTCATTACTCAAAGGAAAACAAAAATGGAATTATTAAAAGAAGGAGAACATAAATCTTACATGAAAATAACAGAAATCAATGTAACATGTAATCTAAAATACCAATTTTTTTTTTTTTTTTTTTTTTTGAGACAGAGTCTTGCTTCGTCTCCCAGACTGGGGTGCAGTGGCGTGATCTCAGCTCACTGCAACCTCTGCCTCCCGGGTTCAAGCGATTCTCCTGCCTCAGCCTCCCGAGTAACTGGGATTACAGGCATAAGCTACCACACCTGGCTAATTTTTGTATTTTTAGTAGAGATGGGGTTTCACCATGTTGGCCAGGCTGGTCTCAAACTCCTCACCTCAAGTGATGCACCCACCTCAGCTTCCCAAAGGGCTGGGATTACAGGTGTGTGCCACCATGCCTGGCCAAAAAACCTACTAATCTTATATGGGTCCAAAGTTAAAATGCAAGCAGTAGGTATTGTTTCCAGAGAAACCTGAAGTGCTAAACTCTACTACTGTGTTTCCCTAAACTTTGCTAATGTTTCCTTTCCTTTTCTCGTTTTTCCTAAGATTCTTGTCACTTGTAAATTAGAAACCTATATGCAGTAGGAAGATAAGCTGATGTGAGCTAGAGTCAAATGAAATTGTCAAAAGAATGCCAGTCATTTTAAGCTGCTGTCTGAAGTCTGTCTGCCTGTCTCTTTCCTGTAGTCTCTGTAAGACAGCTCTTGTTAAAGGTATATGTCATGTCAGTCAAACACCATAGGTGGTGTTTGGAGTTTGCGGTATTGACAATAGATATTTGCTTTTGTCTCCCATAATCCCATCTTAAAGGAGTGTGGTAGGTACAGATACCTCTTGAAAGAAAAGAGACACAAATGATGGACCAAACATTCTAAATAGAGGCAATATTGCCCATTGTTTCTTGACTTACCAAATGGATCAGCTTTAACAAAAATTTGAATACTAAATTATTTTTATGACTGATTTTATACAACCATGTAGCTTTGCAGCTAGACAGAAAAATGCATGGCTTCCTAAGTTACAATCCAATAAAGTTACTGACAATCTGCTAATTAAAGTGCATAGTTTAAAACCCTGTGAAGGATGACATAAAACTTAGAAAACAAAAACTCCTGCATTTAAGTGACTTACAGTAGTGGTGGAGGATGTGGGAAAGGCAAGATAATTTTATAATTATAATTCACAGAAACTAAGTAAGCACCAGAATAGAGGAAGAAAATATTTTAGAAATTCTGATTGGCATCTGGTTTGAGGGTCAGGGAATCTTCAAGATGAGAATGATATTTAATGTGATATTATTTGTGGGGACTCTGAAAATGAACTCTACATTAAGATGGGAACACCTGTATGTTAAGCCCAGACCTTTGGTGAAATAGGTAGATGATCTGGAAAAAATTCCCTTTGTTAATTCAGATCTATCTGTAACATGAACAGTGTTTTATTAGTGATAGTATTTATCTGTGATTATTACTTTATATGTATTTAAGTATAGGACTCTAATTAAATACAAAAGGATTGGTAAGTGCTTTTATAATTAACTGGTATGAGTACTGATAGCTTTTTTTTTTTTTTTTGGAGACGGAGTTTTTTGTTCTTTTTGCCCAGGCTGGAGTGCAATGGCACAATCTTGGCTCACTGCAACCTTCACCTCCGGGGTTCAAACAATTCTCCTGCCTCAGCCTCCCAAGTAGCTGGGATTACAGGTGGATGCCATCATGCTCAGCTAATTTTTGTATTTTTAGTAGAGACAGGGTTTCCCCATGTTGGTCAGGCTGGTCTTGAACTCCTGGCCTTGTGATCCACCCGCCTCGGCCACCCAAAGTGCTGGAATTACAAGCGTGAGCCACCGTGCCTGGCCTAGTATCTATTTTTTATATGTAAAAAAGCTCTGAGAATAGAATCATTCATGTTCTTATAACATTATATTTATTACTTTTTTTCTTCTACCTCATTTAAAAATAATTTCAGCCACAGAAAACAAATAAAGTGAATCAATTATTTTGTGAGGGTAAATTAATTCCTTGATATATAAGAATTAATATACAACTTAGCACTAATAAATCTCAAAAGGCAACTGTGTTTCAGGCTAAGAACAATACTTTAATCAAAGAAAAGACAAAACAAAACCAATGCTGATTAGCATAACAGGGAGAAAAGAAAAAGCATCTACCCATTTTAGAAGTATTTGAGAAATTCTATATCCCCAAAATAGAAAAAAATATATAAAGTCAGCTAACCAGACTGCTATAGAAATGTCTTCATTTGTTATCTCTTCTTTAGCCTATATGCCTTCCTTTCCATCAGATACACTGAATGCTTGGCCTACATATCACTCAGACACAGCTGAGAGAAGGGCTGAAGTTAGCTCACGCTGTAGTTTAAACAGCATAAGGAGGTCATGGAGGCACAACTATATTCTCAGGTCTACATGCACACTGAATGCTTACTTTGAGCTAGGCACTATGCTTGATGTGTGTGTCTATATACACACACATATACACTCATTTAAGCTTTACAATAGTCCTAACGGGAAGATACTGTTACTGGCATTTGACAAATGAAGAAGCTGATACAGAGAGAGCTTTATTAATGAGATAAGATGCTACAGTGGAAGCTTCAGTTTAGACACTAAAGTGATACGTATTGTATCAAAGGAAGTTTTGAGGTATACCACATGTGACTAGTGGTTTTAAATCCTCAATGAATCTTAAATATGTCATAAACATGGAGGGCATAGAAAGGATCAGGCCATTGCAGACTGGGGAAGAAATTTTTTTGAAGATGATTTCCTTGGACAGAGCTGTGAGCTCTACCCCTTTGCAAAGGGGTCAGAGTTGAAGTTATTTCCTTTTTGGAACCGAAAGATCAATGACTGAAGTGAAGAGGGTGTAAATCGAGGCTAGAGAGATGACTAGGGTCCAGTTCACGCAAATATTCTATTTCTTTTCTTAGGATAGTGGAAAATTGCGAAATACTTTACACTGCAGGATGACATATTTACAGGTGCACTTTTGCTACTCCGTGGAGAATGAATGGGCCGCAGCCAAGAGTGGGAGCAGGGAAGGCAGTAAGTGGTTCCACTGAGAGCTGATGGCCTGGGCCAGCAGGGTGGCGGTGGCAGTGATGAACTCAATATGTATTTTGTAAATTGGATCAACAGAATGAGTTTATAGAGTAGATACTGGAGGGAGGGGAAAAAGCCAATTTTTATGGTACAAATTTAAAGGAAAAGAGTAGATAATATCACACTGAACCTTCTGGGCTCTCTGAAAAAATGGCTTTTTTTTTTTTTTTAAATTCAATCCACCACCAAAATCAGCTCATGTAAAGATGTCTAATGTCCATTCTTTTGGCAATTAAGGAGGAATTTTAAAGGAAAATATATGTCTTGTCATTTCAAGAATGCATATACAACTCAGGCCCTGCAGTTCACCGCTAATGGCACTTAAATATCTTTAGGGAAAGTGAATCTGTTGATTGCTAAAATTGCCCAGTAAACATAATACACTGAACCTTGGAAAAAGTGCAGATAGAATTTACCTTGCCAATTGGCCCCTGCCTCCCTTGCTTTTTTTTTAACTTCCTTGGTACATTTAAACAACGCATACCCTGCATGACTTACTCTTGGTAGTAATCTCAGTGGCTCTCAGTCTTTCTTGAATTTACTTCTTCCCAGTGATATGTTTCCAGAATGCACTTTCCTTTTTATAGCTGAAGGATTTCTTTACTCTGCAAAATCAGACTTACTACTCATGTGTCCCATGGTATACTTAGCAAGACACATTTTTTATTGCTACCCATACACAAGGTAAAAATGTATATATATGTATTTTGTATATGTATATAAAAGGGTTGACATTAATTATAACCACTAGAACATCCTATTTTCTGACATAATTTTTAAAAATTACTATTACTTTATTTTTATTTTTAGTTTTTTTAGAGTGGGGTCTGTCACTCAGGCTGGAGTGCAGTGATGCTATCATAGCTCACTGTAGCCTCGAGCTCCTGGGTTCAAGCAATCCTCTCACCTCAGCCTCCTGAGTAGCTGGGACTACAGGCACACACCATCACGCTTGGCTTCTGACCTGATTTTAATTCAGATTTGGTTATTACAGAATACTGGTTTGCCTTGGTTTAATAAATCCCTTCCCTCTTCCCTACTTGCCTACCTTCCTGGCTTCTTGCCTTCCTGCCTTGCTGCTTTATTTTAGTCTTCCATCATTTTATCCAATAAATATGAGGGCCCACTCAGACTCTGGGCTAGGCCCTGGTGACTTAAGAGTGAAAAAGACAGATAGAGTCCTTTTTCTTACAGCTCTTACATGTAGCAGACAGAGACCATTATAAACAAAATAATTTTAGATATTAATAAGGATTATCAGGAAACAACACTATTCTCAGTGAGAAAATAGAATGCCATTTTAAACAGAATTCCCATGGACTGCATATCTGAGGAAATGCTATTTCAGTTGAAAACTGAAGGATAAGAAAGAAAGAGCCAAATACACTTCAGGGGAAGTGCTTCCATCAGAGGGAACAACACGTAGTTGTCACAGGGAAGGCCACTACAGTGCAAATGGTACTTTGTAAGATGTAGAAAATTATGCCTCTTTCTCAAGACACTGATGGAAAGTTACTGCAATAAATACACAAATACGTGAATAATTCAAATATGACCTTGACACCTAATATGTTCATTGCATACTCTGTACCATTTTATGTTGAAGCTTGGCAAAGGCCCTGAGGTAGGAAAGACATTTGCATGTTCATAAAAGTAAAATATATCTCATGATCCTAGGCTGTATTCATCATGATGGAGAAATAGGCAGGAATCAGAGTCATGGAGGAGTTTTTTCCCCCCTGCAAGTCAACAATGTCACAACATTGAAAAGGTATTTATCCAGTGTCCTCTACCTTACCCTAATGGTGGCAGAATGGCTGCAATATCTCCATGTATCTCCACAATTTATTTCAAATGCGAGACATGGGGAGTAGTTCAGGAAGAGAATTTTGCTTACTATTTGATATCTTATTTTCCCTGTTTTGCTTAGCTGTCCTCTCAATCCCTTTTCTTCCTTCTTCTTATTTTCCTCTCCTCTCCCTCCTTTCTTTTCTTTTCTCCTCCGTCTCCTCATCTTCCTTCTCTTTCTTACTCTTCCTTCTTCTCCTTCTTCTGTTTGGGGAAGGGAATGTTCCCTAGAAGCCCTTTGCAGGACTTCATCTTATGGTTATTGGACAGTGCTGGCCATTCCTATATACCTCAGACAGGGACCACCTGCTCTGATATCAAGAGACACCCAACTAAACTTAACACCTGCCCCAAATCTGAGCCTTATTTTCCACAGGGAAGATAATAAGCAGTATAGTATCTACTAAAGTCTTATGACCTTACAAAAGAGCCTGGAGCAATCAGAAGCTTCAAAGGCTGTTCATAGGACAAATGACACCATGTCATGTGTCTTAATGAGACAAGTCTGAGTGCTGAATGGTGAATGTATTGAAGACACAAAAGTGGTAGCAGAGAGACAAGTTAGGCATTTTTTTCAGAGGATCAGAGATTTAAACGTGACCAACACTAATGTGGTAATAGGAGAAATGAATGAAAGAGGTAATGTAATCCCAGGTAGACAGGCAAGGATGCAACTCTGTTCATTTTGCATCTTTGGCTTCTGGCTTAGAGCTGGACACAGACTGCTAAACACTATCATTAGAAGAGAGAAAGGAGGGATGGCCCGTTATTTTCACCTTCTTTATTTTCCTTGTATGTATGAGATGACATAAAAACAAATCAAATCAAATTAAAAGAATTGCTTTTCCTTTACAGGTTTAAGTTTTGAAGAAAAATTTTTGTAAATCTTTGTCTAAATGGAAACCATGACTCATCACCGAGTCTTATGGCTTGTTTGTTTCTGTATTTTTTTCTTTATTCTTTTTCATGCCCTTCCTTGCATGCGGCACCTCACAAAGGCTCTCAAAGACTTTTCACTCGGTTTCAGAAGGTGACGCAGTTGAAACTCTGGCTGCATCTGCTATGACAGTGTGTGTGAAAAGACCAGTTCCTCAGGGAAAAATGCTCCTATTTCTCTCCCATTGACTTTATAGGCATAAGGAGACTTTTGTGTAAAAGTGGCAGCATGCTGTAAATCTCTACTCCCTGTGTGCCTTAAATATCCATGTCAAGTGTGCTAAATTTATTGACAAAATCCACACTGTTCTTCCTGATGTCAGTACAGAAACACAAGAGCTACAGATGGACAAGCTGTGTTTGGGTCTGCCTTACACATCAACAACAGAATTGCCTTTTAGTTCATCTTCCATAATCTTTATAGCTGATGGTGAAAAAATCATGGTTTCAGCTACTTGGTTGAAGCCTGCAGCATTAGCAATGCAAGCATTTTATTTAATGGCTTTCACCTGGAAGAGTGAAATAGCTGTATGGTTATGTAATTCTTTTAGGGTTACTTCTTCATTATTTGTAAAAGCTTCATATCATCTTTTAGAAGACATAAGAAGCAATATAGAACTTCAATGCCAGAAAAAGCTCTGGAGAGCTTCCTCTGGCCAAGGGGAAGTCCCGAAAAACTATTTTAGAGTAACACATTTCCCCTTATCTTCGCTGTTAAGATTTTAAAATACCTGGCCTCAATACTTGATAACCTCCAGATTAAACTTTTTTTTAAACCTAAGCTAAAATTTACAAGGATTACTAAGTGAACAATTAAAATGCTTTGTCAAATGTATGCACTGATGTAACCAACTTTCCAGTCCAGGTATAGAACATTTCTACCTCACTGCAGTAAGTTCTCTAATCCCTCTTTCCAGTCAACCACTTATGCCAGTTGGAAATGGAGAGGCAATCACTATTCTATTTCCTATCACCATATATTTCTTTTCATCTGTTTTTGAAGTTTGTGTAATTTATATACATTATTTGTGCTTGTTTCCTTTCACTCAACATAATATTTTTAAAAGTCATGCCTGCTGTTGTGTATATCAGTAGCTTACTTATTTTTATGAGTGAAGTAGTATTTCATTGCATAAATATAACTCAGTTTTTCCATTTTCTTGCTTGTGAATATTTGGGTTCTTTACTTTTTTTATTATTAGAAATAAGGCTATTAGGGAGATTTTTCTACTGATCTTTTGGTGGATATGTTTTCATTTTCGGGGGGAAAACTTAAGAGTAGAATTGCTGGGCCATGAGGGAGATATACAATTAATTTATAAGAGACTGTAAAACATTTTTACATTGCCACCAAAGTTTTGGAGAGTTTCCATTGCCCCATATTGTCACTAACATTTGGTGGTGGTGCCAGTTTTTTGCTTTCTTTTTTATTTTTTTAATTTAGCCAATCTAGTAGGTATGGAGTTTTATCTAGTTGTGAGATTACTTTTCATTTCTCTGACAAATAATGGTGTTGAGTCCTTTTTATGTGCTTGTTAGCCAGGCATGTATCATCTTTTGCAAAGCATCTGCTCGTCTTTTGCCCTTCTTATAATTTTTTAAGTTAATGTTTTGTAAGATTTTTTTGTACATTCTGAATACAAGTCCTTTGTTAGATATATGCATTGCATGTATTTTCTCCCAGCTCGTGGTTTGCATTTTAAATTAATAGTGTCTTTGGATGAACAGAAATTTTAAATTTCGATTAAATCAAAGTATCAATTTTTATGTTAAGTCATGGAATTCAATATTTCAATATACTAGGTTTACCTCTACCTCCATTTTTTACCATAATAAACTTTTGAATTATGTGTAATCAACCTAACTAGAAACTTTGATTAACCAGGACTTTTTATGTTACTTCACTAATGAGAAAAAGAAGACAATAAACCTATTTTTCTTGCATGGTAGCCTAATTCATATAAGGCCACTTTCAATTTTAAACATTTGCATTGCTGGATAAAATATAACCAAAACATTAATATTCATGGAAATTTAAAAGAACATAAGAGGGGAATAAAGAAGACCAAAAACCTCAAGTGGGAGCAGTAACAATGCAAGTTGATGGAATAACTGCTGAGCAAAGTGTTAGTGGTAAGTATGAAACGAACCGAGATATTGGCTTTAACATTGAGAGGCTGAGCTGTTGAAATCCTTGCAAGACTTGGAGATATGGCCCAGGGTCCATGCAAGGTCATGAGATAAAACCAACCTCTCTATACAACTTTGAAAATGCTCTGTAATATAGGGACTAGAAAATTCTACCTCTTTGAAGCTTGTCCTGCTTGGGGCTCTGATTATTTGGAAAAAAAAAGTCTCCCATAAAAAAGTATGAAAGGACTTCAAGTTTGAACAATGTAATGGCAAGTAGAAATCCAAGCTGAGACATTAACATAGCAAGTACCTCTCTACTTGTGATGCCCCTGGACATCTGGTAAATGCAGAATGCCTCTGTAGGGGACACTTTCACAAATAGGACTTTCTTCCCCCAGCTACAACAACTACAGCAAAAATGAAACAAAAACCCTATTGCTGATAATCTCATAGCAGGCATTTATTTAAAACATTAGGAAATATTCCACAGGAGAAAGAATAGACATATTAATGGAGAGCTCTATTTCTCTCAAAACTAAAAACAAGAGGCAATAGGAAAATATAAAGGGTAAGTATAAGTTGTGTTTAAAATGACAAAACATGAACATCTAACCAATACATAAAGTATCATGAAATAACAGAACACAATAAACAAACATATCAAAGATATGGCATACTAAAAATAAATCTAGAAATATAATATACAGGTTAAATGCATACAGCTTACTCTGAAGCATTTATTAGTGAACTAAAAGACAGATTTGAGAAGCTCACTGGGATCATAGCAAAAAAGTGATTAAGAAATAGAAATTATAAAAAAGAGATTAACAGTAGGTAGAATAATAAATGCTGACGTATGTCTAATAGCTTTTCCAGAGATAAGCATAGAAATGGGGGAGTGCCAATACTCAGAGATAATAGTTGAGAAGTTTCATTAATTGTTGGAAGTAAAGAATCTCAGAAAAAGAAGCACAAATCTAAAGCAATGTATGTAAAGATCACTGCATGCATCGTTAAAGATTTGAAAAACACCAAAGATAGCAAAAATTTTTAAAGCAAATAGAAGTAAAATATGACTTACCTGCAAAAAACAAACAAAAAATCCCAAACAGACTTACTGAAAATTTTCTTCATACAAAACTAATGACCAGAACACAAAAAAAATAGTGTATTGAAAATATCTCCTAAATGACAGTTTTTCAGGGTAAAAACTGTTAACATGGAAGTTTTTATCCTGAAAAACTGTCACTTAGGAGATAGGTGAAAAAAAGTTATACCAAACAAAAACTAAGACAATTTACTATGCACTGATTCTCAGTGAAATATGTTCTAAAAAATGAATTCCTGTATAAGGGAAAACAAATAGAGAAGCTAGGGCCTTGGCAGTGATGCTTGTTAAATTCAAGTTATTTATACCTGTTAAATTTTCAATGCAACCACTTAAGAATAGAAACACCAATTAATAGAGGAAAAAGAAGAAAACAAAGAAGATTTGATTATTCAAATATAAGTCACGGAGGAGGAAAAAATAAGCAAGAGAAAATTATAGAAAAGAGAAAGCATAAAATTGTAAAAATACATTTAAATGTATTAACAATAATAGAAAATGGACATACTGGGCATGGTGGCTCATGTCTGTAATCCCATTGTCTCCGGAGGTAAAGGCAGGAAGATTGCCTGAGGCCAAGAGTTCAAGACTAGCCTAGGCACCATAGTGAGACTCCTTCTCTACAAAATAAATAAAAAGTTACTTGTGGAATATACCTATAGTCCTAGCCAGGAAAGAAGATTGCTTGAGCTCAAGAGTTGAAGGTTACAGTGAGCTATAATTGTATCACTGCATTCCAGCCTTGGTGACAGAGTGAGACCCTGTCTCTGTAAAAAAATAATACTTTAAAAAGATTCTTAAAAATAGAAATTACCAGATCAATAAAAAGTCCAACTATAGTATTTGGAACTGTAAAATACAAACATATTATTATTAATGATTTATAATTACCTATATATGTGGTAAAGCATAAAGACATGGTTTGGGGGAGAGACACACGATATTCCAATTATTAATTACATCTCAGGACAGAGGAGCTGCTTCAACTAACCCTGTGATGTTTTATTTTCTAAAAAATGTGGTGGGTATGTGAAAATCTTTTGTATATTTAAAATACTTCAAAAATAAACATAAATGAAAATGAATCACAAGAACACAGGCTCACATTAAATATTTTATGCAATATAAACCAGTTTCTAGGAGATGGTCCTTGGTTAGTACACATTTAGCCAAATATTTATCTCTGAAGTCTACAATTTTTACATCTACAGTACCATACTGTGGTTCCAGATTTTGTAAATTTATATGATTTATATTTTGACAATGGTTATCCTGAGTTATGCAAAAACCTCAGTCATTAGAAAACTAATCGATTATGTTCCTACTTTAGTGTAAAATTGAACAAATATAGTTTGGGAAAATTTTTTTACAAGTGTTAAAATAATTTTTTTATAAATCTGAAATTAAGTAAAAAATAAATTAATAATAGTTTTGCACTTCTTGTAGATTCAAGCTTTTGGGAATTTTTCTGTAAATATAAATAGATTAGATACATATTAGCCTTTCCCTCAACCAACATATTTTGTTTCACCAATAAAAATTCCTATGAAATGCAGTATTAATATATAATATACAGACAAGAACATATTCTTTTCTATAGTTGAAAATGCCCAGTTCACATATGTTATTTAAAAAAACTATTTGAAGTCCTAAGAATGTTTAGTATGACAGTGTTTTCCTGTTTTTAATGGTAATATGGTTTATTTATTCAGCACCTATTTGCTGAAAAAAAAATATACACTCAGTCTAATAATTTAAACACTCAGCTAGGTAATGCCTACTTCCAATGATAAGAAAACTCTGAGTTTCAAAAATCTTTGGTCAATTATCAGTGCTTTACAAGTAATGTGGTTTGGAGCAAAGATTTTGACTAGACTCTGTCCACTGCATTATACCTTTGCACACAGACACTTGAAGTGAAAGTGCACTGTCTTTGTTCATTAAACAAATTATCCCCATGGCCAATAAAGCTTAGCATGAATTTTCTCACAACAAATTTAACTATTCTTGGGTTTTGGGAGGGTGGTATTTGGTGTATTCTGTCAATTGAGGCTTTGATAATTCCCCATGTACTACATAGCATGTCATGTAAGAGTAATCAAAGGGGTCAAAATTTCTTTTTGTTCTACGCATTTGTTCTCTCTGCCCTGCTTCCTGGTTTTCAGTGATAGTCTCTTCCAAGAATGTCAGGCAAATGGGTAAATGAATTCATGGCCCCCAAAATTCCTAAAGGCAAAATATCCATAACAATAAAACAGAAAACCACCTTATTGATGAAGTAAGAACTGCTGGTCAACATATTCTTTGTCCACCAAAGAAGAAATAATTTCAACTATGAGACAGAGAGAGAGAGGAAGACAAAGAATTCTAAGTCAGACAAGTACACATCTACTTTGAGCACATACTCAGCTAGTTCTGGAAATGGCCTATCGTAGTTTCACTGTTCCTTTTTGCACTTGCTTTTGTCATCTAATTTATATGTAAATATGTTTATCATTGCTGAGCGGTGAAAGGAATTTGGATTTGGAATATGGAAGAAAGTCTGGGATAAATTTATGGATTTGTGAAAAGTTTATAGAGGAATGTAAAACAAAGTGGAAAAGGAGACCCTAAAAGAAATATGAAAAAGTAGACTAAGAAGAGCTCATATAGAAAGGAATCTGAGTAGAACCTGAATTATCTATGATCACAAAATCGGTGCCTCTATTTTTTCTTATTGGGGATGCCTCATGCGTTGTATCTTTTCTTGAAGAGGAAGACTTCCTATCACGTCCTCTTAGAAGGCTATTCTTAGTAATTTCCAAAATGATAGCTTACGCATTAGTTGAAATAATACTAGCTGCTTTAATAAACAAACCCCCAAATCTTTGGGACTTAGCAAAATAGACATTTCTTTATCTCTCATGTAAAGTCCAAAACTGGTGTTCGTGATTGATAGACAGATTTTTTTTAAAAAAAATCAGTGGTTAAGATATTCAGACTCCTTCCATCTTATATTTTTGCCATTGTGAACACTTGGCTTTCAATACTGTTATGTTAATCTGTCTCAAGTCAGAGGATGGAGGATGGGGGATCACTCATGGGAAGATTTATGATCAGGCTGAAAGCGACTCATGTCACTTTATGAGTCGCCACAAGTAAGGTTGTGATAAGTGGTCTCACTGAGCTTTGCAAGAAAAAAAACTCTCCTGGTGGAACAATCCACCAAACTCAGGTAAATCTTTCGGGTAATTATTCCCTGTGTCTTCACTGATGCCTGGTATTCTATTATTAACCATCTTTCATTGGTTTGTATCCCTGCTGCTATGTAAATAATAGAATTAGGAATTTGGGACATTGATGGATAGTTATCTGTTAGTGTAAATTATCACTCCTAAATTTGTGAGTCATAACTCATTAATAGTTTTTGAAATTAATGGAGTAAGTCATATTGTGACCTACATTTAACAAAGATGAAAAAGATGAAAAAGAACAGAATAAAAAATGTCATAGTGCATTACATAAAATACAGGTAAATATCATTTTGTATAACTTTTGTTTCAATTATATATTCCATAAGCTCCATATTATAATTGTATAATATATAAAATATATTATGTATATATAATTAAAACAAAAGTTATATGTTATCTATCTGGACTATATATGTGGATTAATAAGTATGTTGCATATATTTCTTTCTGTGGTTGTTTTTTAAAAAAGTGAAATATTAGTGTCACTAGTTTGCTTGCATTTTCATACAATGGTAGAACTTAAAGTGGACATAGAAAAGAAAAAAATCTATCATATTTCACAGTTTTGCTTGGGGTTGCCTATTATGAGTGAAAGGATAATCATTTAAGTTGCAATATAACCTGAATTTTCTTCTTCCTGTGGATAACAATGGCAAAGGAGGAAATATGTGAAATATCCTAAGAAATTATCACATTTCTATATAAGGCAAAGAATGAGTCTATAGGAGAATTACAGACTTAACTCTCAATCTGTTTGCCTTCTGTCAGTTTTGGATGGATAATTTTTTAAAATAGTTGTTTCAGGAAGTATCAATATACATGCACAAAATCAATGCTGTCATCTAAAGTTTTTTATATAAGCAGGTGGTTTTGGACCTTGCCTGCAGCAATAGCCTTTGATCATTTAGGGGCTACTGATGTACCCTAGGCAGCTCCAGTTAAACAGTTATTTGTAGTCATTTAAATACACACCTTTAAACTATATCTTTAATCTTTTTGCACTTATAATAGGCTCACAGTATGAGAATATTTGAAAAGATTTTCCCCCACAGTTATACTTCACCTTTTTCTTTCTAGGGACATATGTAGTAGTTTTTTTTCCTCTATGAATGTAACTGAAATGGTACATAAGCATGAATATTTGATAAATACAGTTATAGACAAGCCTAGTCAAATGATTTGAGATGATTTCCACTAGGAACTAAATCCAACTAACTTTTTATTTGGATGTAACTTTTGAACCTAAAATCTGAAGTTCTTCAGGTATCTCAGAATTATATAGATCTCTTTTTCATATCTTATATACTTCAGGAAAAATGAAATAAAATGTATGAAGTAGTTAAGGAGGAGGAGAACATAAACTAAGAAGAATGGTCAGTTTGGTCTCCACTTCAATATATCACATGTTGGGATAGCTATGTCATCCCTACAAAGTGGGAATAGATAAGCCTTTTCACATTAAGGCTCATCTAGTCTCAATTTGTAGGGATGGCATAGCTATAAATCAATGATGTCACAATAAATTCCCATGAGTTACCTGAATGTATGGTAGGTCCCAAGTACCCAGCTGATTTTGGTGAGGGATGCAAGGTGAGTTCAACAAGAAGCTTCTAATCTCATGACTATGAATTGGGAAAAATAATATATGTCTTCTGGACACAAAGAGAACTGAATTGAATCCTGGCTCTGCCATTTATTTTTGTTGTGAGTATAGGCAAGTTAATCAACTTTTCTATATCTTGTTTTTCTCACTTGCAAAATAGGAATAATGATACTTTATCAGTTAAATATATTTATTGTTGTGATAATGATCCCGACGCAGATTGGCTTATGCAGAATTTTAGAACTTTTTTTTCCTTTGGCCCACCTAATAGAAAACCTAGAGGCATGTCAGCATCTAAGAAGATGTTCGATTTAGGGTTATGTGCCTTCAAGGTTTCAGATCTCTTTCTCTGCATTTCCTACAGTTTTGTTGTTAACTTTGTTTGTTTGTTTGAGACGGAGTTTCACTCTTGTTGCTCAGGCTGGAGTGCAATGGTGTAATCTCAGTTCGCTGCAACCTCTGCCTCCAAGGTTGAAGCAATTCTCCTGCCTCAGTCTCCCGAGTAGCTGGGATTACAGGTGCCCACCACCACACCTGGCTAATTTTTGTATTTTTAGTAGAGATTGGGTTTCACCATGTTGGTCAGACTGGTCTCAAATTCCTGACCTCAGGTGATGTACCCACCTGGGCCTCCCAAAGTGCTGGGATTACAGACATGAGCCACCATGCCCAGCCCAATTTTACTGTTATCTATTTGTGAGCTTCAGTATTATGCACGTTGTTTTAATAGTAGAAGAAATCAGTGGAAAACTTCCAAGCCGCATAATCAAACAGTAAACCAGAGAGAGGAGAGAGCATATGTATTTAAAATAGTTCACACAGAAGAAAACTTTCTTACCTAGAAATATCCTACGAAAAGCTCTTCTTGCCACAAGTTTGATCACATGACCATCTCTGAAACACTCATTGTGGCCAGATAAGTGAGATAACCTGGTGATGTTAAGCCATTTATGGTTCAACTCTGAAGTAAAGGGTCAGTCTATCCTGCAAAAATTTATGTCTGAGATATGGTTCTCTGAAATCCAGCTTTTGTTTAGGGGAAAAAGATTCTAGAGAAGCAAACATCTGCTTTTTACCACTTAATTACCCCACATTTGTATGCATTCTTCTTCCCACAAAGTTATGTTGAGGCCTATATCCAATGTACTCATCTCATCTTCCTTCCAAGAAGGAGACCATCCATACCTGCATCATCAAATAGGGAAGAGTTAACACCTCAGGCTTGGCTGTTCAATGCTAGCACATCTTCAGGAGGAACTGATTGTGTGGTTGACCCTTGGCCAACTCCTGGGAACATAGTGCTTGGATGCTCCTTCTGTTATTAATTAATAAGGTTGTTTTGTACACGTAGGGCACTGAACCATGCTGTACTGACTTGTCAAGGTAGTTTGTGCCCACATTGTGATTTCTGGTGAGCTCTGGTTTCCTTCTGGGAGTCTGGAGTTCATCATGGCTGGTCATGCAGGTCAATGTACCCATGTGATCAGCCCTCAATAAGTATTGCACTCTAAGACTCAAGCATCTTCCTTGGCAAAAACACTTTTTGAGTGCCACAGTTCATTGCTGAAGGAAGAGCATATCCTGTGCGACTTCCGTAACAACTTTAGAAATAAGTGCCTGGTTACCAACAGACTCCACTTGGCGCACCTTTTCCCTTTGTAGATCCTGCTTTGTATCTTTCCCTGTAATAAACATTATCCTGAGTGCAACTGCTTTTGAGTCTCATGAATCCTTCTAGTGAATCATTGAATGTGTCTGTGGTTGTGCAACTCATGAAACAACCACACTGCTGCATCCAGATCCAAATCTAGGATTCTCTAGGTTGGGGCTCAGCAAAACAATTCTGAAATATTTTGGGCTCTGTGAATCTTACTGTCTCTGTAGCAATTATTTGTCTCTGCTAGCTTTTGCACTGCAGTGTTAAAGCAGCTGTAGACAACATGTAAACAATTCATATAGCTGTGTTTCAATAAGATTTCATTTATAAACACAAGTACGGAAAGCAGGTGGGTTTGGCCCCACACTGTAATTTGTTGACCCTTGCTCTAGGCAATGAGCCATATTCTTAGATTTGTTTAGATTTAGCTTCTTTTGGAGTGACCTGACAAGGTTTAACTTGGAAGTTTGATTTCTTTCAACACAATCACTATACCATGTGTATTAGCCCATTTTCACATGGGTATAAAGACATACCAGAGACTGGATAAATTGTAAAAAAAGAGGTTTAATTGACTCACAGTTCTGCATGGCTGGGGAGGCCTCAGGAAGCTTACAATCATGGCAAAAGGGAAAGAGGCACATCTTACATGGTGGCAGGAAAGAGAGAGAGAGCAAGAACAGGGAAAACTGCCTTATAAAACTGTCAGATCTTGTGAGAACTCACTATCATGAGAACAGCATGGGGGAATCTGCCCCTGTGATTCAGTCATCTCCCACCAGGTCCCTTCCTCAACATGTGGGGATTATGGGAATTATAATTCAGGTGAGATTTAGGTGGGGACACAGAGCCAAACTGTATCACCATAGTAATAGCAAATAAAAATACATATTGATCAATGATCTGTGACATATATTATTTTCCACTGGGCCAGAGTAACATGGACTTCTTGCTCTGAGAACCAAGTAAGTTTTTGGCTAATATGTTGCTTCTGTAGTCCCTGGAAGAAATCTTTGTCCACTGTCATTGTGACTACACCTTGAGTAAGAATTTGGGTGTTATCTACTTTTGGGACTTCAAAAGCTTACTTTCTCATTATTGGAGACTGAGAATTGCCTAAGGGGTAGAGCCATCAACATGCTTAATTCCTCAGTAATTCCTCTCATTTGGGGGTTTTGCCCTCAAGCTACTTTCTTACTGCTTTAACTATTTTTTTCTTTGGTTTCTTTTGTTAAACTCCAAGGGATAGTAAACAAAACTAGGGATGTATTTAGATCATGGTCTTTGCCTCTCTAACCTGTCCTGAAAAATTTGTTTTCAAAAACAGGTGTTAGTTCAACGGCCTCATTAAAAAAAAAAAATCTTTTTTTTTTTTTTTTCAGAAAATATTAGGGCAATAGGCTGATAGGGTGAAATGGAAGAGGGGGTCATTCATGTGCATCTTTACAATTAGGGGGATGGGTCCGTTTTTATGTAGTAAAAGCACAAGAGTTTACTGGAGAGGTGCCTAGACAATAAGACTTCTCTCAGGCCCCAATTTTATAGCCCCAATTTTATAGTATCTTTTTCTCAGATTTTATTGTAACTAATATTAGAATAGGGCTGATAGTTTTTTCCCCTCAGTGCAAAGTTCCATATAACCTCACTTTCAGTCACTTTGTTAGACACAGGACACAGGACAAAAGGATCACCCTGGGAAAAGTGAATATTCTTCCTTTTCTTATTTTAGACAGTTAAGTTTCAGTCCATATTGTTCTTTTGTCTAGGTACTTAATGGAAGAATGTCTCAGTTTCTTCATCAGTAAAATGGAGATAATGATTGTACCTGTGTAATCAGTTATTCTGAGTCTTAAACAAGCTGATAAAAGTAAACAGAATATTGCCTGCTGCAGCATATATAGTTAGTAGATGATGGCAAAAAAAAAAAATGCTAGAAGAGGAAGCCAACACACTAATATCTTGAAATTTTCCTACTTAGCGCTTTAATGCTTTAGCTTCAGTAGGTACATTGTCTCAGCCAAAGCTACAACTGCTACCAGTTTAACAAGAAATTTTTACAGCATATAGTAAAGATTGCCAGTTTTCTAGCTCTTAATAACAGAATCATAATTGCTTTCTCTCTAATTTAGCCAACTCCATATGTTAGGTTATAGCTCTTTCAATACTCCATTTCTGTTTCTAAATGTCATATAAATAAGAATCATTTAGCTGCAAAGATGGAAAATCCAAATCAATGTGGCTTAGCCAAAGAGAAGACCTTACTGGTTGAGTTAACAAAGAATTTCAAGGAAGACTGGATTCAGGCACTGCTTAAAATAGAGATTCATGATGTCACCAGAACTCCAGTTATATATTTCTGTATGAATTTATTAGCTCAACTCTTCTTTATTCATTGGTTTTATCTTTAGGCTGTCTTCCTGCAAGGTAGTTAAATGACTGAGAGAAGTTAGAGACTTATCTGTACACACCACACTATCTGGACGAGGTATACCACACATCTGTTCTAGTTGCTCCCCAGAAAGAGAAGAGGCTCCTTATGAGGACATAAACTTTTTATTTTATTAGAACATCATCAAAGATAAAGATTCTGTCTTGTTGACTGCTATAAATTATTGCAGACTGGCAACAAAAGCTCCATTACTGTTCCTGTATAATATGTTTATTTTTGAGGCCAAGAAATTTAAGACAGTTTCTAGACTCTCTTTCAGGTGATCATTGCCTGCCCAAAAGAGCCACCAATATATGATGTACATGATAGAAAGAAGCCAACGTCTCTACTTCGTTGCTTCTGCTAGTTCTGCAGGTAAGCACAGTCGTGGATATTTTTGTTTGGTTTGTTCCACATTTAATGGTATCAGAGTTTCCAATATCCAATTCCTGCCTTATGAGAATAAGAGGCAGGACATGGGGCTTGAATTGTAGTTGATATGATGTGATCTTGGGAGCAACTGCTGGCTTTCTGATGCCTGCACTTTGAAGGAAACACTGTAATACTGAAGCCAGTAGTTGGACCAGCAGTCTCCTGATGACCCAGCTTTCTGATAGGAGGGAAAGCAGTGCCTTATTAGACCAGTTCTTTTGTGGTGTTCTTGGAATTATTCCTAACAACAGCTGAGCCTTGGTCTGGTTCCTACAGCTCCTCTGATGATGTTACAAGCATTTTGTACATCTAGAAGTTACTGTCCTCTGCACCTGAAGCAATGTTCTCCTATATTCTAAATGCGCTTGGCACATTGTATATATACACAACTTATTTGTTACCTAGCTGATTTTTTTCCCAGAGAAACCTGTATCCAAACTTTTCCTATGTTTTGTCAAATAAAATTAGTCCCAGTTAGACATCTATTACTGACTGAAGTATTGTGACTAAAGTAATGGGCTACACTAATCCCAGGAAATAAGGTTAGAGTATAGCAAAGCATATGGCTGAGATTGATGGTGGCGGGGGGGGAAAGCAATTTAGATGCTGTTTGTGGAGATCAGGAAAATAGTACCTGGAGAAGAAAATGCTGTAGCAGAGAATACTACTTTTAAAGAATTTTGTGCAATGTAAGAGACAGTACTCACTCACTTCAACTAATTCTATTTGTCAGACAAAAATAACACATAAGGAATATTGACAGAACAGTAAAAAGGAATTATTTGAGACAATGTAGTTTGCATACCCTCTTTCCTCATTAGCCACTCACTCATTCTTCATCAGCATCAGAATCCCAGTTTATAGCCTAAGTACATTGCTGCCCAAGTTAAAGACATATTTCCTAACTCTCTAGCAGCTAGGTATAACCAGGTGACTAACTTATGGCCAATGGGATGTAAGCAGAAATTTTGTGTGTAACTTCCAAAGAGTTCCTTAAAAGAAAAGAGGCAAATATCATTTTGACTCCTCCACTTTTTTACTCTGCTGGCTTACAAAACAGATGTGATAATTGGAGTTCTGGCAGCCATCTTGGGCCATGAGGTACCCTCGATGGTGTAATAGAAGGAGAGACCCTTGTTTTTATTATGATTATGTAGCCACGATATCCATTCTGGGAAGCCTATCTCCAAAATTCCTTTCTGATAAACAAGAAAACTTCCATCTTGTTTAAATCAGTGCTGTTTTGGAGGTTTGCTGTTCAATGTAGGTGAACCTAATCATATATAATACATATATATTCAAGTCCTACGAGATGGGAAAGTGACTTTAAATCCTGTAATAGGATGTACTTTCTAGACTTACGACAGAAAATGGAAGAATTGCACAAAACCAGAGAATAAGAAGTAAAAAAAAAAAGGACAATTGTATCAGTGTCAAACATTCATATCATCTTGTTGATAATATTTATCTTTAGAACTTTCAGAAAGCATCTGAGTTACTTTCCTTTGTGAGCATAGTGTATTGCAATCTCATCCAATCAGATTACTCATCCTTGGCCTTAAATCAGAAGCAAATGATGCCAAGAGCAGTAGAAACTCTTTCCTGGATGTGCCAGTACAAAGTGGTGTCACCCAGAATGCAGTGCCAATTTTTGAGTATGTTTAGGCTGCTACACCAGAATACCACTGACTGAGCATCTTATAAACAGCAGAAATGTACTTCTCACAGGCTGAGAAGTGCAGCTTCAAGGTGCTGGCAGGTTTGCTGTCAGATGAGGTCCCACTTCCTTCATAGACAGATGTCTCCTCAATGCAACCTCGTATGTAAGAAAGGCAGATAAGTTCCCTTGGCCTCACAATCTAATCGCTTCCCATAGGCCTCACCTCTTAATACCATCATACTGGGGATTAGCTTTAAACATTTTAGGAGGACACAAAAATTCAGATAATAGTAGCTGGTATGGTTTAAATTTGTGTCCCCATTCAAATCTTATGTCGAATTGTAATCCTCAATGTTGGAAGAGGGACCTGGTGGCAGGTGATTGGATCATGGGGGCGGATTTTTCTCACGTTGTTTCATAAAAGTGAGTGGGTTCTCATGAGATCTGATTGTTTAAGTGTGTAGCACCTCCCCCTTCTCTCTCTTCTTCCTACTCTGTCCATGTAAGATGTGCCTGCTCCCGCTTCCTCCATAATTGTAAGTTTCCTGAGGCCTCCCAGGCATGCTTCCTATACAGCTTGTGGAACCATAAGCCACTTAAACCTCTTTTCTTTATAAATTACCCAGTCTCGAATATTCCTTTATAGCAGTGTGAGAACTGAGTAATACAGTAGCCAACAACATGGGTATAGTTAGATGTAGGATTGAGAAATTAATGGTAGCTGCAACAGGGTTCTTCATTGCAGAGGTTCCCTGGTTGGACTTTTGCTATAGTTCTGGCTATGTTGCCACTGTTTGATTCTTTCTCTTCCCCAGTCTTCTTAGTAGGTCAAATCAAGGAGCTACACAGCATATTTTCAAAAACTCTACTTAACTGTATTTGCTTGTATCAGCCAGAATCAGTTTGTATTGATTGTTAATGGGCATATCTTCTAATTAATCATGCACTATGTAGTATTGCAAAGGCAAACTTTTATTTAAATAAAAAATTTAAACCTGTATTTTTTTTCTGCATTGATTTTTAAATAGCATCCATATATTTCATCAGGGGTGAGAAGTCTTAGGAGTCTGTTTGATTAGTTGTTTTGCCTTTCTAAATTCATGTTTCAAAACCAATTCATTTAAACTTGAAAAAGATGAATTTGAATTGAAATAATAAACCCTTATGTTTCCAATTGTGAATTTACAAAGAATAAGAGTTCTTAAATCCACATATAATAAATATCCTATCTAAACCTGTTCTACACGTGAATTTATTTAATGTGTATGAAAGTAATGAAGAATGAATAGGACACCATTTCTGTAATAGGTGAGGTCAATCTTTCCAAAATTTTTTTTGTCAATAAAACTTTTGCTAACAAAATGAATAAAATGAAAGACCTTTGAAAAATTTTGATCACTATGTACATAAAAAGTGTTTTGATTTTGTATGTTTTAATTGTGCAGAGTGCAATAAATCATCATTTCTCACAATTTAAAAAATGTATTTGTGGGCTGGATTTGGTGACTCATGCTCGTAATCCCAGCACTTTGGGAGGCCGAGGTGGGAGGATCAGTTGATGTCAGGAGTTCAAGACCAGCCTGGGCCAACATGGTGAAACCCCATCTCTACTAAAAGTATAAAAAATTAGCTGGGTGTCATGCCAGGCACCTGTAGTCCCAGTTACTCAGGAGACTGAGGTAGGAGAATTTCTTGAACCCGGGAGGCAGAGGTTGCAGTGAGCCAAAATTGTGCCACTGTACTCCAGCCTGGGTGACAGAGCGAGACTTGGTCTCAAAAAAAAGTACTTGTTATTAGGTCCAATTATTTCAGTTGAGGGTAAGAAGATGTAACTAGAATATCCTCCAGGTCTCACAGAAAATCTTGATTTAAGACATCATAACTACATTGAAAAAACATTTTTCACTTCTATTGACCCTCCTGCTGCTAAATTATTTCCATCTTTCTAAGGTACAAGAATAAATTTAATCAGAATCCCATAAAAGTCATTCTATTATTTTTATTGAACTCAATTATCAATAAATGTTTATTAAATGTCTATTACAAGTCAGTCCACTTATTAAAAGTCTATTGGGTATAGGCAGAGATAGACTTTAAGCTATATTTGAAGCTCTTACTGTGTGAGATAGAGCAATAAGGTGGAAAAGTACAATAAGGTGGAAACAGCTCAGATGCTGGAGTTAGAAACCTAGTTTTAAGTTATTCCTCGTTACTTATGAAACGCATTATGCTACTTCATTACTTACATAGTGAGTAATGTAACTGGCTCTTATACTATCTGTATCCCAGTACTCAGTTTTTTTTTAAAAAAAATAGTGGGTCATTGAGAAGATTCATAGAAAATATGTGTCTAATTTATTTAGCTCAGTGCCAGCAATACTACAGGCACGCAGTAATTTGGTACACTTTCTTAGTGGCATGAATACCAGGCAGCATGACACATACCATTTTACTGAAGTGAAGAAAGTGCTGGATTGATAGTCGAGGAAACTGAGTTCTGATATTCATTTTGACCCTGAATGGATTCACATAATGCCCTCAAACTCTCTGTGTCTCAGTGTTTTCCATCTTAAAATAAGAATCAAATCTATCAAATGAACAATAGGAGGTAGCAAAATGAATAAAATGAAAGACCTTTGAAAACTTTTGATCACTATATGCATAAAAGGTGTTCTGATTTTTATGTTTTAATTGTACACTGTACAATACATCATTATTTCTCACGATTTTTAAAAATGTACGTGTTATTAGGTGCAATTATTTCATTTGAGGGTAAGATGTTACTAAAATATCCTCCAAGTCTCCGCAGAAAATGTTGATTTAAGACATCATAATTACAATGAAAAGTAATCTTAAGGAAGATAGTAATGTGGTTAAAGAAGAGATTTAAAAGATGATTTTAGCTATAACATTTTGGACAGATTGAAGGGAAGGCTAAGACAGGTGGTGAAGAATGGGCTTTGGAATACCAGATGTGAAATGACAAGGGCACGAGCAGAGATTTAACTGTGGAAAAATAATAAGTGCTAGAAACGTATTTCTGATTTTCCAAAGGAAAACTGTTCAGCTTGCCTTTGTGTGTAGAATTTTGCAATATGGTCTTTTACATACAACTAATTCCTGACTAATAAGGCAGAGAATAACTTGTTTATTAATTTTGTTCATCTGGTAATAAACCTGTTGTTGTATTTTGCTTCATTGCGGCCAAACTCTCAGTTCTCCTCCTTTCAATTTTTCCAATTCTTTACTGCTACTCTGCAATAAATACTTTTCAGTAAGTGAGAAATGTGTACAAGAAAAGTGTGTCAATTTTTGAAGAGAAAATCTTTATTTGTAAAAGGAGTATTAACCGTTCTTTATTAGAATTTACATTGAAAATAATCTTAAGGATGGAAATTATTAAAAATGGGGAAATTCACGCAGGGAAACATTCAGCAATAACTGAGAGTTCTATTTTGCAGGGTTTACATTCTAAGCATTTCAATATCTGCAACCCTCACTGCCATTTTTTTTTCTATGCAGCTCAATAATCTTTATCAACTATAAGAGCAAATGCAAAATCTGTCATTGAAAAGTTCCTCAGTCATCTTCCTATTAGGTCAGATCAATTAGACTGACATAAAAATAAGAACTCTTTCCAATGTGAACATCAGCTCTAATCTAATAAAGTGGCTGATGAGAAAGGGTGTTGCCCATCCTGGGTTCAGATGCAGAGCAGCAGAAACAACAAAGAGCTGCCACAAAGATAGAGGTAGATTGGAAAGATCCAAGACAGATGCACTCAGCTGGCCAAGGCCAAGGGCTTACCCAATGCCTTGCTTTAGAGAGACTAATAGTTGATGCCAAATATTTACTGCCTTATTATCATTTATTTAAAAGAGAGCATCTCACTCTATCACCCAGGCTACAGTGCAGTGGCACAATCACCTCTCAGCGCAGCCTCAAACTCCTGGGTTAAAGCTATCTTCCCATCTCAGCTTCCGGGGTAGTTAGGACTACAGCTGTGTACCACCATATCCAGCTAATTTTTAATATTTTTCTAGAGATATGGTCTCAGTGTTCAGTCTAGTCTTGAACTCCTGACCTCAAGTGATCCTCCTGCCTTGGCCTACCGAAGTGCTGGGATTACAGGTGTGAGCCACTGCTAAAGGAAAATGCAGGCTATTAGGATTATCAATACTCTCCTTTTAAATCATTTGTACAATTTTGAAAAATGGATGTTAACTTCTCAATTTCTGTCCCAGGAAATTCTTCTGACTACCTCCTAAAGGTAAAAAATTCACTAGGGATTTTCCTAGAGCCCCTAATTGCCTCCTCATGTTCTATGTGAGAGATCTTGGCCATTCTCATGTCTCTAACCTTTACTAAAGACACTCATGTCAATGTCTCTATTCTAAACCTCTATCTTTTTGACTTATATTCATCTGCCAACTAGACATCTCTACCTGGAGGCCACACAGGTGCTTCAATCTCAACATTTCAAATTGTGAGCACATTCATTTCCTTTTATAACTTTTACTTCCTCCTGTATTCTTCTGTCTTATTTGATGGTATCACTTTCTATACAGCAATCATGCAAGAAGTCAGGTAGTCACTACAGAACATATCTTTCTTCCACATCACGGTATATGTGTCACAAAATCTAGCCAACTTTCCTACCTAGATAGCTCTGGGACATGACCCTTCTCTTTGTCCTTATAACATTGCTTTGGTTTAACCTTCATCATCTTATGCAATAGGTTCCTAATTTCTCTGCCTATCTCTAGTCTTATCCTGCCAGAGTTAATTCTCAATCCTGCCACTGGAGTGAACTTTATAAAACTTAAATTTGACCGTGTAACCCATTAGTGTACAACCCTTCAAAGGAGTCTTAGCTCTTAGAAGGCAAATTTCTAATTCTTTAATATTACGTATAAGGAACTCCATATCTGACACCGCCAGCTCCATCCCCTCATGCTATCTTCTGTTGTGCATTACCTAGAATGCCACTCCTACCTTGTTAAGTCATCCCACTTTGCTGAATTCCTGTTAACGTTAGGAAATTCAATTCAGGTCACCTTTTTAAGGAAACCTTCCCTGTTTTTTTTTTTTTTTTGAGACGGAGTCTTGCTCTTTCGCCCAGGCGGGAGTGCAGTGGCGCTATCTCGGCTCACTGCAAGCTCTGCCTCCTGGGTTCACGCCATTCTCTTGCCTCAGCCTCCGGAGTAGCTGGGACTACAGGCGCCAGCCACCGCACCCAGCTAATTTTTTGTATTTTTAGTAGAGGCGGGGTTTCACCGTGTTAGCCAGGATGGTCTCGATCTCCTGACCTCGTGATCCGCCCCCCTCAGCCTCCCAAAGTGCTGGGATTACAGGCGTGAGCCACCACGCCTGGCCAACCTTCCCTGACTTTCATACTTGTTCTCAGGGTGTACCTCAGGAGATGCCTTGTTCTGAACTTTTAAAATAGTTTTACACATGTCCTTCATTACCCTCATTGCATTGCCTTTAAAAATCAAAACAACTGATTATCGCTTTGTGACAGTCTCCCAGGCTATGTTGTGGGTGACTTTAGGACAGGGACCATGGTTTGTTCTTTACAGCCAACATGCTTAGCACAGAGAATCTAATACAAAGTAGTAACAAAAAACCCCACATTTTTTCAATGAATGGGTAAATATATAAAGGTGCAAAAAATTATAGAAAGAGGAAATAAATGTATTACTAAATACTTCAGTTATTATTACTATTTGCTATTTCTCAATTTCACTAACATTTTGATCAAGAAGTCACAATGAACAAAATCATAGGGTAGCTAGAGGAAAAAATATACCTAGGCCTTCTTGTTTGAGGGCATTTCTGCACATGTATTTGCATTTCTCCACATTTCCAGATCTCTGAAGTTTAAGCCCAAGTCAGAGTAATTTGAAAGATAATTTATGTTTTTTCTTAACTTCCTATTTTAATAGTCTTACTACTATTTGAATATTTCAGGATCACTAAAATGTCTCGATAAACATATGTAGGTCATAATCATTTTAAGACTAATGTGATCTGCTCTGTGGATCTCATGATGGAAAGGATAGTCCCTTATTACCTTTTTATATTTTTTGCTTTGGATCTTTTATTTTTGTCCAGAGGATTAATTTGCTGTACTTAATCCTATACTTAATGTAAAAAGTTAAAATCCTCAATCTAAGCATAACATAGATTAATGAAATTAATCTAAATATTACAAATAAGTAGTAAGATGCCACCTTCTGGCTCTTGAAGAAAAAGAGAGAGAAAATCAATGATGGTACACAAATTGATATATTGAAGGTTACTGTCAGTTCCTTAAGGCTGATTTTGTTCCCCACCTTTAAACACATATGGTGTATCATGCTGTAACATGAGGCCGTGTCGGCTTCAGATAGTATAGCAATAGTAAGGAAGAAGCAAAAAAATGCAAGACTTTGATCTTCAAAGTTGCCTAATTTCCCTTTGCTCAAAAGCAGTTGTTAGAGCTACAGAGTTAAAAAGTCTTCTAAAGAAATGTAAATGGATGCCTGCGCAACTTCATACTCAGGCATAATTCTAGAGGCCCAGGAAACATTGTCACCCTAAGTCCAAGTATCAACATAGGTCCACAGAGAGAAAAGAGAATCATGTTCCTTTCTTGACTAGAGATTAAGCTGGTGGATTTTCTTCCCCTAAGGGGAGAAAAGACTCTTTTACTTTCTTTCTGCTTATTTTCAAACTCTGGGTTCATAAGCCCCTACCTTCACCAAGTGATCAAGTGATTTATATAAAGTGACAGAAGAGTTGCACTTTTAAATCTGTGCTCTGTGCAGTCTCACCATATTGGTAACAGGGCTGAGCAATTAATAGAGTTTGTCAACTCTATTAAGTGGAGTTTCATTGATTGGAGAATAATTCTATGCTATCAGGGTGTTTTATTGATGTATGAGAAAGAAAAATAAAATTCAGAACATATGAGTTCTTGCTGCAGCAGCTTGAGGGAAACTTTTCTTAGAATATAAAAATTAAGCAAAGAATCCTCAGGAGCCTTGTTGTTAAATGGGGGAAATTTAAAGTTGACAATTGTTTGTTTAGAAATTCATCTTCTTGAATCCCTGAGTATGCAAACATGAACCTCAACAGTATTTGGGGTACAGGATGGAGAAGTGAACTGCTCTGCATGAGAAAATAACTGTAATAGTAAGTTGGAGGCTGCCTGGAACAGGACAATAACATAGAAAGACATAGCAGAAGAACATAGAAACTTGGGTCAAAGGAGGCCTTGATCAATGAGAAATTACTCCTGGCAGGAAATGCATAGTAGAATGTAAGAGAATAGTACCTAATAACTAATTTTAACCAATTTTAAAGTTTTATTGTATTATGTAGTGTAATTATCACACTTAGTTGCCAAAACTCTTCAGTAAAAATAGGCTCTGTAGATACACAGCCTGTGTTAGCCACACTTTGGAGAAATGAAAATAGCTAGGAGAATGTTGAATGTGATTTGCAGTAATGTAGAAGAGGAGAACCATGAAGTAAAACTAAACGTTTGACTGACACACAAAAAAGAAGCAAGAGGTAACTAGGAGAAAATGTAAGCAACTTAAAAATCCTCTGAGAAATTAATGAATTGAGTTTAAGCCTTTTTAATGGAAATTTAAATGGTAGGTTAAACCCAGCAGGAGGGAGAACGTCCAGTTTCTGGGTAACTTTAAGGAAAGTTATTGTCTCACATAAAGATAAGTCCTTAGAAATGTTTATGAAATGAGTGAATTCCACAACATTCACAATAGTAACATCTAATGGAGACCAGACAAATAAAAAATACATCCATTTGGATTTATAGTTTCTTCTTTATTGAATATGTGTGTTGAGCATAATTATTTTACTTTTAAACTTTAAAATCCTGCATTTTTTCCTTTGGCATTACTTTTGAATGGAATGTAATTGGGTTATGCATTTATAACTAGGAATCAATGATTTGCAAATATCTACATTTTCAGAATTAGGCTTTTTCACAAAATCTTAAATGGAAAAGAAATTTTAAAAAAGGTAAAAGAATGAAAATACTATAGCCTCCCTGAATACCTATAACTGTTATTCAAAATGTCTTCACTTGTTGTTTCTTCAATAACTATGAACTGGCCCCCCTAAGGCTGCTTCATAAGAGAATGCTGTTTACTTGTTCTTTTAATAAGCACTTTGGAGAGCTTCTCATGTGCTCATTCCAGTGTTAGTAAGAGAAGAGAAATCCTTAAAACTGTTTATGTAATGAGTGAATTCTACAACATTATGCAAAATTTTGTTATGGAAATATTTAAATAAATTAAATCTAGAATAGAAAAAGAATATATAAGCAACATTTCCATCACAGGACCCTTCACTAAAATCTAAATGTTGTAGATATTCCAAGTAAACTAAATGCCATTGTAGACTAGAGTTTGATTAGGAAATAGTCACAGAGTTAGAAAGAAAAAGTACCTATCGAAAGGAATCAGCATGAATTTACTGAGGAAAAATGTGTCAGTCTATCTCTTTTCAAGTTTTTGTTAGGGTTACTGAAATGAGAGGTTGAAAAAATGAAATATAGTGTACTTGGAATTTTGGAGGCAGTTTACAAGATACTTGGCGATTTTCTTCTGGACAAGATAAAATATAAAATGTATATTGTTACAGCTTGTTAGACTCATGGCTTATTAAATGAGAGAACCCCAAAGACATCAATAATGGGGTTTTATAATATACAATAAAAGGTCCATGGGGAGGGACTTCCCTCTTCCCTTTTCTATTTGTTATTCTAGTTATTGACACAGATGAACATATGAAAAGCCAGCTTTATTCAATTTGAATATAATAAAAAGCTAGAAGAATTCACCCATCCAGGATTTCAATGGTATGAAAATCCTGGACTAACTGGTAAGATACAAAAAGATAAAAGTGAATGTTGATTATTCTAGTGATCTATAGTAGTAACACCCAGCCAACTGCCCAAATAAAGGATGAGAGGGAGAGGTGTAACAGCAGCAAAATGGGAAAAGACTTGGGTTTTCCAGATTCCACTGTGTTCAAAATAATTCAGCAGTGTAATGTGCCAGCCAAACACAGTTAATTCCAATTTCTTGCTATGGACTGAATTGTGTCTTCCCTGGAATTTATATGTTTAAGACTTCACCTCCAATGTGCTGGTATTTGGAGATGGAATATTTAGGAGAAAATTAGTTTAAATGAGGTCCTGAAAGTTGGGCCATCTTGATGGGATTATTGTCTATATAAGAAGAAATACCTGAGAGCTTTTGCTCTCTCTCACTTATTCACACCCCATCATGTAAGCACACAGGGAGAAGGTGGCTCTCTCACACAGAGAGCCCTCACCACAATCTTACCATATTGGATCTTTAATCTTGGGCTTCTAGTCTCCAGAGCTGTGAGAAAATAAATTTCTGTAGTTTAATCTACACAGTCTATGATATTTTGTTATGGCATTGTGAGTTGACTAATAAACTTATCCTGCCTGAGAAGTATTCACTGATCTTGATTTTTTTAAAGCCTTAATTACAGCAGTTCATTTTGTTTTTAACATATTTTCTGTTGTCCTTGACTCATAATGTTCTTTGTGATTGAATCCCTCAGACTCACTACAAATTGTCAATTATATGGCAAGCATGCCTCAGACTTACTCTCCAGAATTGAGAACATACATTTTTAGAGGGACACACGTCTGGCCAAACAGCTTAATCCACATGTGCAGGACTAGTATGTCCTGGTCAGCACTTTTATGCTATAAAATTTATAATTAATGAAAACTGTATTCAACGATATTAAATTAAATACAACACGTACACATCTTTTTTTTTTTTTTTTTTTTTTTTTTGAGACAGAGTTTTGCTCTTGTCGCCCAGGCTGGCATGCAGTGGTGTGATCTCGGCTCACTGCAACCTCCGCCTCCTGGTTTCAAGGGATTCTCCTGCCTCAGCCTACTGAGTAGCTGTGATTACAGGTGCCCCCCACTACACCCGGCTAATTTTGTGTATTTTTAGTAAATAGGGGGTTTCGTCATGTTGGGCAGGCTGGTCTTGAACTCCTGACCTCAGGTGATCCACCCACCTCAGCCTCCCAAAGTGCTGGGATTACAGGTGTGAGCCACTGTGCCCGGCCTACACATATACATCTTAAGGAGCCACAGTTAAAAAGGTATTGGGGGATAAGGGTTGGGGATAGAGTTGTACATGGAAAAAATAAAGGGGGTTCATGGATGCAGTGTCAATGTAATGGTCTAATTTGGGAATTAGAATTTTTTTTTTTTTGAGACGGAGTTTTGCTCCTATCATCCAGGCTGGAGTGCAATGGCATGATCTCTGCTCACTGCAACCTCCACCTCCCAGGTTCAAGTGATTCTCCTGCCTCAGCCTCTTGAGTAGCTGGTATTACAGGCACCTGCCACTACGCCCAGCTAATTTTGTATTTTTAGTAGAGACAGGACTTTGCCATGTTAGTCAGGCTGGTATTGAACTCCTGACCTCAGGTGATCTGCCTGCCTAGGCTTTCCAAAGTGTTGGGATTACAGGCGTGAGCCACCGCACCCAGCCAAAAATTAGAATATTTTTATTTGACATACTTGGACTATGACTAATCTGTAACACCCAGTGAACTAAGTAAGTTGAAGAACTTTGTCTGAAATCCATTATCATATTCATTTCTTTTAACACTTGTGCAAATGTCGCCAATGGCACCCCATGTATTTCTGTGAATTCCCTTTTTTAGTACCTTAGTAAGGGAGTGTGAAAGAAACCATGATAAAATTAATGCTAAAACACTTCCATAGGCAAAAAAAAAAAAAAAAAAAAAAAAAAAAAAATCTGCCTTGAAATGAGTCCTGGAGGAGGAACAAGCAGTCCAATGTGAACTTTTGATTGCTGTGAGTGTTTCTGTTTTTCTAAATGTAGGCCCACAAAAGAGAGGTGAGAACCAGTGCAGAGCTGCGGTATCTAAGGAAATCCTTTGCTTCCCACTGTCTTGGAGCTGGTGTGTAGTAAATTGCTAGAGGTGATATACAACATATGGAAGATGAAAGGATGTGATAAGACAGACATAATTTATCTCTCTTTCTTATTTCTCTGCTATTTTCCCACTCCTTGCTATTTATAAGTGTTATCAAATTTTATCTTCTTCCCCTCTCTTCCCTTCTGTATTTGATAGCATTGACATCTTTATTGATTCTGGTTTGATTTTCAAACTTAGCTTCATTTTGAGGAAAGGGGAAAAAAGATAAATTGATGCATTAAAAACAATGAAAATAGTATAAACATTAATACAATGGAGTGGTGGGATTTAGACTACACTTAAGCTAAAGAAAGCAAGAGAAAAGAAAGAAAAAGCATCAAGATTGTGGCCCTCTTGTCAGACTTAATCTCCAGCTGTTTTGAATTTCCCATTTGAGATTCTAAAAAGCAAACATACTGTGGACATTTTAGGATGTATGGAGACACACAAAGATTTTTCTTTGGACCACTCTCTGAAGCTTCTATTCTACCATAGGGAATTAGACCCAGAGAGCATCTGACTCACAGATGGCCTCTAGGGTTTCTGCAAGGACTCACATGTGAGGGTGCAAGGCTAATTATTTCCCCAGAACTTCTGGTCTTTGGCAATAAAACCCCAATAGTTTAGCCAATACTGGGCTTAACTCTAAATTCAGAATACTTCTGTGTCTGACTTTTTTTGATACTTAAGATAATTGTACCACACATTTTTGAGAGAAAGGCAATATATAAAAAATCTAGTTTTATGTAATAGGTACATAGGGGCTAATTTATTTTTTAGATTTGCAGAAAAGTTGCAAAGAATTCTTGTATATGCTTTAATTAAGATTCCCTACTGTAAACATTTTATCATATTTGTTATATCATTTTCTATTTTCTTATCTACCCACACACAGACACACACAAACACAATTTTCCCTGAAATGTTTAAGAGTAATTGATTGGCAAACCTGATGACTCTTTACCCATCAGGCTGTAGCTTGTGCTCAGATTTATTCAGACAGCAAGGTTCTTTAACATACATGACAGATTGAAGTATAAAGTTCATAACAATTATTTTTTAAGAAAGTTTTCAGGAACAACTTTATCATAAAGCTCACATGTACTTAATATTTTTGTTTTATTCTAAATGAACAAGAACAGATGCCAAGGTTTGCATAGTGACTATCAGGAGAAATTTGGAATGTGAAAAATATGATTTAATCTAATTACCATTTCTTCTTGTGTTAATTATTTTTATTGATACATAATAATTGTACATATTTCTTGGGTATATGTGATAATTTGATACATATGTACAATGTAAAGTGATCAAGTCAAAATAATTGGGATAGTCATCACCTCAAACATTTATCATTTACTTTTGCTAGAAACATCCCAAATCTTCTTCCAGCCAATTTGAAATATATAATAAACTGTTGTTAGCTATAGTCACCCTGCTACGCTATTGAACACTAATACTTATTCTTTCTAATTGTGTTTTTGTATCCATTAGCCAACCTCTCTTTTTACCCACCCGCCTACCCTTTCTAGCCTTTTGTAATAGCCATTCTACTGTCTACCTCCCTGAGATCAACTTTTTAGCTCACATATTTGGGTAAAAACATGTAATATTTTTATTTCTGTGACTGGCTCATTTCACTTAAAATAATGTTCTCCAATTCCGTCTATGTACCTGCAAATGGACAAAAGTTCATTCTTTTTTATGGCTTAATAATATTCCATTGTGTGTATATACCACATTTTCTTTATCTATTCAACTGTTGATGGGCACTTAAGTTGATTCCATATCTTTGCTATTGTAGACAAGGCTTAATAAACATGAGAATGCAGTATCTCTTTGATACACTGATTTTCTTTCTTTTGGATAAATACCCAGCAGCAAGATTGCTAGAGCATATGGTACTTCTAGCTTCAGTTTTTTGAGACATCACTATGCTCTTTTCCATAGTGGCTATACTAATTTATATTCTCACCAGTAGTGTATGAGCATTCTCCTTTCTCTGCATCCTTGCCAATATCTGTTATTATTATTGTGATTTTTTTAAGATAATAGCCATTTTAACTGACAAGAAATAATATCTCATTGTAGTTTTAATTTGCATTTCTGGGATGATTATTGATGTTCAGCATTTATTCTTATACCTGCTGTCCATTTCTATATCTTCTTCTGAGAAACATCTATTCTGATCCTTTGCTCATATTTTATTTTATTATTATTTTAAAAAGCTTATTTATGTGGGGAAATTGTAATAGTATACAAAATAAGTCCTTGCATTTTTTGCACATAGTCAAAGTGAGATAGTGGAGATATGAATAATGCTTTTTGAAAAAAATAATTTAATTTTAAGTTCTCGGATACATGTGCAGGATATAGAGGTTTGTTACATAGGTAAATGTGTGCCATGGTAATTTGCTGCACCTATCAACCCATCACCTAGGTATTAAGCCCTGTTTGCATTAGCTGTTTATCCTGATGCTCTCCCTACCCCAGGCACCCCAACATGCCCCAGTGTGTGTTGTTCCCCTCCTTGTGTCCATGTGTTCTCATTGTTTGGCTCCCACTTATAAGTGAGAACATGGGGTGTTTGGGTTACTGTTCCTTTGTTAGTTTGCTAAGGATAATGGCTTCCAGCTCTATCCATATCCCTACAAAGGACATGATCTCGTTCCTTTTTATGGCAGCATAGTATTCCGTGGTGTATATGTATTACATTTTCTTTATCCGGTCTATCATTTTTGGGCATTTGGGTTAATTCGATGTCTTTGCAATTGTGAATAGTGCTATTTGCCCATATATTTATTAGGTTATTACTATTATTTTTTATTGCTGTTGAGTTGTATTCCGGTTATTAACCCCTTATAGAATGGGTAGGTTGCAAGCATTTTTTCCATTCTGTGGGTTTTTTTTTAACATATTGATTGTTTCCTTTGCTGTGCAGAAACATTTTAGCTTGATGTAATCCTATTTGTCTATTTTTGTTTTTGCTGTCTGTGCTTTTGAGATCTTACTCAAGAAGACTGTTTAGACAAATTCTTGAAGCATTTCCCCAATATTTTATTTTAGTAGTTTCATAGTTTCAGGTCTTACATTTAAGTCTTTAGTCTATTTTTGCATATGGTGAGATATAGATACCTAATTTTATTCTTTTACATATGGATATACAATTTTTTCCTGCACCATTTATTAAAGAGACTGTCCTTTCCTCATTGTGTGTTCTTGGCATCGTTGTTGACAATCAGTCATAAAAAGAAATAAGATCATGTCCTTTGTAGGGACATGGATGAAGCTGGAAGCTATCATCCTCAGCAAACTAACACAGGAACAGAAAACCAAACACCACATGTTTTCACTCATAAGTGGGCGCTGAACAATGAGAACACATGGACACAGGGAGGGGAACAATACACACCAGGGCCTGTTTGTCAGGGGGAAGTGCTCGCGAGGGGAGGGAGAGCATCAGGACAAATAGTTAATGCCTGTGGGGCTTAATACCTACGTGATGGTTTGATATGTGCAGCAAACCACCATGGTGCACGTTTGCCTATATAACAAACCTGCTTGTTCTGCACACGTGTCCTGGAACTTAAAGTTAAATAAAAAATAGTTAAAAAAAAAAAAGAAAATCACTTTGCTGTAAATGTGTGGACTTATTTCTGGGCTCTCTGTTGTGTTCTTATGGTCTATGGGTCTTTTTTTTTTTTTTTTTTTTAGATGGAGTCTCAATCTGTCACCCAGGCTGGAGTGCAGTGGGTGGTCTGGGCTCACTGCAACCTCCACCTCCCAGGTTCAAGCGATTTTCCTGCATTAGCCTCCTGAGTAGCTGGGAAGACAGGTGTGCACTACCACACCCAGCTAATTTTTTATATTTTTAGTAGCGACAGTGTTTCACCGTGTTAGCTGGGATGGTCTCGATCTCCTGACCTCGTGATCTGCCCACCCCAACCTCCCAAAGTGCTGGGATTACAGGCAGGAATCACTGCACCTGGCCCAGTCTATATGTCTATTTTTATTCCAGTGTCATGCTGTTTTGTCTGCTATAGCTTTGTAGCATATTTTGAAGCCAGATAGTATATTCTAGATCAATACTCTATGCACTAATTAAGTACAGAAATGATAATAAAATGATGGAAATTTATTTTTATTCATTGTTAACTATGAATAAAACCCACAAGTTGACCTACTGATCCTACCACCTTGCCTCTAAATTAAGTATCTTCATTTTAAAAATGAGTAAATTGAGGCTTGAAGAAGTTAAGTAAATGGCTCAAAATCACACAGTATCTTAGTGTGAGGTAACGGTGGGTTGGTAAAATATTCTAGAGGAATGGCCATGGCCCATAATGTTCTTAGAGGCAATTAAAAATGGCTTCCCCATTTTATATGATAATTGTCTATTTATGACTTTGTTACAGGTCTGGAGTCAACTTTGAAAATTTGTATTTTTTTTGGAAAATTAACTGTTGTATCTTTGAGATTTTACACTTTTTAGAATAGTAATTTTATATTTTATTAGAATAATTGGGGATACTTTATCATTTCTCGGGTATATGGTTGCATTGTTTTCCTTTTTCCCTTTGGCTATAAATTTGATATATTTAGTTTTTAAAAAATATATGTTGCTTTTTTTCTGAGAACTAGCTTCTGAATTTATCACTCTACATTTTTCCTTTTTCATTTTCTTTTGCTTTTATCTTTATTTTTCTAGCTTCTTAAGTTGAAATTCATCACTTACATTCTAATTGCCAAAGCCTATGTGTTTTCCTAAGTTCCCATGTTACTCGATTCTTCTGAATTACTTAGTGTTGTTGGACAGAACATTATTATACTTTTTTTTTTTTGATGGAGTCTCACTCTGTCGCCCAAGCTGGAGTGTGGTGGCACAATCTTGGCTCCCTGCAACCTCTGCCTCCGGGGTTCAAGTGATTTTCCTGCCTTAGCCTCCCAAGTAGCTGGGATTACAGAAGTGCGCCACAACACCCAGCTAATTTTTATATTTTTAGTAGAGATGAGGTTTCAGATGAGGTTTCACCATGTTGGCCAGGTTGTTCTCAAACTCCCGACCTCAAGTGATCCGCCTACCTCAGCCTACCAAAGCGCTGGGATTATAGGCATGAGCCACAGTGCCTGGCCAGAACATTATTCTTAAAATATCTTGTTCTATATATATGTATTTTTAACTTCATAGTTTTTTTCTTTGTTTTCTGACTTCTCAGCCTACTCTTTGGTTTCATAATTAGTTCATCCTCTTCTCATCTTTGGTCCATGTATTACTCTGTTTTTTTTGTTGTTGTTTTTGTTGTTGTTGTTTTTTCCGCTCTGTCGCCCAGGCTGGAGTGCAGTGGCGCGATCTCGGCTCACTGCAAGCTCCGCCTCCCGGGTTCACGCCATTCTCATGCCTCAGCTTTCGGAGCAGCTGGGACTAAGGAGCCCGCCACCACGCCCAGCTCATTTTTTGTATTTTTAGTAGAGACGGGGTTTCACCTTGTTAGCCAGGATGGTCTCTATTCTCCTGACCTTGTAATCCACCGGCTTCGGCCTCCCAAAGTGCTGGGATTACAGACGTGAGCCACCGCGCCTGGCTGTATTACTCTGTTTTAAAGCTGCTGACAAAGACATACCCGAGACTGGGAAGAAAAAGAGGTTTAACTGGACTTACAGTTCCACATGGTTGGGGAGGCCTCAGAATCATGGCGGGAGGCGAAAGACACTTCTTACATGGCAGCAGCAAGAGAAAATGGGGAAGAAGCAAAAGCAGAAACCCGTGATAAACCCATCACATTCTCGTGAGACTTATTCACTGTCAGGAGACTATCACGGGAAAGACCAGCCCCCATGATTCAATTACTTCCCCCTGGGTCCCTGCCACAACACGTGGGAATTCTGGGAGATACAATTCAAGTTGAGATTTGGGTGAGGGCACAGCCTATCCGTATCAGTCCTCAAGAATAAAACTAAAAATATCCTCAAAAGTTAGTTATTGGCTCTCAATTATTTTCTCCTGTTTTTTGAGGCTACAACAACTTCCTAGACTTCAACTGCCATTTCCAAAATATGATTTTTAACAGCTTCACTGAAATAGAATTTACATACCATAATATTCAGTCATTGCAAATGTACAATTTAATGGTTTTTGGTAAATTTATAGAATTGTGCAAATGTTACCACGTGCAGTTTCAAGGGTTACTTCCATGACCCCTAATAGTTCTTCCATGCCCATTGGTAGTTAATTCCTGCTCCCACGCACTATTCAAGGCAACAAATACCCTGTTTTTGGCTTCTGTAAATTTACCTTTTTTTGGACATATAATATAAATGGTATCAGACAATGGACATATAATATAAAGGACATATAAGTGGAATCAGTCTTTTGTGTTCTGCTTCATTTACTTACCATGCTTTTGAAGTTCATCCATGTATGGACAGTTTACTGCTTTTTCTTGTTGAATAATATTTCATTATGTAAGTATACCATAGTTGGTTTATCCATTAATTAGTTAATGGATATCTTGATTTTCTAATTTTGGTTTATTATGAATAATGCTACTATGAATAGTCAAGTCTTTGGGTGGACACATTTTCATTTTTCTTGGGTAGCTTTCTAAGTGTACAATTGCCAGATAACATGGTAAATTCAAGTTTAACTTTGCAAATAACTTCCAAACTGTTTTCCAGATTGGCCATACCATTTTACATTCCCACCAGGAATGTAGGAGGGATCCAGATTTTCCCACATGCTTGCCAATACTTGGTTTTCTCTTTTTGTTTGTAGCCATCTTAGTGGGTGTTAACTTATACTTTATTTTGCTTTTATGGATATAATTTTTAAACTTAGTATCATTAGCTCTGCCCTGCTCTTACAGATTTAGTTCTACATTTTCAGTAACTTGCTTCGTATTTCCACTCAGACATCTCACAGTCATATTAATCTCAACATAGGAGAAACCAAACCTCTCTATCGACTACCTAATACTGGTTTACTTTTAGAAGTTCTTATTATTTATAACAGGAGCATTATTTTCACTCTGAGTTTGAACATTCCAAATCATCCTTTATGCTTTCTTTTACCAGAACTTTTGATTCAACCAACCAGTGAAAATTGTTTTTTAATATCATATATATTTTCTTCCTATTCTTATTACCATAATCAGTGCTAAACTACTTCGAAAACCTTCTGATGATATTATTTTATTTTCTCTACTCTCTATATTGGGACTTTCAAGATACGAAAAATTTTACTTTTTTTTAAATCATGGCCACTAGAGACTCAAAATTATTTAATGCTCCCTTACTCTCTTAAGCAGTGTTACTTCTTAGAGAAACTATAGGACTCCAAGCTAGCTTTTTCATCTAAAGAAACTTTTCAACTCCAGTTGCACTGAGATTCCTCCGAACATGTTTGCACGTGCCAACCTGGAAACTTTAGCAAAAATTTCACTCCACCCATTTTATTTGGAATTACCGTATTTTGCTTGTCTGCCTCTTTGCCAATCCTTAGGAATGATTGAAGTCTCACTTTCCGAGTAAACAGTTTACTACCTGCCAAAGCTACTATGAGCCCTTCTAATTTGTTTCCCATATACTTACTTGAGCACTTACAGGCTTTGTGCTAGGTGCTCAAATACAAAGTGAATTAACACACAGTACCTTTTCTCAAAAAGATTAATTTAGTAAGATAAAGCAGATATATAAATAGACAATTAGAAATAATATGTTACTGTAGTAATAGAACTGTGAACAGGATATTTTAATAAAAACAGCAAGAAGGGGTACCAAGCCTAACTTGAATTAGGCTAGGTATGGGTTTAGGATTAGGAAGAAATGGTAATTAAACTGAGACTTGAATGATGACTAGGCTAGATGGAGATGGGAGCAGAAAACTCTAGAAATGAGGTCCAAGTATATATAAAAGGCATCGATGTAAGAAATAGCTTGTGTGTTTGCAAGTTATCAGCAGAAAGGATCTTGACACATGAAGTATAAGACATAGATTAGTGAGTGGAGTTAAGAAAAAAATCAGAGACCAAGGCATGAAGTGTCTTATATCTTGTGCTGACAACCCTGTCTCTATGCTATGAAGAACTTGGCCCAAAAGGGCTTTAAAATTATAAGTAAAATGGTCAGGTAAGTGTTTTATGCTCTCCATTTTAGCAACCATGTAAGGGATACATTTTATCAGAACCAGATTGTTGAAAAGGAGACTAGTTAGAAATGATCTCAGTGATGAGATAGTTAAAGCTTAAGCTAAAACAGTGTAATGGAGATAAAGAGAAAGAGAAGACTATGATAAATATTTTGTAAATATAATTGTCTGGAATTAGTAGATGGTTTAATGTAGAAAGAATAGTGACTCAGGAAAAAAATCAGGAATAATTCTGATATGGTTTGGCTCTGTGTCCCCACCCAAATCTCATCTCGAATTGTAATCCTCATAATCCCCATATCACGTTTAGGGCAAAGCCTGGTGGGAGATGATTGTATGGTAGGGGTGGTTTCCCCCATACTGTTCTTGTGATAGTGACTGAATTCTCATGAGATCTGGTTGTTTGATAAGTGTGGGGCTCCTCTCCCTTCATGCACTGCTCTCTGTCACCTGCCACCATGTAAGATGTACCTCTTCCCCTTCCACCATGATTGTTAAGTTTCCTGAGGCCTCTCCAGCCATGTGGAACTGTGAGTCAATTAAACTTCCTCTCTTTATAAATTACCTAGTCTTAGGTAACTTTTTATAGCAATGTGAAAACACGCTAATACAAATTCTCAGATATTTCTGGCTTTGGTGACTAGATACTGATGGTGACATCAAATGAGCATATGTTTGATACCACTCATTTACTTCTTAATACTTTGTAGCATCATCTTTTCATAAACATATTATTTATCTTTCTGCAACGCTAGATCAAAGCACTTGAGAGCAGAATTGAGCTTTCGAATGTTTTACAAAAGTTAAAATGGCAATGGCTTTATTATTTTTACCTCTTCATAAAAATAGTGATTGTTCATGTTTTAAAAAGTTAGGAAATTGCAGGAAAGAGTAAAAAACATCACCACAACATCATCTTAAAAAATAATACTAACTAAAGCAATACTGGAATTAGAACTGGGATTTAATACATTATGTGCTAAAAATTCTCTCCTTTTCTTTTTTAACCAATCACATTATCACGTACATCTTTCTATGTTTGATTTATGAAATGATTAGTTACTGTTGCCCTACACTGATTAACTGTAAATTTTAACCAATGTCATCTCAAAGAATAGGTTGGATGTTTCCAATTTTTCAATAAAATAATCAATACTGAAAAGGGTAGCCTTATATATATTTTTGGAATCCACTGTTAGTGTAATATATCTATTCCCTAAGAGTAAATATTCAAAATACTACATAAGAATTTTTCCTGGCAGAAACCCTGACTTCCTCTCCAAGGTTATCCCCAGCTAGTTTATCAATGTGCATCATATTGTGGTAATAGCAACCTGCTTATAACTCAAAATAAACCATGTTATTTCATGATGTTAGGCCTTCATACATACTCTTTCCATTGCTAGGAATACCCTCATCTTAGTGAACTCCTCAGTCTAAAGATCAGCTCAAAGCTATCTATCCTTCCCTATTTCTGCTTTAAAAAGTTGACCATCCCCTGGATTCTTCTGTTTATATTTCTATTTGCCCTATTTTGTAAATTTTGGTTTGCATGTCTCTGTTGTATACTAGAATGCAAGCTTTTTGCATTTAGGGACTATGTTTTTTTTCTTTTTTCTTTCTCTTTTTTTTTTTTTTGAGATGGAATCTCACTCTGTCACCCAAGCTATAGTGCAATGGCATGATCTCAGCTCACTGAAACCTCTGCCTCCTAGGTTAAGGTGATTCTCGAGCCTCAGCCTCCCGAGTAGCTGGGATTACAGGCATACCCCACCACACCTAGCTGATTTTCATATTTTTAGTAGAGATGGGGTTTCACCATGTTGGCCAGGCTGGTCTTGAACTTCCGACCTCAGTTAACCCACCTGCCTCAGCCTCCAAAAGTGCTGGGATTATAGCCGTGAGCCACTGCGCCTGGCTGGGACTGTGTTTGAATTAGTTTCTTAGTTCTAGGTTCTAGCACTCTTCTTGGTACATAATTAAGGCTCAATTTATGATGGTTTACTTCAATTGACATTGAGATATTTTCAATGATCTCGTAACTTACATGGTCAAACCTAGTTTAAAGAGTGAAGAATTTAGAAATTCTCCTGAAAGCAATGGAATTTGAAAGAAAAGAACTCGGGTGACCCCTTGCTCTTTATGGCAATAAGGAGAGAGCAAAACACAGCCGATTAATTTTGGCAGGGAAGTGGAGGTTGAGGGGAACCAGGGTATAATGGTATAAATAATTAATTTTGTCATTATGTCTATATATTCTGTAATTACCCCATGAGCAAACAAAAACTCTTAAATGTCTCTTTTAAAAACAGATTAAGACCTTGGTTTATTGTTAAAACATATAATTTTCTGTAACAATTTCTTATTTATTTATTTATTTATTTATTTTTACTTATTCATTTTTTTGAAATGGAGTCTCGCTTTTTCGCCCAGGCCAGACTGCAGTGGTGCTATCTCGGCTCACTGCAAGCTCCGCCTCCTGGGTTCACGCCATTCTCCTGCCTCAGCCTCCGGAGTAGCTGGGACTACGGGTGCCCTCCACCGCACCTGGCTAATTTTTTGTATTTTTAGTATTTTTAGTAGAGACGGGGTTTCACCATGTTAGCCAAGATGGTCTCGATCTCCTGACTTTGTGATCTGCCCACCTCGGCCTCCCAAAGTGCTGGGATTACAGGGGTGAGCCACCGTGCCCGACCTTTTGTAACAATTTCTAACACAAGAACCCCTGTACTATTTAAAAGTAAACAAATATTTAGTGTTTTCTGAGAGTTCTAAACATTAATCATGATATTTTCAGTATATTAAACTAGATATTTTATTTTCAGAATAAAATTTCACATTATGTTTAAAACAACTATGTCTTTTATAACACATCCACATGATTATCATCAATATCAACCAAATTCATATTGCACACTCTATATAAAAAAAACACTTTTTCTGTTTTTCATACCTTATAAGAAACTGCAAAAAGTTGTAAATAAGCAAATATCTAGAATTAGAGCTGACTGAGTCTTAGTCATGCCATGTATTTGCACAGGAATTTTATGAAAACATTAAATATGACAATCTATATGAAAGCTACTAGATCAATTAAAAGAATTTTCTCAAAATAATTTTTTTCCTTTTCCGATTTCTATGTTTCTATCTCTTCTCCTATCTTTTCTATCTCTCTTTCTGTGTTTTTCTCCTCTTCTCTCTTTTCTCTTCTCACTTCCTCGTTTTCTTTTAATTTCTTGCTTCTTTTAGATCAGCCTTCTCTGTCTTTTGTTCTTAAGCTCCATACAGCTCATTTGAGAAGTTCAAGGTCATATTCTTCAAGGTTTAGGTCCAATAAAAAAGACAGTATTTCTGTTTCTCCCACAAGTTCAAGGATTCACTCTGAATTTAGTTGGAGTCTACTAAATCCATCAGTGTCCAGGAGATTTTGGTGTGCTGACTGACATGGCCTGGGTCATCTAGTACAGGAGTGGAAATGTATGAAAGAGATGAGATAGTATCTCATTGTGGTTTTGATTTGCATTTCTCTGATGGCCAGTGATGATGAGCATTTTTTCATGTGTCTATTGGCTGCATATATGTCTTCTTTTGAGAAGTGTCTGTTCATATCCTTCGCCCACTTGTTGATGGGGTTGTTTGTTTTTTTCCTGTAAATTTGTTTGAGTTCTTTGTAGATTCTGGATATTAGCCCTTTGTCAGATGAGTAGATTGCAAAAATTTTCTCCCATTCTGTAGGTTGCCTGTTCACTCTGATGGTAGTTTCTTTTGCTGTGCAGAAGCTCTTTAGTTTAATTAGATCCCATTTCTGAATTTTGGCCTTTGTAGGGACGTGGATGAAGCTGGAAACCATTATTCTCAGCAAACTATAACAAGGACAAAAAAACCAAACACCGCATGGTCTCACTCATAGATGGAAATTGAACAATGAGAATACTTGGACACAGGAAGGGGAACATCACACGCTGGGGCCTGTTGTGGGGTGGGGGAGGGGGGGAGGGATAGCATTAGGAGATATACCTAATGTAAATGACAAATTAATGGGTGCAGCAGACCAACATGGCACATGTATACATACGTAACAAACCTGCACGTTGTGCACATGTACCCTAGAACTTAAAGTATAATAAAAATATATACAGAATAAAAAAAAGAAATGAGATAGGGCATTTTTCTAAATGAAATACTGGGTACTTTACAAGAAGAAAAACCACTGGAAGCTGGATTGTCAAAAATCAGCAAATGTTGATAAATATTCTTTCTTTAAGGACCTCACAATTAAATGATTAGAGAAAACACATAATACATACATGCATGCATGTATATGTACATAGCTAAAAACAATCCCAGCTAGAATTGCTAACTGATAAATAAATCATACTAAAAATGATTTCTAGAGAGACACAGTATTTCTGGTGGTTAACAACACAGTCTCAAGCCAAAAACCCTCAGGGTTTGATGCCATCTCTAACACTTGCCAGGCTACTGAATTCTCCATGTCTCAGTTTTCACATTTATTCTAATAATGGTATCTACCCTGTATGTTTTTAAGGGTTAAATTAGCTACTGCGTATAAAGCACATAGAACTTTGCTGGCATATCTTGAGCAAATACAAGTGTTCACTATTATTATTGAAGGAATTTTATAGAACATCTGTTGCATCTTGACTAAGATTAAGACTCAGATGAGCTGAGTAAAATAGGAGGTGCCTTCCACGTAGAAACAATGAAGGGCTAAAAGTATGAGGAAATGGGCATTAATGTTCATAAGACAAGTATCCACAAGAACAACATAAGAATATAATAATTCACCTCCCATCATTTTTGTAAAATTACTTAGATTTTCTCACAGTGCTTCTTTTCTTTGGTATCCTTTGATCTTATATGCCCATTCTTTTAGGTCTCTTTATTTTTCATCTTTTAAAATCTAGTCAAAATTATACTTCTTCCTAGGTATGGATGTCTCATTCAAGAGGGGTCACTATCTAAAACAATCCTACCACTTCACTAGTTCTCTTCTCAAGGTCATTGGTGACCTTGTTTCTAGAGCCAGTGAATACTTTTTGTGCTCAACTTGCTTGACTTTTAAAAATTATTTTATTCTGTTAATTATCGAGCTACTTTCTTCCAGAAATGTTTATTTGTCAATATCACTGTAATATGATCTATCAAGGTTTTCCTCATTTATTATTATTTTATTTTATTTTATTTTATTTTTAAATTTTGTTTTGTTTTGTTTTGTTTTGAGATGGAGTCTCCCTCTGTTGCCCAGGCTGGAGTGCAGTGGCGCAATCTCGGCTCACTGCAAGCTCTGCCTCCCGGGTTCATGCTATTCTCTTGCTTCAGCCTCCTGAGTAGCTGGAACTACAGATGCCTGCCACCACGCCCGGCTAATTTTTTGTATTTTTTAAAAGAGACAGAGTTTCACTGTGTTAGCCAGGACGGTATCTTCCTCATTTATTAATAGTCATTCCTTCACAGTTATTTTTTCAGACTCTTTCTCTTCTGCTCTTGATATTTGTGCCCCTCAAGTTCTTTCCTGGGCTGCTTTATTTTCTTTATCATGCTCCATAGTTTGTCACCTTCTCCTGTGACCCCAAATTTAATACATAGACAAATGGCTTCCATATCTATGTTGCCAATACAGTTCTCTGTCCTGAAACCAAAATCTATACAGAGTCTCCACTCATGGTGGTTCAACTCAAAACTTTTCAACTTTATGATGGCATGAAAACAATAAACATTGAGTATGTTCCTCAACCTCCAGTGGAGTTGGTCCAGATAAACCTATTATAAATTGAAAATATTGTAAGTCTAAAGTTTTCTGGCCAGGCGCAGTAGCTCATGCTTGCAATCCCAGCACTTTGGGAGGCTGAGGCAGGTGGATATCTTGAGGTTAGGAGTTCGAGACCAGCCTGGACAACATGGTGAAACCCTGTCTCTACTAAAAATACCAAAAATTAGCTGGGCGTTATGGCAGGCACCTGTAATCCCAGCTACTTGGTAGTCTAAGACAGGAGAATCGCTTGAACCCCGAAGCGGAGGTTGAAGTGAACCGAGATCACGCCACTGCACTCCAATCTGGGTGACAGGCAAGACTCCATCTCAAAATAAATAAATAAATGAAAAAAAAGTTTTCAGCTTACAATAGGTTTATCAAGATGTAACCCCACATAATTTAAGGAGCATCTGTATACACATCTGCCAACATCTCCAATCAGATGTTTAATTGAAATAGAAATTTTCAATCCATCTAAACTGGAACTGTTTTTCTTCCCCAGCAAACCTACCTCTCCTCTTGTGTTCACTATTTTCTACTCAGATGCTTGGTCCCAACTGGGTTTCATTTTTATCACCTGTATATCCCCAGCCTTCTAAAAGATGTCTTGGATCTTTCTGCTTAACTATCCCAGGGCCACAAATTTGTCTGGCTGCTATCATTTCCTACCCTGGATTCTTAGAATAGCCTTCTAAATGCTCATTACGATTCCAGGCTTGTTACACTCTAATCTATTGTTCATGTTTTTAAAAATGTCTTCCTAATGACCAATTGTGATTATATCACACTGCTGTCTGTAGGTATTCAGTGGCCACCTATTGTCCTCAAGCAAAGATCAGAGTATTACAGGCCCTTCATTATAGTTATGCTTTCATCTTTAGTTTCATTTTACATTATTCCTTTTATCTTTCCCTAGTATTAGCCACAGAACCCCATTCTGTCCTTCAGGCTTCTATTCACATTGTTCCCTCTCTCTGAAATTGTTTTCCTCCCTCTTTTTGTTGTACTTGACACCATTAAATCATTCTCTTCCACCTTCTCTAATATTTTGTTTCCATATCACTAAACTTAGCCAGATTATCTGAAGGCCTCTGGTGCCATTTTTTTTTTTTTCCTTAAAAGCTCTTTGCCTTCTAAGACCAGGCAGTTGGTTGTCCTGCCCTGGTAAAATCCATGAGGACCTTAGGATTTCCTAACTTGCCTTCATTATCTTTCCCATTCAATCTTTATCCTCTTTTGGTACTCCCTGTTTCAATTGTTGACATTCCATCTACTCAGCTGTCTATGATAAATTCTAAGAATCATCCTTGATTCCGCCTTCTTTGTTACACATGTATCCTGTGAGTCTCCAGAATTTCCCAATTAATTTTACTGTCTAAATATTTTTCAAATATCATGTTTCCCTCTGTTGCCACTACCTTGGCCTCACTTTAGGTTTTCATCTCTAATTATAACAACAAAAAACAGCTAGCATCGTTATGGTACAGTACACATTTAAGTATTTTACATGTATTATCTTGATTAATTATTACAGAAAATTTCTTTGAAATAGGGACTATTATTATTGTCTTTAAATAGATGAAGAAAGTTTAGCAATGTGTCCAAACTGACAGCTACCACTGGATTCATGCATTCTTATAAGGGCTTTAAAATACAATGACTAATAGAGTCCTTGATCTTGTGATTTTTACTCTTAAAATCAGATACTTATTTGTAAAATTTTTCTTGAACTTTAATGAAAATATGTCACAAAGCCTGCTTGAAATCCCGCGTCCTGTATTAAAATAATTAACAACATTTTCTAGGACTCTCTCCTGCTGACATTAATGCTGCTTTTTGAAGTAAATTTGTCTCAAAAGAGTAGTAATCAGACACAACTACTGAAGGCAGAACACTCCTCTCTCTTCCCTTTCTACAGTGGTGTAAGCTTCCTTAGAGCTTTTAATCCCCAAACTCTGAAAGGGTTTCAGTAGGCTTAATATTTTGTTTTTCAGCCTACCTAAAGGAAAACTCAAACAGTGCTTCCACTACATAACCAAGCTCTTATTTTCCACCTTATCCTTGCTAGCCCATTAGATGTCCACCGCTCTCCTCCCAAGCAGCTTTCCTAATTATGTCGGTGGTGCACAGCTTGCCTTCCTAAAGACTATGTTTTTCACTCTGTTCATGCCATTTCACTGGAGAGGAAATCTGCATCCGTGCTCCAATAGAAGCCATAAGGTCACTATGTGAAAACTTGGAGGGCAAAAAAATGTTGTCAGTAATGAGATCTCAGGCATTTGGAAAGTTCACAGGGTCCTTTGTACAACAGGGAAGAATCCCTCTGTTTCCTCTGGTGCTGTTTCATGCTAATTTCAGAACATCAGCCAGTATAAGGCATCTCAACTGAAACTTCAGTTCACAGTGGAGCCCCTTTCATCCCTTTTTTTGCAGCTAGGCAGTTAGGTTTATCTTGTTGATCTGTGGAAAAAAGGAAAAAAAGAAAAAAGAAGCACAGTCACATGAATATAACAGATGGAACAAATTGAAGGGTTTGCTTCTACCACTTCTCTCCTTATTAAAATGGGAAAGAAAAATTGTTTTTCGATGGGGCATAGTTATGATTATTTAATATATAGAAATTATATTACATCCGAAAACACTAAGAGCTTTGTGAGTTGCTGATATAGTCTGATGAGCCACAAAAAAATTAAGTCCCAATTACAGGATTTTTGTCATAATTTTGCCATTGATTTTACCTTTTGATTACTCTGGTTATTCCAGTAAGGGAGCAAAAGCAAAATTTGCCCATTCTCCAATTTGTGACCTGTGTGATTCTACTACATAGAGAAAGCCGTGGGGATGGAGCAAAGGAATAATTGCCTATCTGACCTTGGACTGTGTACTGTGTTGCCACTGCATCACATTTATTTATTTATTTACTTATTTATTTATGTATTTATTATTCTACTTTAAGTTCTGGGATACATATGCAGCATGTGCAGGTTTGTTACATAGGTATACATGTGCCATGGTGGTTTGCCGCACCCATCAACCCGTTATCTTTATTAGAGATTTCTCCTAATGCTATCCCTCCCCTTGCCCCCGATCCCCCAACAGGCCCTGGTGTGTGATGTTCCCCTCCCTGTGTCCATGTGTTCTCATTGTTCAACTCCCACTTATGAGTGAGAACATACCACATCACATTTAAACTGTGAAATTTGATTTGAATACACATACCCTTGGGGAATCCTGGAATTGCACCCCCATAGAGTTATCTCATTATACCTCTCATTGTCCTAGTTATAAAACCATGTAATGGTACATCTAGGAGCATACCTTCACAGTTCAGGAAAGAAAAAAACACAAGTAAATTTTATATCAGATTGGCTTCTGAGTCTTCTGTTGCTTCCCAGACTCCAATGTTTGAGCTGCAGAATCAAATAAATTCTTGCAAAATTGTGTAACTGAGTCCCCCACCTTTAGTCTGGAGAGTATCTCAGATTCTCACTCTTTGCTCTTTCTTCATTAGTCTTTTTTAAATAAGTGTTTTTCTATTGAGAAATAAGTCACTACCTTTAAATTTGTTAATCTACAAGTGGGAGATTAACTCTGATACTATTATGCCCTCCAGGCTCCTATATAAGGTGCTTTGAGGTGTGAGAATTTTTTATAGAGCACAAACCACTGAGTGAAGTGGGCTGTGGTATGAGTTATCAGTTAAGTTGTTTGAAAACACCAGACTATTCATTTTTCTACAGTGTTTGTTTCATCCTATAGACAAGAATTTAGGATAAAGCAATTTGTGGAATAGGAGCATGTGAAGGGCATTATAAATAATAGCTTACAGCTTAAATCAGTGGTACTTTTTAGTTAAGGATTGTGACTTTTTCCAGTTTATTATTTGTGTCATTTATACATTTACTGGGTAAAGTTAATGATAAAGATCTCCTCATCTTCTCTTCCCCTTACCTAACTACCTACCTGCATACCTTCTCTGTTTCAGAAGTGGTGTTTTATATTATTTCTTTGGGGAAACTTTCTCTGACTTGTCCCCTAATCCTCACTCTGTTCTGCCCAGGCCATTTCATACTCTTCCTATATTGTGTTTTGCCTTTGTAGCCCTTACCCAAAGTATAATATACACATATTTGAATTACTAGTTTATTGTGTGTCACTATCAGGAAATTGTGGACTTAGCCAGGATGGAGCTATATATATTGTTCAATATTATAACCCATAGCGACAAACAATATATATATGTTGTTTAGATTATAAATATGTATATAAAATTACTTGTTGACTTTGTGAATGATTTGCAAAGACGTATTTGACACTTGAGCTGTTGCTTTAACCAGAATTTGTAACAAGGAACTGTAAATTTTTAAAGAATTTTTAATTCTAAAAATGTAGAGGGAAAATCATAAATGCTCCAAGAGAGACTAAAGAGGTAATTTACAAAGAAATAATAGTGATATTAACAAAAAAATTACCCATGGACCCCCTAGATACTCTCAGTAAATGGCATGATTTTTCAAAAGTTCTGCAAGAAAAAAGTTTAAACACAGAATCCTAAAATTAGATTTAATTTTGAAAATATAAAGACTTTTTAAAGTATCATTGAATTCAGAAGGTTTGTCATTTTGCACATTCCTTTGAAAAGGTTATTGGAGGATATACTTTACTAATCCAAAGTGACTATAGACACACACACATACACACACACACACACACACACACACACACACACACACACACACAATATCTCTTTCTCCCATGCCAACATACACATCCAAAAATCAAAAGTAAAACTGGAAAATAAAATCCAAGGTCTATACCTGGAAGGTGTTTGGCCTAGACATGACAACCCTAGGCACACTTGGGCTGAGGGAGAGGCTACAGATAATACCTAGATGTTGGTAGCACTTTAATGAGTTTGCTCAAAATCTAATGGTCACTATTATAGTTTGTATATAAGAAAAATTTCTGCACCACTTAGCAAACGAAAAGTCTGTCAATTTGGCCATAAAGCAAAGATCGTAGAAGAAAAGGTGGCAAGATACATTCAAACGTAGCAATAATTAACACATTTAAAAGACAAGAAACAGAACATGTTCAAAAAAGATTTGGTTGTGTACTATTAACAAAAGACACAGCAAATGAACAATAAAATTTAGAAATAAAGGGGTATAGGGAATATATCAGGCAATAGTAAGAAAAGAAAGTAAATGTAGTAGCTTTAATGTTGGATGTAGAAACCAATGCAAAAAATTGAAATCATTAAAGTATGTCATAAATGATATAATTCATCTTTATGTGAATCTTGACTCTTTATACCAATTTAATTTTTAAATTAAGGAAGGCTATCTTAATATTGATAATTTTTGTTTTTTAAAACGGAGTCTTGCACTGTTGCCCGGGCTGGAGTGCAATGTTGCCATCTCCGCCTCCCAGGTTGCCACAATTCTCTTGCCTCAGCCTCCCGATTAGCCGGGATTACAGGCACATACCACCACATCCAGCTAATTTTTTGTATTTTTAGTAGAAACAGGGTTTCACTGTTTTTGCCAGACTGGTCTCAATTTCTGACCTCATGACCCACTCTCCTCGGCCTCCCAAAGTGCTGGGATTACAGGTGTGAGCCACCACTCCCAGCCAAAATTAATAATTTAATATTTTTTACGGTAGTAACAATTTATCTTTATATTAATAATTTAATATGTTTATTTGCTCATTTATATATAATATACTTTAATTTCAAAATTAAAGTACTTGCTCATACAAATGGGTACTGAGAGTAAAAGTCTATATAGATTGCAGAAATGTGGCTGAGGGCTCCAAGGCAGGACTTGAGAGAAAGAGAAGTGATTTGAGCCCAAACTTTCCAGGGCTCTTTCCTCCCTGTCTTCCTCCCTATTCAGTGGATCATTTTGGCTTTTAGTAAAGGAGAAGTTGGTCATCTTGTTTTTCAGTAGTGATGTCATTCTTTAACTGTGAGGGAACAAGGTATAAATGACAAGCATGCTCAAATCTTTTTTTTCCCACTTTACCAATTGCTCTCCTTTTCCACATTACTAGTCCATTATTCTAATAAAAAATAATGTCATCAAAACTGAGGCTTCTGAACAATAAATCACCCTCCTGATTATGAGTTAATCCTTCCTTCAGAAAGGCATGGACAGCTTTGTCCAGTGAATTGTTAACTTACTGTATAGATGATTTAAGTTGAAAGAGTCCATAAACACAATTAAGGATGAAAGTGACTAAGGCTTTGATGTTGATAACCACCCATATGTCAATAGGCCATGGTTAAAACAAATGAGCTACAGAAGTCCAAAACTCAGATGGTGTACAAAAAAAGAAAGATCTTAGAGATGGAAAGAGTTATGATCAGAGTGATGGGAGAGGTGAATCATCTTGAGATCAGTACTTTGGACGACTTTAAAGTCAAAAGATTTAAGAGAAAGATTCCGGGAAGCCTGAATTAGAGATTACTTAATACTTTTTTTTTAAAGAAAGTATTAATGAATTGATTTTTCGAGCCTGAGTCTCAAGATATTTTTAGAACTTAGTCTTTTTTATTTTATAAGAAGTAAAGATGTATTTCCTTTCTGCTGCATTTTTGCCTTTTTTGCCCTCCTGATCCATATAGGGCATACACAAACAATAATAATGCATTTTAAAAAATTTTAAGGTACCTTTATGATTTTTAAAAATATAAATTATGAAAGACTTTTCTCTGATTCCTTTTGTCTTTGCATTAGTGTGTGAATTTTAATGTTTTGCCAAATTAATCATTTGAAATAGGAATGTTAACTTATTTGTGTGAACATGTGCCATTGTTTTGTGGTAAAGGCTGATATGTGATAGTTAAAACAATAAGAAACTTCTAGAGAGCTTCGTATCTACAAGTGGAATCAAATGAAGCAATTAGTAAACTTTGAGATGATTCAAACATTGTTTTCACATTCCTCATTTCCTGCATATTTTAGAGTATATCGGCAACCTTTCTGCAAAAAACAGAGATTCGGCGTTGCTCTTCATACATTTAAATTTGGTTTCCTGTCTCAAATAAACCCAGCAGGTAACAGTTGACACAGATGGAGAACCAAGTTATAATTACCATCAATTGCATCGTCTTCTCCACTGTACCAAATGCTGCATGTTTCAGCCAGGCCACTTCCGAGATTCTTCTCTTGGAGGCCTGTTTCTGCCTGAATCGATGTGCATCCCCTTTGATATTCCCACAGTGTGCACAATATACCCTTGAACACACACTGCTCAGGGTAATATGTCTCTAATGCAATGAAATCAATGGGAACACAGCCTTTTTTGCCTGACAGTATTGTCAGGGTATATTACCTGGTTTAGGCTGTGGCTTCAGTTCATAGCAGTCGTCAGTTAAATTTCCCTTTCTGAAGCTGAGCAAAGTGTGGTAATGTCACAGCCACAGGCGACTGCCGTTCATAGGATGGTTACCAGAGAAGCATAGCCTCCTGGCTTGTCACACTGTATATATCTCAGGGTCTTCTCTTCCTTCCTAGTCAGAGGTTTCCAAGAATGTTGCCTGGAGCAGTCAAGGGATGCAAAAGAGAGAGATTTTTGTTCTGCACTTAGCAACATTACCACACTTCACACTCAGTTTCTGATAAGAGAAAATTTAACTGACTTGCTGTGAACTCAATCTATCAGATAATACACTCTGACAGGGCTGTGGATAAAGGCTAGAAAACCTACTAATTATATTTCATTATCTCTGCACTTGGCTTAATCTGTTATATTTTGCTAAGTGTTATGAAGATAACAAGGAGAGCTGAACTGAAAGGGGAAAGGGGAACCCTGACTCCACAGGGGAGGCAGGAAGACTCACTGGATAATTCTACCTCCTGTCTCAAGAAGTTATATGCCAGGGGGTAACTGTGGAGCCTGTGTAATATTAGAATAGGCAGGGCAATCTTGCACAGGTGAGGAGTGGATGGCCACTTCTAGCATCTGCTGCTTCTTGCTGCACATGAGAAAACAAAATAAGAATAATGGAATTGTGAAATAGCACATGTTGATGTCCAGGCAGCTTCTAACCCATATCTCATGTAGTACACTCAAGAGTCAAAATAAAACGATCTTTCCAGGACGTAGCCATTGTTATTGATAAAGATACTCCTAAATACTGATGTGTGTTTACTGGAACCAATGAGGTAATAGGGAAATAAGAGTTAAGTCAGGGATAACTGTTCTTTAGGACACAGGATGGCCAGTTGTCATAAACACTCCAGGGGGAGGGAGGGTGGAGTAAACGTCCAGTTCCTATGCAGGAATGTAGCAGTACTATTTGGCTGTTCTTTACAATATGGATAATCCCACATTAGAGCTTTCCAAACTTTGAAAAAGAATGGTAGAATATAAATAATAACCACAGGATTGGAGGGACTCAAGAATTATGCTTAAGAATATTTTACCATGTATTCCTTAATATTAACTTATCAGGCAGTAGGTCAGACATTGGGAATAAAAACATTTATAAAACTGTCTCTTTTGAAGTCTCTTTTCTCCTTAAAAGAGAATCATGCCAGCACCTCTCAGAGAGGGACACCTACATCTTTTGTTGTTCTATGCTGACAAGGATAGTGGTAGGAGATTAGGTATATGACTAGAGAGTTCAGTTGAAGTTTAGCTCTTCTTTTAAATTATTTTAAGAGAAATTTGAACTTTGTATCTTTGTTTTCAGAATGGCTAACCTGTACCTCCCAGTACACGGTAAGTGATTCCTACACTCTCAGTTCTGCTTCCACATCTGTAAAGTGAAGTGGTGGGAAGAGTAAGAATGTATACCCTAACCACACTTCAGGGATGAAAAGTGCCGAAGAGGAAGTCACTATAAACACAGAATGGTAGAGCTAAAATATATCATAGAGATTATTTAGAGGAAAATAACTGAACTAGCAGCCAGAATATCTGGAATCTAATCCTAGCTCTGCCATTGACTCACTGCAGTTCCTTGGGAAAACACTTTCCCTAAAGTTTCAGAGGCATCTTCTATAAGATGATAATATGTAAATAGTTTCTCTCCAAGACTTCTTTCCATTTTAATTCTGTACAATGTATCTAAAGAAGTGGAAATCTCCCAGGTGGGTTGGTTGAGTATCCAGTACCTGATTCTCTGACTCTCACTACAATGTGTATCCTTTTTTATTTCATGCTACCTTCTGCCACCTTTAAAAATAAAGTTAGTTCAAATAGTTGGAAAATTACCTTAAAGAGTCACCATTTGTTCAAGAATCACAATAAATAAATGCTAGTTGTTATTATCGGGTATATTCAGATAGACTATCAACCTTTAAAGGTATCAAGCAGCTACTGAAGCAAATAGTCTATGTAAATTTCAAAGTATGGTTCTGAAGTACTCATTTGAAATCCAAGAATAACTGTATGTCATCTTTAAAATATGCCATTCTCAATAACACACTCCAAATATTCCTGTTAAGGTAACTTCAACTCCCAAGTTTTTCTATTCACACAAAATTTGGTGACCTGATTTTAGACCTTTCCTGAAAACTCCTGGATCAGCTCTTCCTATTTTGCTAAACTATTTCTAACATAAGCTGCCTGAGCCTCACTTGGTTGTTTTGGCCATTTCTCCTGGGAACTTCCACAGTTACCCAAAGGGAGGCAGTGACAAGTATTTCATCATTTTGATTTTTCTCTACCTCCCACACACAACCACTTTTAGTTCCAGGGTGTGTGTGTGTGTGTGTGTATATGTGTGTGTGTGTCCTTAAATACAAACTAGGAAAGGCTTCCTACTCTGTCAGTTCCTTTTGCCATCAACTATTGCTACTATGCTATGCTAAACTTTCTCTTCCTATGAAGAGCTCTCCTACCAAAATTAGTGAATAAAGTTGATCCTGCAGTTCATCATTTAACTTACAAGCTAAAATGCAATTTGGAAGTACCGATGAAAGCTGTACAATATTAGTTGGGACTACTTCTTCCTCATTCCTGATGTTTTTCTTTCCTGTGAAGGGAGCTTTAGGAGTATAACTCCAAGTCTCTCTCCAATGCACTATTTATTTCACCCTTGGGGAAATGAAGATAATCACTTGACTGGTAACTTTGGGAGTAATACCTAGGCACATGTGGCTTAGCTCCATCTTTCTACTCTCTCTTGTCCACTCTCCCACGAGTATCTCTATTCTCTGGAGCAGGAAGTGGAAGTGTGAAGTCAGCTTGGGCCCACCTTGCTTGGACTTTGGGATTAAAAATTCTTGGATTCAGTTATGAGGCCCTTTGTGTTCTTGCACTAAAATTATTTCTCCAATTAAATCCTTATCAGTAATAATGGTGTCCCAAGTAGCTGACCTCCTGAGTAGCTGGGATTACAGGTGCCCGCCACCATGCCTGGCTAATTTTTTTGTGTGGTTTTAGTAGAGACGGGGTTTCAGCATGTTGGCCATGCTGGTCTCGAACTCCTGGCCTCAAATGATCCACACGTCTCAGTGGATCTATATTTCATATTATTCAGACTTTGGACAGGAAAAGGTGAGTTAGTTATTAAAACCCCCTTAAAGAAAGTACCTCCAGCACAAGAAAGGGTTAAAATGAGAAATTATCAAACTCTTAGTAATTATCTGCTACATGGTAGGCATGTTGTTACACATTGAGGAAATACAGATGAATTGAAAATAGTCCCTTTTTTAACAGAAGCTCAGAGAATAAATTGTAGGGAAGACTGGAGACATTAGAAGAAAGGACACAATATTAAGACACAGAAATGTTTATCCCTATTGACAAATTCTGAATTATCTAGGTGTGTAGGATGGAGGTAGGGAGAGAAAATGAAAGAAAAAGATAAAATACACATTCATAAGAAGATTCCACTGAAATTCACTTATCCAACAGTTTCACCTTTTCCCATAGTTGACTTTTTAAACAATTATTTTAAAAATACAAATCTTTATAAAAACATAACTTTTTCTGTGGACCCAGAAAGTTCAGCTTAAATCTTATAGCTAAATAGACAAGTGAAAACTGAAAAATTTAAAATGTAATTTTTATAAAGGCCATGTATGACAAACCCACTGCTAAAAGTTGAAAGCTTTTCTTCTGAGATCTGAAACAAAACAAGGATGCCCACTTTTATCATGTTTAGTTAGCATAGTACCAGAAGTCTTTGCCAGAGCAATTAGGCAAGAGAAGTAAATAAAAGTCAAGGCATCCAAATTGGAAAGGAAGAAGAAAAATTATCTTTGTTTGTAGATGACATGATCTTATATATAGAAAACCCTAAAGACTCTACTGAAAAACTGTTAAATTTAATAAATAAATTCAATAAAGTTGCAGAATACAAAATCAACATACAAAAATTAGGAATATTTCTTTACCCTAATAATAAATTATCTGAAAAAGAAACAAATATAACAATTCAATTTACAATAGCTACAAAAAAATGAAATACTTACAAATAAAGTTAGCTAGAGAGGTGAAAGACCTGTACACTGAAAACTATAAAACATTTATAAAATAAATTGAAAAACACACAATAAAATATGTATTGCCTGTTAATGAAATGGAAGAATAAATATTGTAAAAATGTCCATACTACTCAAAGCAATCTACAGATTCAGGGCAATCCCCATCAAAATACTAATGCCACTCTTCATAGAAATAGAAAAAAATCTTAAAATTTGTATGGAACCCTAAAAGACCCCAAATACCCAAAGCAATCTTTAGGAAAAAGAACAAAGTTACAGGCATTAAACTACCTGACTTCAAAATATACTACAAAAAAGAAATAGTATCCGAAACAGCATGATACTAGTATAAAAACAGACATGTCAACCAATGGAACAGAATAGATAGCCTAGAAATAAATCCATACATTTAGAGCTAACTGATTTTTGATGAAGGTGCCAAGAACATACAATGGGGAAAAGACAGTCTCCTCAATAAATGGTGTTGGGAAATCTATATATACACTTGCAGAAAAAGAAAATAAGATCCTTATCTCTCACCATACACAAAAATGAGCTCAAAGCAGGTGAAAGACTTAAATGGAAGACTCAAAACTATAAAACTATTAGAAAAAAAACATAGAGCAAAAACTCCAAGAAATTGGTCTGGGCAATGATTTTTTGGATATGTTTTCGAAAATTCAGGCAACAAAAGCAAAAATAGACACATAGATTACATCAAACTAAGGGAACAACCAAGGAAACAATCATTAGAGTGAAGAGATAATCTACAGAATGGGAGAAAGCACTTGTAAACTATATATTTGGTTAATATCCAAAATATGTAAGGAGCTCAAACAACTCAATAGCAAGAAAACAAATAACTTGATTAAGAAATAAGCAAAAGCCATGAATAAACGTTTATCAAAAGAAAACATACAAATGACCAACAGTTATATTAAAAAATAAACAACATCACTAACCATTAGGAAAGTGTAAATAAAAATGACAATTACAAATCACCTCACTCCTTTGAGAATGGCTACTATCAAAAACACAAAAGTTAAGTATTGCTGAGGATGTGGAGAAAAGGGAACTCTTACACTTTTGGTGGGAATGTAAATTAGTACAGCCCTTTTGTAAAATAGTATGAAGTTTCCTCAAAATATTAAAAATAGAACTATCATATAATCAACAATTCCATTACTGCATATACATGTCTAAAGGAAATAAAATTAATATGTCAAACAGATATCTGCACTCCCATGTTTATTGCACTATTCACGATAGCCAAGATATGAAATCAACTTACACGTCCATGAGCAGATACAGAAAATGTGGTATATATACACAATGGAACACTATTCAGCCATAAAAAAGAATGAAATTTTGCCATTTGCCACAACACGATGAACCTGGAGGACTTTATGTTAAGTGAAATAATCCAGGCACAGAATGACAAATACCACATGTTCACACCCACATGTGGAATCTAAAAGAGTTGAACTCATAGAAGCAGAGAGTGGAATAATGGTTACCAGGGGCTGGGGTGGGTAGAAAAGAGGTAGTGATGGGGAAATGCTGATCAAAGGATGTATAATTACAGTTAGCTAGAAGAAATAAGTTCAAGAGATCTATTGTACAGTGTGGTGACTATAGTTAATGACGATATATTATACTCTTGAAAAATGCAAAGAGAGTTAAATGTTAAGTGTTCTCACCGCAAAAGTGATAATATGAGGTAATGAGCTTGTTAATTAGCTAGATCTAACTATTCCATAATGTATGTTTACTTTAAAACATCAAGTGGTACATGATAAATACATACAACTTTATCTTTCAATTTAAAAAAAAGAAAACATAAAACATGTAATTTTAAATTACACGTGACAAATTAAATGTTTTGGTAGCTAGCAGATGTTTTATCATCCAAACAAATTAGCCTTATTTTCCTAATTTACTAACTACCACCCTGTGGGGTTTTTGTAATGATTAGAAGTGATCAATTGAAGGACTTGGCATGAGGTAAATGAATAATCTATAAATGATAAGGGTTGTTATTTATATTGTTGCAAATGTTTGTTTCAGATTTGGGGAATTCCTTAAATCTGTAGTTATAAATAACTGTATGTTTTTGTTGCATAAGGAAAATAAGGCACATGTCTTAATGCTTTCTTCAGACGTTTTTGATATTAAGCTATCAAGGCTGAACATGATCAAGATGTAGACAGAGTGAGATTATTTTAGGGCTGGGATCAAGGGAAGAAATCATATAAGTCAGAGAAAAGGCAGAATAAAAGGAGTATATTAATTCATCATCTTTAACTATCTTGTGACTTTTTAAGAATAGACTCTATTTAGACAAATATTTATTATTTAATTGACATCTGTTGACTTAAACTTTCTTTGCTTCTAAAATTATTAGGAAAAATTATTGACCTTTTCATTTCTGTTTGATAAATCCCCTAAAACACTACAAATTAGAGAAACAAGTTTTAGCATATCAATTATTCTTATCAAACAAAATTTTATCTATTCCATAGAATCTGAATAAAAATTTTTTCCCAAAGACAAATGTCAATATCAGAAACAATAAACTACTAAACCCAGTTAGAAGATTTTATTAATTGGCAAATATTAATGATAAAGGCATATGCTATATAGAAATCATAATTATGTTACTATATTCCTAGTTCTTCCTGTTGGGCTAGGTTTTGGGGGTGGAGCTAGTGGTTAGAGAGAGAGAACTTAACATTTTCACTCTGAGGGAGCTGTCACAGTACTATTTCATTTTGTTTGGGCTTTCTCCTCCCTCTACCCCCAAAATTAAGTAGAGTTTTGCTTTGGATCTACTAATATTCACTCATTTTTAGATTAGCCAGCAACAAAGATCCAGTTTTCTCTGTTTAAGTTGATTATCTGTAAACAAAAGTTCTTACACATAGCCCCTGATCAAATCATATCCCATTCACCATGCACCACTTTGGAGATACATAAGTGCTGCAAACTTTAGCCATATTACTGACTGTAAGAATGCCTTTTAGCAAGTGTATGGTCCCAGCAAACAACCCTGTGTGCTTTATTCAGGGTCAGTGAATAGCATATGATGTGTTCCACTTTTAGTCACCAACTGTCTCCTTGTATGTCATTGCCCTTACTTTCCAGATGGATTTGGTTGACTGAATATTGTGCTGGAAGCATGGGCAATCCCTATTAGGTGAAATCAAAAGTATATACCATAAGGAGCCTGCTGCACTAAATCACGTGAAAGTTCAAAATTCAAGGAATGCAGCTCTCTATAGAAAGAAAAACTATGGAAACACTAGAAGAGCTTAATTCGGGGTTTTCTAATATTTTTTATTATAACATACACATGCACACACCATCCACTCCCCCTTTCTAGGATTGGCCCTAGAAAACGGGTGGAGAAGAATAAAAGTCCTGGCCTGTCACACTTTAGGTCTCCTGCTGTCTATCCATTCATGTGCAGTCCACCTAGTCATATCATAAACACACATGTGTGCATGCACATGCAAACACACACACACACACACATACACACAAGCACATGCATGCGAGGAGCCATTCCTCCACTCTCCCCAGCTGGGAAGGCTCACCAGTTTTCCAGCCTTCCCTAGGCACTGATTCTAGATGTTTCCTTTTTTTAGAGAGGCAAGTTTTATAAACAACATACACTGTATCTATATCGTGAAAACCAACAATCCTCCAATCTCTGTGGCTTAATTCAAGAGAATTTACTCATGCTTCATTATGTCGCTGCCCAAAAGAGACTGAAATATAAATGATTATCATCATTATGACAGCAAAATCAAACAAAACAGTAATATATGTTGGACATGTGCTATTAAATTTCACAACCTCTCCATGGAGTAGATACTAGTAAATCGAGGTATGGATACTGTGGCTAAATAAGATTAAGTTACTTTCTCAGGTCTTTCTAACTTAACAAGCCTTTTATATTAGATATGTTCACTATCAGAGGCTGACCTGTTTCCTATTTCCAACTCATGATTGCCTCCTTAGACTCCCTAAATTTCATTGCCCAAAGCAATATTATAGAAAGATTTCAACTGGCTTGTCCTCACTCTTCATTCATCACTTTAGCAAGATCATAATGTGATTGACTGCTATCGACTTGCTTTTAGATCATGATGTGTTAAGAAGACAGGCTTATCAGGTGGTCAGTGATTCATTGATTGCCAGATCGCAGGGTTGCTTCTCAGTTTTGGATGTTGTTTGATTGATCTTTCAGTTTATTAATCCAATGTCCTTCCTGGGAGATTAGCCTCTTTGATTGAATTTGAATATGGCTTTATGTTGGACTGGTTTTCATCTTCCTTTTGAAAACCACTTCCTTCTATTTATAAAGGAAAAATCGTATCAGAAAGGCCAAATGAATTGGTGATGCCCCGTGGCTTCATTCTCATGTGTGCTTCATGCTGTCTTCATCTGTTTCCCATCAAGAAATCATGGAGATTATGGATTTATTCTTCCATCAGATAGACTTTCATATAAAATAGATGGGGAGATTAAGTTCTTACTTTCAATCTTCATTCAGAAAATGTTTTTAAATCTTTTCACTGCTTTTTAGAAGAAATATGCACTTGATTTATGTTTCATTGAGATTATGTCTATAGGAGGTAAAATTTTGAATCTTGATTTCCATGAAGCATATTTAGCACTGTTCTATCACTCTGTCCTCTGATAAAAAGTGATTATAGATCTCTGCCTGTGATCATGTAACATGTATGGGAAGAATATAGGTCCCTGCCTCTGACTTTGTGCTCGGCCATATGACATATTTTGTTCATGATCAGGTATGAAATGAATATTTAAGAGAAATCTGCAGTTTACACTCTAACTCTTTCAGTCATTTCCCTCTGACACAAGAATGGGCCTCTCATACAAAAGTGCTGCTACTTTAGCCTGAACCCTCAGGATGAAGAAGACCATGGGGCAGACCTGAACTCAATTATTATTTTGAAACAGACCCATAGCTGCAGACCCACACCCACTGACTTGTAACATGAACAAGAAATAATATTTATTTTTGGAAACTACTTAAGGTTATTTGTTTTAGGTATAATCTAATGAGAGTGGAATAATTCACATTTGATTCTGGCAGAATAAAGAAAAAACTCAAAGTAGTTCTTATAAAACAATTTCGGAGGTCTTAGAGTCTGCTTGGGCAATGCACGGCATCATAGGCTAGTAAGGAAATAAAGCCATGATTAATCAAATAGATTGACTTTATATCCTAATTATTGGTATCATTGATTATATTCCCTCAAATATTAATAAACAAAGCATTTGGTTTTGTAGACGATGCTAACTATCATTATATGTTTATAGTGCACCATTTGCTAATGGCCTTATGTGTTGACTTAAAAAAATTTCTTTGAGTGTTGACTTAAAAAAATTTCTTTGAATGTAAACTCTAGAGATGTAAACAAGTAACCTAGACAGCACAATATAGACATAGTTTTTCTGTTGAGTAACCTGTTGAATAATGGTTGTCTGTTCATTTGTTTGTTTTAATAGATAATTTTTCATTGCACACAATATGAGTTGGCCATATTGCTACGATAATGTCCCTTAGTTTTTAGATCTCCAAAATCAGTCTGTAAGTTAGCATCTATTATTTTATATATTTTCTAATAAGAAAAGTGGCTTTGTAATACAGGTCAAGCATTTGCTGTGTTTTATAAAACTAGTAAATAACAAACCGGATATGACTCATAATTGTTGTCAGATTTTAGAACTTAAACTCTTAGCCACTACTACACTACCATAATTATTAGAAAGTGGTAACAAAGTAAAAATTTAAGAGCTTTTGACTTGGGATTCACATTGCATATTGAGAATATTGAATAATGCATATTTATTATTTTATTTCTTTTAATAAAAACTAAATATATTGAGCATCCAACATGAAGTAGACCTTTTTCTGAACGAGAGACAAGTTAGCCAGAAAAATTGCCCTCAAGGGAGGAATTTTGTTGAATATTCAAGAAATATTAGAGAAAAGCTTACAGTGTCTTCAATGCTTTGCAAACCCCCCAGATTACTTAACAGGAATATAATTTTTTTCATTTGAAATTATTTGTGTGAATATCTTCTGTAATATGTAACAGGATATTTAACTGTGTGATTTCAGATTGAAATGTTTTGACCTGCTTAACACAGACAGAAAATAAGAAACCACATTTCTCCCTAATGTTGGACTTATATATCTGGCCTTGGCCTATATTGGGGGCTAGATGGATCATTTCTGGCATGTGTGTCACTCCTCTCATCCTGATCTATTCTCAAGTTCATTGAAAAACAACAGGACAGGTCGGGCCTTTTGGCTCATATTGTAATTCCAGCACTTTGGGAGGCCGGGAGTTCAAGACCAGCCTGGCCAGCATTTTTTTTATTTTTAGTAGAGACAGTCAATCCCGTCTCTACTCGGGAGGCTGAGGCATGAAAATCTCTTAAACCCGGGAGGCAGAGGTTGCAGTGAGCTGAGATCATGCCACTTCACTCCAGCCTGGGTTACAGAGTGAGACTTTGTCTCAAAAAATAAATAAATAAATAAATAAATAAATATAAAAAGACAATTTTATAGCAAATCTTAATATTTTAATTTTTATAAGACACTATCCTCCAATTCTTTCCTTATATTACATTGTTGTGTTATTCTTTAGCAAATAAACGTACAAGTTTCTCATTTAAGGCTTTTATTTGCCTTATAAATCTCCTCTTTTGGTTTACATCTTGAAGAATGTTCATTTTTATTTTACAAAAAGAAAATGTGATACGTGAGCATTCTCTCTACGCCCATTAGAGGATCTATACTCTTTTTGTAATGCTAATTCTTATCCAGCAGACTTCCTAAAAACAAAATCATTTGCTCTATTAATCTAAACGGTAACATGGTAAATTGGGTGATTAAATAGTCTTAGTGTTTTTGGATTTTTTTGAGACAATCATATTGCCATCAATAAAGGTTAAATTTAGACTAAAATCTAAACAAAAACTGAAATTTCAGTGATAAAAAGACAATTAGGTACTTCTATTTAAAATGCTCAATAACTTACTAAATCATTGTCAGCAGGCATTTGCTCTACATTTTTACATTGAAATTATTTTAGGAAATTTTTCAAAATTATTAGAATGACCTGAAATGACAGTCATCTTAACTTTGGGATTATAACAGCAAACAGTATTAGATAGTTTCCACATTGCTGAAATGTAACTTTAAGTTCATAAATTGAGCTGGGTCTGCTAGATTTTCAGTTTGGGAAATATAATTTTCTTTAGAATATTAAGAGATATTTATTTATTTATTTATTTTATTTATTTATTTTTAATTTTTATTTCCTTTTTTAAAATTTTTTATTTTATTTTATTATTATTATACTTTAAGTTTTAGGGTACATGTGCACAATGTGCAGGTTACTTACATATGTATACATGTGCCATGCTGGTGTGCTGCACCCATTAACTCGTCATTTAGTATTAGGTATATCTCCTAATGCTCTCTTTGTATAAATAAACCAATGCAATATTTTTTCTGGGTCCAACAACTTCCAAGTTTTCTGACACTACAGAATATAGACACTTATGCCCAACATATCTTCCGTCTGTCCAGCCTGGCTTAGTGCACATGTACCCAAAAAACAAATAACATAGAATTTACATAGAGTTGGGAAAAGTCAGCAAAAATGTATTCATTGAGTACATTTGAAGGGACTATAAAACCCTGCACATTTTCTAATTATAAATGCTTCAATTACATATAAAATATAGTAGTCCTATAAAATGAAAAAGAAGAAGAGATAAATTTCTTCTGAGAAATTATTTTTAGATGAAAAGATCCTGTAGCAAATCAAGGTCTGTAACAAGTTTTTGGTTTGAAATAATCCAGAAATCATTTATATTTCATAATTGGTTTAGGGATACATAACATTTTAACAGGAGATCTGCCTTCTGAATTGTTTGCCTAAGGCAAATATTAAAATTAATCTTCATTCCCTGACCACCAGCTAACTGATTGCAAGGAGTGTGAGCCCAGAAGAGCACGTGACTGCTAAAGGATTGGTCACAGATAATTTAGAAGGTGATTAATCTACAAGCAGAAATCTAATGAGTTGATCATACAAGTACTATCCTGAGACTTTATAAAACTAAGTCTCTTCCCACAGAATAATAATAGGGTTCACAAATATAATTCAATATATGTTTATCTTCCTATTCTCCAATGAATAACCCAAACTAAAACATTTCCTCAGTCTTAAACTATTTCGGAGTCTTTCTCTTGTGTTTAATTCATGTCGCAAGTGTTGGTACCACAATTTTCATACTAAACCATCTTGCAATTGTCTCACCAACCTTCTGTGACAGATTTTTGGTGATAGACACATTTTAATGGTTTCTGTTCCAACAAATTTTGACTTTCTGTATTCTTTCCAGGTTTCTTTTTGTTTTGATAGCCTGATAGAAGTATGTTCAAGATGGATAGCTGGTTATCAAAGGCAAACCCATTTTCTACCTGTGGACTCCATTTTAAGAATGGTTCCATGAAGAATGAAAATGTCCAGAAACCAAATTTAGTAGATTGTTCTATTTTACTACTAAGTTTGGAAACGCAATTACTTAAAATTTATGCATTTTTTCATAATTCCAGAAAAAACATTAATAACTTTGATAAAAAATCAACATCATCTGCAATCCCAGCACTTTGGGAGGCCGAGGTGGGTGGATCTTGAGCTCAGGAGTTCAAGACCAGCCTGGGCAACATAGTGAAACCCATCTCTATGAAAATTACAAAAATTAGTCGAGCATGGTGGCATATGCCTGTAGTTCCAGCTACTTGGGAAACTGAGGCAGGAGAATCGCTTGAATCTAGGAGGTGGAGGCTGTGGTGAGCTGAGACTGCACCACTGCACTCCAGCCTGGGCAACATAGTGAGACTGTGTCTCCAGAAAAAATAAAATAAAATAAAAAAATATAAAAAGGAAAAAAAGAAAATCAACATCATCTTATTATACTTATTTATAATTGAATTGTTAGTACCTTAACAAGAGTCTGTATATTTTTCTTCATGAAGAGTCTCATAGGATTCACTAATCCTTCTCATATCTGTGTTATAATGAGAGCAGTTATTGGGAAAATAATTATTTGTGGTTTGGTTTCCATTTGAATATTTAGTAAACATTTTAATTTTTGCTTAGCCTAGTTTGTATTGTTTGACTTTATTCATTTTGTCCTTTATAACTTTAGCTTATTTTTCTCCATCTGAATAGCCACAAACAAGAACATAACCTGGAAGATAAAGCATTGTATTTGTGTCTTTGCATGATCTGGTCCCTGCCAATGTTTCAACATCTCCATCTACTGTCTTAGATCCCCACCCTCTTCCACACTAAGCTACTCTATTCCTAGGACCCCTTAACTCTTCATGGCTTTTGATACTTTTCACTTCCTGTTTTCTCTAAATTGAATAATCTTCCCCCTAGTTTTTCTTATGTTAGATTTCTTATCATCCTTGGTAAGTTTCTATCTAAATGCCACCTTCTCTGAGAGGCCATTCTGCTTACTCTACCTAAGTTAATTCCCTGCCTTTAATATCCATATCATTAAGCTGTTGGTGCTCCTATAACACTTTTCAAGGTCTGTAATTATCTCCTAATTTTGTTTGTTTGTATCTTTTCCATTTGCCTTCTAGATTAGAGAATGTGAGCCTCAAGAGGTACAGTATAAGTGACCCAGCAGGAATGTGAAGTTTGGGAGCACAGTTGTGGCATTTGTGTATGTTTAGTAATCATGAGTAATGGATACAATCTAACAATCTAGGGCAAAAGATAAATCAAGTGGTATAATATGCATGGCCGCTAGATGCCCATTTTATGTCTTGCACAGCTACTGAGTGAGTTTCACTAGGCTAAAGGATGACTGAGTCTCCTTGCCATCTGGCTTTTATCCTTTAAGAACCCAGGAGGCCTCATCATCAAAAACTTAATCTGAATTTCACACCTTATCTCTTCCATCATATGAATCCACATGCCTGGATTATAATTATTGAATGCCTACTTACAGGACTTAAGATACTCTAACTTAAGGCTTACATGAAATGTGGGCTTTCTAAACTAGAGGATTACCAGTGGCAATCCTCTACCACTGTCATGACCTCTACCAGTGTCATTACCAGTGACAAATACAAAATCTATGAAAACAGGAACTCTGTCTCTCCTCACCATTTAATTACCAAAAACCAAAGTATATATACATTTATTTATTTATTTTAAGAGGGAGTTTCGCTCTTGTTGCCCATACTGGAGTGCAATGGCGTGATCTCAGCTCACAGCAACCTCTGCCTCCTGGGTTCAAGCAATTTTCCTGCCTTAGCCTCCCAAGTAGCTGAGATTACAGGCATGTGCCACCATGCCCGGCTAATTTTGTATTTTTAGTAGAGACGGGGTTTCTCCATGTTGGTCAGGCTGGTCTTGAACTCCCGACGTCAGGTGATCTGCCCACTTCGGCCTCCCTAAATGCTGTGATTACAGGCGTGAGCCACAGCTCCCGGCCAAAACCAAAGTATATCTTATATGTAATAGGTAGTAAGTGGGTAGCAAAATTAGTTGTATGCATGTAGGAATGAATGAATGAACAGAATCAATAGACAAATGAAATAACTATGTAACATCCATATTTGGGTGTCATGTAGATGTAGTTTTAACTTTAGTATTCAAAAGCCTCAATTTTGTCTTTCAACATTAAAGAATTCTTTATTTCCCCAAGTGTGGAGCCTTTTCACCTCTTCTCACATTCTTTCCAAGAAGCAGGCATATGCTTAGTTAAGAAAAGAACACTTTGCCTCAGTGGGTGGGCTGTATGCTTCCAAACCTAAAACTGATGCTTTACAAGTATTGCAAAAAAGCAAATTATCAGGGTAACAAAAACAGACTCAAGCAACACCTTCTGCCAGATTCTCTCCAGATCTGCCCCCAGTAGGAGTATATGCCTGGGGGTGAGGAAGTGGGGATAACTTGCGTGCCATGGATCTTAAGCAGCCCTTCACATGAGCACAATGAGGGAAGACATTCTTATCCTTTTTTTTATTTTCCTTCTCAATAGTCCTCACATAAACCCAAAGAGAACTTCCCTCCATGGGTTTAATTAAGTAAAAGCACTCTCTGACCTGTCAATCTGGGGACTGGATTCTTCCTAGGGCCTTCACCTCATCTGAAGTATCTCAGATGAAGCTGCCAAGTTTTATTCTGCTCTAATTAAAAGTTGTGAAAAGATGTTTTTAAAGTTTATTATTTTTCTCTTGAATATATTTGTAATTTTCTTTATTTAGGCAGATTCTTGAATTGCCTTTGGAAATACTATTTTTTTTTTCTCGAGAGAGTCACCATTTATCATGTAGTGATCTTATTTCTTAGTATTAGGATATTTTTCTCTATTAAACTAAGAAAATATTATTTCTTCGCAAATTTTAGGGGGAATTCTTTGCTCAGTATGTCCTGCTTAGATCACTATCACCTGACTGTAGTTATTTTAGCTTGTAAATAAAGTCTATCAATACTAAATTATACTCATTTATCATATTTCATTGACTCCTATCTCAGCCCATTATGAAATAATTGTCAAGTGTAACATGTTCTTACATGAGAAATCTCATCCCCACATGTATGCTACACTACTAAAGATACATAACAAGGACACTTTCTGTGTTGGTTAAAGTTTGCACTTTTGGTGTCTTTTGCCTAACATCTCAAGAGATAGTAAAACACATGACTGACTTTTGTATTAGCTTATTCTCACACTCCTCTAAAGAACTACCTGAGCCTGGGTAATTTATGAAGACAAGAGATTTAATTGATCCACAGTTCCACAGGCTGCACAGAAAGTATGATTTGGAGGCCTCAGGAAACTTACAATCATGTCAGAAGGGGAAGAGGAAGCCAGCATGTCTTACCATGGCAGAGACAGAAAGAGAGAGAGCAAAGGGGGATGTGCTACACACATTTAAACAACTAAGTCTCATGAGAACTCATGCATAAGAAAAGCAAAGGGTAAATCCACCTCCATAATCCAGTCACCTCCCACCGAAGTCCCTCCCCCAACATTGGGAATTACAATTTAACATGAGATTTGGGTGGGGAACAAAGCTAAACCATACCAACCTTCAAGACTACAGTTTCAAACCAAACAGTCATAGCAATAGGTCATCGGAAGTTGGCTGGAAGTTTACTGACCTGCTTCTTCACATATGGGACTTTTTAAAACAGAAGAATTCTGAGACTCAATATGATGCAGTCACTGTGACCCAAAACAAAATTTCTCAACAGTATGAAAACTTACCTGAATGAATACTTCCAACTTTCTGGTGATGTCTGTTATAGTCTGTTGACATAACTATCATCTTATGTCTGCCCATACTCTAGGGATTAATTCCTACCCAACATGGGCATTTCCAGAATTTTGACTGAAGATGAGGCACACACACAGAAGTAATATTTACACAATGCAGAATATAAGAATACAGCAAATACAATGTGCTAACTATGCTGCAAAATATAGCATAAATGAAATAAAGCAATGGGTATTTTGAGGTAGGAAAAATGACTGTGGGCTGGGGCTGGGGGGCATTTCTTTTTTACAAGAGAATGGGATTAAAGTTGAATTATGAATTGATAAAATTTAATCGCCAAAGTGGAAAAGGGAGTTGTTTATTACAGATTGGAGGAAGGGCATACTCTACTCTAAGGCATGGTTGCCTCACATGGCTCTGTTTTGTGCCACCTGCAAAGGAGGCACCTGGGAGTTGAAATTCAGCCTGGGATCTGTCTCTTATCTCTAACAAAATGGTGCAACTAAGCCACACACCTAGGTCTCCTTCAGCCCAGAGGCAGCATCATTTTCTAATTAATCTTCCCAGATGAAGTACTTTAAAAAAATTATCCTAATGAAGGGCTCATCTTTCTCTACATTTTTGTCTCAGAAAAGGCACACATTTCCTTGTTTCTTTTTTTTTTTTTTGAAAAAAGATCTCCCTCTGTCTCCCAGGCTGGAGTACAGTGGTGCGATCTTGGCTCACTGCAACCTCTGCCTCCTGGGCTCAAGTGATCCTCCCACCTCAGCCTTTCAAGTAGCTGGGACTACAGGTGTGAAACACCACGCCTGGCTAATTTTTGTGTTTTTTGTACAGATGGGGTCTTGCTATGTTGCTCAGGCTGGTCTTGAACTCCTGAGCTCAAGCCATCTGCCCACCTTGGCCTTTCAAAGTGCTGGAATTACAAGCCTGAGCCACTGCACCCAGCCCACATTTCCTTTTTTACAAATTTGTACAGAGACATATACACTGAGTAACTGCCATGTGCAAGTACAAAGAGATGGAAAAGCTCAAGATTTATTTAGGGATTCCTAAACAAACCCTTTATAGCAAAGATCGGCAAACAACAGACCACAGACCAAAACTGCCTTCCACCTCTTTTTGTAAAATTTTATTGGAATACAGTCACTCTCATTTGCTTTTATATTGTCTGTGGCTACTTTCACCCTACAACAGTAGAGTTGAATATTTGAAACAATGTGCATGACCTGCCTATTTGACTCTTTACAGAAAATGTTTGCCAATGCTTGCTTTATAGAAGAGCATGGGAAAAAATGATCTAAAAGGACGTGTTCTAGTCTTCCTGAAACCAACTCAATCTTAATCTTTAATAAGATAATAGTTTATTTGAAGCTTCTCATAAATACTAAGGCAGTTTACAAATGTGAGTCACATGTTGACACTCTGGTTTCCTCCTGAGGGTCAGGAAGAAAACTCCTTTTAGGATGTTGTGATGAAGAAACCAGGACACCACCACCAAGATGAGATAAATGATGATTTATTGATTGGATAATTTTAAATAACAGTAAAGGCATTACCATGTTCACCTTTGTTCATTCTAATTTTATAATTACCTGATTTGGGCTCTGTAGACATGGTGAGAGGAGGGGGTATTTAGGATATTTGGCTGTTTAATTTGGGGCTGGCCCACCTCAAAGGAAGGTAGAAAACTGTTCACACAATTGGGTTTTCACAAATATGTTTAGGATGAGAAAAGTGAAAAGTAAACATAGAATCTCAGTGCCTGAATAGCTAACATTCCAATAAGTAGTTCTTTTCTGCTCTATTATTTATTGCAGTCTTTTTACCCAGCAATCAAGTTATTCCCTGAAAGAAAAAAGTAGAGCATTGAGCTGGTGGTGGGGGCTGGGGAGTGGATGGTGTTCAGTTGGGGGTCTTTCTGGCACAGGTCTGGATTATAGGGAGGAAAAACTGCTTGGGTGTAGAATTGAAAGAACTGAAGTGGTAAGAAAAGGCAGAGAAAGAAAAAGAATCAAATTGAAGAAGAAGTAGAGATAATAGTATAATAAACAACCCCCCAGGAAAGACCAGAATATGTGAGCTCAGCTTGAGGCTTTGGAAAACTGGAGACCTCTTCTATTTTACCTGTGGATATTGAAAGCCCCACAGAGGCCTGCTAGCCCTTCATGGTTTGAAGAAAAATTCTAGTCATACACTTGCTTCAGACCATTTTCCATGACACACCTATTCTGTTACCTTGAAGGCACTCATTGCCTCCTTCTCTCAACCTCTGTCATCATGCTTATATTCTTAAGGGTCTCTGGGCACTACTTGCTCGCAGTATCATTGCCTTTCCTTGCTCTCCAGTAAATTTTAATTAGCATAACAGGGTTGGGAGTTTCCATCACAAACTAAGAAAACTCCTTATCTGTTTAAGTAGAACTATTGCTTTATGTTTTGATATGCTTGTGAAGTCTTTTTTCTAGTAGTTTCCTCTTTTAGCACATCCTGATCTCCGCAAACAGTTTTGGATGGGTGTGTTTTCCAGACTGATTCTGTAGCTCTCAATTGGATTTGTCCCCAGCAGGGCATCTGTATGATGTCCATAAGAGAAGATTTCTCTCAGTAGCTAAATGGCTGTTCTCTATTCCGTTAGCAGTTTTATTCTGACGTGTGGGGAAAGCAATTCTAATCTGTGAAAATAATAAAATAATACTAAATTATAAATGTGCTGCAATTTAGTCTTTCCTAGGAAACTCCATGAGAGAGTATACCAACAAAACACGTCTGCATTATCAGCACTCTAATTGGCCCAGGTTGACTTAAGGTTATGACTTCTTGCTCCATAGTTCAGGTAGTATGCTGTATGTGTGTGTGCATGCATGTGTATGCATGTATGTATGTGTTATGTGTGTGTGTTTATAAAGAACAACAAAAAAAGTAACTTTTAGGATTGCAGAAGAGCTGTTTACTCAAACTTAAGGAAACATTCATTGGTTTGAAAATTATGTCATAGCTTATAAAAATAAAGTCTTAAATTACACATGTTGGATATATTTGGAATTTGTCAACAAAAAGAAAAGATCATGATAGATTCAAATATGTTTGGAGAAACTCAAATGTAGTGGTAGAAATGTTGAACCTCATTATAGGAATGTGAAATCAAATAAAATTTAACTGCCAGAAAGAAAAACCAGCAGCAATTACTCATCATAAAATTTAAATTGGGATTTTTTACACTTTTTTTCCATATGCAAAACTTCAAGAGTTACATAAAAAAGAGTAAGAGATGGATCCTGTTATCTACAAACTCTTCCATTCATTTTATTCATTTATTAATTTATTCAACCAAACTTGATTGAGCACTTACTCTATGCAAACCATTCTGCTAGGAGAAGGGGAACTAACACCTCTAATTTAAGACTTTTAAAACATGCACAGGTTTTAAAAAAAAATAAGAATACCTGGAATATTAAATCTGTGATCCCAACAAGAAAAGTGAAGTATCTGCCCAGAGGGAGCTAGAGCTGAAGGAACTCAAGAAGACATAGAGTGTTTTAATACATTTTCTCAATTATTTTTTCATCAAATGTCAAATTTAGACATAAGATTCCCAGGATCAGTCATTTACGTATACAGACAGTTGCTTTGAAGTGACTCTTAAATATTGTGGGCTTGTAGACTCTGGATACTTTTGCATTTTATTATCAGGGCCTTAGAATAATAAGGGAAGGTCTTCACTTCTTCCTGATAGACCTGCACATGGTGCTCTCTGATGACTCTTATTATGCTTTTCCATATATACAGGTCTCCATGCAACATTCACCCCGACTATCATTACACATTTTCACAACTGAAGAGAGGAAGAAAATGCAAGCAAATGAAATCCAAAGCTATGTTTTGCTCTGACTTGACTCTGGCTTTGGAATAATTACTTTCTTCTTACTTTGTCATAGCCATCTGTAGGAAGTAAAAGCTCTTCTAAGATATTATTAGTACCAAATTAATAATATTACCAACACCCACTAACCATTTACCGAAAACCTATCCCAACCACTGTGTTTTGCGCTATAATACATTGCCTTATTTAATCCTATCATAGTCAATGAGGTAAGCTATATTATCACCATTTTCCAGATAAGAAAACTGAAGACCCTGAAAGATGTTAACCAATTTGACTCAAATAGCATAAGTAATAATCAGTGGATTGAAAATAATATTCAAATCTAAGTTTTGTGCCTCCCATGCCTTTAATGCTACCTCTATTTTGACACAGCCTTACTTATTTTTGACCAGTTTAGCATCCTTAACAATTTAGGGCCACCTTGGAATAACGTGGGAGTGCCACTCCGAAGTCTTAGTGAGCCCCTTTGTTTTCTGCCCATTTCCTTCTCTTTCAAATCCCATCCCTTTGGTCAGATAACTCTCATTTTTGTCTTTTTTTTGTATCTCTCTCCCATCTTTTTGCCCTTTGAATTAATACTTAGTGGGGACTCTGCTTGGACTTATTATGGCTTTTCTCTCAGGCTCTATATTTCAGATGGTAGTTAACTGTATCCTGGGCTTCAGCCCAGTGGCAGTCCTAAATTTTTCTGTCCCTGTCCTGAGTACTTATAACCTCCAGACTTTCCTGAATCTTTAAATTTCATCTTTTAAGCTTTATTTACTTCTCAACCCAGGTCCAAGTGGAAATTTAGTTTCACATGGAGTGTGTGTGTGTGTGTGTGTGTGTGTGTGTGTGTGTGAACATCACTTTTTATTTCTCTTGGATAAAATACCTAAAATTTAATTTTATAAGAAATTGCTAAACTGTTTTCCAAAGTGGCCAAAGTGGCTATACCTTACATTCCCACCAGTAGTGAATGAGTTCCAATTGCGTCACATATCCTCATGTGAGCTTGGTATTGTCATTAAAAACAAACCCTAGACATTCTTATAGGTATATAGTGGTATATGATCGTGGTATTAATTTGCATTTCCTTAATAATTAATGATGTTGAACATATTTGCATGTGCTTATTTGCCATATATATATATGACGCGATTTCGGCTCACTGCCAGCTCCGCCTCCCGGGCTCACGCCATTCTCTTGCCTCAGCCTCCCGAATAGCTGGGACTACAGGGGCCCACCACCACGCCCGGCTAATTTTTTTTTTGTATTTTTAGTAGAGACGGAGTTTCACCGTGTTAGCCAGGATGGTCTCGATGTCATGACCTCGTGATCCTCCCACCTTGGCCTCCCAAAGTGCTGGGATTACAGGAGTGAGACACCCGCGCCCAGCCCATATATATAGATATATATCTTCTTGGTGAAGTACCTGTTCAGACATTTTGCTCACTTTAAAAAATTTGGTTTCTTACTTTTGAGTCTTGAGAGTTCTCAATAAATTCTGAATACAAGTCCTTTACTAAATATAGAATTTGCAAACATATTCTCTCAGTTTGTGGTTTGTCTTAACAGTGCTTTTCTCTTACCAGTGGCTTACACACAACAAATATTTATAATTTTTATGAATCCCAGATTGTCTTTTTTTCTTTTATGAATTGTGCTATTGGTGTAATATCTAAGACCTCTTGACACGACCCAGAGTTACAAAAATTTTCTCCTATGTTTACTTTTAAAGTTTTATAGTTTTACATTTTAAAGTAGATCTATGGTCTATTTTGTATTAATTTTTATATAAGGTGAGAGATATAGGTTGATATTTACTTTGGGGCATATGGATAGTCATTTGTTCCAGGATCGTTTGTTGAAAAAATTGTCTTAACTCCATTGAATTACCTGTGTACCATTGTAAAAAAATAATTCGATCTTACTTACCTGAGTATATTTCTGGACTCTCTAATTCATTTCATTGATGTATATGTCTATCTTTAGTTGTTACTGTTTTAAGCCATTAAATTTTGTATTGGTTTGTTATACAGCAAAATGTAACAATATGTGACACAGTCACTGTCAAGAACTTTGAAAAGGCTGAAATTTGACTCCTCTTGAAAGCTAACAAGTTAGCCTGCCACAGTTTCATGAATCCTGGTGGAAGACCCAAGACTTCCAGGTCAAGGATGAAGAAAAATTTACTAATCAAACCATAGCCGTAGCCAAAGTATTCACATTTTTGTGCTGGTTTTCTAAACCCCAATTCCCACAAGGTGATGCAAAGAGGGCCAAGTGACACCTGTACACACAGGTATAATTTAATCACTGATGCACAAGAGATATAATACCACTATTGCTATAAGTGGTAAGTGGCATAGTAGTACCACTGATGTATTTCAGCCTCGCCTTCTTTCTGTGACTGATTTTTTTTTCCAGAATCTGGTCAGACATTATCTTCCAAGAAGCCTCTGGTTCTTTATCCTCTGAGTTCCTGTAGCATCATATGTAGTATTATGACTTTGAGTATTATGTCTTCCTTATTAGGCAGAGAACTCTTTGAGAGTAGGCTCTAACTCATTTTCCTTACACTCTAGTTTGTCAAACTATTAAAACGTTTGATGTGCTTGGAACCAACCCAAATGTCCATCAATGATTAAGAAAATGTGGCACATATACACCATGGAATACTATGCAGCCATAAAAAAGGATGAGTTCCTGTCCTTTGTAGCAACATGGATGAAGCTGGAAACTGTCATTCTGAGCAAACTATCGCAAGGACAGAAAACCAAGCACCACATATTCTCACTTATAGGTGGGAATTGAACAATCAGAACACTTGGACACAGAGCAGGGAACATCAGACAGCAGGACCTGTCATGGGGTGGGGTGGGGTGATGAGGGAGGGATAGCATTAGGAGAAATACCTAATGTAAATGATGAGTTAATGGGTGCAGCAGACCAACACGGCACATGTATACATCTGTAACAAACCTGCATGTTGTGCACATGTACCCTAGAACTTAAAGTACAATTTAAAAAAGTATATGTTAAGGCCCCTTCTACTTATACTATAACAAGTACTATTTTCAGGAAGGCAGTTACTTCATGGGTATTTTCAGCTACTTCCCTCAGTACAGAAATAACTTCCTTGGGAAACAATCATCAAGAAAAATAGGGCCTTTTATTACAAATATTCCATTTGTTCCATTTCTTGTGAAACCATCAACATATTGAAGGCATGGTAACTGTATCAATAGATGCACATGGAATGTTATTTAAAGCAATGCTTCAAGTGGAAATGTAAGCTGAGTAAGAACCTTAAAATGACAAGAAGAAATGTGTGATAATTTAGATCCTTGGGTTCAAAATTGATGCCAATATTATAAATAAAGTATATAAATAAAAGACAAGAGAATAATGGACCTCTATCTGAGGTTCCAAATGGTCATCTAATCTTTGGGAAATTAATCTAATAGTTGCGCTGCTAATTGTCTTTATTGGCTGGAAGTGGTGGACTCTACATTAAGAGATATGTTTCTGGCAGGCACAGAACTGGTTTCAACCTAGTGAATTGACCTAAGGAGTTGAAAAGGTGTTTCTTTTTGTTTTGATTAGTTTTGTTTTGTTTTAATTAAAGGATGAATGAATGAATGTGCATGTGCTCCAGAGCTCACTTGACGGACTTCACTGTCTTCCAAAGGGCATAGTGTAGATTTGGGCATTAGAATTTGGAGACAGATGTCAATTTTAGAAGAAGTATATCAATAAATAAATGCTTCATTTTTAATCTTATGAGTTATCCATGCAAAAGGCATTCTTTGCTTTCCACCACTGAAATAAAGAAAAATTTGCGCTGCATACAAAATACTTACCTTATTTGACTTAGATTTAGTCAATATTTTAAAAGCTTCCTTTAAAAGTTTCTGCATATTCTTTTATGAATTGCAACATCCTCAGATTGTCTCCTTCAGACTGAAAAGCCTAAGAAGTCAGAGATTTTTTTAACCTGCTAATGTAACCAATGCAGTGCTTCATACTACCCAAAAGCTTGACGCATTGTGCATAGTGGTGATTCCACTTTGCTAAGGGATCTTTTTTGGCTTGAGTGATGATCTTTGGAATGTTGGCTATGAAAAAAATAACTGCAAAGATTCTGGGTGGTATTGCTCTAAAGAGCCTAATTAATGTACTTTGGTGGTTTCACATTATTTCTGTTGAGAACAGCGCCCCCTCTGTCAGCCTCCCACTCCCTTATAACTGTATCTTTATTACAATCTAGTAACTGCTGGGAAACTGCTTTCTCTAAAATGTCTTTCCCTGTGGCTTAAAGATTTTTTTAAATAAATAAATACAGTTTATGTTGGGCATCCACCACTTGAAGGGCTAATGATTATTGACTAGCCTCCAGCAGGCATCAGGGAGTCTTGCCTCAGGCCCTTCCAACTAGCCCCCAAACATGCCGAATGTTAACACATGTTTCTGGATTCTGGCTGGGATTGGACACAAACAAGGCAGTCAGAATGGACCATTTAGTGTACAAGTCAAGATGACAGATCTCTGCTTAATATAAGGAGGAGAAAAATTCGTATCTTACTGAAAACGGCAGAAGAGCCCCGGGTGCTTTCACTTTGTGATTCTGCAGCAAAAAGTGGGTTGTGTCAATATAAGTCTATGTCACCAGCTCACAGCTGCCACACTGAATTGACCCTGTTCACGGCAGACATAAAGGCCTTCCATTTCCAAATTCTCTCTAATGCTCATCTGTGAATGGGAGCAGAATGTGGAAAAAAGCCAACAAGTCTTCTTAACTGTAGGAGGAGAAGAGAGACAGAACTGACTTAATGCAGCACAGCAATCTGTGGTGTGATTTCCACCATCGGGCAGCCAAACCAGGAATGTTTGATCCTTTTGGAGCCCTAGAAGGAGAATGCTTTGAAAACAGAAGCTTATGCTTTGCAAATCATGAGCCAGAAATTTTTCAGGCCTCTCTAGATGCTTCGAAATTGCAGAGCTACATTAAATAGTCCAGCCCTGTATTTCAAAAATGGATGGTTTAGATAGCCTTTCTTAAACTGAGTGCTACAGAATATATGTAGATTGTTAACAGGAATTCTTTGAAAAAATTTTTTTCATAATCAAAATAATGTTTGGAAAGTCTTAAATAAAACAGTGTATGTGGTTTCTTCATTTTAGGACATTTCAGTGATATTTTTGGACCAAAATCTATAAACAGGTAACAGATATACAGAAATTTTGCAGTTTCTTTGAATGCAGATACTTCTTTTTTGAAGAATGGGTATGGAGTGTTCCATGGAACACACTTTAGTAATCTGGACTATGAGGAGAAGCAGCATTTAAATCCTATTCTGTATTTTTTAGTGTTGCCAAATTAAAATGTATCTATTCCCCAATATTTTAAGTTCATATGTTTATTTCAGCAAATATTATTGGGTGCCAACTACATGTAAGGCATTACATCAAAAAACTGCCACAAATCTGAAGATACAGAAAATAGTATGGCATATATTCTGCTATGTACAGGTGATGATCTGATGGTATTGAAAACACTGAGTACTTTAAGGGTAAAACAAGTATCCTCCAGATTATAAGCAGTTTTTCCTGATTTTTGCTGCTGCTTCAGAACAAGGTAACAATAAATTAATTGAAAGGGAAAATATTATTCCTATAGATTGGAGAAAACACTTATTATATCACCCTCCTTGCAGACAGCGTTGTATGTACAACCATCCCAAATATCAGCTGTTTCTAAAGCTCATTGCACTTGCTCTTTTCCCTGGGTAATCTAGAACTCATCTTCTCCTACAGTCTGCTTTTAACAATGTGTCCTGTATTTTGTTTAGTAGAGAGCAAGGAAGAAAATTGACGCTTATGAACCATGTGAATGCTTCAATTTGTTATGATGTTTTCCCTAATGGTACATAAAGTTATATGAAGAAAAGTGTTCATCTCAATTCAGTCCATTCATATGCACACAGTTCCCACTTACACACTTCATACATTTAAGGAGTCTGATTAACCAAGGTGTCCAATCCCAACTTGATGCATCTTGTGACTTAAATGCATATGCCTTATTGCTTAATTTAATTCAGATATTGAGAGATAACATTGAAAGTGTAAACAAAGGAATAAGTATTCAATATTTTTGAAATAATGAGCAGCAAAATGCAAACTACTTAACAATAGAGGTGGGCAATTTTAAAATATGTTTATAATAGACTTAATGTAAGTTACGACTATTCCTGGCATGCTGGCCACCTGGAACATGAGGCAGAATAGAATATTAAGGAGTTTTTATGTACTCTTGGAAAAAAATTGAGAATTATGATGAGTAAGAGTAATCCATAGCATTCCATGATACTAAATTTATAGCTGGCCTTCAAATAAACAGCAATAATTAAAAACATTACCATGGAAACTATCTGAAGAGGAATTGTGAAGTCCCCATGCAAACAGCAAACAATCAGTAAATGTTAAGGAGTACAATAACTGAAATAGGTCCAAAAAACTATTTTCACTAGATAGAATACATTAATAAAATTTAAATATAGTGTATGAAGAAAGTATTTTCACAAACATTCAATGTGCACTTTTACTGTGTCAGACATTGAAGCTATTTAGGGATATAAAATGAAATGCAGCATCTAACATTTAGGAATTTGAAGTTAAAAGACAAAGTTCAATGTGTATGCATGAGTAAAAAAGTACAGTTTAATATAAAAAATTACAGTATAATACAATATCTTAAAGCCAAAGTTGCCTACACAATGCCAAAGTAAGTTAGAGAAAGAGGCAATTACATTTGGAGAAGAGGTGGACTTCATAGAGAAGGTGGGATACACCTGTATCTGTTGTGAAACAGGAAATTGCAGAAGGAAGAAAAGGCATTTCAGACAAGGGAAAAGCATGTGTAAAGTCACAAGATTTCTCTGGACTACAATAATTTTTTTTGACATATATGAAACAGTATAAAATATTACTAGTTTGATTTAGAAGAGATTGGTAAATAAAATAGACTGATAAATACCTGAATATTATGTTTCCTGCACAGGTATGGTCATCATGACATTACTATAATACTGTTTCTATACTTGTTATTACTTCATAGAGATATGTTTAGATAATAAAATAAGTGAACCTACTTCTCATTATTATCTAATTGGATTATCTAAGGTGAGACTATTCTAACTAAGCCCAAATCACCTTTCAGTTGAAGGGAAAATTTAAAAAGTATACATTCAATGAATACTAAAAGTACTGTGTAAATTTCATGCTGCTACTGGAGTTTTACTAAATATTTGTAATCACTTTCCTTTATGCTAGTCAATGTAGTTTCTTAATATAAATTATGTTATACCTTCAAACACGTGTATATTTTATAACAATTATAATCATAGCACCAATGGCTAAAATGACAGTTTAAGTACTTATTTTACTGACATATATCATGTTTAAAAACTCCAAAGCAACTGGCCATGAGATTCATGTAAAAAGCATGATTGTATTTATTTTCCTAGTGTTAAACTTATGTCTCACACAGCAAGTTTCCTTAACACAGCATGGCAAGTGTTTTTTCAAATGTGGATTTCAATGTTATTTATTAATAGAACAGTGATTCTCTATTGTTAGATCACTGGAAATTATTAGAAATGTGAATATGTGGCCCAGTGTTTCCAAGGCCTTAAAGTCCCCCAACATAAAACTGAACCCTCATGGAAATCCACTAATGAGAATTTAAATGGAAATCAACTTTTCAGAAGACCTGGATTCTGTTAGAATTCATCCAGCGATGTTTCCTGTAGGCTGCATTTAAAGAAATTAGTTATCCTAAAGAGCAGAGGAAAAAGAAAGGTAGTAATCTTTTTTGGAGACAATAAACACAGTATCTCAATGTCAAGGAAACAATGTCAGCAAGTATTTTTAATATGAATCCGTACGTCTTAGATATAGGGCCTCCTTAAATGCCAGTAATCAGCAAGATGGGAATGATTATAGTGGGTATCTGTGGATGAAAAAGAGGACTTATGTGGAACAGAAAACTTACTGAATCAAACAACAGAAGACAGTTAAAACCCCAAATTAGTTGTTCCGTTTGATTTCCAATCTGTGACTCACTTGAGGTTTCTTTCAGATAACAGATACCACTGCCATCTGCAGTATATTTCAAGTATCTTTGAAGAAGTAAATAGCTTTTCTAGCCATCTCCTTAACTACCTTGTACTGACTGACAACAGGACAATGCAGTGATATCAAAAAGCACAGATATGAAGTTTATCTACATGTTTTTATAAAAAAAGAATTAGAACATCTGATATGAAAGGACTTGAAATTGGACCTGAGTTCCCCTTTGTTTTTGGTGGTGAGAGTAAGACTTCAGTAAGGTGGTATGTATGAGAAGGCTGGTGTACCCTCTCACCAATCAAACAACCATTTTAACTGGTTAAAAGTATAAAAGAAAAAAAGCACTAAGAATCATTTAATATATCTGGAAATTGTCTTAAAATCATGCAACCATACAGAAAAATGTTGATTGAAGAAAATTGACTAAAACTTGATAAGAACAGAAAGTTGGTAGCATTTGAGCTATTACCTGCTCCCTTTGCTCCCCATTTGTAAGTTCTGTGTAAAAGAAGCCTTACACTGAGTTCGTGTAGACAAGAACAGAGCTCACTCTACCTCAAATTCCTTGACTAGAGCTATAGTTTCCCCTTTGGAGAAGCAGGCCACAAGTAGCTTTCATTCCTTTTGCTTACAATTTTATATGTCAGACTCTCTATTGCAGATAGCTCCAGTCCATTTGAGAGGAATGAAGCTCCTTTCCCTGACACATCTCCCACTTGTAGGGCAGAAGCTCAAACCCATGCTTAGCAGGCCAAGAATATTGGTCCCTGATTGTCCTTGCCCAGATAGCTCATAGGGTAGAGGTTCTATACTAGTAGAGGTAAACTCAGAAGACTAAAGCCTAACATCTCCTCTGAGTAACCCATTAATGAAAAAGAAGTGCCTTTCTGAGTAAAGATTGTTGTTCTTCCTTACCCCAGCTCTGGTGCAGTTATGCAGAGATTCAGCCTAGAAGAAGAGGCAGAGAGATCTGCAGCTCTACTGAAGGGAAATTATATTATTGAAAGAAACCGTAAGGAAGTACATGCCTAAGGATATTGTCAAAAGCAATAAAGGTCTGGGTGGTGAACAATAAAGAGAAGGCTGCCAGGTCCATAATATTTGTAGAAATAAGCCAAGCAGTTGGCCAGCTAGAAGTTTAACAGAGGAACCTAAGGAAAGAGATAGCTAAAATGAGCCCTTCTGGGATCAGAGCAAATGACAAGCTCCAGAAGGAGATCTATATCCAGAATTACTAAAATGTATTTTCAAAAATGTCCAGTTTTCAGCAACAAAAGAAAAAAAAACTATAAGATATACAAAGAAATGGAAAGCATGATGCATAGAGAGACGAAAAAAATCAGGCAATAAAAATAGCCTTTGGGGAGTCCATTTGCTAGACTTAAAAAAAAGTCTTTCAAGCCACTTTTATAAATAAGCTCATAAACTAAAGGAAACAACGTATAAAGAATTATAGAAAGGAATAATGACAACGTCTTATCAAAGAAAGACTATCAATAAGGAAATTAACATTTGAAAAAATTCTGGAATTGAAAACTTTAATAAGTGAAGTAAAAAATTTACTAGAGGGGGAAAAAGTAGATTTCACCTGGCAGAAGAAAGAATCATTGTATTTGAATATAAATCAACAGAGATCATACAGAGTGAAAAATTGACATAAAAATTAATAAAAAATGTGAAGAGCCTCAGAGAATTGTGGAATGCCATAAACATACTAACATCTGCATAATAAGAATACCAGAAATAGAGAAGAAAGGGAAAGAAGCAGAAAAAAAATTCAAATCATAATGGCTAAAACATTTCAAAATTGGTTAAAAGAAACATTAAGCCATATAGTCAAAAAACTAAGCAAACTCCAATCTGAACTCAAAGATATTCACAGGTTGATTCAATGTTAGTCATAATAAAAATGTTGGATGACAAAGATGAAAAAAATCATAAAAGCAGTAAGAGAAAAGAATGACTTATCATATTTGAGGAAATCCTAATGATAAAACAGCTGACTTTTCATCAGAAACAATGAAGGCCAGAAGGCAGTTGTAAGATATATGCTGACTTGAGCATGGAATAAGAGAAGGAATATCAGTCATAAACTGGAAGAGACATTTTTATGAATTAAATACATACCCAAATAACAAAAAATGAGAGAATTTGTTTCTAGCAGACTCATCTTAGAAGAATTATTAAATTTCTTCAGGGTGAAAACAAGGGGTACCAGACAGTACTTTGAATTCATGTGACAAAACACTGAAAAAGTTATTTTATAATTTTATAAAATACACATTAATTTGCATACTTCTCTTTCTTTCTCTTAGTTGTTTTATAAGAAAAAAAGCAATACCTTTAAATGATGTAATGAAATGTGGAGTCTGTAATATATAGGAATGCAATATGTTTGAAAATAATAGCACAAAGAAGGCAGGTGGGAACAAAGGGCTACTGTCATGAAATGACACTAAAAAGCATCTACAGAAGAAATGAACAAGAATGGGTAAATAAAAAAGTTAATGTAAAGCTCTATAAATATATTATTGATCTTTCAGCTTATTTAGGAGGTATAAGATCCTATAAAGTAATAATAAAAGTGTACTTTTGGATTTTCTTTTTTAACTTTTAAGCTTTTAACATATATGAATGTAATATGTATAGCAATAGTAGCACAAAAAACGGGAAGAACTACATAGAAGTAAAATTTTATATCTCTCTGAAATTAGAGTAGTATAAAGACAAAGCGTTGGTTGGAATGTAAATTAGTTCAGCTACTGGAAAAATATTTTGGAGATAAAGAACTTAAAAGAGAACCACCGTTTGACACAGCAATCCCATTATTGGATATATACCCAAAAGAAAATACATCATTCCACCAAAAAGACACATTCACTTGTATGTTCATCACAGCACTATTCACAATATCAAACACATGGTATCAACTTAGATGCACATCAATAGTGGATGGGATAAAGAAAATGTGGTATGTATACACCATAGAATACTATGTCACCATACGATAAAACAAAATCACATCTTTTACAGCAGTATGGACACACCAGGAGGCCATTATCCTAAGCATTTTAACACATGAGCAGGAAACCAAATACCACATATTTAACACTTATAAGTGGGAGCTAAACATTGAGTACACATAGATTTAAAGGTGGGTATAACAGATGCTGGAGTCTCCCAGAGGAGGGAGGGAAGCAGGGAGTATGAGATTGGAATACCACCTATTGGGTACTATGCTCACTATCTGAGTAATGGGATCATTCATACCGCAAACCTCAGTGTCACACAATTTATCCATATGACCAACTTGCACATGTATCCCCTGAACCTAAAATAAAAGTTGAAACAAAAGTAAATAGAGCAGCCTGTTAAGATGAAGATTATAAACCATAGGGAAACTTAAAAAATGCAGCTATTAATAAAAATAAAGTAAATAAATATTATAATTGAAAGTATCACCTAATGCAACAGAAACAGTTGAAAAAAAAGCCATCAGACAAAATGAAAATAAAAGCAAAATGACAGTGATAAATCCAACCATATAAAGAATAACATTAACTGTGAACAGATAAAACAATCCAATTAAAAGACAGAGATTGTCATACTTACTAAAGTATCAGGACCCAAATATATGCTATCTACAAAAGACACTTTAAATTTAAACATATACACAGTTTGAAAGTAAAGAGTGGAAAAATTATATACCATACACACTGCAACTATAAAAGAATTGGAGTGACTATAATACCAAGCCTAATTTATGTTGAAACAAAAAATGTTACTAGAGATAAACAGGAGTACTTTACAAAGATAAAAGGGTTGATTCTTCCAGAAAACATTACAATGATAAAGTTATCAACAGAGCCCCACAATACATGAAGCATAAACTGACAGACTTGAAGGGAGAAATAGACACTTCAACAGTAAGAGTTGGAAACTTCAATACTTGGTTTTCAACATTAGATAGAAAGACTAGATGGAAAATAAAATGCATTTAAAAACTCTATGTAAACCACCTAGACCTGACAAACAACTTTAGAATACTCTACCCAACAATTGCAGGATACATATCCTTTTCACGCACAAACAAAACAATCTCCAAAATAGACAATATAACAGGCTTTAAGGCAAGCCTTAATATATTTTAAAAGATTTCAATCATACAAAGTATGTTCACTTAACAGAAGAATTAAATTATACATTAATAACATGAGACAATTTCAGTAATTCACAGATGTGTGGAAATTAAGTAACATTGTCATAAATAACCAATGATCAAATAATAAATCATAAGAGAAAAAATGCTTTTGAGAGAAATGAAAATAAAAACACAACAAACCAAAACTTAAGGTATGGAGACAAAGTTGCTCTGAGTTGGAAATTTAAAGCTGCAAGCTCCTATATTAAAAAAAAATTAAAAATCAAATAATAACCTACTTTTTCACCTTAAGTAACTGGAAAAATAAGAGGATTTCCACTGGAGTGGAAATAGAAGAAATGGAGAATAGAAAAGGGATAAAATCAATAAGACAAAAAGTTGGTTCTTTAAAGAGATTGACTAAATTGACAAATTTCTTGCTAGAGTGATAAAGAAGAAAAATGAGAAGACTGAAATTTTTTAAATCAGATATAAAAGAGAGAACATCACTACCAACCATACAAAAATAAATAGTATTGTAAGGGAATATTATCATCAACTCTATGTCAACAAATTAGATAAATGAACAAATTTCTAAAAATATACAAACTACTGAAACCAATGGAAGAGTAAAGGAAAAATATGAATAGCTCTATATCAAGTAAAAAGATTGAATTAGTAGTTTTAAAACTTCCCACAAAGAAAATCCTAGGATCACATGGTTTTATTGATGAATATTACTAAACATTTAAAAGGAAATAGTATTCTTTGGGAGGAGGAGGCAGGAGGATTGCTAGAGGCCAGGAGTTGAGACTAGATTGGGCAACATAACAAGACTCAGTTTCTACAAAAAAAAAAAAAAAGAAAAAAAAAAGAAAGAAAGAAATAGTACTAATCCTTTTCAAACTATTCCAAAAAATAAAAAGGAGGAAGAAACACTTCCCTGCTATTTTGATGAGGTCAGTATTTCCTTGATAAATAAACCAGATAAAGACATTGCAACAAACTACAGATCTGTATCTTTTATTAATATAGATGTAAAAATTGTTAATAATATACTAGCAAGCCCAATTCAGCAACATATAAAAAGAATTATACATCCGAATCAAGTAGGGTTTATCATAGAAATTCAAGATTCATTTAACATCTCAAACCTAATTAATATAGTATACCATATTAATAGAATACAGAACAAAAAACACTGATCATCTCAATATTGTTTGGCAAAATCCAGTACTCTTTTTATGATAAAACACTCGACAAACTAGAAAAAGAAGGGAAGTTTATCAATGTGATGAAACAGTGTCCAAAAAACCCATAGCTAACACTATACTGAATAATGAAAGACTGCTTTCCTCCTAAGATCAGGAACAAAATAAAGATTTCCACTCTCCTCACTTTTATTGCACATTGTACTATAAATTCTAGCCAACACAATTAGAAAAAAAAAACATAAGATAAAATATGTCTGGGTTGGAAAGGAAGAAAAATGCTCTCTCTCATTGGAAATGACATGACCTTTTATACAGAAAATCTTAAGAAATCTACTAAGTAACAGGAAACATACACAATTTCAGTAAGATTGAAGGATATTAGACCAAAAACATTTCATACACTGGCAATGAGAAATCAAAAAACAGAATTAAAAGAATATTTCATTTAAAATAGCACAGAAGAATGACATATTAGGAGTAAATTTAACAAAACTAAATAATTGTATATGGAGAACTACAAAATATTGTTGAAAGACATTAAAGAAGGTCTAAGAAAATAAAAGACATTCCATGTTCATAGATTGGAAAATTTAAGTTAAGATTGCAATTTTTCCTAAATTTATCTACAGATTCAATATAATCCTTATTAAAATTTCTGATGGATTTTTTATGCAGAAATTTATGAACTAATCCTAAAATACATGTAGAATGAAAAATACCCAGCATAGCCCAAACCAATCTTGAAAAGAATGAAGTCAGAGAATTTATACTACTCAATTTCAAAACATTCTAACATCAATAGCAATCAAAAGTAATAGACACACAGATCAATAAGACAGAACTGAGAATCCAGAAATAAATTATTGTTTTACAGTCAATTGCAAATGAGGAAAGAATAGTCTATTCTTTGTAAATGGTAAATTAAATGGAGAAAGAATGGTCTTTTCAACAAATGGTGATGTGAAAACTGGATATCAACATGCATAACTATGATTTGGATAACTCTCTCAATCCATACACATAAATTAACTCACAAATAAATTATAAACCTAACTGTAAGAGTTCAAACTATGAAACTCTTAGAGAAAAACATAGAAGCAAGCCTTACTGACACCGAATTAGGCAATGGTTTCTTAAGTATGACACCAAAAGCACAAATTACAAAAAAATGGATAAATTATATTCCATAAATATTATTATTATTATTTTGATACAGAATCTTGCTCTGTCTCCCACGCTGGAGTGCAGTGGCATGATCATGGTTCACTGCAGCCTCAAACTCCTGGACTCAAGCGATCCTCCCACCTCAGCCCCCCAAGTAGCTGGAACTACAGCCGTGTGCCACCACGCCCTGATAATTTTATTATTATTATTACTATCATTTTGCTGCAAGCAATATCATCATGAAAACATAAAGGAAGACTATAGAATGAGAGAAAATAGTTGTAAATAACATATCTCAAATATATCTGGAATATAAAAGGAACTGCTATGATTGAATAATAAAAAGATTAATAATCCAACTAAAAATAAACAAAGAATATGATAAATATTTCTCTAAAGAAGATATTTAGGTGGCCAATGAATACATAAAAATATGTTTTACATCACTTTTCATCAGGGAAATACAAATAAAAACTACAAGACACCACTTCATACACATTAGGATGGTTACAATAAACAAAACAGACAATGACTAGTGTTGGCAAGGCTGTAGAGAAATTGAATCCCTCATATATTGCTGTGGGGATTTGAAATGGTGCAGCTGCTTTGGAAAACAATTTGAAAATTCCTCAAAATGTTAAACATAGACTGTGACCCAGAAATTCCATTCCTAAGGATATACCCAAGAGGAGTTCACAGAAGAATTATTTGTAATAGTCAAAAATTGGAAACTAATCAAATATCTATCAACTGATGAATGAATAAAGAAAAAAATGGAGTATCTATAAAAAATTGTTGTAAATAAAAAGAAATGATGTAGTGACATTGATGAACCTTGGAAACATGCTAAGTAAAACGAGCCAGGCACAAAATACCACATATTGTATACGGATACATTTATATAATTATATACATTTATATAATAAGTAAATATATAGAGAGACAGAAAGTAGATTAGTGATTACTCAGGGTTTGAGGAGGAAGAAGTGAGAAAGGTAATGGGGAATATAAATGAATACAAAGTTGTCTTTAGGGGTGGTGAAGATATTCTAAATTTAGATTTTGTTGAAGGGTTCACAACTTTGTGAATAAACTGAAACCACTCACGTGTTCACTTAAATGGGTGAATTGTATGGTATCTGGGAATTATGTCTCGAGAAATCTGCTTAAAAGGGAAGAAGTTGTGGCCATCAATTTGCTGGAACTATAAATGGTAGCCAATGTCATTAGTAAGGCCCAGCTTCAGAAAAATTATAAGTAGGAAGTTAACTTCCTTTTCTTAAGAACCAACCAAGGTGACTGCTCAGGTATCTGGTTTACCCTGACAGAGCATCTAACCTTGTGTGGGTTTTCTCCAACACCAGCAAATTTTCCAACTTCCCAGAGACCAGCAGAATCACGACATAACAATTCTGTTAGTTCTGACACTGTTTACCTGGAGTTGGTGGTGGATCCCATAAACTGAGAGCTCAGTATCACAAGGCTGCCCCTCTTCAGATGCCAATCACAAGCCCCAGGTTGTCACCTGTACTATTAAACAACCGGGTATAAATCAAGGTTCCTATGACTCTTTTTCTTTTTGCATTTGATAGTTTGCTACAAGAGCTCACAGTACTCAGGGAAACACTTACATGTACTCATTTATCATATAATAAAGGAAATGATAAAGGATGGTGATGTACAGCCAGATAAAGAGATCCATAGGGTGAGGACCAGAAAGTTTCTGAGCTCAGGAGCTTCTTTCCTCTTGGAGTTGGGATGTGTCCACCCTTCCCCACCACCCCCACCAAACATGTAGGATGTCCAACAATCTGGAAGCTCTCAGAACTCTGTTTTTCAGGAATTTTTATGGAGGCTGAATCACATAGCCATAATCAATTATTAATTAAATCTCCAGCTTCTCTCCCATTCTGAAGGATGGGAGTGGGGTGGGACTGAAAGCTTCATGCTTCTAATCATGGCTTAGTCTTTCAATTGACCAGCCCCCCTTTGGGAACCCACCAAGAGTTGCCTCATTGGAACAAACGATGCTCCAATCACCCAGGAAATTCCAAGGGATTTAGAAGCTCTGTGTCAGATGCTACTATCACTTAGGAAATTATGGGAAATCACAAAGGTTGTAGGAGCTCTCTGTCAGGCACTGGGGTCAAAGACCAAGTATACTAATAAAACATTTTCCTATAAACCCTATTTATAAGGATTTTAGGAGCTGTGTCAGGAACCAGGGGCAGAGACTAATATACACCTATTTTTTATTATTTCACAAATAATAAGACCAAGAAAAGAAATAAATTTAATGGTTGCATTCATGGTGCAATCGCCTTACATATACCATCTTATTCTATGTTTATTTTCAAGAAAATCATACAAAGTTAATATTATTCTCATTCTACAGATGAGAAAACTGAATACATAGATATGTTAAATAGCTTGCCTAAGGCTTAAGATCATATGGTCAGAGCTGGGTGTCAAATTCTTCAAACAGCATTTATTATGTACTGGCACAATTCTAAGTTATTCACCTATGTCATCTCACTGGTACTCTCCCTGAGTTACTGATAAGAGCATTATTATAATCTCAATTTTAACAATGAACAAACCAAATCTCAGAAAGTTTAAGATATCCAAATGATAGGGGATGTAATTTGGATTGAAATATTTGTACTATTTTTCCTTTGATTTAACACTTGATCATTTTTATAAGTGTGTCTCAATATAGAGACAGGATCTTAGCATAAACTAGAGGCAGCAGTGGTGAGGTAGAAACCAGGGAGCTATAGGGACTGGGCTGTAGTCCCATCCCTATAAGTGGTTATCTTGGTGTTCTATGAAGAGGCTGTATATGCAAAGTGACCCTCAAATGCCAAAGGACCCAAGAAACCAAAGCAGGGAGGCAAACAAATCCTGTTTGTCAATATAAGGTGGTTTATCAGGGAGAACTGACAGAGGTGTGGTCGCAGGCGGCTGCAAGACAGGTAGATCTCTACACTGCAACCCCCCAGATTCAGGGCTTACATCTTGGGGAAAATATCTGTGCTTTGGAAGGAATGTGTAGATGGTAGGGGCATCACAGCCTATGGCTTCTGCTATGGCATCAAGGGTTGTTTGGGAGGAAACTTACAGTTAGTAGGTGTTCCTACAGAAAGGGTGACACACCATCTGTACATTTTGGAGGCATTCTTAGGCTCAGGGTTAGTAAGAAGTTACATGGTAGATTAATATTTAAAATAAAGTCACTCCTGTCCCTATACTTGGATACAGTTTCTCTTCAGCAAATCTAATTTCTTTCTTGTGTGAGTGTTAGGCTCAAATGGGCAGATTACGTAAAACGGCTTTGAACATAATAAAGTGCTATAAAAACATAAGGCATTATTAATATAAATAGGTCAGCATAAGTCAATCCGTAAAGTTTTATAACACCCTACATGCTCATAAAGGTAGCAGTGTGGTTTCAAATCAATAATTCACGATGTGGTGAGGCAGTGTGGCTAGGTGTGGGAGAATAGAATGTCAAGGCCTAAAAACTCAGAGATCTAGATGCTTCTACCAATGTGCAGTATAACCTCAGACTTTGCATTTGCAAAATTATGAACATATTACTGACCTAGTTTGTAGAACTTTTATTAAGAGACACTGATAAAAACTGATTATAAGGCATCTTGCAAATGGTATTGTGTGTAAAACTATTCTTATAGTTCATGAATTTTACTTAAACATCCATTTCTATATGCAGAAATTTTTAAATTGTAAAGTTTAACTTGAAAAATTTGAAGATTGATTATTGCAGTTAAGAGAGACTGTGGGCTGATTTTTAGAACTATACTTTTACCTTTTCAATTGTCTGGGTTGGTCACTCTAAAATTAATTTCGCAATAAAGTTCTTACAATCATATATCCCATTAGCCTATCTGATCAGATATTTTACAACATTTAGAACAAAATAATGGACCCATATTACATAGTGACTTACATCTACATAGTAGGAGTAAACAATTTTTTATGGTTTGTACAGTATAATTCTGGAAAAAATATTTATAGAGCTTTTAGTAAGAGTGAGTAATAAGTAAACTATATCTTGAAATAAGATTTTCTGCTGATTTTCCACAGTTCAGATGATCTACACTGCTAATTGTTTTGTGTATACAGTTGTGATCATTACAATAGCTATAATTTACTGAGAACTCTGTGTGTCCCAGATGCCAAGCAACTTACTTATATTTAATCCTCAGAACAACCTTAACAGAAAAGTGTTATTATTCCTATATTCATTATAAGATACCGATGGCATATGGCAAAATATGTAGGCAATATTCCAGCATGGGTCTACCATAGAAGTGCCTAGACTTTGGTATGTAGTACAAGGCAATGTTACCATCCTTTGTCAATGTCTGTGTTTCATCTATTAACAGACCTCTATGGTGATAAGATGGATTCCATTTAATCCAACAATAGTGGTTCTCAAGGTGTGGTCCCTGGACTAGCAGCATAATGTCAATGGGAACTTGATAGAAATTCACATTTTCAGGCCCCACCCAAGACCTACTGAATCGGAAACTGAGTTTTAATATACACTCCAACTAGTAATGATGCAAGCTAATCACTGAGAACCATTATCATACACTGATGGTCCCACCTTTCATTCATTCAGTAAGTATTTAAAGCATATACTAGATGCCAAGCATATAGTATTCTGAGGAGAGAGATTTCAGTGTTTATCTGATCAACTGATTGCTGCCGGACACAAGTGAAAATTCAAGCAAGAGCCTTGCTATGATGAATTTGAACTGAAAATTTGAGAACCAGTTGTTCATGAGGAGACATCAAGAAATAATTTTCAATAAACATTAAGAGCCAAGTATTCTGTCGCAGTCATACATCTTCCTGGCAACTCTGGTGGCTACTTGGAGGAGAGGGGATGACTGGCAGGGATACAGTCTTCCTCATTTAGATGTCATTTTCAAAAAGCACACTTTAATGCTAAGTGGGAGATATTCTCATCCCAGAACTCAGAGATAAGAGGCATTATTATATTAATCAAATACCCTCAAATATATAAACCAGACTAGTCTTTATTTCCACATAACACAATTCCAAACCATACAATGGAATTTAATAGTCCTTTTAATAGGACTATTAAAAGTTGTGTCATGGTTCTGGTAGCACTTATTTATATGGGAAGTGGGGTTAATACCTTCTTCTTCATAGGATTGTTAAGGTCAGACAGCAAGGAACCTGACATATAAGAGGTGTGACAGATACTGCTGGTTACCTACTGATATTGTTTTTCCCATTTTTTTTTAAATTAAATAATAGGACTCCCGATGTTGGAAGGGCACGGGGCCACCTGGCTTAAGACAGTGGTGTGTGGTCTCCCTTGTGGTAGTTTTAGTCATGCTACTGAGTTCTACACATAAATTATGTCACTTCTGGTCATAACAGTAAAGGAAAGGAATGAATCTATATTTCTCTTGCCCTTTCTTCTACACATAAGCCCTGGGGAGAAGAGAGGGCAAGAGAAAACCGCTGCAGATTCTTTAGACCCAGAGATACAATCTGGGTTTTGTGTGTTGCAGAACCTTCCCACCTGAGTTTTACTATTTCCTTTATTGGACTGTTCAGTGACAGAAGCATCAGTTCCTGTGTTGTTTAAGTCACTGTATTTTTAGCCTTGTTGCAGTAGTCTAGGCTGTACCCTAATTCAGTATCACCTGGGGATCTAGTTAAAAAATCTAGGTTGTACTTCAGGATGTCTCAGGTGAGATTCAAGACAATGCATTTGTAATAAATTCCCAAGTGACATTCATCAATGTCCATGAATTTCTGTCAAGTAGCATGACCCTAAATAATGCAATAGACATTTAATATAGATTGTTCAATTTTTTGTTTTTTTCCTTTCTGAGCCCTTTTCAAGTAAGCTGCTTTTGCATTTCAATTAAATGTCACCAAGTTGTTCTTATGATGTAAAGGGAGAGTGATATAAGCTAAGCCAAGAAAAATATCTGTAGCTTTACCCTAATGCTTATAACTAGAGTTATGTGCTAGTAAAACGAAATTGGCCTATATGGTAATATGTATTAATAATTTATCATAAAACCGAATTATAGTTATATATTATTTACTTCATGGTAACATTGTATTCAAACTTGCTCAGCCAGAACTCATATGCATGCTTGAGATCAAAAGAGAGACCCGGGGATCATCACTGCACCCCTTCTATCCCCAAGAACAGCTCACGGCATGTTTTTTGCTACTAGTGGGTCACTGGCATTATGAGCATATGTGAGAAAGCACAACAAGTGGCCTTAGTGGGACCCCTCCAAAATAAGAAGTATTTCCTTGCCTGTCCCCAGGCCTCCCTTCCCCCCCTTCCATGTGTCTGGTCTGGGATTGAGTCTTTAATGCAACTAGAAAGTAAATTTATTTCCATTTTTATTCCTATGTGTAATTTTTTAACTGTAACTCTAACACACTTCTTCAGAAATTGCTAATGTGTTTTCAATATGCAGAAAAATAAGGAGAAAATAAGCAGGTATTATTTTCTTCATGACCAGCAACTTCTATGTTCTGGGGTATTTCTCATAGGAAAAATGGATGTTGGTATCTAACTAAGCAGTGTGGTTTCAGGAGCACTTGATATCTCTTCTCTCAAAATGTGTCCCCACTTGCACAGTGATATTTAAATGCCAAAAGAAAGACTTTTTTCTTTTAGGTAAGTGGACTTGACCTCAAGATCATGGTACTTCTAGGAATTCATGTAGAAAATTTAGTATATATGTGAAACTACAAAAAGTTATTTGCAGTATTTTATGCTTCAGTGTAAATTTTTTTTTTCTCTAAGGAAAAATCTCTTAGTTTTCATTTAATTTCCAAAGGTGTTTGTGGTTCAAAAAACTTATATGAAGCGGAAGTACTTCTTATTTTTAGGGTGTTAAAGTGTTTCTCATCTATGCATTAATAGAAAATAATGTATAATGATTTCTTACCAATAACTTTTGATTAGAAGAGAATATTAGAACTGTGCTTTATGAAGAAAATGACATAAAAATGTGTTAAGGAAGAAAAAGACTGAAGCTTCAGTTTCACAATGTTGCCTTTGAATGGAAGAGAAAATAGAACACCACTCTATTTCAACATTTAATACTTTAAGCTTATACAATTGCAGTAATTTTCCTTGTATGTCTTCCCCTACAGACTTGCCTTTTCTTAAATTCGTGCTGTACATCCCCAGATGGCATGGTGGGATTCTTCTTAAAATACTCCTTTCATTATTTAAAAATTCTTCTGCCACCCTTTTAATCATTCATTTAAAATCCACCCATCTTAGTCTGGAGTTCAAGATACTTCATGACTGTGACCAAACAATTGCTTTTTAAGCTATTACTCCTACCATTTCCAAATATCTTAAGTTTGAACTAAGCTTGAACACTTGCCATTTCTCACAATAAACTGTTTTTCACTTTCTGTATCTTTGCCAGTATGAAAATTATTTCCTGAAATGACCTCTTTCATCCTCACTTACTGAATCCTGACTGTCTTTGTAAGTTATGATTGTCCAAGAACCTTCTCTGATGTGCTAGATAATTCTATTGTTGAAGTGGTTAAACTGGGGCTATGCTTTCTGGAATTTCCTTCCCTGTAGAGTTTCAGGTTAGAGTTGGCTAAAGGAATTAGTGAGTTTGAGGAGACAGAAGTAAAACAGCAGACCCTTTGAAGTTCTTTGCAGTCAGGAAAAATAATAGACAGATGCAGAATTTCCTACAGGGAGGGTGATAGCGAGCCACTTGATGGCAGGTTGATTATTTTGGACAACTTCCATCAGGAAAGAATAGTGCTTTGTTCTCAATGAGACACAACTTTCTCTCTATTTGGCTTTGTCATCCCTGATTACAAGGCTTCTGCCCAAAGCATCATCCATGGAAGGCAGAATGACATACTCATCATCATGGAATTCCACCCAGCTTTGCTCCTGACCAAAAACTGATTTTACAATAAATGAAGTATGGCAATGGGCTCATGTTTGTAGATTTCACAGTTTAAAATAGCATGTTTCCAAACTTCTTGGAGCAGATGGCTTTATAAAACAGGGAATAACTTTTTTTAAGGTTCAGTTATGGCACTATCTGGGTGGCAACATTTTGTAGGACTGGAGAAATGTTCTCCAAGAGGTAGTTTATGTTCTAAATCAGCAACCAATATGTGGCACTGTTTCTCCCTTAGCTAGATTTATGGCTTCAAGACGCAGGGGTGGAAATGGGAATAACTTCTATCACTGTTACCTCTAATGATCCACTAGTAAAACTTTTGCTTCCTGTCCCTATAACCTTGTTTAGACTACTAAACAAGAAGAACCATGGAAAATTCCATTGAAAGACATAGCAATGGTTTCATTAAACTGGAAACTATTACCTGGTCTCTTATTAGTGACCCAGTATGCAAATAAGGGGGTTGCTTTACTGAATGAGGTGATTGATAAACCTATCAAAGACAAATTGGGTTGTTAGTACACAATGGTGACCGGAGTATATATGGATTGCAAATGTTCCTCTAGGGCACTTTTTTATAGTTTCATGTTCTTTAATAAAAGATAATGAATACATATAATATCACAAAGCAGGCTGGATTGCTAATGACAAGAATAAAGGTTTGAGTCACCAACCTGTTAAGAAATCATGACCAGCTGGCATGACCAGAACCAGGGTGAGGTAAGTGAGGTACCCATCTCAAGCATAAAATTTAAGAGTCGCTCCAAACTTCAGGAGTCAAGGTAAACCATATTTTCATTCAATATTTTTAAAAGCATTGAATTAAAAATAATAAAAATAAATTAAAATCCTATGGTAAAAAAAAATCAAAATGTTAATTAAAGACAGGCTTCGACTCTACACTTGGATGACTCAGTTCACTTGCTTCACCCTAATCCCAGTGGCCTGTCAGTTCCTGTCTTGCCAGATGTGCTGGATTGTTCTATTGTCAACTTGGTTAAGTTGGGCACTATGTTTCCTAAATCCTCCACTCTGTATGGTTTCAAGTTACGGTTGCCCAAAGGACTTGCTCAACATTTGAGAGGCAGAGTGAAGCAGTGGTCCAGTGGGCCTTAGTCCCCAAAAGTCTACTCTCAGATTGACAAATAGGTACCTGGTGATTTGCAGCTTGTCTCTCTCCACTCTCAGAGCAGCTCCTCTTTCCATCTGCAGCCCCAGTGCTGACAGTGGATGCTTTTCTGCAGGCACACGGAGGCACAGCCACCCAGAGGCAACCATGTCCTATAGACCTTTCTGTAAGCTCCTTCTTCTCAAAATGGCCACAGTGCTTTAGGGGTGCTGGTTATTGCCTCTTTTTTTGGAATCCTAACTTCACCTTCTGGATCTTTGTTTTCATAGCAACACTTACAATTATACAAGATCTAATTCTTTTACCGATTTCATTATTATTTGCATTGATAATGACTACGTTTCTCTGACTGAAGCTTAATTGATACATGTGATTTTCTCTCATCCTGAGATATTTTTTAAATTCCATTTGATTTCTTCTTTAACCAAGAGGTTGTTCGTGGATGTGTTATTTAGTATCCATGTATTTGTGAATTTCCCCATTTTCTTGTTACTGATTTCTAGTTTCATCATATAGTGCTCAGAAAAGATACTTGATATGATTTCAATTCTCTTAAATGTATTAAGACTTGTTTCGTAACCTAACGTGATCTATTCTGGAGAATGTTCTGTGTTCACTTGAGAAGGATGAGTATTCTTTTTCTGTTGGGTAAAAAGTTCTATGTATACATTTGTTAAGTCCATTTGGTCTGCAGTGTTATTAAAGTCCACAGTTTCTTTACTGATTTTCTGTCTGGATGTTCCACCTATTATTGAAAAGGGGATGTTCCTACATCCTGGATGTTCCTACTATTATTGTATTGTTTTCTATTTCTCCCCTCAGATCTGTCAGTCAGTGTTTCCTTTATATACTAAGGTGCTTTAAAGTTGGGTGCTTATATAATTATAATTTTCTTCCTGTTGAATTGACCCTTTTATCATCATGCAATATCTTGCCTTGTCTCCAGTGACAACATTTGATCCTTTTTTTTATTATTTCATTTTTAAAATTTTTATTTAAATAGTTTTAGAGGTACAAGTGATTTTTCGCTGCATGAATTATATAGTGGTGAATTATGAGATTTTAGTGCACTTGTCACCCAAGGAGTGTAAATTGTACCTAATGTGTTTTTAATCCCTAGCCTTCCTTCCACCCTCCCTCATCCAAGTCTCTAAAGTCCATTATGTCACTCTGTATGCCTTCGCTTACTCATAGCTTAGCTCCCACTTATAAGTGAGAACATACGGTTTTTGGTTTTCCACTCCTATGTTAACTCACTTAGAATAATGTCCTCCAGCTCCATTCAAGTCGCTGCAAAGACATTATTTTATTCCTTTTAATGGCTGAGTAGTATTCCATGGTGTACAAATGCCACATTTTCTTTATCCACTCATTAGTTGATGGGCACTTAGGTTGCTTCCCCGTCTTTGCAACTGTGAATTGTGGTGCTATAAACATGTATTCCCAAGTGTCTTTCCCATACAACGACTTCTCTTCATTGGTAGATACCCAGTAGTGGGATTTCTGGCTCGAATGCTAGGTCTACTTTTAGCTCTTTAAGGAATTTCCATACGGTTTTTCCATAGAGGTTATACTATGGAATACTAATGTAAATACTAATGTAAATACTAATTTACATTACCATTAATAGTGTGTAAGCATTCCCTTTTCCCCACATCCATGCTAATATTTATTGTTTTTTGACTTCTTAATAATGGTCATTCTTGCTGGAGTAAGGTGGCATGATTCCACTGGGGTTTTAATTTGCATTTCCCTGATGATTAGTGACGTTGAGCATTTGTTCATGTTTGCTGATCATTTATTTTTGTATATCTTCTTTTGAGAAATGTCTATTCATGTCTATTTCCCACTTTATGATGGAATTTTTTTTCTTGCTGATTTGTTTGAGTTCCTTGTAGATCCTGGGTACTATATTTTTTGTCAGATGTGTAGTTTGCAAATATTGTCTCCTAATCTGTGGGTTCTCAGTTTACACTAATTATTATTTCTTTTGCTGTGCAGAAGCTTTTAGGTTGATTAGGTCCTGTTTATTTATTTTTGTTTTTGTCGCATTTGGGGTCTTAGTCATGAATTATTTGCCTAGACCATTATCAAGATGAATTTTTTCAATTTTGTCTTCTAGAATTTTTATGGTTTCAAGCCTTATATTCAAGTCTTTAATCCATCTTTGTTGATTTTTGTATAAGGTGAGAGATAGGAATCGAGTTTTATTCTTCTACATGTGGCTTGCCAGTTTTCCCAGAACCATTTATTAAATAATGTGTCCAATCCCCATTTATGTTTTTGTATGTTTTGTTGAAGATTAGTTGGCTGTATGTATTTGGCTTTATTTCTGGAATCTATTATTTTCTATTGGCCTATGTTCCTACTTTTATACCAGTACTATGCTGTTTTGTGGTATAATTTGAAGTCCAGTAATGTAATGGCTCCAGATTTGTTCTTTTTGCTTAGGATTGTTTTGGCTATTGAGGCTCTTTATTTGGTTCCATATTAATTTTAGGATTATGATTTCTAATTCTGTGAAAAATGATGTCAGTACTTAAATGGGAATTGCATTGAATATGTAGATTGCTTTGGGCAGTGTATTACTGAGGGTTCTCTAGAGGGACAGAACTAATAGAATAGATGTATATATAAAGAGGAATTTATTAAGGAGTATTAACTCACAGATCACAAGGTCCCACAATAGGCCATCTGCAAACTGAGGAGCAAGGAAGCCAGTCTGAGTCCCAAAGCTGAAGAATGTGGAGTCCACTGTTCGAGGGCAGGAAGCATCCCACACAGGAGAAAGATGTAGGCAAGCAGGCTAAGCCAGTGTAATCTCCTCATGTTCTTCTGCTTGCTTTTTATTCTGGGCACATTGGCAGCTGATTAGGTTGTGCCCATCCAGATTGATGGTGGGTCTGCTTTCCCATTCCACTGATTCAAATGTTAATTTCCTTTGGCAACACACTTACAGGCACATGCAGGAACAATACTGTGCATCCTTCAATCCGATCAAGTTGACACTCAGTGTTAATCATCACGAGTCCACTCCTTGTCAACTTGAACATACCCATCTCTTGAAATCATACATAATCTTCAAATAAAGACACTAATAAAGTCATAATTATGCCCACATAATACAACTATCAATTCATACAACCGGAAACATGCCAATCCCCAACCCAAATACTATTACATAAAATTAACCACACTTATAGGCTGATATGAAGTCAATAAATCTTATGTCACATGATAAAGGAAGAAAAGGAAATAGAATGAAGATATTTTCTTAGTACAAGTGTATACATGCACAGACATGGTTTTAACAAAAGAAGGAGAAAATACTCGTGACGGCTATAGTCCTCGTTTCTGCAACTGGTCACGTGGTCGTCATAGCTGGTATTGATGACTACCTTCTTCTACTACTTATTTTTTATTCCTTTGCTTTCAGCAAGCAGGTCCTGTTTTTTTGTTTTGTTTTGTTTTGTTTTGTTTTTTTAAGTGGAGTGACCCAAAACTTCATTCCTGAAGGATCTGGGTCATTTGTAGTCCTGCCTGGATTGGGTTGTTGTACTTTCCCATTGACCTTAACCACAGGGCATGGTAAAACTAAGAGACACCCTAATGAATCTCCTGTATTCCATGCATACTCTTTTTTACCTCTGTTGTGGAGTAGTAGACTGATTTCATCTTGATAGGCAGGATCAATCACCCCAGCCAACGCTGTAACTCCCTTTATAGCCTGCTGCCTTAAAGGTAGGAGGAGCTCTAAGTGTCCAGGTGGCAATCTTAACTTCTTGTTTAATAGAACCATTGTTGTGTCTCCTGGTGGCAGTTCTCCTCTCTCTGGAACTGAGACCTCTAGGCCTGCAGAACATAATGTCATGGAACGGTAAGCAAAAATTTGGCTAGTGGGTCATAGGGTGATGGTGAGTGGTACCACTTCCATTTCCACCCTTGATTCCTGGACCCATGAATCCTGGTTATGGGAGAAACAGTGTCACATACTGGATGCGATTCAGAGCATACACAGCTTTCTGGAGAACTTTGCCCCAGCCCTGCAAAGTATTGTCACTTAGTTGGCATTGTAATTGTGACTTCAAATGGTCATTCCACCATTCTATCAATTCAGCTGCTTCAGGATGACTGGGAACATGGTAAGAACAGTGGATTCCATGAGCATGAGCCCACTGCTGCACTTCTTTAACTGTAAAGTGAGTGCCTTGGTCAGAGGCAATGCTGTATGGAATACCATGATGGTGGATAAGGCATTCTGTGAGTCCACAGATAGTAGTGTTGGCAGAAGTATTCTGTGCAGCATAGGCGAACCCATATCTGGAATAAGTGTCTACTCCAGTAAGGACAAACCGCTGCCCTTTTCATGATGGAAGAGGTCTGATATAATCAACCTGCCACCAAGTGGCTGGCTGATGACTCCGAGAAATGGTGCCACATTGAGGGCTCAGTGTTGGTCTGTGTTGCTGGCAAATTGGGCACTCAACAATGTCTGTAGCCAGGTCAGCCTTGGTGAGTAGAAGTCCACATTACTGAGCCCATGTATAACCTCCATCCCTGCCACCATGGCCACTTTGTTCATGGGCCCACTGGGTGACAGGGGTGGTTGGGGAGTACTCATATGAGATACAAATATCTTCACAGTTTTTGATCACTCAGAGAGGTCCATCCACATACCTTTTCCCCAAATATCTTTGTTACCAATTTTCCAGTCATGCTTATTCCAAGTCCCTGACATCCAGCCAAACCATTGGCTACAGCCCATGCATCAGTATATCATTGCACATCCGGCCATTTCTCCTCCCATGCAGAGTGCACAACTAGGTGAACTGCTCAAAGTTCTGCCCAATGGGAAGATTTCCTTTCACTTCTGTCCTTCAGGGATGTCCTAGAAAGGGGCTGTAGTGCTGCAGCTGTCCACTTTTGGGTGGTGCCTGCCTATCGTGCAGAGCCATCTGTGCACCAGGCCCTAGTCTTCTCTTCCTCTGTCAACTACTCATAGTGAACTCCCCAGGAGGCCATCAGTGCAGGTTGGGAGACAGAAGGCAGGGTAGCAGGAGTGGGAGACCATGAGCATTTGAGCCACTTCCCAAAAATTGTTCAGGAGTGTTTTGTTTCATTTCCATGTATTTGCATAGTTTTGAGAAATGCCCTTTTGTATCATTTTCTAGTTTTATTCTGCTATGGTCTGACAAGATATTTGGTATGATTTCAAGTTTTTAAAATGCATTGAAGCCAGTTTTGTGCCCTAATACATGGCCTATCTTGGAGAATGTTCCATGTGTTGATGAGATGTATTTACATTCTGTTGTTGTCCAGTAGAATGTCATTTAAATGTCTGTTTGCTAAGTGCATTTGGCCCAAAGCCTTACTTAAGTCCAGTGATCTTTTGTTTCATTATTTTGTATTGCTGTCTATATTGTATCCTCTGTTTTATTGTTTCATTTATTCTTACATGATATCCTTTTGTGTATTTTTTACTGTTTTTGATTTGAAGTTTGTTTTATTTGATATAAGAATAACTAATTCTGCCCTCTTTTGACTCTCATTTGCATGGAATATTCATTTTTACCTCTGTTCCTTCAGTCTATAATATAAATGTCTGTACTAGTAAGGTGAGTTTCTTGTAAGAAGCAGATGGTTGGTTCATCTCAAAAATTTTTCTACCTATTTCTTTTAAGTGGAACATTTATTCCATTTATGTTTAAATTAATATTGACATGTGAAGTTTCATTCCTGTCATAATGTTAATTTTTATCTACCTGTTTGTAGATTTTTTGTTTCTTAATTTTTCCCTCTGTCTTTGTTGTTTGGTGGAGGTGTTGCCATTTAATTTCTTTCATTTCCTCCTTTGTGTAATTGTTTTATAACACCTGTGAGTTTTTATACTTTCATGTATTTGTATGATAATGAATATCAACCTTAGAACTCTCTGAGCATTTCCTGTAGAACTGGTCTAGTAATGACATATTTCCTCAGCATTTGCTTCTCTAGTAAATACTTTTTTCTATCTCATTTATAAACTTATTCTAGCAGTGTATAAAACTTACGCTTGATAGATATTTTTTCTTTAAGAACTCTGAAAATTGAATTCCTGTTCCCCTAGCTTGTAAAGTTTCTGCTGGGAAGTTCACTGTTGGTCTGATGGGTTTTTATTTGTAGGTGACTAGATACTTCTCTTGTGCCGGTTTTAGAATTTTTTTCCCCCTTCACATTGACTTCAGAGAGTCTAATGACTGTGTGTCATGGTAAAGTCTGTCTTACAATGTTTCTTCTGGTGCTTTCTGGGTCTTTTGTAACGAATTATCTTGCAAGATGTTTAGTCAGCGTTCTCTAGAGGGACAGTACTAATAGGATAGATGTATATATGAAAAGGAGTTTATTATGGAATATTGACTCAAACGATCACAAGATGAAGTCCCACAATAGGCCACCTGCAAGCTGTGGAGCAAGAAAGCCAGTCCGAGTCACAAAACTTCAAAAGTAGGGAAGCTTGCAGTGGAGCCTTTAGTCTGTGGCTGAAGGCCTGAGAGCCCATGGTAAAACAATGGTATAGGTCCAAGAGACAAAGGCTGAAGAACTTGGAGCCTGATGTTTGAGGGCAGGAAGCATCCTGCACGGAAAAAAGATGGAGGCCAGAAGACTTAACCAGTCTAGTCCTTCCACATTTCTCTTCTTGCTTTTATCCTAGCCATGCTGGCAGCTGATTAGATGGTGCCCACCCAGATTGAGGGTGGGTCTGCCTCTCCTAGTCCACTGACTCAAATGTTAACCTCCTTTGGCAATACTGTCACAGCCACACTCAGGAACAACACTTTGCATCCTTCAATCCAATCAAATTAACATTCAATATTAACAATCACACAAGACTAGAAAATTTTTTTTACCAATTATTTATGTAAATAGGTTTTCCAAGCTTTTTTGCATTTGCTTCTTCCTCAGCAATACCAGTGATTTATAAATTTCTTCATTTTATGTAATCCCATATTTCTTGAAGACTTTATTCATTCTTTAATTTTTTTCTTTTTATTTTCTGGCTAGATTAATTCAAAAGACCTGTCTCTAAGTTCTGAGATTCTCTCTTCTGCTTGGTCTAGTTGATTTTTGAAGCTTTCAACTTTACTTTGTAATTCCTTCAATGAATTTTTCACTTCTAGAAGTTCTATTTTTTTAAAAAGATATATTTCCTTGGTAAATTGCTCATTCATAGCTTGAATTGATTTTTTAATTTCTTTTTCTTTGTAATTCAGCCTTAGGCATTAAAAGCATATCTATTGATTTCTTGTATTGGTTTTCAAAATTTTCTTATAGCTCATTGAGCCTATTTAAAATCTATAGTTTGAAATTTTTATCTGTCATTTCAAATATTTATTTCTGGTTAGGATCTATTGCTAGAGAATACTATATTTGTTTGGAGATGTCATAACCCTATGCTTTGTCATGCTTCCAGAATTATTGTGCTGCTTTCTTCTCATCTGGGAAACAGTTGCTTCTTCTTATTTTTGATTTTACTCTCATTAGGGTGGGACTGTTTTATTTTTCTCTCTCTCTCGAGAAGTGTTTGTGATGTATATTGACTAGGGCTGTTTGGATTTGCCTCTGATTGCATTCAGTACCAAAGACTCTGTACGATTTTCTTTGTTATAAATGGCCTAGTGTGAAATCTTTCTCAGTTATAGTAGTGGTTATAGTGGCCAGTTATAGTAGTGGTGTACTGGGTGGGTGAGCAAGCTCACTGCTTCCTGAGAAGCTGAGGTTGTGTAGTCAATGGTGGTAGCAGAGGTTGCTGGAAGCTTGTCTCCTTCCTAAGCACTGTGCACTTGTGCACATGGGTGAGGGATGACATAGGAGATGCCTTCCCAGCAGCTCAACTCCAAGCTCAACTCCAAGCCTCTGAGCCATCTGGTGGTGGCTGTGGTGCAGTTTTGCCCTACATCCCCAAACACAAACATCTCTTACTCTTCTGCTGTCTGTGTCAGCAACCCCGCAGTTCTGTGCAGAGAGGGAGAGAAACTGCCCTTCATGTAAGCCCAAACTAGAGGCCATATCATTAGCAGGGTTACAGTCATCACTCACAACCCAGGAGAGACAACCCTCTGGCTGCCCACAAAAATTTTCCACGGCAGCAGTAGCAGCTTTGTCTGCAGTAATGTGTGGAAGGGGAGGAGAAATTTCCCTTTCTACACCTGGGCTTGAGCAGACACCACTCAAGCTGTGGGAGAGGATTTGCTTATTTGCAGAGTGGAGCATAAAGTTCTTGTCCCTGATGAAAGTCCACCCCTCTCAGCCCCAAGCAGGGAGTTTTGGGGCTCTGGTAAGCATGTGCGTTGGTTTCCTTTTTGTTCCAGGGGCTGCTCCCTTGGCACACTGCACTCTCTTTTCCCCTGGGAATAGGACTCTCTGGGGAATATACTGGGAAGCCTGCAGCTCCTTTGTGTCCAGATATTTCTGTGTTGCTGCAGCCCTCTAAGCAAGTTCTGGGGAATGTTAGTGAGTGATTGCCCCCAGGATGTGAAGACAAAAGGGCAGAGGTTCCCAGGGCAGGATAAAATTTCCTGATGACTATATCTTCACAATAATGTTCTCTGCACCTGCTCTAGTCTAGTGGGACTGTGAGTGACCCAGTGTGAGTTTGCAGTCTGATGTAGTGCTCTCAAGGGGCCTCCAAATCACCACCCATGCTAATGCCAGGATTTGTTGGTACAGAGGAGCTCTCCTACAGTTTTGACGATGGTAGTCTACAGCAGGGATGAGGGCAGCCAAAACAATCCCACTTGCCCTTCATATGTAATACCCAGTCCCTCTGGGCTCCTAGCTGATCTGGGTCAGTCAAGTTGGCCTCTCGCCTCCTTCTTGTTCTGTGTCTCAGGTTTTTCCCATGAGTTCTCTGTTGGGTTCTAGTATTATCTCCTTGTTATTCTGTTAGAGGAAATATTTTTATTTCATAATTTTTATTCTTTCTAGGGAGCATTGCATCTGATCTCTCTAGTCAGCCATCTTGAACCCCTTCCCATAGTCTCTGGTATCTTAAAGTACCTCGTTTGGTATCCAATAATGCCTTCTTGATAAGAACATTAATGCTAATTGCGTCTTCTCAAGGTTGTATAAACCATATTACCTTCTGATATCGTAGCTATTCAAAAAATCTGATCGTACTTTTCATTATTTTCTAGAAACCAGTGGGATTTCTATTGGTTTCTTTTTTCCCCATTACCTTTTTATTGTTTACTTTTTGTGTAAATCTATTTTTTTTTTTTTTTTTTTTGAGATGGAGTCTTGCTCTGTCACCCAGGCTGGAGTGCAGTGGCGTAATCTCGGCTCACTGCCACCTCCACCACCTGGGTTCAAGCGATTCTCCTGCCTCAGCCTCCCAAGTAGCTGGGACTACAGGTGCCCACCACCACGCCCGGCTAATTTTTTGTATTTTTAGTAGAGACAGGGTTTCACCGCGTTAGCCAGGATGGTCTCGATCTCCTGACCTCGTGATCCACCCGCCTTGGCCTCTCAAAGTGCTGGGATTACAGCCATGAGCAACCATGCCTGCCCGGTGTAAAACTATTTTTAATGATTTTTAGATCTACTTATTTCCTATATATAGTCTGAAATATAAGTTGCAATATTTCATTTTATTATTAGTTTTATTTCTGACCAATTACTTTTTCCCCATCTTATCTACTGGGCTTCAAGTCTCTCAATGGAAAGATCAAGATTTAGGATTGAGAAACGTGAGTTTGAATTATGCATTTGTTATCGCTTCACTGGAGTTTTCTGATGTAATCATATTTTTTTAAAGTCATTATTTATTGAAAACATCTATAAAATTACTATGTGAGTACTCATGCATAATAGTTTTCCTTATACAGATTGTAACATTTTAGCTGGAGAGCTGGTTATTCTGCAGGGTTTCTTTTCGCCTCTAAGCTTAGAGGAGTAACTCCATGTCTGTGCCTTTTCAACAAAAGGAAGCAGACCTTAAGTTCTTGTCCTAGAGCTAAGGTAGCTGGCTTCTGGCAAAGAGTACATTTATACCCCCTATGGAGTATACACAGACCCTTCAAGAACTTGTAAGAAGTGTCATTGAGTGTGACAAATGGAATAGCAGTTGGCCATTCCAGAATGTCCTAGCAGATTTGGGGCATCCTTGCATAGTCATTTATATATCTAGACTTTCCATTCATGTAGCACTCACTAGCTTTGTACATTTCAAGGGTTGAATTGAGCAGGGAGTTCAGCCACTCATTTTTTTTTAATGGTCCCTAGACACTATCCTGTGAAAACTGCTTAAAACTGGGTTCAATTTTAATTATTGATTGTTTCATGCAGGTTAACAATTTATGTGACATAATATTTGGCTGGATATCTCAAGTAAGCCATATATTAGATGTACAGAAATTACTATTACATTGTTTAGTCATAAATATCAGAAAGTTCAAAAATTTTAGTCATTAAGTAATATATATTTATTCCCATGCATGTATACAAAGTTACATCGTATTAGTAATATATGATGTAGAAAGTAAAAACACAGATAATAGTAAACTTTTAAAAATTGTAAGCTTTATCAGTAAATAAAGTAGAAATGTTTTCGTAACTGAATGTGGCAAAATTTAAATTTACAAGGGATGTCTTAGGATGAACATTTAATTCACTTAATTGAGTAGAAGACTGAATCCCTGAATTACCTCCAATTTTTGAGGACATTAATATACAAAGGCTAGTTTCTTAAACTGTTACACACACACACACACACACACACACACACACAGTTTACGGAAAATGCTTCTTTAGATCTCTCTTCTCTTATTGGTTTGAACATATTACTGAGCACCTTTAATGAGGTGAACATAAGAACATGATGGTTTGGGGACAAACCGATAAATGAAGCAAGGAAGCCATGCTGCCTGTAATCAGAAAATGTATGGTCTAATGCCAACATAACACATTTTTGCATTGAGTGTGGGTTTCTACTTTCAATGCTGTATTAAAAAGGCTTTTAACATAAAATTATTTAATGAATTAGCAATACCAGTCAAAGATGAACATAAAAATGAGAGTTGCGGCAGGCAGGTGTGACTTGTACTTGCTTTAACCCATCTAATCTCTAATATTCTATGAACTCACTACATATTTCTGAAAATTAGCCACTCAATTTTTTATAATACTGGAGTATGAGAAATAGAACAGACATAATTGAAAATCGAGATTTTTCTTCTTGGAATAATACTTACCTATTCTAAATACATCGGCTATTGATAAACATATGTTAGCATTTACCTATTCATTCTATTGGAGAAAACTGGATAACTCTTAAGTGTTTTGCCCTCCAGGCTTACATTAAAAGTTAATTACCACCACATGGGATGGGCCTCGGGAGGCCATGACAGCCTTGAACTAGTATCAGCAAAATGTGCATCTCACATTAGCCTCTGAATTGCTCACCTCTCACAATAGAATACTTTCTCCTTGAGTGAATGTTTACAAGTTAAAAAACACACCACTTTTTGTGTGAGCAGTAAGTTGAAAAAGGACAACTTTCAGCTGAAGAAAAATAAAATTAGAGCCTTAGGTTACAAGTTAAGGACAAGGAAGTAATGAGATATCTGGTCTCAAATACAAAATAAATATAGGACTGTAATTAGCTACATCTGATAATCCAAAATTTATTCTCTGTCACTCTCTTTTTCCCCGAAATACCTTTCTTCATCTAGGCTCTCTGTGAAAAGTTGCCATGAGCATTTGGTTATAACATGATCTAATAGTGGCAGGCAAGGGCACAGTATAAGCAAATATTCGATAAAATATGTTTTATTTATTTATTTATTTTTATTATACTTTAAGTTTTAGAGTACATGTGCACAATGTGCAGGTTAGTTACATAGGTATACATGTGCCATGTTGGTGCGCTGCACCCATTAAATCGTCACTTAACATTAGGTATATATCCTAATGCTATCCCTCACCCTTCCCCCAACCCCACAACAAGCCCCAGAGTGTGATGTTCCCCTTCCTGTGTCCATGTGTTCTCATTGTTCAATTCCCACCTATGAGTGAGAACATGTGGTGTTTGGTTTTTAGTCCTTGTGATAGTTTGCTGAGAATGATGGTTTCCAGCTTCATCCATGTCCCTACAAATGACATGAACTCTTCATTTTTTATGGCTGCATAGTATTCCATGGTGTATATGTGCCACATTTTCTTAATCCAGTCTATCATTGTTGGACATTTGTGTTGGTTCCAAGTCTTTGCTATTGTGAATAGTGCCGCAATCAACATACGTGTGCATGTGTCTTTATAGCAGCATGTTTTATAGTCCTTTGGGTATATACCTAGTAATGGGATGGCTGAGTCAAATGGTATTTCTAGTTCTAGGTCCCTGAGGAATCAACACACTGACTTCCAAAATGGTTGAACTAGTTTACAGTCCCACCAACAGTGTAAAAGTGTTCCTATTTCTCCACATCCTCTCCAGCACCAGTTGTTTCCTGACTTTTTAATGATCGCCATTCTAACTGGTGTAAGATGGTATCCCACTGTGGTTTTGATGTGCATTTCTCTGATGACCAGTGATGATGAGCATTTTTTCATGTGTCTTACGGCTGCATAAATGTCTTCTTTTGAGAAGTGTCTGTTCATATCCTTTGCCCACTTTTTGATGGTGTTATTTGTTTTTTTCTCGTAAATTTGTTTGAGTTCTTTGTAGATTCTGGATATTAGCCCTTAGTCCAATGAGTAGATTGCAAAAATTTTCTCCCATTCTGTATGTTGCCTGTTCACTCTGATGGTAGTTTCTTTTGCTGTGCAGAAGCTCTTTAGTTTAATTAGATCCCATTTGTCAATTTTGGCTTTTGTTGCCATTGCTTTTGGTGTTTGAGACATGAAGTCCTTGCCCATGCCTATGTCCCGAATGGTATTGCCTAGGTTTTCTTCTAGGGTTTTTATGGTTTTAGGTCTAATATGTAAGTCTTTAATCCATCTTGAATTAATTTTTGTGTAAGGTGTAAGGAAGGGATCCAGTTTCAGCTTTCTACATATGGCTAGCCAGTTTTCCTAGCACCATTTATTAAATAGGGACTCCTTTCCCCAGTTCTTGTTTTTCTCAGGTTTGTCAAAGATCAGATTGTTGTAGATATGTGGCATTATTTCTGAGGGCTCTGTTCTGTTCCATTGGTCTATATCTCTGTTTTGGTACCAGTACCATGCTGTTTTGGTTACTGTAGACTTGTAGTAAAGTTTGAAGTCAGGTAGCGTGATGCCTCCAGCTTTGTTCTTTTGGCTTAGGATTGACTTGGCAATGCAGACTCTTTTTTGGTTCCATATGAACTTTAAAGTAGTTATTTCCAATATCTGTGAAGAAAGTCATTGGTAGCTTGATGGGGATGGCATTGAATCTATAAATTACCTTGGGCAGTATGGCCATTTTCATGATATTGATTCTTCCTACCCATGAGCATGGAATGTTCTTCCATTTGTTTGTATCCTCTTTTATTTCATTGAGCAGTGGTTTGTAGTTCTCCTTGAAGAGGTCCTTCACATCCCTTGTAAGTTGGATTCCTAGGTATTTTATTCTCTTTGAAGCAATTGTGAATGGCAGTTCACTCATGATTTGGCTCTCTGTTTGTCTGTTATTGGTGTATAAGAATGCTTGTGATTTTTGCACATTGATTTTGTATCCTGAGACTTTGCTTATCAGCTTAAGGAGATTTTGGGCTGAGACGATGGGGTTTTCTAGACATACAATCATGTCATCTGCAAACAGGGACAATTTGACTTCCTCTTTTCCTAATTGAATACCCTTTATTTCCTTCTCCTGCCTAATCGCCCTGGTCAGAACTTCCAATGCTATGTTAAATAGGAGTGGTGAGAGAGGGCATCCCTGTCTTGTGCCAGTTTTCAAAGGGAATGCTTCCAGTTCTTGTCCATTCAGTATGATATTGGCTGTGGGTTTGTCATAGATAGCTCTTTTTATTTTGAGATACATCCCATCAATACCTAATTTATTGAGAGTTTTTAGCATGAAGGTTGTTGAATTTTGTCAAAGGCCTTTTCTGCATCTATTGAGATAATCGTGTTGTTTTTGTTGTTGGTTCTGTTTATATGCTGGATTACGTTTATTGATTTGCGTATGTTGAATCAGACTTGCATCCCAGGGATGAAGCCCACTTGATCATGGGGGATAAGCTTTTTGATGTGCTGTTGGATTCAGTTTGCCAGTATTTTATTGAGGATTTTTGCATTGATGTTCATCAGGTATATTGGTCTAAAACTCTCTTTTTTTGTGTGTCTCTGCCAGGCTTTGGTACCAGGATGATGCTGGCCTCATAAAATGAGTTAGGGAGGATTCCCTCTTTTTCTATTGATTGGAATAGTTTCAGAAGAAATGGTACCAGCCCCTCCTTGTACCTCTGTAGAATTTGGCTGTGAATCCATCTGGTCCTGGACTTTTTTTGGTTGGTAAGCTATTAATTATTACCTCAATTTCAGAGCCTGTTATTGGTCTATTCAGAGATTCAACTTCTTCCTGGTTTTGTCTTGGGAGGGTGTATGTGTCGAGGAATTTAACCATTTCTTCTAGATTTTCTAGTTTATTTGCGTAGATGTGTTTGTAGTATTCTCTGATGGTAGTTTGTATTTCTGTGGGATTGGTGGTGATATCCCCTTTATCATTTTTTATTGCATCTATTTGATTCTTCTCTCTTTTCTTCTTTAATAGCCTTGCTAGCAGTCTATCAATTTTGTTGATCTTTTCAAAAAACCAGCTCCTGGATTCATTGATTTTTTGACGGGTTTTTTGTGTCTCTATTTCCTTCAGTTCTGCTCTGATCTTAGTTAATTCTTGCCTTCTGCTAGGTTTTGAATGTGTTTGCTCTTGCTTCTCTAGTTCTTTTAATGGTGATGTTAGTGTGTCAATTTTAGATCTTTCCTGCTTTCTCTTGTGGGCATTTAGTGCTATAAATTTCCTTCTACACACTGCTTTGAATGTGTCCCAGAGATTCTGGTACGTTGTGTCTTTGTTCTCATTGGTTTCAAGGAACATCTTTGTTTCTGCCTTCATTTCGTTTTGTACTCAGTAGTCATTCAGGAGCAGATTGTTCAGTTTCCATGTAGTTGAGCAGTTTTGACTGAGTTTCTTAATCCCGAGTTCTAGTTTGATTGCACTGGGGTCTGAGAGACAGTTTGTTATAATTTCTGTTCTTTTACCTTTGCCGAGGAGTGCTTTACTTCCAACTATGTGGTCAATTTTGGAATAGGTGTGGTGTGGTGCTGAAAAGAATGTACATTCTGTTGATTTGTGGTGGAGAGTTCTGTAGATGTGTATTAGGTCCGCTTGGTGCAAAGCTGAGTTCAATTCCTGGATATCCTTGTTAACTTTCTGTCTCGTTTATCTGTCTAATGTTGACAGTGGGGTGTTAAAGTCTCCTATGATTATTGTGTGGGAGTCTAAGTCACTTTGTAGGTCTCTAAGGACTTGCTTTATGAATCTGGGTGCTCCTGTATTGGGTGGCTATATATTTAGGATAGTTAGCTCTTATTGTTAAATTTATCCCTTTACCATTATGTAATGGCCATCTTTGTCTCTTTTGATCTTTGTTGGTTTAAAGTCTGTTTTATCAGAGACTACGGTTGCAACCCCTGGCTTTTTCTGGTTTCCATACGCTTGGTAGATATTCCTCCATCCCTTTATTTTGCGCCTATGTGTGTCTCTGCAGATGAGATGGGTTTCCTGAATACAGCACACTGATGGGTCTTGACTCTTTATCCAATTTGCCAGTCTGTGTCTTTTAATTGGAGCATTTGGCCCATTCACATTTAAGGTTTATATTGTTATGTGTGAATTTGATCCTGTCATTATGATGTTAGCTGGTTATTTTGCTCATTAATTAATGCAGTTTCTTCCTAGCATTGATGGTCTTTACAATTTGGCATGTTTTTGCAGGGGCTGGTACTGGTTGTTCCTTTCCATGTTTAGTGCTTCCTTCAGGAGCTCTTTTAAGGCAGGGCTGGTGGTGACAAAATCTCTCAGCATTTGCTTGTCTGTAAAGTGTTTTATTTCTCCTTCACTTATGAAGCTTAGTTTGGCTGAATACGAAATTCTGGGTTGAAAATTCTTTTCTTTAAGAATGTTGAATATTGGTCCCCACTCTCTTCTGGCTTATAGAGTTTCTGTCAAGAGATCAGCTGTTAGTCTGATAGGCTTCCCTTTGTGGGTAACCCGGCCTTTCTCTCTGGCTGCCCTTAACTTTTTTTCCTTCATTTCAACTTTGGTGAATCTGACAATTATGTGTCTTGGAGTTGCTCTTCTCGAGGAGTATCTTTGTGGCGTTCTCTTTATTTCCTGAATTTGAATGTTGGCCTGCCTTGCTAGGTTTGGGAAGTTCTCCTGGATAATATCCTGCAGAGTGTTTTCCAACTTGGTTTCATTCTCCCTGTTCACCTTCAGGTACATCAGTCAGACATAGATTTGGTCTTTTCACATAGTCCCATAATTCTTGGAGGCTTTGTTCTTTTCTTTTTCTTCTTTTTTCTCTAAACTTCTCTTCTCAGTTCATTTCATTCATTTGATCTTCCATCACTGATACCCTTTCTTCCAGTTGATCGAATCGGCTGCTGAGGCTTGTGCATTTGTCACATAGTTCTCATGCCGTGGTTTTCAGCTCCATCAGGTCCTTTAAGGACTTCTCTGCATTGGTTATTCTAGTTAGCCATTCATCTAATTTTTTTTCAAGGTTTTTAACTTCTTTGCCATGAGCTCGAACTTCCTTCTTTAGCTCGGAGTAGTTTGATCATCTGAGGCCTTCTTCTCTCAACTCATCAAATTCATTCTCCATCCAGCTTTGTTCCATTGCTGGTGAGGAGCTATGTTCCTTTGGAGGAGGAGAGGCACTCTGATTTTTAGAGTTTCCAGTTTTTCTGCTCTGTTTTTTCCCTGTCTTTGTGGTTTTATCTACCTTTGGTCTTTGATGATGGTGACGTACAGATGGGGTTTTGGTGTGGATGTCCTTTCTGTTTGTTAGTTTTCCTTCTAACAGTCAGGACCCTCAGCTGCAGGTCTGTTGGAGTTTACTGGAGGTCCACTCCAGACCCTGTTTTCCTGGGTATCAGCAGCGGATACTGCAGAACAGTGGATATTAGTGAACAGCAAATGTTGCTGCCTGATTGTTCCTCTGGAAGTTTTGTCTCAGAGGAGTACCCGACCGTGTGAGGCGTCAGTCTGCCCCTACTGGGGGGTGCCTCCCAGTTAGGCTACTCAGGGGTCAGGGGCCCACTTGAGGAAGCAGTCTGCCGGTTCTCAGATCTCCAGCTGCGTGCTGGGTTAACCACTACTCTCTTCAAAGCTGTCAGACAGGGACATTTAAGTCTGCAGAGGTTTCAGCTGCCTTTTGTTTGGCTATGCCCTGTCCCCAGAGGTGGAGTCTATAGAGGCAGGCAGGCCTCCTTGAGCTGCGATGGGCTCCACAGGGTTCGAGCTTCCTGGCTGCTTTGTTTACCTACTCAAGCCTCAGCAATGGCGGGCGCCCCTCCCCCAGCCTCGCTGCCACCTTGCAGTTTGATCTCAGACTGCTGTGCTAGCAATGAGCAAGGCTCCGTGGGTGTGGTACCCTCCGAGCCACATGCGGGATATAGTCTCCTGGTGTGCCGTTTGCTAAGACTGTTGGAAAAGTGCAGTATTAGGGTGGGAGTGACCCGATTTTCCAGGTGCCATCTTTCACCCTTTTCTTTGACTAGGAAAGGGTATTCCCTGACCCCTTGCACTTCCCATGTAAGGTGATGCCTCGCCCTGCTTCAGCTCATGCTTGGTGCACTGCACCCACTGTCCTGCACCCACTTTCCGATACTCCCCAGTGAGATGAACCCAGTACCTCAGTTGGAAATGCAGAAATCACCCATATTCTGCGTCACTCACACTGGGAGCTGTAGACTGGAGCTGTTCCTATTCGGCCATCTTGTCTCCACCCTCCTCGATAAAGTATGTTTTAATAGGCCTTGAACCACTCTTGCCTCTAAATCCCTCTTTTACTGGCCTGCAAAAGATCCTTGATTTTTTCTATCAAATACTCATTTCTCAATGCATGAAATAAAAGGAGACTATGCATGGACCAAAGATGAGAGTACGTTAAGACCAATTCTAGTCTATGAATCTGAGGTCAAAAATTAAATAAAATTTAATTTAACACAGAAAAAAATGAAGCTTGTATTTACTTACAGTATGCCATAACCACAACCTTTCATACACTTCAATTATAATTACATGTTGATCTCATTGATTTATCATTTATTTAGTTTTTAGGTTATTTTTTCATGTGTATAAAGTTTTCCCAATTTGGCTGAACTGAGAACAGGCATTTTTTACAGTTTTATATTAGCAACCACTAGAGTACTTCATATATAGCATATTGCAGAGAATGTGAGCATCCTATCATCTCTGGAAACACTCATTCATCTAGCACTTTATGGAATGGGCAGTTGCTCTCCCTGCAGTCTGCTTTCCCACACTTTTTGCTGATTGAAATGTCTTGATATATCATTGTCTTTTTTTATATAGTCAATCATCAAACACAAATACAGAAATGCATTTATAGAATGTTATCTTTGTTTTTGATTATAAGAAATATGTACCCGTCTTGAAATTATTAGTATCAGCCTTCAGCTAGTGAAGAAAATTTTCGTAGACTGAAGTTTATACTCTAAGCAAGGTAACTTGAATTTATATGCTCATGCAGAGATGAAGCAGAATAATATGGTGGGTCCAGCTAATTAAGGCGAATAACCTAATTACAATGACTTCCACCCTATAAAATATGTAATTTCCATATTTTTGTTCTCACTTTAAATTTGCTTAAGCCTTTATTAGCATATCATATTTAATGAATGCATTTGTTCTATAATAATTGTTAAGGCTATACAAATCTATTAGTGATTCAGTATTTTCCGTGTTAAATATTATTTGACTTCAGGCCAAGGACCATACCAACTTAATTTCTGAAATTCATTATCAAGTACATGAAGAGTCTTGATAAATGCTTTTAATAAAAAGCAGGATACTGCTATCCCCCAGAATGAGGCAAGTGGACAATTATGGCATTTCAAAGGGAGACATTCAATAATTAACGGAGAAATTAGTGGAGAAAGATAGCAAGGATGGTATATATGCAGGAGAACAATATGAGATATGAGGAAACAAAGAAGATAAGAAAATAGCACACACAAGGAAGTGAACTGGACCAGTAAAACATCTGAAAATCTACTACTCGCATCAATGTCAAAAAATCTGAAGTGAACAGGTGATCTAAGCATGCAGCTAGCATCCAACTTCACACCCTCTTGGTCTCTAAAATACTTTTTTAGCTTCCTTGAACAAAGACACCACAGTGGGCTACACAAGGTGTAGAAAAGGAAAGGAAAGCTGTTCTGTCTCCTCTGCATGTATTAGTCATTTTCTTCCTCTGAATCTGTGTCTTAATTGCCTTGCCTGTCTTATTAGATTGAAAACCCCCTAGGTTGGGACCATCAGTACTAAGGTGTGCAGCACTGAGCTTGGCAGGTGATCAGCACTCAATAAATGTCTATTGCTACCATAAACCAATGTATAAATCTCAGAAATAGGCATAATAATGGACCTGACAGATTAATGCCCAGGGCTATTTTTGTACAGCAGCATGGGCTAGCCAAATCAAAATCAGATACCTCAGATTCAATTCTTCTCAGTTTTGCATGTAATTCTCAGCCTTTCACATTTTTGTCCTGTGACAGACAGGAATAAATCATAGTCAATTTTGAACATAATCAAATTTAAAAAATGTTCTCTTTCCCCCATTTTTGTATTCTTTTCAAACGCTATTGACCCATTATGTAGATTGCATTGCCTTTTTTTATTATTGATAAGATGGTTTCAAATGCTGCAGCAAATGTTTTATATGGTATTTTTACTCAGCATTTCAAGTTCTCTTTTTTGTGGAGGATTTTCTCTAGAAGCAAGAAATTCCTTAAAGAAGCCATTTAATTCATACTCTAACAAGTCCTCTGAGGTGACTAAGGCAGAGTTATTATCAGTGTATCTCACTGGATAATAAAATTAACATGTAGAGAAATGAGACTTAAGCAGGACCCCTCCCCCTAACTCCAGAAGAGAGGTAGTGAAGCCCTGGGTAGAATTCCCCAGAAATAAGAGCTCTTCACAGAAAGAAAAGGTTACTTGTGGAAGTTATTGAAGCTTTTTTTTTTAGGTCTTAATAAAATACAATAAGCTTCCAATTCCATTTTCCTTATGTAAAATGTTAGCTTTGTCTGTGAGTTAAGATTATTTTCTCATCCTTACAAAGCTCCACTATATCTACAATCAAGCACTAGTTTCCCTTTTTTTGTTTTTTATTTTTGTATTTTTTTCCTAGTCAGTGTAAAAGGTCACCCAAATTAGATGATGCAAATACGTGATATAATCATTGAAATTATTTTAAAGTTGTAATATATTTTTAATCACCATATAGTTTTTATTCTGTAATAGGAGATTATGTGCAAATAAATAATGTGTTTTTAGATTCAGTCTTTTTGAAGATGAATATAAGGACAAAGACAACGCTGTCTGTATGACCAATCATAGCTAATGAGAGAAAATTAGGGATTGAAATATGGACTAAATGCAAAATTTAATCTTGTGCATGACATAAAAAGAGCCTAGGTTTCAAATTTAGAGTACATAAATCAAGAATTATAAAAGGGGATATTATTTATATAATTTAAAGGCAAAAATGCATTTGTCTTTATTATTAAGTTATTCCATATAATTCCAGACTGTTGCCAACAAATATACCTGCGCATGTGGTACTGTCCACTAGGCTCCTGAAATTCTTGTGTGGGATGGTAAAGGCAAGGAAATATTTTCACATAAATATTTCTTTACAAAATATATTTACTCATGAAAGTAAATGTAATTAAAATTTTGATTAAGCTTTTTTTTCAGAAATACTTTTGAGTGCTTAGGGTGTATCAGGTGTTTAGGTATTAATTTTCATATTTCCTATAATCTCCCTTCCTTCAACATAGATTTATGGAAGCTCCATGTCTTTTATTTGAAATAGCCATGGATAATGAACAAGGTCTATAGAGGGAAAAAAACATCCACACAGCAAAAAAAATTGTTCCCAAAGATTATGAAGTTTACAAGCTTGGGTGCCTGGGAGAATGGTGGTAACATTAACAGAAATAACCAAGTCAGGAGAATAAATTACTGGTGAAGGGGCACTTAGTGAATGCAGTTTTGAATACATTGAATATGAGACCATTCAGACAAAAGTTACCTGTCAGTTAGTGTATAGAATAGAATCAGAATTTGAAGGAATAATTAGGACTGTATACCCAAATTTAGCCATTACCTGCCAAAAAAATGTTAAATTGAATAGTTATCTATTTTAGTAGATAAAAATAAAAGTCAAAGTGCTCAACACACCTGGAGGGAGAAAGAAATGGTCATTCCTTCTAGAGAAAAAAAAATGAGAAGTTTCTTTTCAAGGCAATTGATTAGTTGTCGTCCCACTCTGTTCTCAGATCTGGAGTGTAATTTCTCCAAGACAAGTTAAAGAAGGAGGAATATGAGACAAATTAGAGAACTCCCCATTATTTCTGAAATAATATTTATTTTGTAATGTTTCCAAAGTTGGTGAAATTCATGCAAGGTCCTATTTGGAGTGTTGGAAGCCCTGTGTTCATAATGGAATAATTGAAGATTTTTGTTATTTGACTTGTTAAAGGGGCTAGTAAGCGTAAGAAAAATCAGATAAAAAATTATGCAAAATGTTTACAGCATCTTGTGCTCTAATTTAAGCCCCTTCATTTGCTGGCTCAGACTAATTTCCTGTTATAAATACTCTGTTCCTACTTTTCCCAGTCCTTGTATTGCTGAACCTAAACAACCATGGGTCTGTTGGCTTGATTTAGAGATAATGAGAGACATGGATAATTAGTGACAGGCTGCCCATATATGTTGTTTGTCCTTTGTGCATTCATTTGTCCAGTTTGATCAGAGAAGCATAATCTTACCCACAAGTGTCTTCTCCACAGAGGCTTCATGGATTTTCCAAGTAGAAAAGTCTTAGCCTAAGAGCAGACTTAAGTGAAGGTGTACAGCATGGAGTTCATGAGCTGTGCCATGGAAACGGAAACTTGAGTTCCCATCTAAATTTTGTCACTCACTATGTGGCTTAGAAAAATCACCTAACTCTATAAACATCAGTGTCCTTGTATATAAAATCAAGATAACAAATGTCCCATAAGGCTTGTTATGGGTATTAAATGAGATAGACCCAAAACTACTTAGTTCTGTGGCTGCACATTATTTGCAGCCAATAAATAGGATATTGTTATTTTTATAACTAACCTCCACTTCTGTAGGCAAAACATAAAGACCTATTAGAAAATTGATGTGGAAGAAGACAGGTAAAAACAAGGAGAAGAGGAGTAAAGGATGACAATACAGTAAGTCAGCAGTCAGAGTTCCTTCATGAAGTTAGTCCTTGGTTTCATCCTTCCTTTCTTCTATCCTGATCAGGCCCTACCTCTATCAATACCTGAACTGTTTCTGTTTTGCCTGTGCTTTTCAACAAGTTACTTTGGCACATTTATTTTTTATTTTCAAAATTATGCAAATTAATCCAAGTTTGTTTCTTGCCTTAGAGTTTTAATTTTTATATTTTACTCTCTTTGTAATCTTTCTAAAATGTACTTCTGAGAAGATTATCAGCTGCTGAACAACCTGAGCAGACTCTCTGTAGTCTACATTGAGTTTAAAAAAATCTCTCAGCCTCTTTTCTTTGGTCTCCTTTCCCCTCACTGTTCCTACACATTCTACAATCCAAACATACCACTGTATTTATTTTATACCTTAAGTCATTGTACATGTTGCTCCTTGATCAATCTGGTAATTTCTTGGGTCTTTCAAAGATTCTACTTTTCTAAAGCCTTATCTAATAAAATAAAACAAAATTACTGCTTTTTACTTCATATCACCATCTAGCCTTTTACAGAGCTTATTATTGTATTAATCATACCATATTGCAATTCACGTCAGCTTATTTATTTACTAAGTTATGATCTTCTTCAAGAATTTTAGTTGTAAAATCAAGAAGAGAGAAATGTTAATGAAAAATGCCCACAAAGAAATTGATATCTGCTTGTTAATTGGTATATAATAAATATTTGATGAATTATATATCCTCAAATGCTTTCAAAGCTCTTAAGTATTCCCTCTATCACAGATTCCCTATGACAATCTAAGATTACTTGTTTAATTACCACTTGTTAAGTGTTTGGAGCAACTTTTGAATATTTTAAAAGAATTTTCTATTTTAAACTTAATTTTTCCCCTAGTATATAGACCTCTATTTGACCTTTATCTGTGAAGCCATGAATGTCTAATGGGATGCCCTTCAGCCATCCCCATTATGACCAAATACTAATAGCTAACATAGATGAAACAATTATCATATTACAAGTACTTTTCAAGGTTTGCCTAAATTAATTCTCACAACAGGCCTACAATGTAGCTATCATTTTCATTCCCATTAAATATCTGAGGCACACACATTTTAACTTCCTTGATCACACAGTTAGTAACTGGTGGAGCAAAGATCAAAACGTAGAAAGTCTGTGGATGCAGATTTTACTTTAACCACAGATACATTGCAGCAAGGCAAACCAGCCTGTAGTAGCCTGAATAAGGAGTGCGCTCAACATCAGTCACCACTAATGTTACACTTTTACTACCCCAGAACAACCAAAAAGTTCCTCCCCATATTTCATAGATTACCATCTCCCACATTCTTAAATGTTTATACAGGAAAGGAAATTTCCAGAATCTAGGCTGTATGTTTTCCATATGTAAATTGTTAAATATTCTATCCTGCATTCTTTAAATTATTTGCTTCAATGTTTGTTGCTGTCTTTAAAAATTAGCACAGAAATGATGATTATATTCATCGCCACCAGCTAAAAAGCATTGGACTCCTAGAGTGTAGCTTGAGGGATTTTGTAGGTTTTCTTTTTTCCATTAATATTTAAGCTTAAACTAAGGCAGACAAAACTGAATACATAACAAATAACCATCAAGGTTACTCTTTATGGGTCAAACAGAATGACAGCCTCAATTATTAAAATTCACTGCAACTGAAGGCAATGAATTTTACTGTGAATACTTTCCAAGTTCTTCCTCAAAATTGCTGGCTTTCCATTTTTAATAAGCTGAACTTGGAATTGTATACAGCAATTGGATGGAGTTGAGTTTCAGCTTCTGTTTTTCTTAAAAGATTTATAATTTCCTATGTTAATAGCAAATAATCTCTATGTTGATATATGTTCATTTGCATGCCAATATGATTTATAAACAACTCCCGACATTCTGGAGTTAGGTCAAGATCGCTGACCTTCTAGGGGAAGACCAAGGACCCTTGGTTCTGGTTCAGCCTATTCTACACTGAACTAAAATGAAGCCCATTCCTATGGTGTCCCAAATACCCCAACATCCCATGAATACCCCAGAGTAGAGAATTATTTTTCTGAAACATGCTGGAATCCCCTAATATGTAATATAGACTACTTCCTCTTTACCCACCCCAGTCACATTTCCTTTTTTATTTTCACATTTTTGCTATTTGTTCTCTCTTTATTTATTTATTTATTTATTTTGAGATGGAGTCTCACTCTGTCACCCAGTCTGTCGCCCAGGCTGGAGTGCAGTGGAGCAATCTTGGCTCACTGCAAGCTCCGCCTCCCGGGTTCACGCCATTCTCCTGACTCAGCCTCCGGAGTAGCTGGAACTACAGGCGCCCGCCACCACGCCCGGCTAATTTTTTGTATTTTTAGTAGAGATGGGGTTATACCATGTTAGCCAGGATGGTCTCGATCTCCTGACCTCGTGATCCGCCTGCCTCGGCCTCCCAAAGTGCTGGGATTACAGGTGTGAGCCACCGCTCCCGGCCGCTATTTGTTCTTTCTAATAACTTCCACAGGCTCCCTGTCAGCATCCAATTTGTTTGAGACAGATATGTCCTCTTTCCTGAAGGCAAAGATAGGTTAATATTGTCTCAAAAAGTCCATCATCCCACATAAACTGGTTCCACTCCTCTCAGTGAATCCTAGTTCCTTTCTCAAAATCTCTCAACCTCAGAGTCTCTATTTCTTCATGTAGAACTTTGTCTCCTCCCAGTAAGCCCACCTACATACATCTTCAACCTGCCAAAATAATGACAGAGATTGAGGATGGGAAAGATCGATATCTAGATCTATGGCTAGGGTACAGGGTCTACTGACCAAGGGATTTTGCCCTAGGCTAACCACATGCCTCTTGTTGAAGGAACTATACAGATCAGAAAAGGCCAGAAAACCTAAGACTTGGTCTGGGACCCAAAGGAGTCCACTGGTGAGCCATCCTGTTCATGTGGGACATTTTCTGTACCTTGATCTGAAACAGCCCTAAAATCTGAAATGCACCTGAGAAGGGCTGGAGTTTCTTCTTTTTTCTTAAGCTTACAATCACATTTCAGAAATTACCTTAGTGATGATGAGTAAAGGGCTAGTCTGTTGAAGGAGTAAAGACAAGAGTAGGAGAATCAGTGAATGGAAACATCTGCCTTTTTGTCTGTACCAGGGTTTATTTAAAAAAAAATTTCAATAGTTCCTGGGGAACAGGTGGTGTCTAGTTGCACAGAGTTCTTCAGTGGTGATTTCTGAGATTTTGGTGCACTTGTCACCTGAGCAGTGTACACTGTGCTCAATGTGTAGCCTTTTATCCCTCACCCTTCTCCTACCCACCTCCTAATTCCCCAAAGTTCATTATACCATTCTTATGCCTTTGTATCTTCACAGCTTAGCTCCAGCTTATAAATGAAAACATACAATGTTTGGTTTTCCATTCCTGAGTTACTTCACCTAGAATAATGATCTCCAACTCTATCTACGTTGCTGCAAATGCCATTATTTCATTCCTTTTTATGCCTAAGTAGTATTCCATATACACAATATATATACCATATGTGTATATATTCCATACACATGATATATATACATACACATATAATATATCCATATATACTATATATATATATGCCACATTTTCTTTATTCACTTGGCTGATGGGCTTTTAGGCTGATTCCATATTTTTGCAGTTGCTAATTGTGCTGCTATAGACATGCATGTACAATTGTCTTTTTCATTTAAAGACCTCTTTTTTTTCTGGGTAGATACCCCTTAGTGGGATTGCTGGATCAAATGGTAGTTCTACTTTTAGTTCTTTAAGGAATCTCCACACTGTGTTCCACAGTGGTTGTACTAGTTTACATTCCCACCAGCAGTGTAGAAGTGTTCCCTTTTCACCACATCCACGCCATATGTTATTTTTTTATTTTTTAATTATGATCATTCTTGCAGGAGTGAGACGGTATCTCATTGTGGTTTTAATTTGCATTTCCCTGATAATTAGTGAGGATGAACATTTTTGCATATGTTTGTTGACCATTTGTACATCTTCTTTTGATAATTGTCTTTTCATGTCCTTTGCCCACTTTTTGACAGGATTTTTTTTATTCTTGCTGATTTGTTTGAGTTCCCTGTAGAGCCTGGATATTAGTCCTTTCTCAGATGAAACAGTATACCAGCTTTTCTTGGGAAATAATTTAGAGAGAAAAGGGAGAATAATTGTCTCTCTCTCTCTCTAACTTCTGATACAATTTTCAAGATTTATATCATTTAATTATCACAACAAACCTACACTGTGGCTACCATTATCATTCCCATTGAATGGGCACATAGATTTTAATTTTCCTTATAATGAGAATAAGAGAAAGAGAATGAATGAATGAAATTCTTTAATTCTTCTCACATTTGGGCACAGAGGTGATAGGTAAAAATACAAGAGCACCACCAAAGTCAAAGTTGAACTCTGTAATCTCACAAGATTGTCTCAGGCTAGCTTGGCAGATGTATAATATGTATGCAGTCCTTGGGTAATCAGTGAGAAATACATTAGAGGGTTGTTCTTAGAGTATAAAGGGAAAGTTCTTGAATGAATTTCCCTAGATCAGGCAAGTCACTCCTGGAGTACTGGGAATGCTGAAATGGAGTGGGCCTCTGTTCCTCTGCATTCAGGGATGTAGGAAAAACCATGAAGCAACAGTACTTTTTTAAGATGCTAAAAATGATTTATCCTCCTACCCCTTAATGCAGATGTATGGTTTTTTGTTTTTTTTTTAATTTCAGCTGGAAATGGCTCCACCTGGGGTTATGTTGTGTTTCAATTAATGTGCATTTTTGTTAGTTTCTGGAAATGCTAAAAGCATGTTTGGTGGGTGGAATTTATCTAATGTCAGAACATGAGACAGAACATGAGAATGTGGAATTCAAAACACACATACACACACACTCACACTCATACACACTCACACACAGGTTTTCGGGTCTCATTAGATTGAGAGTGCTGATTCTTATGCTCTCAGCCTCACCTTGTGCTTTAGCAAGGGTCCCTTTTGTTTGGAACATCACCTCTAAATTATAATAAAAACATGGCAGTTTTTGGATTTGTACCCATCTTAAGAGCTTCGTGTTGCCTAACATTTTCACAAACCATTTTTCACAAACCTAAGAGCAATATACAATGATGATGATGAAACTCTGTCTATATTTCTGTCTGTCTGTCCACCTATTTATTTACTTAGAAAAAGCAAGAGCTAAATAACCTCCTGTGCACAGGCTATTTACTGCTTTAGGGCATAATCTGTTGCAGAACAGTTAAACTGTTGCTAAGGCATCTATTGTCTTAATGTACGCCTGGGTGGCCCCATGTTCCATCTTGCTCGGCATCTGTGAGTACGGTGATTCATTGGTAATACTAGTCTTTGAAGATCATAGTATTGCTAACTCAAACATGTTTGAAGAGGGGAAAAAACAGTGTCATTTTCTGTTGTTTCCATGGAATTTTCTATGACCGCTTGAGAACACATTTCATTTTGAAAGAGGATACACTAATATAGCTAAGAAAAGAAGCAACATTTAATTTTGATTAAGGATTCCATTTTTTTTAAATCTGAGATTTGCCTCTTTACTTTCATTTTCTTGTGAAAATAATATTCTAGGGTGTTGCATCACCATCACCATCATCTTAGCCAACAGTAACTACGTGTATAACATTTACAAAAAAGAGGGAAATTTAGAAAGCAGAGACCCTAAGCACACAAAAAATCTGACCCTTTCCTTCAAAGAGGGAATTGCTTGGTAGAGAGTTCCTACCCTCTTTCTACCTTTTTTCCTTCCTCCTCATAGAATATTTGTAAAACCAGGAGATTTCAACATTGATTGAGCCACAATAACCAGTGGGCTGAACTACTACACTGAAATTCAGATATTACAGTGGTCATTTGTGAAGAAGGTGACGGTCTTCTAGGCAGCTGTGATTTAAAGATGCTTAGTATTTGCACATTTAACTCTCACCCATACTGGGTGAGTATTGGGCATGTGCAAAGGTAAGTAGCGAACTTTATTCTTCTTTAAGACGATAAAAAAATCTCATTTTTATTTTACTTTGTGCTCAGTTGTTTGTTTGTTTTGTTTTGTTTTGTTTCTGCATCAAATGCTGCCTTTACCTCCACATTCACACTGAGATAAAAGTGAATGAGGATAGTTTCCAAAGGTGATTGCTCTTAATTAGATATAAACACTCCGTCAAATAAATATAGTTCTAAATTGAGAACATTAGTTATCCAGTTAAAAAAGGTTTTGTTAGTGTGAAAAGAGTCAGCAAAAATAAAACTTTTAAAGTAACATATCGCATCAAATTTGGCCAGGTCAAAATTCAAGAAACTAAAAAAAAAGAAAAAAAATTAGATTGTTGGATTTTAATGATCTGATCTTTAATATTCAAGACTACATACCATATAATCATTGAAGAATAATAATAATTTTGTTAAACTCAACCTTTTTTTTTTTTTCAAAATTTTTGAGGCAATGGAACATTCTGTAAACTTTATTTAGACTATAGTCTTCTGGAGCCATGTTTTTACTAATTTTCTAGTTGAGTGAGCATGCCTGACTGCTTAGAGCCTAAGTTTCCTCACTTAACATTTTTATAAGATTGACCTTAGGATAAAAGGAGAATTTGGGTAACATGTTAGATATAGGAGCATAGTCAATACTTGGCGAATGTTGTGTTTATAACATGGTACTTGCTATGTGCAAAGTGCAGTTTCCTCAAAGTGCCCATGCTTGGCAACAATTTGCTTAGCAACACTCCCCACCCCCCTACCCCCAGAGGAGTCTCGCTCTGTAGCCCAGGCTGGAGTGCAGTGGCGCAATCTCGGCTCACTGCAAGCTCCGCCTCCCGGGTTCAGGCCGTTCTCCTGCCTCAGCCTCCCGAGTAGGTGGGACTACAGGCGCCTGCCACCATGTCCAGCTAATTTTTTGTATTTTTAGTAGAGACGGGGTTTCACTGTGTTAGCAAGGATGGTCTCGATCTCCTGACCTTGTGATCCGCCCGCCTCAGCCTCCCAAAGTGCTGGGATTACAGGAGTGAGCCACTGCGCCAGACCAATTTCCCTCTTTTAAATCACCTTTAATTTTGTATTTTCTATTAGAATAGATTATATAAAAGTTTGACTATGTTTCCCCTTGTTCAGAAGCAACTCACACCCTAAAGCAAGTAACATATTCTGTAGTACCCTATTCAATAAAAAATAGCCTTTGCCTATGTAGTTTGTCTTTGTAAACATTTGAAGGGCAAGGAGTTAATTTTCTATACAACCGGTAAAGACATTTTTGAGGTCTTTGCACCTCTGGATGAATAATGAATGTTAATTAATGTTGACAATGACAATAGCATTTCATGTTTTTACCATGTTGCACTTTACCCGTCTCTAAGCCTTTTCCCCCTGAAGTGGGTTTTCTATTATTTTATTCATTATTTTACTCCTGGTAACTTGCGCTTTGTTAAAATACAGCAGATTTCTTCTTCTTGTAGGTTACCATAGCAAATTGCATAAGAATTTACACCATAAATTATTAATTACATCCAATTTAGTATAATTATTAATTCCAGAATACATTGGTGCCTGATTACATCTCAGTGCTCATTGCAGGATCTTGACCATGTTCTGCTGAAAATAATGATCTGTCATGGCTAATAAGAATCTAACAAGTCCCACTAAAAGGTGGAAACATTTAATTAATATTGGTTTAATGAAACAATGATGGATCCAATTGTTACAATCTGTCAGAAATTCCTCCTAAGGTAATCCAAAATATAAGTGGTAATGATCTTAAGAGCTAGCACTGATGTGCAAGCAATCAACACGCTTTCCAATTCAAGAGCAAATTGGGATGTACTCTTCCCTTAGTATCTTTCTGCAGAAGTAAATCAGCTCTACTTTCACTGAGAAGCTTTGCTCCCAACATCAGTTCTGGTATTTCAAGCTTTCATGCCTTGTGCTCCCAGTGAGCCCTTTCCTTGCATTAAAGATGCATCCTGTATTGAATGTGAATGTTCCAAGTTGCACTGCCTCCCACGCGGATCTCATTTTAACTCTGACTAAGTTGAGCTTAGCAAAGTTTGCAGTTGCATTGCCCACTGGGATTTTAACCTGGGTAGAATATGGCTGTAGATTCAGTTCAAAAGCCTTCTGGGTGCAAAACCATATTATTCTAAACATCCAGGGAACATCAGTAAATAAATAGGGCCTAATTTTGCTTTGAATTTTTTTTTAATGTAGAGAAGAAATAGGTCTCATGTGCAATCGGATTGATGTTATTATATTATTTAATATGACTTGATCCAGTTTTTGTTTATTTTTAATGGTGTATCTCCTCCAAATCAAGAGACAGATAATATTGTTACTTATTTTTAAAACTACGGAATACATTTGGTGCCATATATTTTAATCCTAGCAGAGAAAATAAACATGACATGTATGATAACATCTCTCTTACTGAGAGTAAATGATGTGCTGGGTACTTTGTGTACATTTGCTTTCATACTCATAATGGCGTTTTAAAGTAGACACTATGGTTCCCATTTTTAAGATGAGAAAGCTGAAGCTTGAGGTCCTCATGTAGTAAGTTGATGAGCAGAGAAATATTCAGATCTGTCTGCTGTTAACTATAATTAGCTACTTCAGCACATTTTATTGAAACATATCTGTAAACCAGAGGCATAAAGCAGGGACTGTTTGAACAGCTAAACTGATTAGTTTTTTTTTTTTTTTTTATCTTTTCTATATTAGACCACTGGGTGCATTTTAATGCTGTGTCTTTGAAACACACATGTGGGTAAGATGACCGAAGGGAGAAAGGCAGAACTTATACACTTGCCACCAATTCAATATCGGGTTTTGATTAAATACTCTCTGTTTCAAGAGTCACGAACTGATAGATATCAGACCCATCGACTATAGTAATGAGTCATATTACAAAACTAGTATTCATTGCATTTCAACTCTTGTGACTCCCCTATGTGTTTTCCCAGGAAAACATTCAAAAATCACTTCTAAGGCTACTTGCGTGTGTGTGTAAATTTTATTTAAAGTACTTTCCTAGAGCTTTGTGGGACTGGGACTCTGAGATCACTGTCAGTTGTTTTCCTTGAACACTCAGGGGCAGTAGATACCTCAGTAGCACTTTGAGTAAACACCTTAGAAAACCACTTATGGACAAATGCTATCATCTTTGCCCTAAAGTTCATTGAACACAAGCTGAAGGTCTTCTGCACCACCTGAGAATTTATTAATATCTTTAAGGCTCACCCCATGTGTATCACATTCAACCTACCCTGGAGTTCTCCAATATCGCAAATATAACTCACATGTAAGAGAAGAGGTTAAGCTATTTATATGTAACTGTTCTATTGGCTTCTGGGACTTCATTATACTTAGTGTTATATCATGCAGTTTTAGAGATCTTTTCTGGAACTACTTTGTATAATCCTTAAGCATTGTTAAAGCTTGTTACAATTTTTTTTCCTTATTTTCACAAGTTTATTGGGTCACTATAAAGCTGAGAGAAAATCTCCCAAGAGAAAGAACGTGAGAGATAGCTAGTGTGGGAACAAAGACTGGAAGAACCAGGCAGAATAAGGAAAGAGACACCATAGAAGTAGGTAGTAAAAACTGAAGGGAAAAAAGAAAGCTAGACCCACTGACCCGTCTGTCTTTATACAAGTGTATTTATCTTGGCAATTTCATGAAAGTGCCAAGTAAAATGCCTGATTGTTTATTTGTTAATTAATCAATAACATAATTCTCTTACTCCTATCCTCCAGAAGCAGACAATCAGATAATACAAAGTAATTATTATCTCCCTATTAATTTATTTAACTTTGATTTGTTGAATGCCAGAGAAAAGTTTTAGGAAATGCCTGTGGAGGTTATGCATATCTATAGATGAATAAAAAGAAGAAAATATTTATTTCTAATACAGGTATGTTTCAATTCTCAAGAGAGAATTGCAATGTAGAAATAAGAACATGATTTAAGATTACCTAATATAACATGTGTTTCATATTTCTACACCATAAAAATTCTGTTAATTTTGGAAAATTACTTTGGAAATATAGGAAATGGTTCTCACCTTTCCCTTCAATTAGGAACTTCCTCCGAATCTATCCTATGTAGTCATTAGGAAAAGAGATATGCATATTGGGGATGGTGGTGGTAATATTTCGACAAAATGCTAATGTATATTTTTCTTTTGCACTTTTGCACATAGCATATTTATAGTTGGGTGAAAGCAGCCCTCTGCCTCAAGAACAAGATTCAGAATGTGACAGAGGGGATGGAAAGATAAATATTTCATCTTCATTTTCTGACATTCAATGTCAGATTTGATGTGATCTCCTTTAGCATATCAACAGCCAGATTGGATTTTCTTTTCTTTTTTTTTTTTTTTAAACAGGGTCTGGATCTGTCACTCAGTTTATTAGTCAGGGTTCTCTAGAGGGACAGAAATAATAGGATATATGTATATACAAAGGGGAGTTCATTAAGGAGTTTTAGCTTACATGATCACAAGGTGAGGTCCCACAATAGGCCATCTGAGAGCTGATGAGCAAGGAAGCTGTCCAAGTCCCAAAGCTGAACAACTTGAAGTCTGATGTTCGAGGGCAGGAAGCATCCAGCAAGAGAGAATGATGTAGGCTGGGAGGCTAAACCATTCTAATCTCTCCACGTTCTGCCTGCTTTTATTCTGGAAGGACTGGCAACTGATTAGATTGTGCCCATCCAGATTGAGGTTGGGTCTGCCCTTCCCAATCTACTGACTTAAATGTTAATCTCCTTTGGCAACACACTCACAGACACACTGAGAAACAATAGTTTGCATCCTTCAATGCAATCAAGTTGATATTCAGTATTAACCATCACACCCAGGCTGGAGTGCAGTGGTGCAATCTCAGCTCACTGTAACCTCCGCCTCCCAGGTTCAAGTGATTATTGTGCCACAGCCTCCTGAGTAGCTGGATTACAGGCTTGCGCCACCATGCCCAGCTATTTTTTTATATTTTTAGTAGAGATGGGTTTTTACCATGTTGGCCAGGTCAGTCTCAAACTGGCCTCAAGTCATTTGCCTGCCTCAGATTCCCAAATGATTGGGATTACAGGCATGAGCTATGGCACCTGGCTGGTTTGGATGTTAGACAACATGTTTTTCTCTATGGCACATGTAGAAGAAGTTAGGGAAAAGACCAAAAGGAAGGAAATGAAAGAAGTTTAACCCTTGCACACAGGGAATTAAGGGATAAAGAAAAGGAGTAGAAGACATTAGATGCACAAACGTGGCTAATTCCCACCTGGAATGAGAAGGTATATTATGAAATAAAGATGTGAAGGGCACTAGTCTTCTTCCATCTTGAGCGATAAGGAAAGATAAGTGTGCAGAGCAATCCAGTACTGACAGTGGATGATTCCATCTAGTGAAGAGCATGGAATTGCATTCCAGGACTACAGTGTTCAAGTTTAAAATTCCAGCCAATTAGTGTGTGGCTAATGAGTGTGCTTGCTCACTCATTAGTGGGGAAAGCAGTAGCGAAAGTGAGATAATACAATGCAAAGGCTGAGGTGGGCTATTTTAGGACAGAAGACATTATGGAAGACAAGGCAGAAGTGTATAGTACTGGCAAACACCAAAGGCCAGAGAAAGACCACACAATGATTTCTATTATCTGCAAATAGTGGCAGTTTGAACCATAAGAATGCACAGAAATTGAATCAGTTATCGTTGAAAGGTTACTAACTGGTGCACATGAGGTGGATTTCCCCTTTCACCCAATGCCATGAGGTCATGTAAACTATTCATCTTATACCCAGACCACATCATGCAGAGGAACCAGGAAAACATCATGAAAATTAGATGTTGAAGTTGAAAAATCACCTCAAAATATAATTATTTAATAATAATATTACATCAGACTTAAATAAATAGGATATAATAAACAGGTCAATAGAATCAGTACACAAATTCTGAAGTTTTTAGCAAATCAATTTTTTATTGTGGGGAAATTTGTAACTTTGAGAAAAAGAATAAGTTAGGTCATAGCAGTCACATATATCTTGATGTGTGTGATTCTGTGGAATGGTTTTATAGAAGCAAGTTTAATGGAATGAGGAGATAAAAACTGGTATAGGAAAAATAGCAGAACCAACTGACCAGAGCAGTCACCACTTTTTCTTCTTCTCCTCCTTAGAAACACTCTCTCTGTTCTCCCAATTTTTATCAAACCGAATACTATATTAGTAAGATGATAAGGGAAATCTTGACAGATACTATGAATAATAATTTCTAATCACAAATGATAAAGGAGATATTTTACTAGCAAAACCTATCATCAACTCTTAATTGTCAATAGACAAATATTTTCTAATAAGGACACCTATGCTTTTTGCCAATCAGGGAAACAAGGGGAACAAAGGCTCAAACTACTGAAAAATAGTGACATTAGAATTATTGAACCAACCATATGGATAAGGGCTATAAATAATAAGTGTAGGCATATTGGTGCATAGGTAATAAATGTAGCCTTGTGTATAAAGCTTGTGTCCAAAAATGAAAAATGAATTCATTCTCTAGGAAACTGATATGGTTTTGCTGTGTCCCCATCCAAATCTCATCTTGTAGTCCCCATAATCCCCACATCTCATGGGAGGGACCTGTTGGAGATAATTGAATCATGGGGGCAGTTTCCCTTATCCTGTTCTCATGATAGTGAATTAGTTCTCACAAGATCTGATAGCTTTATAAGGGGTTTCCCCTTTAAACGGGCACTCATTTTTCTCCTTCCTGCTGCCATGTGAAGAAGGACATGTTTGCTTTCCCTACCACCGTGATTTTAAGTTTCCTGAGGCCTCCCCAGCCATGCTGAACTGTGAGTCAGTTAAACCTCTTTTCTCTACAGATTACCCAGTCTCAGGTATGTCTTTTTTTTTTTTTTTTTGACGGAGTCTTTCTCTGTTGCCAGGCTAGAGTGCAGTGGCGTGATCTCGGCTCACTGCAACCTCTGACTTCCTGGTCCAAGAGATTCTCCTGCCTCAGCCTCCCAAGTAGCTGGGACTACAGACATGCCACCATGCCCAGCTAATTTTTGTATTTTTAGTAGAGACGGGGTTTCACCATATTGGCCAAGATGGTCTTGATCTCATGACCTTGTGATCTGCCTGCCTTGGCCTCCCAAAGTGCTGGGATTACAAGCATGAGCCACTGCACACGCTGGCTCAGGTATATCTTTATTAGCAGTGTGAGAACAGACTAATATAGTAAATTGGTACCAGGTAGTGGGGCACTGCTGTAAAGACACCTGAAAATGTGGAAGCGACTTTGGAACTGAGTAACGGGCAAAGGTTGGAAGAGTTTGGAGGACTCAGAAGAACAAGAAGATGTGGGAAAGTTGGGAACTTCTTAGAGACTTTGTATTAGTCCATTTTCACACTGCTATGAAGACATACCCAAGACTGGGTAATTTATAAAGGAAAGAGGTTTAATCAACTAACAGTTAGGCATGGCTAAAAAGGCCTCAGGAAACTTACAATCACAGCAGAAGGGGAAGCACACATGTCCTTGTTCACATGGCAACAGCAAGGAGAAGAAGAATGAGTAAAAAAGGGGAACAGCCCCTTATAAAACCATCAGATCTCATGAGAACTCACCCACTGTTATGAGAACAGCATGGAGGTAACTGCCCCCATGATTCAATTACCTCCCGCCAGCTCCCTCCCATGACACATGGGAATTATGGGAACTACAATTTAAAATGAGATTTGGGTGGGGACACAGCCAAATCATATCACACTCATTGAATGGCTTTGACTAAAATCCTGATAGTGATTTGGACAATAAAGTCCAAGCTGAGGTGGTCCAACCTCATCTCAGATGGAGATGAGGAACTTGTTGGGAACTGGAGCAAAGGTGACCCTTGTTATGCTTTAGCAAAGAGACTGTCAGCATTTTCCCCTTGCCCTAGAGACCATGAAACTTTGAACGTGAGAGACATGATTTACGGTATGTGGTGGAAGAAATTACTAAGCAGCAAAGTGTTCAAGAGGAAGCAGAGCATAAAAGTTTGGAAAATTTGCAGCCTGACAATGCAATAGAAAAGAAAAACTCATTTTCTGGGGAGAAATTTGAACCTGTGGCAGCAATTTGCATAAGTAACAAGGAGCCAAATGTTAATCACCAAGGCAATGGGGAAATGTCTCCAGGGCATGTCAGAGACCTTGTTGGGAGCCCCTCCTTGTTGATAGGCCCAGAGGCCTAGGAGGGAAAAATTATTTCTTGGGCTGGGCCCAGGATTCCCCTGCTGTGTGTAGCCTAGGGACTTGTTGCCCTGCATTCCAGCCACTCCAGCTGTGGCTAAAGGGGGCCAAGGTACAGCTCAGGCCATGTCTCCAGAGGGTGCAAGCCCTAAGCCTTGGCAGCTTCCATGTGGTGTTGAGCCTGTGGGTGAACATAAGTCAAGAACTGAGGTTTGGGAACCTCTGCCTGGATTTCAGAGGATGTGTGAAAATGGCTGGATTCCAGGTAGAAGTTGGCTTCAGGGGTGGAGCCCTCTCGGAGAATGTCTTTTAGAGCAGTTATCTGAGTGTAGAATGGAAAGATGGGGTCAGAGCCCCAATACAGAGTCCCCACTGGGGCACTGCCTCATGTAGTTGTAAGAAGAGGGTCACCATCCTCCAGATGCCAGAATGTTAGATCCACCGACAGCTTGCACCATGCACCTGGAAAAGCTGCAGACACTCAATGCAAGACTGTAAAGGCAGCCAAGAAGTGGGCTGTACCCTACAAAGCCACAGGGGTACAGCTACCCAAGACCATAGGAACTCACCTCTTGCATCAGCATAATCTGGATGTGAGACATGGAGTCAAAGGAGATCATTTTGAAACTTTAAGGTTTAATGACTGCCCTATTGGATTTTGGACTTGCATGGAGACTGTAGCCCTTTTGTTTTAGCCAATTTCTATCATTTGGAATGGGTGCATATTCCCAATGCCTGTACCCCCACTCTATCTGGGAAGTAACTAATTTGCTTTTGATTTTACAGGCTCATAGGTGGAAAGGACTTGCCTTGCCTCAGATTAGACCTTGGACTTGTACTTTTGAGTTAATGTTAGAATGAGTTAAGACTTTGGGGGACTGTTGGAAGGGCATGATTGTGTTCTGAATTGTGAGGACATGAGATCTGGGGAGGGACCAGGAGTGGAATGATATGGTTTGGCTATGTCCCCACACAAATCCCATTTTGTATTTCCTATAATCCCCGCATGTCATAGGAGGGACCAGGTGGAGATAATTGAGTCATGGGTCAGTTTCCCCCATTCTATTCTCATAATAGTGAGTTAGTTCTCCTGTGATCTGTTAGTTATAAAACTAGAAGGGACTTCCTCTTTCACTGGGCACTCATTCTTCTCCTTCCTGCTGCCATGTGAAGAAGGATGTGTTTGCTTCCCCTACTACCATGATTGTAAGTTTCCTTTGGCCTCCTCAGCCATGCTGAGCTGTGAGTCAATTAATCCTCTTTCCTTTATAAGTGACGCAGTCTTGGATATGTCTTTATTAGGAGCATGAGAATAGACTAATAGAGAAACAAAGCAAGATAACTAAGGAAAAAAAATAGTGAAGGTGTCTAGATAGGGTGTTCATTTATTTTAAAGCTGCTCATATATTGATTAATTTTATATTAACAACATTATTAAAATAATTTAAAATGTGCATTGTTTTCATGATTGTAGCATTACAAACTAAGAATATGTGAAAAATATTATTTGTAGTTTTGCTTGCCAGAGATCACCACCATTTATTGAGATTTTTGTGTTGAATTTTGCTTTCTAAACAGGTACTTTTATATTACAGTTTTATTCATGACTACACATTCTAAAAAAGTATGCAGATAGATCATTTTTACTTTTTTTTTGTTTAAAAATGCAGGCCAATTGTCAAAATTGTGACCAAAGTGCCTTACTATGACCAGATGGTCACTTTCAAAAACATTGCTACAAAAGTCTTTTTGTGAATAGTCAGGGTGCTTGCACATGTATGGATCTGTATATTTGTAGCACGTGTATTGAAGAATATTGGGAGTTTTAGCATTGAGAAGCTTGGAGAAATGACTCTGCAAAGCTGACACTCAGACCTCTTAGGAGGGTGTGCCACCCCTCTTTTGGGGGCATAATAAGGCTTATCCAGTGAAGAAATTGGAGACTGAAATGAACTATCACTAATGGGGAGACCTGTTGCTGGGGTATGGTGGCTGTGGCAGCAGCCAAAAAGAAAGGAACAGGCTTTGTCCTTTGGCCTTGCACTCTTCATTGAGTGCTTCCTATTGGAAGAACCTAACAGAAACTTAGCTGGAAAGCTGAAACGTACGTTCTAGACTCCCAGCCCTAGTAGCACACAATTGAGTATAAAAAGGAAGGTTTGGAGATAAGGAATAAAAAAATCTTAAAAATTAACACAGTATATAAAAGTGAAGTGAAAGTGAACATTTTAAAGATGCGGTTTAATTGTCTTCTGAATTCCAATATTTTCATTAAGAGATCAACTGTCAGTTTTGTTGTACTCCTCTGAAAATAATGTATCCTTTTACTCTGGCTGTGTTTTAGATTTTATTCAGTTTTCAGCAGTTTATGTGTGAGGTATTTAGGTTTGATGGTTTGATTTTCTTAGGGCTTATTCTTGTTGGGGTTTGCAGAACTTCCTGAATCTGAGCATTGATTAACAACAACAACAAAAAATAGTACTGTAAAATACTTGGCCATTACTTATTTACCATCAGAGAAGATTTTCCTTTTCCTTTGCTAGGCAGTTAGGGTGGGGATCTGCTCACCTTAATCAGACTATGAACTGGCCTGGGTTAAGGCTAAACTGCAGGTGGGTAAGATTCAGTCAACCACGGTTCATCTGATTTTCTAGAGTATAGGTGTCAAGAAATTTCCAGCTTAGTTCTTTAATGTCTTGCCATGCACAGCTTTACAATTTGGCAAGTGACTTGAGGGGTAAACCAGCTTGGCATTTAAAGTCACTACAGTGTACAATTCTGTCATTCCAGGCCCTTTCAATTTCCAAAAATATAGCTGAAAGTTTAACATCTCTCTTCATGGAGACAAGAATAGATTCTTACCCTCTAATTGTGCTCAGATTGCCAAATATTCCCATGCAGGAAGTCTTTAAGGTGGTTCTGTACCAGCAGGAACAGGGGCAAATAAAAATACCCTTTTTAACCTCACACTACCTTAGAATATTTTGAAGTTTTAATAACCTTTTGACTTGTTATGGTTTTCATTTGTGAGAAAGGGAGACAAGCTGAGTTTCAGTGATGTATCATGTTGTTTCACTCTCTCCCAAATTACCCTAGTCTGAAAAGTCAGAATTGCAAGAGAAGAGACTAGGTTTCCTACTTTCCTTGTTATTCTCTTCTATATATGACATGCTTTTACCCAGAAAATTGTGGATTCTGGAGCTGTTGGCTATCTTTCTTTGCAGGATAGTTTTTTAGGGGGGCAAGCAAATATTTAACTGCATTTGTAGAGAAGCTTCCCATAGCACCTTGGCTATTTAAAAGGGGAAATTATATGATAAAATATAGGAAGTATCTAAGGGGGCCCAGAAAGGCAATTAGAATTACCAAGCCTAATAATGAGATGTCATAAACATGCTATAAATAGTTACATATTTTTAAGACCAAGTTAAATTTACCCTTTACTACTTTCTTTGACCAATTGGATAGCCTTGTTCATATACTATTAGCCAAGTTTGCAGTTTTGGGCCATGCGAACTTTGGAAATACATTTTCCATATTTTTACACCTGTATATCAGGTGCTCTCTGCCCCTTTTTAGCCCTCTTGAAAGGGGTAAGAACCAATAGAGTTCTTGGGTGTTGAGGGAGATTTTTCTGGGCTCCCACTAAATATAAGTTTCTGGAAGAATTTTCAAGTGTTTTATTTTATACATTTTATTTTTCCCATGGTGATCACAGACAAATGGGCACACACACACACACACACACACACACCATGAATGCTCCAATTGTAACACAGATATAAAGAAGATTACAGCTTATTAGAGATAGCAGATGAGATTATGAAATCTAAACACATTCATTTAAGACATATGATAAGATATATGATAAGTAGTCAAAGTAATGGAGAAGCCAAAACTGTTTAGAAGTAGAAATGACTTGTGGATAGGTTGAAACAACCCTGGATTAAGAATTAGGAGATCTTGCCTAACTGAGCTTCAGCAAGTCAGTTAACCTACTTGATCCACACTTGTAAAATGAGGAGACTAGATGAAATTATTTAACTAATAGTTACTCAACAATTACTTATTGAATGCTTACTTTAGATCAGCATTTTGTTAAGTTCTTGATTTTTGCTAGCTCTAAAATTTGGAGGGGCTATGAATTTAGTAGAGTGAGTGATATCTGTGGGTTTAAGACTCTTAGCTATGGAATGTTTCTTAGAGGAAAGAGAAAAAGGGAAACTGAGGCTGGGCCTTAGACAATATATATAAAAAACAATAGGAGAAAATGAGGTTGTAAATCTTGAAGATGCCTCCAATAAACTTCTGGGAGATAAGCCTCTAAAAGGAGATCAGAGAACAGATTTTCAATAAAGCTTCAATAGCCCATGCATTCTGTGCCAATAGGCACTTGTAGAAGGATATGGTATTGTGACACCAACACGTATATCCTTTGCAAGTCAAATATAAGGTAAGGTAATATTGTGACCTTTATTATTATTTTTAATGGGCATAAATATAATTGGTTCATTAAATAAAAACTACAAAATATGCAGCTCCCTTTGCGTTGACAAAACGTGAGAGGGGCATTAATTGATCACAAAGAACACGTTCACTCCCCAACAAATATATACATTTTTTTATGGCAACAAGTTGGCTGAATGTTTGCACCATCCAAACCATCTAAACTATATAAGAAGATAGACATTGAAAGAATTCTAATAACTTTGATCCATTTGTGGAGTTTGACTTAGCATGTGTGAGCAGAATCTGTCTTTTATTGGTGATGTTTGCATCACCAACATGGGTAAAGCCTAATCATTTAAAGAGAACAAGCATTTGGTCACAAGATGTATTAAAACACCAATTTTGGAATATTTATGTGAAACTAAAATAAATTAACCATTCTTGCCTGGACAACAACCAGAGTTGCTTCCTGTTCCCATTTATTTGGTAAATAGAGAATTATCTATCTGGATATCTATCTATGTATATCTATGTGTCTATCTATGTATCTATCTATCTGTCTAATTTATCATCTGCCTATCTGTATCATTTATGAAGTACCTAACTATCATCTTCTTACTTATAATTAACCACTATTTATGTGAGTCATTATGCTTTTGGTTATTCTTTATACTAGGTGATTATAATAATTATCAGTGTATCCTGGGAGAATAATCTACTGAGGATACAAAATATAAAGGAAAAAAAGTATCATTTCTAACAGTGGGGGAAATTGCAATTGCTACATTGCTCCAATTTAACCCCAAACATTATGTGTGTGTGTATATATATATATATATATATATATATATATATATACACACACACACAGTATATATACACACATAGTATGTATATATATATATATACACACATAGTATATATATATATATACACATAGTATATATATATATATATACACACATAGTGTGTATATACATAGTGTATATACATAATGTGTGTGTATATATATATGTGTGTATATATATATATATATATATATATATATATATATACATATATACTATGAAGTTTGTTGCTAGAAAGAAAAGGGAAAATAGCCATAATTCAATAGCATTTACAATCAAGTTTCAAATAACTGTCAAATTTTCCTTTAAGTGCTAATAAATAAGTTAGTTATTCCTCTCTCATATCAAGGGACTGTGCTCTATGACACACAGTAAATGCTGTGTAAAAGAAAGTTCACATACCTTTAGGATATGCCTGACTGTAAGCAAAATGGGAAAAGAAGGAATAAGAGATGAAGCATTTGCTGAAGTTATCATTCACTTGAAGCTTCTTTGTGTCCTGGGCTCTGAGAATTCTATCAACAGAGTGAGTGAAAACAGAGCCCACCAGAGCCCTAGAGAATATGCCTCAGGAAACTGCCTGGCCTGTGGCATTACGGACTGAGAGAGGTAGTCCTTGTGCAATTTCTACAGCTCAGCTTTCTGCAATTTACATATTCTGATTGGTACAAAACAAAACAAATATTACTACCACTGCTGTCAACACTGCCATGACAGTCTAAACATTTTCTGATTTTTGAATTATTTATTTGCTCCTCTCCTTTTCTCTTACTCATAGGTGTGCATAATTAGGCTAACTCATAGTCACCTTCTTAATGGTATACTTCAAAAACATGCAGTTGCAGAGTAATATACATACAGTGCTGTCATATATCACAAGGGTGTAGGTTAACCCCAGAAATTTTCTTTGTACTCTCTTCATTACATTACCAGCAATGGTATCTCTATTCTCAGTTTCAACACCACAAAAGTATCCTCTCTGCTTTTATTCAATAAGAGATTACATAGTTTGTTCTCTTTTGTACCTGGCTTCTTTTGCTCAACATTATATTGATATGTCCATTCATATGCATGTGACTACAGAGTTTTGATTCTTGTTACTATATTTCATTGTGTGAATATCCCATGATTTACTTATTTCAACTTTTGGTGAGAATTTAAAAGTTTTAAAATGTAATTTTTGAAGAGCTGTAAATAAACCACTTTACCCAAATATACCTTTCCTCATTACTCTTCATGCTGACTGGAAATCCTTGAAAATTGTCTTTAGCTAAACACATAGCTATAACCTCACGAGTAGGTCTTAGTAGTTCCTTTATAAGCCGGCTTTTACTTCTCCATTTCTCCTATATTGCTACTTCCTCTTACTGTTTTTGCTACAGCCACAATGAATTACTTTAAATATTTTTTTCTCTGTGCTTTTCACTTGGATAGTTTCTATTACTAGGTCTTCAAGTTCACTATTTTATTTTTACTGTGGTGTTTAATCTGATGTTATTCTCATCTATCGTATTTTTATATCTAAGATATATTCATCGCTAGGAGTTCAGTTTGGCAGGTTTAAAAAATATCTTCCATTTTTCGTCATCTTGCTTATGCCGTCTTCTGTCTCCCAGAACATGTGTCATATATTTATAATATAAAACAAATATTTTAAATATTTGTTTAATTGTATAATCTCTGCTATTTCTATTAACTGGGATGTCTCCCGCTTTTGTGTCATATTTTTCTGCTTCTTTGAATACCTGTTAACTTCTGAGTGGATGCCAGACATAAATTTTATATCTTTGGGTGCTGGATTTTTCTTTTAATCCTTTTATTATTTAGGGTTTTGTTATGTGATGCAGCTAATTTTGAGCCTTTTGAGGCTTGTTTGTAAGCTTTTTTAGGAAGGATAAGACAGCCTTATTTAACCTCACTCTACTGAAGACTGTACATTCTTCATGTGTTAGGAAGTCTCACTACTGTGGCTGGGGGATATCACTATTCCCCACCCTGTATGAACTTCAGTGATGTTTTCAGCTGCTCCTCTCTGATGATTCTCCAGCCTCAATAGTTTCCTCGTGTATACGTGCAGTTCGGTATTCAGCTGGAGATGCGGGAGACCCTCTGAAGATCTCTTGAGTTTTGTTCATCTGAGCGGATTGTTGCCCTATAGCACTCTCTATTTTTAGATACTTTGCCCTCCCAAAACTTTATAGTCTGACTCCTCAACTCAAGGAGACTGCCCTGGTAAATTTAACTTGTCCTTACAGGTACTGTCACCTGGAAACTCTCTCTAGGCAGTGAGCTAAGGCACTTGTAGGCCTGATCTCACCTCATTTGTGTCTCTTCTCTCATGATCCCTGTCTTGTGATGTCTATTGACAAGTAACTAAAAATGCCTGTTTTGTATATTTTTCTAGTTCTTTTTTTATTTTTATTTTTTTTGAGACGGAGTCTCTCTCTGTCGCCCAGGCTGGAGTGCAGTGGCGCGATCTCGGCTCACTGCAAGCTCCACCTCCCGGGTTTACGCCATTCTCCTGCCTCAGCCTCCTGAGTAACTGGGACTACAGGCGCTCGCCACCACGCCCAGCTAATTTTTGTAATTTTTTTTTTTTTTTTTTTTTTTTTTTTAGTAGAGACGGGGTTTCACCGTGTTAGCCAGAATGGCCTTGATCTGTTGACCTCGTGATCTGCCCGCCTCGGCCTCCCAAAGTGCTGGGTTACAGGCGTGAGCCACTGCGCCCAGCCCATCTAGTTCTTAATGGTTGAAGGTAGGGCAGTAAATCCTTGGTTACTCCATCATGACTAGAAGCTGAAGTCACTACCCAGAACCACTTTAATTTGAAAGCAAATTTTGATCTCTGTTTCTGCGGCTGGCACATACTGTTCTCTTTGTCAGTCTCTCTCACCTCATTTTATTTGATTTATCTAATATGAAAGAGAATCAATAAATGTTTATTACATAAATGAATAAAGGAATAATACCTTGAGATGACACAATAATTTTTATGATTTTTTTGATTAGCAAATTGATCCAGTTTTTGAGTTGAGCTAGCTAAGTACTATTTTCTATATTCTCAAGAGAGGAAGTTGTAAGGACTTAGATGTGTATATATAAGTTAAGAAAGAACTGTATCTTCAGGCCTTGCCCTTGAAACCACACCTGACTGTACACCATAGCAGAGGCTCAAAAACCCAAAAGGCACAGAAATGGGGAGGGAGTTGAGGAAAGGAGAGAGAAACAACAGAGAACAGGGAGCTGTTGAAGAGACAATGCTTTGTTATTTTGCTAGGGCTTGCCTGCTTCTTAAAAAGAGTCACTTAGCACATCATATTCAAAATCCATGATCTCTTAAGGTTGGAAGTCATTTTGAGCATAGCTATATTGCTATTCCATCAATGTAAATAACTTACTTAGCCAATAAACTTGCATTTTAGTAATGGAGAAAATTGGCATTTTTTTTTTTTTTTTGAGAATGCTTGATTCTCTTTCCTATAATGTAAAACAGCACAGAATGAGTGGACATAGTCAAATTGGAAAGTGGCCATATGTCATACTTACATTAGGCAGTTTAGGTAATTGTTGTTGATTCTTATTGCCTTTCCCTTTTTACTCAAAATGCACCAGAATGAAAAGAACATTATGAATATTACTGTTTTTTTTTCTGAAATATTCATCGTATATGTGAGTCTTTTAGTTTGCAAAAAACTTTCTTATATGTTTTTCTCTCTAATCAAAGCAGCGATAATATAGTGAGTGTTGAACAGGTATTACTACCTTTCTTTATATTTTGGAGCCTCACATATACGTATATATATATATATGTGTATATATATATATATATAGAGAGAGAGAGAGAGAGAGCATCTTTTATAAATAGTGTAACTTCATACTGGTTTTTATATTGTGATTCTTGAAAACTTAAGATTTCACAGAGACACCATAGAGGCAAATATGGAGGAAAGCAAAGGGGAGACCAAGCAGGGCTCTAGGACCCTCACCTTTACACCAGCTAGAAATGCTCTGCTTCTTCTCTTTTATCTGTGAAGAAGGATTTGCATTAAATCATCCTCTCTCCCTCCCCTGGTACTGTTATAATGAACTGACCTGAAAATAAGTGCATTAAGTGGCCATAGAACATGAAGACACTAATTAGTTCACTTGGGGATCAAATCCATGATAACAGACTGATTCATGCTTTTCTCTATCCCCAAAACTATTCAGATAAAAGCAAAGAGAGAAAATAAATCTATCATACATATGACAATCCTCAAGAACAAACACTTAAAGTTTCAAATATGATCTTGTTGATTCTGTCAGAGGAAAATAATTCTATCACTAGTTAAGAATAAGCGATAATTGAGTCTGGACAAGTAGCAAGTAAGATTTCACAGCAAAAGAAAGGCAAATAGCCAAAAAACATTAAAAAGGCTTAGCCTCTCTTGTAAGCAAAAAAAAATTATAATAATATTACAGTGAGACTATTTTGAGACTTTCAATTTGGCAAATATGTTTTAAGTTATTATATAAAATGATAAAATTGTCTCTTCATACACTGTTTTACATAGCACATACTAGTAAATTATTTCTGGAGGGTAGTTTAGCATTTTGCAAGAGCCTTAAGCATATTCTTATGCTTTGACCAGTATATTCTACTTCCAGAAACATCCAAAGGATACAATCTCATATTAGGCAAGAATACATACTCAAGTTTTATGTTAGCAGTGTATATAACTTAGGCTCTTTTAAGGAACAGATACAAGTTTACCTTCAGGCATTAGGGGCTTGTTGTAAAGCCATGAGATTAAAAGAAGAAAACAGACTTTCCCAGGCCAGGCCTAAACCCAAGTGGTATTTGGTTTAGAATGAAGGGGGTAGGGATGGTCATTTGAGACATGCTGAAGTTCTTCAAAAGCCATCATCTTGTCTCATCCTTAGCAGCATGTGCCCACTGCTTTCTCCTCCCACAGGTTACCATTTTTGTTTAAGGAGCTTTATTTGTTCATTGTCATTCTGACTGTTGCGTATTTTGTCATTTCCTCATAACTACTACACCCAGATTCTGATGATCACTTTCTCTCTTTATTTTGGTTTCTGTCCTCACAAAGAGATTTTGAACTTCTTTGAATGTCTTGATTGCACTTTTGCAAGAAAAATAGTTTTTGTTTTCGTTTTTTGCCAGAAACTTTATTGATTATTGTCCAGTGCATTGGTAAAATCCCCAAATGTGAAACAACTATATTTATCCAAAAAGAGGAGAACTGGCACAGACATAGTACTACACATATACATTACACAATGTTATACAACAATTATACATGTTTGCTGATATTGTAAAAAAAGTATATGATAAAGTTTAAAGTGAAAACGTATTCAAAACTATATATACTGACTGAGTAGTGCCAATTTTAGAAAAATATATATGTAGAATATAATATTGAGACAAAATGCAGTAAATTGTTGAGGAATTACTAGATGGTGAGATATAGTGATCTTTATTTTTCTCTTTATATATTTGTTTCCTAAGTGTCTTTTGAGTCTATGTTGATTTTATGATAATAATGCTATTTAATTTTAATAAATCAAAACAGATTTGAAAATAAAAAATTAGGTGACACACTAGATGAGAGAAATATTTCTGGTATTACTCATGAAACAAATTTTTTTCTATGATGCTTATATTTATGGAAGCAGGAGATGAGAGTCATTAACTTATTTAATCCAATAAAGTATACCCCTTAGGAAAGTGACTGCACATTCAGAGTTCTTCTACGCTGCTTCAGGGTCCCTTTCTTTAAAATGTTAAAAGGATGTTATCACTTGTTTCTCATCCACTCACAGGCAATCTTTCTCATCATTTTCCAAACAAATGGCCAATCAATAACCATGGTGATAACAAGTGGCTATACATTTCTGTTTTAAAGAAGTAGCACACTTGTCATTTACCACAACCCTTCTCAGTGCTTCCTAAAAGGGCAAAAAAAAAAAAAAAAATTAACAGAATGAATCTAAGCCAGTCGTGTCCCTTGGTAACTATTTATTCATATTTAAAGATATGCTCACACCAAAATAAAGGTCACATATTTATGTATATCTGATACATCTCCCTTGGAAGATGGTGAGGGGATCCTGGGGCAAACAAACAACATTGGACTCATCTTTACATACTCTCAGCAACTAGTATATAATAAATTATTAAAAAAACCCACTGAATTTGAGAGCAGAAAGACTTTAGAAATTATGTGCTCCCTTTATTTTGTAGTTTAGAAAACTGAGGCCCATAGAGAATAAGTTATTCTCTCAAGATCAAACAAGTCAATGGAAGAACAGAGTAGAAGACAAGATTTTCTGATGTTAACTTGAAAACCCTGCTCCCTCAAAGATGAGAAACCTCTCTTGTCATTTGCAGCTAAACTACCTGTACCAAGTTAGTGTCCTCTTCATTAATCTTCAGATAAAAATAATTTAGTCGCTTTAGATTCCAGTGAGAATGGTTTTCCATTTTCTTCCTTCTAGTTTTTTCTTTCTTGTTCTTGCATATATTTAGGGAGTAAAAAGATGGGTAGTAATATTTATTACTGTGTTTAAATTTAAATAGTATTTCAGAATAAATAAGTATTGAAGAGGAAAAGGCTTAAATGAAAAACAAGCTAGAAAACAAACAGACAAACAAAAAACCTATAGAACCAACCAACCAAATAGAGAAAAAAACAAACAAACAGAAAAGAAAAACTACAAACAAATCATCAAAACCTAAAAACTTGCAACATTTTAATACCAAGTGATCTTCTTTTCTAAAAAAAATGTGAATTTAAGCTTGCATATTTGAAAACTTATATGATCCTAGAGGTTTCTAATTTTTGCTGCTGACAAGTAGTTGGCCAGGGTCTTTTTAAAACAAAAACATTATTAACAGATTCAAGGTTCTTTGCCTTTTCCACTTTTAAGCATTGCTTGCAAAAAACAGCAGTTGAGTTGAATTGGGTTGGCAGTGACTTTAAAAACCTACAGATGTACACAAACAGATTTCTCTGTTCCTTTTTCCACTAAGGGAAAGTAAGGCTGGTTGGTATAGAGAGTAGAAAGAATTGTTTGCACCAGCATATTTTTACTTGCATCTCTGCTCACCCTACCACTCCCAGAAATATATGGTTTAGATAATTCCTTTATAACAGAATTCTAAGACGAAAAATTTGGTTTACAGTTTCCCTGGCCTCAACCCTAAATAATTTCCCATAATCATAGTAAGTTACAGGTTTGTACAAAAATGTGAAATGAAATTAAAAAGTGTAGGAACTATTATCTCAATATAATATTATGCAATATCATATCAATATTTTTGTCAGTTTTAAAATGCTATTATTTTTCATTTATTCTTAACTTGGTGGCATATTGTTGTCATGCTAACAAACACTAATGTAAAACTTTCTTATAGAGACTAGTACTGATGTCTACATTTGAGGACACATGCGCATAAATCAGCCAGTTTTGATACAGAGTTGATGAATAAAGACCATTATTATGAAAACCTCTTTTAAATATAAATTCTATTTTAAACACTCAGGTGAGTCATATAAATCTGTATATTGTTATTGATGTCAAAATTGGATGTTTACTTCCTTTCACTTTAAAAAATTCTAACTTTAAAATGTTGCTGTGTGATAAGTTATATTCAAACTTAAATGATCAGAGAAGGTGATTCTGCATGTGATGAGCATAACTAGTTTACTCATCTTCCAATATTTATGAGATACTCATAATCATAATTAAAGATTTTGTGCACTATTGATAGCATATATGCAATGTGCATTCAAGATTTAATAACTTGTTTTGAAGAGAGGATTATTTCTATTTCATGTGGAAATCTGATTGAGTTTTACTAATGATTTGATCAAGCATCCCAAGAAACTATAACAGTAGGGCACATATTCCCAATGATGAAAACTGTGCCCAATTTAAATACAAGATGAATATTAATGGGATGCCTTCTTCCCTTTCAAATGCCTTCCCTGTTTTACTCTCTTTCTTGGGTCATTGGTCTTAAAGCTGAGTTTTAAATAGTTTGAACAGTTTTATTGTCTATAAAATTATGCATAAAATTTATATGTATCCTGTGAGACTGTCCAGAATAAATTGTATTAATTTGTATTAATTATTTTATTTGCTGAAATGTTCTTTCTCTTGCTATGCCACATGCATTCAATTATGGGAACTGGGAATTCTTTAAAATACCACATTCTGGCTTGAAATGTCTTGAAAATCTTTGGGGGACTTTAGCTTTCCTTTAATAACAAGTCCAAAATTGTGCCTACTGGGCCTCTCCAGTAAAAAGAAAGATTGCACGTTGCTACAAAAACAGTATTGTCATATGGCTGATATCTGTCAAATGGAGAATAACTCCACAGCACAGAAAAGAGTTGAGAGAGGAAGGAGGACATAGGCATTCAAAGGTGAAAACTACTTTTTTCCCCTGGAAGATATATATTTTTTAAGACAACAAGAAGAAAGAGTTGTATTTTTTAGTCCCTCTCTCCCCAGGCTTTACAAAATGTAGACTCTCTGTTGTCGAGTTAGAAAATTAGAGCTATGATTACCCTAAAAAAGTTTTACTTGTCAGAATTTCTTCCCAGCATGTAAAACACCTCTTTGTAGTGTCTCATGACACATTTTCACTTCTATAAGACATACCATGGAGAACACCTTGTCCAAAAGAGTCAGTGTCAATACTTTTCATACAATGTCAATTGATTCTAAGAATTTTCTGCTTTATTTTCCACTGGGTAAATCTTTGTTACTTTTTGGAGGTTGACAAATTTAATTTAGTTCTGAATTAATCAAAGAGAAACAAAGAAGAACTATTTGTATTCAGTGTTGGTTTTACAAAATAAATTGATATTCAATGAGCACAAGTGTGTGTATGGAAATATGTTTAATATTAACATATTAATGCTAATAAAATATATTTTATGAAAAATCAGGTTAACAAATAAATAGAAAAGTATTTCAAGACTATTAGTTGATGATGAATAGAAAATGATGAGCAATATAGTGGTCCTTCAATTTTTTCAAAAAGAGTAAGATATGAAATGGGTGAGATTTTTTAATCTAGTGGCTTTCTTTATCTTTGTTCTTCTAAATTTTCTATTTTAGTAGTACCTCGGCAAACCCAGCTCCCCACAATATTGATTGTTTCTGTCCTTTACTTAAAAATCTGATTTCAGAAATATTGTATAATATGGAAAGGGCCTGAATATTGAACTATGAAGGAAGACATTAAGACCTGGTTTTGTTTCTTACCAACAGTGTGTCATTGGACCAGTGATGGGCTGCTAAATGTCTAACAACGGGCTCTTTATGGTGGCTGGGGGTTGCGGGGGGGAGCTTTAAGTGTTTTCTGTTCTTACTGTATAAATTCTATCATGGCCAATTTCAAGCTATCAAAGAGATATCACTGTATGTAGAATTGAGAAGAAATGTGGACAACTGGCTGGCATGATCCCATAGCAGCTGGCTTCACCACATCACTGTTGTGAACAGACATATCACTCTTCTAACTCTATTTTCTCTCCCATAAAAATGAAATAATAATGTGTTTCTCACAGACAGTTGAGAGGATTCAATAAACAAGATACTAGTATGTTTAGTTTATTAGAGAAATATAGTTAAATTAAAGATCAATGCTGAAAGCCTCCAAGCCCTAGGAAATGTTTCAGTAAAGCCCAATAGAGAAGGGATACTCATCACATTTACGAGGCAGAAAAGTAGGAAGAACAGATGACAGAATTGAAGACAGAATCAAGAATTAAAAAAAAGTTTTGAAATATTTGAGTAATGGCTATATCAGAAAATATCCTGGTAACACATACACATGTGCTAAAAAAACACATGCTGCTAAAAAAACACAAACATTAAGCAGGTGAGGAAGAGCTCATTTTAAAGACAGATTTGGGGGATTTGTAAGACAATATGCCTTGTATGGTGTCAGCAAAGCTTATAAACTCAGAAGTAGGTTATTTCAATTAGGGAAGTAAGAATCCCTCTCTAATCAATGGTTGCCAGTTTCCACCTGGAAAATCTGCCTTCAGTTCTGAGTGCTTAAACATTAAGGTTAAAACAGAAAGCTTGCAACACAAGAGTAGATTAATCAGATTTAGAAAATAGTTAAAAATCAATTAATTGAAGGAATTACAAATGTTAAGGTTGGAAAAATGAAGATGCAATGAAAATGTGATTTCTAACATTAAAATGAAATATATGAAAGTTTATCTTATATATAATTTCAAGAAAAAAACCAGTGTTGAAGAGTTTTAGGAAAACTAATTTTGCTTCAGTGTGTGAAATTTCTAAAGATAAAATTACCTTTTTTTTGGAAACCAGGTTGCCCAACATGATACCTGGTCAGATAACAAATGGATGAGCAGATGAGAAGAATGGGATTTAATGATGCGAAGCATGGTTGTGAATTATGACATCAAGCTTCCTTTCAGTTGTCAGTTGGTATATTTTTGAGTTTCTGTTTTTAGAGATAATGGAAAAAAGAATATTATCAGAAGTCCAGGGGTGGGAGCAGCGTTGAAAACTTTCAAACTTAATTTGTCCCCATAATTTCAGATATGAGAAATTCATATGAAAAATCAAAGCACTAGAAAGGTGAGCAAAGGCAACTACTTTAGAATACCATATGGAAGATCTCCTTGGTTGGTGGGGAAGATGGAGAATCATTACCACCAGTGAAATTTTACAGCATGGTGTATTAACTATTATTGTCACTCAGCTAACAACACTTACGATAGTGTAAAAGGTCTCTTTTTCACCTACGCAATTTGTGGGCCAAGATTAAGAACTATTTAATCATACACTTTCAAATCTCTGAGCAATGCATGCTTTACACAATTTTCTGATCCCTCATTGTGAGGTTTATTTTATTTTATTTTTTATTTTTTGACACAGGATCTCCCTCTGTTGCCCAGGCTAGAGTGCAGTGACATGATCACAGCTCACTGCAGCCTCGACCTCCAGGGCTCAAGGGATCCACCCACTTCAGGCTCCCAAGTAGCTGTGACTACAGGGATGTGCCACCATACCCAGCTAATTTTTTGTATTTTTTTTGTAGAGATGAGGTTTGCCATGTTGCCCTGGTTGGTCTCGAACTCCTGGGCTCAAGTGATCCCCTGCCTTGGCCTCCCAAAGTGTTGGGATTACAGGTATGAGCCACCGTACCAGGCCATGAGGTTTATTTTAAATCTGCCCAATATAATCTTGCCCTTTGAATAGTACATGATTTGGGGAAATATTTATTAACCTCTGATATTTAGTCATCCATCACATATTTCAAAGAAGCTTACATTTTCTGTCTTCATTGCTGTACTACAGATTTATACAAGTTCCTAGCTTCTTTCCTTTCCCTGGCACTAGCTTGGACTCTCAGGATGAAGCCTCAGTACTCATGGGGCAAATATAAATTTTTCTACTACCCTTGAATTTGGTATATATTCTCCCATTTAATTGCATATTAACTAGCTTTAGCTCAAATAAATCTCAAAGTCTATTATTAGTTCTCCAAAGGAAAAGGCTTTGATCCCCTCAGCTAGAGGTTTTAAGATTCTTTTATTTGCTAATCCTTCAACCTTGGCATGGGCCCATTGTCGTTTCAGTTAAGTCCTCAACAACCACCCTAAGGTGATGTGAAGATTTATCTGAAACAACTGCAGGCATGGTCTTCTGGGGATTGCCCCCATTTTTCTGTACTATGTTACCAGGGCCCTGTGTCTTTCAGGGCCTGAGTTTGGGGGTGTTGGAAAAGATCTCCAGCATCCTGGTTGCTTGATATTCTGTAGTAAACCTGAAGCTGAAATAAAAATTCTAAGACTATTGATGATTCTTTTCTTGTTGTCATTAATTTGGTGCTGATATGCATGTAGTTGAGGGAGTTTTCATTGGTTGAAGTATAAACTACCGGAACATTCCCCTTACCAGCCTGTTTACATTGAAAAGTTATATACTTTTGAGCTGGTGTCTTTTTAGCAGAAGCTAAAGACTCATTCTCTGCATCTCTCTGTTAGACTAGAGCTTCTAATCCCTGTTATCAATGCTTTACACGAAAGGTTTGAAGGGATCACCAACTGCCGGCATACAGGTTTAAACCAAGTGAAATACAAAATCTTGAACTTAAATTCTGCTCTAGAGACTTAGGAAGGCTGCCAGCTCCCTGTCTCTGACAAGCCAGCTTTTATCGGATGGGCTAAATTCCCCCCTCTATTCGTTACCACAGACCTAGTGGGTGTTTTTGCAATTGCTCTGGAACCCCCTTTCTTGCCAACTCGGGAAGTTTCTTCCTTCTCTTTAACTGGTATGGGTTTCATTAGTTGGAAAATGCTGGGGAGCTGTGCCTTATCTGGCAGCCATAACTTCAGCAAATCTCGTTGGGTTCTTTTCTACTTTACCTTCTCTAGAAGGGCTTCTGTATGAGTGACTACACTTTCTGATGACTAGCAGCCCTCTTATTGGCAACACTCACAAATTCTGGCTTAAAAGTTGTCACTCTTTCAGGCAGTTATCAAGTCATTGCTTTCCTTGTTAAGGATGATTCAGTTTCCAGGTAGGAGTTTCTATCAGCCTCAGTGTCATCCCTTTGTCAGACTCTCAGGAGCGTGTTCAGCTACAGTTCAAAGACTCTATATCCCAATGATAAACAACAATTCCTATGAATAATTTCAGAAAATCATGTATATTTGTTGATTTATGGATAGATGAATGAATTATACACTTTTTACTAAACTAGTATGCCCTGTAGACCTTTTTTCCCCAACTCAAACTATGGTCTACAGGCCACATGCAAATGAATTCTCAGAGGTACTTTCTTATCAAAGTGTGCTTGTGTTCCCAGACCAAACTGAGGGTCAGGCTGCTCATTTTTACAGCCCAATAATAAAATACAGATGAACTAGAAGAGAAGGGAGTTTATTTCTGTAGCTCATTACAGGGAGAAGAACTGGAAATTATCACCAGACCAACTCAAAAGTATAAAGTTTTCCAGAGCTTATATGCCTTCAAAGCTATATGTCTACATGCAAGTGTGCATTCAACTAAAGACATAAGTAATTAACTTATTTTAAGCTATAACTAAGATCTGAGTCCTGAACACCTTCCTCTGGAGCCTTGGTAAATTTACTTAATCTAAATGGATCCACATGCTGGAGTGTTACCCTTATCTTTTTTCCTGCTAAATCATGGAGATTTGGGGAGTTCCTTCCACCAATAAACTTGTTTGTGGAGGCCTGGGGAGTTTCTTCAGACCCCCAATAAAACTTGTTTAATCCTAAATGGGTCCTGTTAAGATTTCCTTTGTTATCTTCTCATGCTTCAATGCCCAGGAAAGGCCTAGGAAAAACTCTTGCTGGGCTTTCGTTACCTCCCAAGGCTTTGTATAAGAGCACTGCCTCTTTCAGCTTTTAATATTTATTTACCACTTAGTCAGTGCTGAAACAGTTGTTATGGAGATCTGCATTAGTGAGACCTGGCTTGCCACACTTGGAACCTGTAGAAATTAGTCTCCATGACGGTATTCCCATTCTTGTGAAATTCTGCCTCCCATTCTGCTAGGGTTTGTCTATATGACTAACAGAATATGGCAGAAGTGATGGTAGGTCACTTTTGAGAATAGAATGTAAAGGACATGACAACTTCCATCTTGGTCTCTTAGCCTCTCTGTCTCTTGGATGACTCACTTTGGCCATACAGACAAACCCTGGTAGAATGCATCACTTTGGTGAGTCATCTAAGAGACAGAGAGGCTAAGCAACCAAGATGAGAGGCAAGTGACAGAGGAAGATCCTGACTTACTTTGGTGTGTCATCTAAGAGACAGAGAGGCTAAGTGACTAAGTTGTCCTACACAGAAGCCCTACAGAAAAGTCCATGTGGCCAGGCACTAAGGTCTTCTGGCAACAATGAATGAGGTCTGAGGCCATCTGCCAACAGCCAAATATGTAAGATATCTTATGTTTAAACATCTCCTCCAGCTCCGTTCAATTTTTCCAATGATAAAACTCAAGCTGACAGCTTACTTGTAACCATCTGAGAGATATTAAACCTGACCCAGCGTCCCAAGTCAAATCTAGATTTCTGACCTCAGAAATTGTGTGAGACAATAAATGTCTGTTGCTTTATACTACTAGGTTTTGGGATTGTTTGTTATGCAGCAATAGATAATTAATATAGGTCTCATTCTATATCTACTGAATGAGAATATCCAGAAAGTAGAACCCAGGAATCTTCACTGTTAGCGGACACTCCAAAAGTGATGATATCTTTGCATATTGAAATCGGAGAATCATGCTGTTATTAGTGCTTTTAAGCTCCAAATAACAATCGACTTCCATTCTTCATTAAGTCACTACTAAATATCCCTGATTCTTTAATGTGTGACTAGTGTCAGTTTTTATTCAATATGTTCTATTCCAGTGCCTAAGGACTTCTTGAATTTTGTTTGTTGTAATGATTCCGCATTTCTTGATATAACTTTTGAGAGTGGAACCATATCGAGTTGGTCAGATTGAGACATCTGTGGTCTAATGTGATTTTCAGAATGAATCCTGAAAGGATGATTACAACTGCTCACTCTGTATCTTTAAATCTAACCACCAAAATCAAGAAAATTCACTTTACCATAATTACTTGGATGAATAGGAAATGCTCAGACTTCTTTCTCTCCAATCCATTTTCGTTTACCAAAGTATAGGACCCAACTTTCCAAGATCAAAGAAAATATTTTCTTTTTTTTCAAAGCAGCAAGCCATTAATATCCATCTCTGTAAAGTAATCCAAATGAATATTTCAAAAGTGACTTGTATAATTAGCAGAATTTCACAATAGTGTCAGCATTCATCTGAGGACTGTCTGCAGGGGAGTCAGATGAGCCCGGGGTGGGAGCGGTAGGCAGCAGTGACTTGGTAGAGTCACCTTCGTTTCTCTGAATTGAAGCTGCTCTATTTCTGAATTGAACATGCCTTTTTTTCTTCATGAGACAGGAATTAATTAGAACCTATAAAGAGCTACTTTGTAAATTTGGACATTTTGAGAATAAATATTTTTATCATCACCTTGAGTTTACTCTTGAGTTACCACACCATGGAAGTTTAAAGTGTTACTTTATTACCCCATCCACTCATATCTGTCAGGGTTCACTTATGAAAGTAGAAATAATATAAGAATTAGAAAATACAGAGCTTATTATAGAATCTTACACTTTCTTGAATGGCACTACAGAAGCGATTGTCCACAAAGATAAGTTGGAAGATCAGAGAAACATCTCTGAACCAGCACTCCTGGGTGCCCTGGTATGGGTAAATAGGTCAGAGCTTGCAGCCAGAATGAGACCACCAAGGGGAGCCGATGGGAAATCCCACAGAGGACTGGTAGTTCCAAGAACCTACTGCTTCTGTGAGTTCATGGCCCAGTGTCTGTGGTTGCCGTTGGTCAAAAGTGTCAAAAAGTTAGAGAGAAAGCTGGACATGAAACAAGGAGAGGTAGAACAAGATGGAATCTGCCATCATTTATTACCTGTCTGTCAACCACATCTGACTTAAATATCATCAGAGAATCATGTGCCGCCTCACTGTATCCTCCCCACAACTTCCCTTTTGACCAACTCAAACCCAGAACTACACAGGGAAAGAGATTCTTGGAAACACATTTTTTCCATATAACCCAAATCACAATAGAATAATTTAATATCACCTCCTCCCCAATTAAATATGAAATCATCATGTTTATCTCAAAATTTTTGACTTAAAATGTAAAGTAGATTTAACAACACCAACTTCAGGGTCAGGAGACTTGGACTGGAATTGTGTCTCGTTCCTAATTAACTTTATCCGTTTAATTTCCTTACTTTCCTTTACTGGGCCTTGGTTTTCTCATTTTTGTAATAGTTGGTAGTAGGTAAAAGTATGGGGAACTGAGGATCTTTAAAATAGCTTATATCCAAGATGCTTTATTATTTCTGACTAGATACTGTTTGTCATTTCTTTTAGCTCTAAAATTCTATGGTTCAAAAAGGCAATGCATATCTAATAAAGCTCTCTTTATTTTTAAATTACTTGCTTTCCATTAAGATCTGTTCTATTGCACTCAGGCAAGAGAAAAATAAAAAGCATCCAAATAAGAAGACAGAAAGTCAAACTAACTCTGTTTGCAGACTATATGATTTTATACCTAGAAAACCCTGTAGTCTCTGCCCCAAAACTTCTGCATCTGATAACAATGTCAGCAAAGTTTCAGAATACAAAATCAATGTACAAAAATCAGTAGCATTTCTATACACCAAAAATATCCAAATTTGAGAGCCAAATCAAGAATGCAATCCGGCCGGGCGTGGTGGCTCACACCTGTAATCCCAGCACTTTGGGAGGCCGAGGTGGGTGGATCATGAGGTCAAGAGATCGAAACCATCCTGGCCAACATGGTGAAACTCTATCTCTACTAAAAATACAAACATTAACTGGGCTTTGTAGCGGGTGCCTGTAGTCCCAGCTACTCGGTAAGCTGAGGCAGGAGAATCACTTGAACCCGGGAGGTGGAGGTTGCAGTGAGTTGAGATTGTGCCACTGCACTCCAGCCTGGTGACAGAGCAAGACTCAAAAAAAAAAAAAAATGGAATCCTATTCAAAATAGCCACAAAAATAATGAAATTTACCTAGGAATACAGCTAACCAGGGAGGTGAAAGATCCCTATAACGAGAATTGCAAAACACTACTGAAAAAAATCAGAGATGACACAAACAAATGGAAAAACATTTCATGGTCATGGATAGGAAGAAACAAAATCATTCAAATGGCCATACTGCAAATGGCCATACCGCCCAAAGCAATTCATAGATTCAATGCTATTCCTATCAAACAACCAATGACATTCTTCATAGAATTAGAAAAAAACTGTTTTAAAATTCATATGGAACCAAAAAAGAGGCCAAATAGCCAAAGCAATACTAAGCAAAAAGAAATGGTCTGGAGGCATTGCATTACCTGACTTCAAACTATACTACAAGGCTACAGTAAACAAAATAGCATGGTACTGGTAAAATAAATAAATAAATATAAAACGGACACATAGATCAGTGGAACAAAATAGAGAGTCCAGAAACAAAACTGCACACCTAAAACCATCCGATCTTCAACAAAGTTGACAAAGAAAAGCCATGGAGAAAGGACACCCTATTCAATAAATGGTTCTGGGATAACTGGCTAACCATGTGCAGAAGATTAAAGCTAGACTCCTTCCTTATACCATACACAAAAATAAACTCAAGATGGATTAAAGCTGCGGTCCTCAGACTTTTTGTCACCAGGGCCTAGTTTTGTGGAAGACAATTTTTCCATGGATAGGGAAAGGGGATGGTTTTGGGAAGAAACTGTTCCACCTCAGATTATCAGGCATTAGAGTCTAATAAGGAGCATGCAACCTAGATCTCTCGCATGTGCAGTTTATAATAGGGTTCATGCTTCTATAAGAACCCAATGCCTCAGCTGATCTGCCAGGAGGCAGAACTTAGGCGGTAATGCTTACTTGTGCTCTATTCATCTTTTGCTGTGCAGCCCGGTTCCTAACAGGTCACAGATCAGAACCAGTCCATGCCTGGGTGTTGGGACCCCTGGATTAAAGACTTAAATGTAAAACCTAAAACTATAAAAACCCTACAAAATAACCTATGGAATAGCATTCTGGACATAGGAACTGGCAAAGATTTCGTGACAAAGATACCAAAAGAAATTGCAGCAAAAACAAAAATTGACAAGTGGAACCTTATTAAACTAAAGAACTTCTGCACAGCAAAAGAAACAATCAACATAGTAAACAGAAATGGGATGGGACAAACAGCTTACAGAATGGGAGTAACATTTGCAAACTATACATCCAACAAAGGGCTAATATCCAGAATCTATAGGGGACTTAAACAAATTAACAAGCCACCCCATTAAAAAGTGAGTAATGGATATGAACACTTACCAAAAGAAAACATACAAGCATATGAAAAAACGCCCATATCACTAATCACTAGAGAAATGCAAATCAAAACCACAATGAGATATCATCTCACAGCAGTCAGAATGGCTATAATAAAAACTAAGAAAATAGCACATGCTGGCAAGATTGTGGGGAAAAGGGAACACTTACATACTGGGTGTGGTAATGTAAATTAGTTTAGCCACTGTCGAAAGCAGTTTGGAAGGTCCTCAAAGAACTTAAAACTGAACTACCATTTGACCCAGCAATCCCATTACTGGGTATATACCCAAAAGAATATAATTTGTTCTACCACAAAGGCACATGCACATGTATGTTTATTGCACCACTATTCACAACAGCAGAGACATGGAATCAACCCACATTCCATCAATGGAAGACAGGATTAAAAAAAGTGGTACATATTCAGCATAGAATACTACATAGCCATAAAAAAGAATGAGATCATGTTCTTTGCAGCAAAATGGATGGAGCTAGATACTGTGTTTATTACCTGGTGGTAATGGGTTATGAAATAATCTATACAAAAAATCCTCATGACATGTAATGTACTTGTATAACAAATCTGCACGTGTACCCCTGAATCTAAATGTTAAAAAAAAGTTCTATTAAATGTTGTATGAATAACTCAATCTATCTTGAGTTATATACCTCAAGGCAAAGTTTGTTCTCTCTTATTGTATCTTAAATGTACTGTTGGGTGCAGGGTCTAGAACTAGACACCTTAAAAAATTGGGTGTGACTCAGAAGTCTAGAGGAATATTCCACCAGTACACATTGTAATAAATCTGGGAACATTATTAAAATACTGATTCCTGAATTCTACCACCGGAGATGCATTTTTTTTTGTGTAATTGATCAGCAGTGGAACTCTGGCATCATTACTTTGGTGTTTTTTTTTTTAAACTCCCCAGGCAATTCTAATGTACAGTCAGCATTGAGAGAAATACTAAATTAGATCATCTGACAGAAATCAAATATAAGACTAATTTTATGTGCCCATAGTTATTTATAAATAATCTTCTTTAGACTCAGGTTCTATGATTTCCATCTGTGTAACTGAAGGTCTAAGATTCTTGGGACAGAATATTCTTGCCAGTTTGCTTTTTCTATTTTAATTCACCAGAGTGGAATTCTTTAAAAAGAGATTTCATGCACAGAGGAATTAAAAGGACTCAGATTAATACTACGAATAAATTATGTACTTTTTTTAAACAGTAGAAATACAATTGTTTGCTACTCTTGCTTTCTGTCAGTTGTGCTAATGCCTTTCTTTTCTTTTTCATTTATTACTATGTCATTATATTTGCACATTTATGCCTTGGATAACACTATCAAGTGGAAATCTCTTACTTTTTCTGTACCCTAAGTACATAATAATAATCTGTAGACAATTTAGTATTAAGATGGGCATCATTTGCTGCATTTTCATTTTAGCCTCCTGTGCCCACAAAGACAGACTCCATGCCTCGCAATACCTCATTTTATTTTAGCCAGTTCTAGTCGCAAGGGTCTTGACCTTAATGTCTGTATCTTGCGTCTGGCCTCACTGGCCTTCTTGGTTTTAAGTATCTATGCCTTCTGTAACTAGTCTAACCTTAGCACAGATTTTAATAATTCTTTAAAAATATATTTCTATGCAATCAATTAACTACACAGCAGTTTCCAAATTACTCTTCAAGACGTCTTGTAATTGAGAGTTTTAATTATGAGAAAATAATCATATATATTGCCTTTTCCGTGTGTCATACATTCTGACAACAGTGAAGATAAGTATTACAAAGAAAGTGTCTCTTATGACTACTCTTTTTTGTCTCATACCTAGAAGGTTCACCTGGTTAGTACCTCTGATTCTATTTTATTCCTCTGAAAATATGATTCTGTGTTGAGCCAATAATCCAGCCCAAAAGAAGCTTTTGGCAAAGTGAAATAGAGCAAGTAATTCAAATACTTATTATCTGTCAAGCTTATGTCCAAGAATTTTATATATATCATGCAATTTAATATTTAAAACCATCCTATAATGTAGATGATATTATTATTATTATTATGTTTTTACAGATAAACTGAGATTGAGGAAAAATCCAAGACAAATTAGAAAGTGGTGTAGCTACAATGTAAGCTGCATGCAATGTCCAAGTTATTACTCAGCTCATGATGTCCATCTGTCCATCCATCCGTCCATCCACCCATTTATCCATCCATCCATCCATCCAGCCAGCCAGCCAGCCATCCACAAAAAGATGCCCTGCCCTGGAAGTAATGCTATACATTCTACTAAAATGTTCTGTTCGCCCCTTCGTAAAACTCTCTGTATGCCCTTTGCAAATCCATTATTTATGCTTTTCCTGCTATCCTCCATGCAATAAAAGGCCAAACCTGCCAGATTATCTCAAAGGTTGTATTCTTGCTAGAGAGTCCTGCCGGATAGTCTTCTTAGATTTAGGCAGTAAAAAGTACTGGCTGAAGATGCAATGAGGGAGGAAAGAAAGGTCCATGTATTTCTTTTCTTCTTATCTTCTCCTTTGGTGCTTTATCTTTGGGGTAATTGTTAATTCTTCCATAACTACTGCTTTTGCCTAGTGGCCCCCTCCTCTACAGTTCCAATTCTCAGCTGATGTCTGTTGGTTTGTGGATTTGTGTAATTTAGACTAAACTGCATTATTTTAAAATTGGTAACATTTAAAAAATTTTTAAATTGGGTGAACTGACACAAACATTTAGGAATCCTGGATTCTCTTGAAAAATAGCTTTGGCAATACAGAGTCCCACATTACCATATGGTGAAAAGCAACTGGTGCCACGTGGTTTGAGGCTGGGGTCTCTCCCTCTGCTCCACCTGCTTTGCCGCCTGCCTGATAACTGTAATTATGTGAGATTGCTGTCTCTCCTCTTGTCTGTTGGACACTACTTGAATTATATAGTCAGAGGAACCACTGTTCTTTTCTAACATTAGGAAGCAAAATGAGAGAATGTGGATGTTGGCATAGGAGAGTGTAGGCTAGAGACACAAAGCTCCCCAGTGGTGGAGGAAAAAGGCCTTCCTTCCTTGGTTTTTAGTTGGTAGTTCCAATTAATCCAGGTTCAAAATCAAACTATTAAGCAGATCAATGGAAAACATAAGGGTTTCAGAACTGTAATGAGTTCAGCATGGTTTACAGGATAATGTACCTCCAATTATTGGAGTACAATGTTGGATTTGGAGAGTGCAAATGTAGGACAAACCCATGAAGGCAGAGTGATATGTAAGAAACCATTTTTTTTAAATTTTCTAAATTGTAAAATTTAGGCTTTTATGCCTAAAATCAAAAGAATTAAAAATATTGCCCTAAGGAATAAGGCTAAGGATTTTTCTTTTTCTGAATACTGAAAATTTGCTAGATTGGGTATTTACAGCAATATTTCATAGGCCAACATTTAATAGATTTTTAATTATATTTTTTTCAGCTAGTTCCTAGGTTATGTAGCTTCAGGTTAATTTTTTATCAGCCTGTACCTCCTACTTTTTCTTGCTATGTGGATGGCAAAAAATATTAATCTTCTTTATAAGGCTATGGCATAGACTTCAATTTTATAAAAAAAAAAGAAAGCAAAATCTGGAAAATATTTTACAGAAATGAGATGCCAATTACTTAAAACAAGGTTATTTATATTTTTGCGTTAAATATTTTTTTCAAAATAATCAGTTTAAAGATTATTACCAATATGTTCAATTTAAATATTTTATGAAGAATAAAAGGAAATAGGAGGTAGGAAGAGAGCATAAAAGTTGATTCACTTTTAGCTTTACTTTTATTTCTTTCCTTCCCAAAACTATAGAATCAAGGGTATTCTAACTTCCTCAAATCCTTGAAAATGCACATTTATTTTATTTTTAGGAGGGGGGAGATTTTTCCTAATCTGGCAATTTTTAATAAAATAAGCATCAAACTGCAGACTGGTTATTGATTTGTTTTGATTAATGTATCTTCCCCTTTATAACTTCTCCTTGCTTTTAATTTCATGGCAAACATTAGCTAATGATAAAACAAATGACTCCTGTCTAACATTTCAAATCACAGATTTCATAGGCAAGGGAAGGAAAGTGAATGCCATGCTGAGAAAGCCAGAGCAGGTTAAATAATTTGCCATGGGTATGATAAAGAAAAAACTTTTCTTTATTCTTAGGTGATTCTTAATCCATTAGAGCAGAGATTATATTATGCGAATAGCACCAGGAAATGGAATGAAGTATAATGACCGGAATCTCAGCAGAAGAACTGTGTGAAATAAACTATATGACCAGAGGCCTTGAAAATCAAAGTGAATATGACATGGCTGTCTGGTATCTGATCACTGGTGAATGTGTCTCTTAATTACATTTGTCTTTTATTATTATTAGTATCATAATCATCGTTCATCTATTATTGTAATTTCTCAGTTGAAGAAAATTAATGTCAGAAATAGAATGCTTTACTTAATTTGTACCCAACCCAGTGCTAGTCAATACTCATAGAATTCCCAGTGCCCTGTCAATGCACTTCAACCCTTCCTTGTTGAGTCTTTCTTAATTGACTCCACTGAAGCAAATCCAATTTCTTCTCTCAGTCCTTGTACACATATGTGAAGAATGCTAAATTTAAACTATTTCTGCTCAATTTTGTGCTGTCAGCTCTTGACACACCAGGCAGAATGCGATCACCTGAATTTGCTTTATATCTTATTTTAAGACCATTTAATTGGAATGATTTTGTGCCATTGTTTCAGTGTGGTATTAAAGTGATATCCTAGAGGTGAAAAACAAATACATTATTCGACTCCACCATCCAATCTCTCTAAAACCACCTTCTTTGCTTTGTCTGCCTTATTTGATTTATATATGAGACATAAGTGTCAATAACTTGTTTTTGATGGGTGCAATACTGCCAGGAAAATGGATATTGTTGAACATTAGGCTATAAAGAGGGGTATGAAGTATAATTCAGATGGGCTTCATGACACTTGTCCCTCATATGACACACATTCTTTTCATTTCCAATTTCATTGGAACAAGCAAAAAGAACTGTTTCCAATCTGTCCCACCTCATAAAAATAGACCTGTACTTAATTCTTGAGGACCTAAAATTATCCTTTGGATATTGCCAACCAACCATCCAAGGAAAACGTTCCTAGCCAAAGTAATAGAAATCTTCTAGGTATTGAGATGACTAAAATATTACCGTTGCCTTGCTTTTAATGATTGCACAAAATATTACAGAAACCCAAATGTGATGATAATAGTGAGAGCGGGGTACTTCTATCTCCTTTTTATTAAATTGTGCCATTTTCTCAGTAGCATACTGCAGTTTGCAAATGTGATACTTTTTTAATAGAAAGAGATCTAATCACTGACTCTGATTTTTTAAAAATATAGTAAAGGAATTGTGTTTGTCAAAGCCCAAAGCCTCATTTAGTTGTAACCAAAGATCTTACATGAAAGATGCTACTTTTCTTTCTTATTACAGTTGATGATGGAGAATAGGGGTTCCAATTAAACTTCTATTCTGATTTCCGTGATCAGCAAGTTGGATTACAAATGCTACATGTCCAAAGCACACAGCCTGATAGAATGCTGGCTGCCTGAATTTCAGATGTCCAGATATTTTTGAGGAGAACCTATTATGTCGCATCAAGCTTGTTATGTATAAACTAAATTTCCTCACAGATATCAGACTATGCTGTTAAATAGTTGGCATTGAGTCAAAAATTATTTTTAGTTCCAATTTACTAGGAAAAAAGAATATATAGTCCATTTCTTCAAAAGGAGTATTAAAGAAATAGAAGAATGTATAATTTCTCTGTCCTAGGCTTTGGAAAAAAGCCTACATCATATCATGTCTCTTCTACAAATACTAGTTAATAAATGCATAATTCCAAATTTAGCAAAAATAAAAAAACTAATATAAAATACATTATTTTAAGCATACTCAGAAAAGTTAATTATATTTATATTAACACTTTTACATTTTTCTCCTTCAGTACATGAGTGACTTCTGGGAAGCTATGTAGTCTAGATAAGGGTCTGTAGTCTACGTAGGTGACCCTATCTGAACAAAGATCCCTAGTTGTAGTGGAGTTATTGGACTGAAAACCAATCCCTAGCAACTTTAGGAAGATTGTCAATTAATGACTAATGTCAATTAAGCTACAGTGATTGTTGATTTTTTTAATATTGTACTTTAATTAGAAGAAATTAATTGAATTACATTTTTCGCTTTTTAAGCTCTTCAGTCATCAACAAGAGAAACAGGGAACCTAGATTAACATTTACATAAATTTTGTTCTTGCATAACCACACTAGCTGCTGAGAACAGAAAGATACTAGCATAGGATATATTCTAATAAGTATTTGGGTTGCTTCGCTCTATCAAAAGATTAAAAAAAACACAGGCTATTGAAAATAATGAATTGTAACAACTAGGAGGTGAATTTTCCCTAAAGGAAGATAAGGTAAAGTAGGGGACAAAGTATATTGGGAAAACAGAAACTCTGACAACAAGAGCATCATTTGTAAAACTCCTTCCTGCTTCAGTGAAACTTTGGTCTTAATAACTTTCCATGGTGATCTCCCCTTCAACCACCAAATTCTTCCTCTTCCAATGGCAGCTTTACTGATGTAAAGGTCTAAATATACATAGTTTCTTTAATCTATATCCCCAGAGACTCCTTCAGCAAGTGGATAACACCACAGTGAGAAATCTATAGTTTCTCCATTTGTCTTAGTAGATTGCTTTAAAACTGGCTAGCCATATGTAGAAAGCTGAAACTGGATCCCTTCCTTACGACTTATACAAAAATTAATTCAAGATGGATTAAAGACTTAAATATTAGACCTAAAACCATAAAAATCCTAGAAGAAAACCTAGGCAATACCATTCAGGACATAGGCATGGGCAAGGACTTCATGTCTAAAACACCAAAAGCAATGGCAACAAAAGCCAAAAATAGATGCATTTATATTAATATTTGGTAATTTCGGTAATGTTTTTTTTCTTTTTTTACCAACTACCTTTTGTTTGCCTACCTTTTTTTTTTCACCATCACCTATAGGACAGTAAACAATTAGTAATATAGAATAATGTTATTTAGTACTAGAAATAAGAGCTTTGGGATTGAAAATGATATTCTCATTAATGGTGAGATTTTGTTGGTAGATTTCTATCTCTCTGGCAGTTTTGTAATTTTGAGTTGAATTCCTTTGGGTTCCCTCACCATATATGCCATCTATATAGTTTAAAATTTAGCCAAAATATTTATGTTTATAAGCTTCAAAATTTTTTGCAAGTTTAGCAATAGATAGTCATAGTCCCCAAGGCATATTTAAAATTGAAAATGAAACTTTTCTCCAAATATTTTTGTACTTAGATAGGAAATCCAGAATGGTTGCATAAGGGTTCCTTAAATTCCAGCTTGAATTTACTGTCACCCTCAAAGAAATACCTTAGATAACTGGTTCCTGACCTACTTGTGCTTTTTAGCACTCAAAGCATGATTGTGTATTTAAAAGTGAAAATATTTCATTGTCGGATTTCTCATGTTGAAAGGGCAGCTAGATAACCATCCTTTATGATTCAAGGATTTGAACAATCACTATTAGATTGAAAAAGTACTATGTGTTATACAAAAACACGTATATAAATAGCTACAAGACCTTTAATATCAGTAATTATGGCAACACTGGAAGAGTTCACTGTCAATAGCATTTATATACTAAATACGTTAACAGACTTTTCTGAAACTTTGACATGGGTTTCCTATGAGTGCTGAGACTTTCAAAGGCCAAATTAGGTTTTACAAAATTACATATCTCTCTTTCATTGCCCAATTAACTAATTTGTGAACAGAGACATTTATTATCTATAAATAGACATTTTAAAAGTCAAAGAGAGAGAAACAGAGATAACTCTATTTTCTTTCTCTTTCTTTTCTCTTACTGTTTTCAGCAACTACTTTTCAAAATGAAGAAAGATGAGAGCAAGATTAAGAGGAGAAGGACAAGGAGGAGAAAGAAAGAAGCATGTTTATTTTCTGCAATCTATAAAAGCACACAATTCATCCAGAAACTGCAGAATTGCAGAGGATTAGATAGACATCATTTTGAAAGTCTTCATTATAGGCGTATTTTATTCAGTGTTTGGGTCTACTTATTAAAAGGGACTTTATTTCCACCCCGCCTTCTTCTAGAGAGTATTTTAGAATTCAGCTAAGGGGTGGGGCAAAGGGAAGTGAACACATGTTTTTATGAGCTTTCTAAATCATCTGCTAGATATAAAGTGATCCATTTGCACTTAATGTGAAATACTGGCCTTAATTCACAATTGGGATGAGGAGAGAGAAGAAAAGCACAATTGAGGTAGTCACCTATTATTTATCATGCTATCAAGCCCTGTAATTAAATGAAATCATGGAGACTGAAGATAGAGAAATAATACACTTCTAGTAAACAAGTACAGTGTGACACAGAAAGAGGGGACAAGCTATAGTTTTTCTAAGTTAAAACATGTGTCCAAAATGTTGAGTTTTGTGTACTGGATGTAATAATTATTTAAGAATTGAAATAAGACTCATTTATTTTGTACAAAGCTAGTGGTTTAATACACATCAGAGTATCATGGTGGTTTCTGGGTGAAATCTTCCTGTTACAGAAAAATATCGACCAAATTAGATAACCTTTTGCTTTTAGATGGCTTTGACTGTTAAAAGCTCTGTTTTTAATTTCTTTGAGACAGGGTCTCACTCTGTCACCCAAGCTGAAGTGCAGTGGCACAATCATGGCTCAGTGCAGCCTTAACCTCCCGGGCTCAAATGATTGAGTAGGTAGAAACACAGGCATGTGGTACTATGCCTGGTTAATTTTTAATTTTTTTGTGTGTAGAGATGGAGTCTTACTACCTTGCAAAGGCTGGTCTCAAACTCCTGGACTCAAGTGATCCTTCTGCCTTGCCCAGTGCAAAGCTCATTTTTAATGGTGAGATAAACTTTTACCTTTCTATAATTACATGACAATCCTCTTAAGTTGTGCCTGAGGATCTAGGATGCAGGTGCCACTGGGGATAATTTGTAATAGGTCACTTTGCTAAAAAGGTGGAAATACACTTGTATCTTCTGCTAATATATAGGCTGCTTCAGGGTTCTACTTTCAGGTGTTTTTGAGGTTGTTGATATTAAGCGTCATGGCTATTTAGTTGCTATAAAACTAAGAACACCATTTAACTGGTTTGTGATATAGGTAAACACATATTTGAGGAAAAGTTTAAGATCTTTTGTATTTTAATAAAATAAAATAACCTTTGTCTGAAGATTCAGTTGTCATATTAATGTATGCAAATAAAATCAGAGTTTTAGTAACCACTGTGCCTCTAACCGTTATATTCTTTTAATTAGAATCAAGCAATTAATTCTAAAAATGTCTCTATATTTTTCTGAAAGCATTGCCCTTCTTTACCAAAAGCTTTATATGTCTTCCCATTTTATGTTTTAACATGCGAAATAATTAAAACGTATGCTTTGCTTCTTACTGGAATTTATTGCCCCTCTTTTAGCATAGGTGGATTTAATGTGGCTCTTTGGAATCGTGTGGCTTTCTAATTTGTATGCACTTGTTGATACGTCATGTTAGAAGACATTGAGTTTTTGTTATCATGTTGACAGCTTAAATCCCACACTGCTGATTTACGTAACTATGAAATTAGCAACAGCCAATGTCCCTTCTAGCATTAACTTATATTTTTGAAATAGTTGATAAAGATAATAAAAATTTCAAAATGTTACCCAAAATTTTAGTTCTCCTACATTAATAAGTAGAATTAAGCTAAAATTCAATTTCAAATCAACACAACACTGAATGCCTTCTGTTTGTATGTTTTTTTTTTTCTTATTTAATTGAAAATACTCAAAGTGTGGTTTAAAATGACTGCTTTAACATGCTGGGTTACTTAATGCTATTACTTCACTCCTTCCTTTTGTCTTCCGTGCTCAAAACAGTATTAGAAACATTACTCATAAGTGATTTTAATCATTGCTTTAGTCCTTCAGTTTTGTACTTAGTCAATAAACACTTATTGAGTACCTACGACATGCTAAGCACTGGAAGAATACTCCCCTAAGAAGCTACCAACTCACTCTCCTATATAGCACGTTTGAAATAGGAGTCAGGTTTCAGCTTTTGTCAAAGCCACTTCTTGTACCAAGTTAAGATTTGCTTTAGTGTAGTGCTTCTCAAATTTTAATGTGCCCAGGAATCATCAGGAGATTTAATTAATATCAGATTTATATTCAGTGGGTCTGTGGTGGGACCTGAGATTTTGCATTTCTCATAAGCTCTGGGTTGATGCAGATGCTGTTGGCCTGGGGACCACACTTTGAGGAACAGGGCTTTAAAGATGTGATTTCTTTGAATGTTTGTATGTCCACCCATACAATGGAGGCATTTGCTTTTGCAAACAAAGATTAATTTTTATAGAACCTACACACATTAGTTTTGTAATTGAGGATTTATCTTCTTTGCTTTTATGGTATTTATCACATTATAATATCATTAATTGCATGCATCTCTTTTGCTATATTTAACTTTCTTGAAAACTGGCACTAAATTCTATTTCTATTTACTTTTTGTTTCTATCATCTACCATAGTGTTTACTGATCAATAAATCATTGCTCAATATATGCAGAAATTGTTAACACTGTTGATTCTTACATTTAGTTCCCTTTTCCTACTTGCTAAGGGTTAGAAAGAGTCTTTTGCTGACATGTTGCTCTTAGGTTCATTTTTCTACTTTGGTCTACATTCAGCTCACCTTTCCAAGGAGGGAAATGTTCAAAGTTGAGCAAAACCAGTGTCAGTTTTAATGCGAAGTAAAGAGATTGGCAGGATTTTGAAAAAGGGGCAAAGGGAAACATAAAGTCTTGTGTCCTAGGAAAGATAAACTTGGAAATGGAGGAATTGTTAAAATTTCTAAGTGTCTGGAGGGAAGTGACTGAAGTCAGAGACTGAAGTGAGTGGAAGTTGGGCCAAGTGTGGTGTGTACTAGATGTATTAGAGCAGTGTCCAGAATCTTCTTGGAAAACAGGACAATGGAGAGATCATAAACGATGCTGAAGGAGGTGACCTCTGCCTTATTTTCCAGTCCCTGAATTATAGTGTTGCCAGTGATATGGTGGTCAGCATGGTGGGAGCTATAAAAACCATGGAGATGGATGTATAGGTTTTTACATGACCCCTGAATTTTCAGAGCTCTAGACACATCCTCTCACCACCCCACCAATAGCCCTCTTAACTTTCTTATTAGAATTTATAACAGTAGTCCAGGAATAATTTCAGCTTCTTAGTAAGAATGGTGGTAATAGTGATAAAAGTTTCTCCACTATTTCAGTGAACAGACAGAATTATTGTAAAGTGGTAAGATGTATGTGTGTATGTGTGTGTGTGTAAATATTTAGGAGCCAGAAATAAATGTATTGTTTGTAAGGCACAGAATGAATTAATTTAAGAAAAATATCAACTTGTCAGAATTATGGCTTTGCTCTTATAGTCGTTTTTTCTCTTGAAAATGTCAAAACAATGTTAGTAATTATGCTTACTTAGATCTTATTAGGTACAAGTGTTTTTTCTTAGGGATTTACATATATTAACACATTTTATCCCTTTGACAGAAATACTGTTATCACCATTTTATAGATAAGGTAACAAAGGCACAGCTTGTTTGAGTAATTTTCTTAAGGTACCATAACATTAAGTGGTGGAGGTGGGTTTTAAAACCAGCAGCTTTGGTTCTAGGGTCTGTGCTTTTAATTACTACACACCACTACCTACCACATTAATGATTGTTTCTCATGAACTTCAAGAGGGAGAAATATACAACTAAAGTTGACTTATATAAATAGAATTGAGAAGATAATAAAATTCTCATTGTAGCTGTGTTAACAAATAGGAGCTGAAAAGTTTGGGCTCACAGAGTTAGGATTTATACCTCTAGAAGACATTCCAAATGGTAATACATTCCATTTTTGTGTTTGTACTTAACAGTATATCCTATATGTCAGTTGAAAAATGGTTGCTAAAAAAAGCCACAGGAATGTGTATCTATATTTATATAGGACATTCCATGAAGATTCTCTTAATATTCTTAAAGACAATATGAAAAAATGAGTAGCCTGTCCTGTCCATAACTAATTGAACAGATATCTGAAGAGTATTTAGTAATAGATTGACGTAAACTCTATGAAGATCTCTAAAATTTGGACCCCCTACTTGGCTTTCTTTTGTTCAGCAGATCGATCCATGGTTAGAATGGTGAAAGAAGAAATGCTTAGCACTTTTGCAGGTAATGCAAAGCCGGAAACGGTGGCTATTAGTTTAGATGATAGCTGCATGCCTAAAAAAAAAAATCTTTGTAGATTGGAACTATGGGCTGAAACTAATAAAATGAAATTTTACTGGGCTATTGTAAATTCTTGTTTATTGCACATTTACAGGATAGGAAAATTTATGGCAAAATTCCTGTGGTTTTATTTGACTCCCTGCTCAATGTGAGTCAATATGGTGTTAACAGATGCTTAAAAAAGTTAATGCATTCTTAAACTGCATTAACAGAGGCAGAGAGTCAAGTTCAAGGATGGTAATAGTTTCACTATAATCTGAACTGCTCAGACCGTGTCTTGAATATTATATTCATTTCTGTAGGCTACATTTTAAGAGTTGCTGAAAAGGTGGATTACACCTAGAGGGTGACTGGAATGTTGAAAAGATTGGAAACCACGGTGTTTAAGAAATTGGGCACATCTAACCTGGAGAAGAAAATAATAAGATCTTATAAAAGTCCACGTTTTAAAATGCTTTCTCTTTCTTGAAGAGAGATGATAAGTTAGTGTAACTCTAGAGAAGTAGATCCAATAGGTTAGAAGTTAAAGTATTAGGTATATTTTAAGTTATGGGCTGAGAAAAAGTAGAAAAAGACTATTCAAAAAGGTACATGGGCTAATGCAGAGTAAGTGGCCATTTCTACTTTTTGTAATAATATAGTTTATTTTAAATAGTAGTTTGTATGAAGAACATAATAGTGCTTAAGGCTGCCAGACAATTTGGAGAGCATTGACAAAAAGTAAAAGTTATCTTCCCCCTTACAATCCCTGTTCCATCAATCACCAGATTGCTGACATAAGCACTGTTAACATCTTTTATGTATTTTCCTAGAAATTATCTGTAAATATATGAGATGGCAAAGACACATGGACAAACAAATGTATACACATATGTAAGTGTGCAAGTCGTTTTTAACACTAAAGGGATACTGTATATGGTTTTCTGGTGCCTGCATTTTGAACATACCTTTTCATATCAGTGAAATGAAATCAGTCTTACTTGTAAATTGTTTAGGATTTTTCCACTACCTAGAACCATATTAATATACATTTAAGTGTTTTTATTTTACATCAGTTATTATAAGCTTGACTATAATAACCATTCTTGTATGTCTATCATTCATTTACTTAGGCCTAATTGCTAGAAGTGAAGCTTCTAGGTATAAATGCTTTAATAATTTTGATGATATATTTTATAAAATTAATATCAAGAAAGATTATAAATTGATACTTCTCCCAATGATGTATAAATAATTCCAACACCTCTACCTGACCAACACTGAATTTTATCATTACTTTCAGTGACTTCCAATCTGATGGGTAAAATAAAATTTTCTGTTTTGAGTTCTATAAATGGCGAATTTAAACTTAATTTTGTTTATTTAGTATTTGTGTTTGTTCTTTCATGAATTCCTGTTCATGTTCTTTGTTTATTTTTTAATGGGTTGTCCTGTGTTCCAAAACATTCAATGAATTTTTTTCATTAAGAATTCTAAAATTTTTCTAAGTGATACATAATTTTTCTCTTCTAATATTTGACTTTTAATTCATATGCAGTTATTGTACTAGTGGTCCCCACTATCTACTTTGTATTGATTTTGATTACCAGCAAAATGAGAAGAAAAGACAAAAGTAATATTCAATTAAGGAAGCCAACTGATTAAGAAAGTTCAAAGTTCTTTCTCATTTGTCAATAATACCCACACTTTTTTGGGTATCAAAATATATTTAAAAAGGAAACATTACATCTCATAAAAATAATTTCGATTTTAAATAAATCTGTTAAAAGGAAACAACAAAATTCCTTGAAAATTATTCTAGATACAAAGAAGAGCTTCATTGCCCGGCGTGGTGGCTCACGCCTGTAATTCCAGCACTTTGGGAGGCTGAGGCGGGCTGATCACGAGGTCAGCAGTTTGAGACCAACCTGACCAACATGGTGAAACCCTGACTTTACTAGAAATACAAAATTTAGCAGGGCGTGGTGGTGCACACCTGTAATCCCAGTTCCTCGCGGGTCTGAGACAGGATAATTGCTTGAACCCGGGAGGCAGAGGTTGCAGTGAGCCAAGATCGTGCCACTGCACTCCAGCCTGGGCGGCAGAGCGAGACTTCGTCTAAAAACAAAAACCAAAAACCAAAAACCAAACAAACAAAAGAGCTTTATTAAAATAAATCTGTAAGTTGTTCTAAAACACAAAAACAATTACGACTACCATGTTCATTAAACATTATTTTGGGATTTAATCTAAAATCATGGCTTCGACCAGGTATCAAATAAAAACCAAAAGCATGTGAGTTTTTTTTTTTTTTCTTTCCAGCTTTTATTTTAGGTTCAGAGAGTATACGGGCAGGTTTGTTACACGGGTAAATTGCACGTCGCTGGGGTTTGATGTACAAATTATTTCATCACTAAGGTAGTGAGCTAATTTACATTTCCACTAGCAGTGTATAAGTGTTCCCTTTTCTCTGTAACCTCACTGGCATCTGTTATTTTTTTGACTTTTTAATATTAGCCATTCTGACTGATGTGAGATGGTCTCATTGTGGTTTTGATTTCATTTCTCTAACGATTAGTGATATGGAGCATTTTTTTCATAAGCTTGTTGGACACGTTTATGTCTTTTTTGAGAAGACACGTGGGCATGTGTCCATTGCCCATTTTTCAGTGAGGTTGTTTGTTTTTGCTTGTTAATTTGTTTAAGTTCCTTACAGATTCTGGATATTAGACCTTTATTGGATACATAGTTGACAAAAATTTTCTCCCATTCTGTAAGTTGTCTGTTTACTCTGTTGATAGTTTCCTTTGCTGTGCAGAAGTTCTTTAGTTTATTAAGTTCCCACTTGTCAATTTTTGCTTTTGTTGCAATTGCTTTTGAGGACTTAGTCATAAATTATATCCCAAGGCCAGTGTTCCAAATGGTGTTTCCTATTTTATTGTGTGGTTTTTGTATCTCAATTTTATTCAGTTCAATGCTAGTTTTGGTGTTTCTTTTCTTTTGCTAGATTTGGAGTTAGTTTACTCTTGTTTTTATGAACACCTATATACACACAAACTAGAAAACACAGAAGAAATGGGTTTTCTTCTGGAAAGATACTACGTCCTAAGATTGAACCAGGAAGGAAAGAAACCCTGAAGAGACCAATAACAAGTTCCAAAATTAAATCAGTAATTAAAAGCCTACCACCAAAAAAAGCTCACAACCTTCAAGCATTCTTATAGTTTGAGGTCTTACAGGTAAATCTTTAATCACTCTTGAGTTAATTTTTGTACATGGTTAAAAATAGGTGTCCAGTTTCGTTCTTCTGCACATGACTAGCCAGTTTTCTCAGTACCGTTTATTGAATAGGGAGTCCTTTCCCCATTGCTTATTTTTGTCAACTTTGTTGAAGATAAGATGACTGTAGGTGTGTGGCTTTATTTTGGTAACATGATGTCTCCAGCTTTGTTCTTTTTGCTTAGGATTGCCTTGGGTATTCAGGCATTTTTTGGTTCTATATGAGTTTTAGAATTATTTTTTCTAATTCTGTGAAAAAAATGTTATTGGTAATTTGATAGAAATTGCATTGAATCTGTAAATTGCTTTGGGCAGTATGGCCATTTAAAATATATTGATTTGTTTCTATCCATGAGCATGGAATGTTTTCCAATTTCTTTATGTTGCCTCTTATTTCTTTCAGCAGTTTTATAATTCTAATTGTAGAGATTTTTCACCTCCATAATTAGCTGTATTCCCAGGTATTTTATTCTTTTTGTGGTTATTGTGAATAGGATTGCACTCTTGATTTGCTCTCAGCTTGAACATTATTGGTGTATAGAAATGTTACTAATTTTTATACATTGATTAGTATGCTGAAATTTGGCTGAAGATGTTTATTAGGAGACTTTGGGGAGACTATGGGGTTTCCTAGGTATAAAATCATATCATCTGTGAAGAGAGATAGTTTGACGTTCAATCTTCTATTTGAATGCGTTTTACTTCTTTCTCCTCCCTGATTGCTGTAGCTAGGACTTCCAGAGCTATGCTGAATGGGAGTGGTGAGAATGGGCATCTTTATGTTGTTTTAGTTTTCTAGGGGAATGCTTCAGGCTTTTGCCCAATCTAGATGATGTTGGCTGTGGGTTTATCATTAGTGTCTCTTATTATTTGGAGGTGTATATCACTTCAATACCTGGTTTGTTGAAAGTTTTTAACATGAAGGGGTGTTGAATTTTATTGAAAGCCTTTTCCACAACTATTGAGATAATCATGTGGTTTTTGTTTTTAGTTCTGCTTATATGAGAAATCACATTTATTGATTTGTGTATGTTAAACCAACCTTACACCCCAGGAATAAAAACTGCTTTATCATGGTGAATTCGCCTTTTCATGTGCTGCTGGATTTGGTTTGCTAGTATTTTGTTGAAGAATTTTCGCATGTGTATTCATCAGGAATATTGGCCTAAAATTTTCTTTTATATAGTGTCTCTGCTAGATTTTGATATCAGAATGATGCTGTTCTCATAGAATGAGCTAGGCAGGAGTCCCTCCTCCTTGATTTATTGAAATATTTTCAGTAGGATTAGTACCAGCTCTTCTTTATTTGTTTGTAGAATTTGGCTGTGAATCTGTCTGAGCTTTTTTTGGTGATAGGCTTTTAACTACTGATTTGATATTGGAACTTGTTATTGGTCTCTTCAGGGTTTCTCTTTCTTCCTGGTTCAATCTTAGGACATAGTCTATTTCCAGCAGAAAACCCATTTCTTCTATGTTTTCTAGTTTGTGTGCATATAGGTGTTCATAAAAACAAGAGTAAACGAACTCCAAATTTAGCAAAAGAAAAGAAACAACTAAAACTAGCGTTGAACTGAATAAAATTGAGATACCAAAAACCATACAATTAAAAATCAATGAAACCAAAAGTCTGTTCTTTGAAAGAATAAATAAGATTGATAGACCACTAGCTGGACTAATAAAGAACAAAAGAGAAGACCCAAATAAACATAATCAAAAATGACAAAGGAGATATTACTACCATTGTCACAGTTTATTTTTATTGTTTGTTTAAAATGTATGCTAGTAATTTTTCATTAATGGTGTGTGTGTGTGTGTGTGTGTTTTAGCTTAAGTATGTAAATTTCCATTTTTTTGAGCAGTTTTTTTATGTACCTTTCAGTTAATACTTGTTGGTCTTTAGAACATCAAGGCACACTGTAAATGTCAGTCTTTGTGTGCTGCCTGACAGCTAAGTTATGTACCTGACATTTCTGGTGGGTTGTGGCCAAAGAATGAGTAAACTGCAAAAATTCCATTAAACTGCTAAGGAATAGAATGGTGCCAATGGGAGCAATCTATTTTCCTTTATACTTATATGCTAATAAAAAGATACATCAAGGACCTCAATAATTAACATTACTTTGTGACTTTTTTAAAAAAGCAAGTTTTATTAAAGTTGAATTCTCACTATTTGTCAGCTTATGTATTAGTAGTTGAACTATTAGTATGATAATAATGTACTATCATTAAAAAGTACATGAAATGTAAACATGTAGAGTACAGTGAGAATTTAATCTCTCCTTTCACTGAGTTTAGGACAAAAGGAATTGTCTGTCAAATATCAGGCTATAAACATTACATAGAGAAGTCTGGCAAATACTGAAATTGAATTCTGGGTGTAGGGTTGGGAGTTTGGATAGAGAGTGTTAAAATTTTCATAGAGAAATATAAAGAATACAACCAAACATATTTTTGCTGTGTTTATTCAGAGCTAAAATTTGGACATTACCAATTGCTCATTTTCTCTTTTCTTGAGCTCCTGTTATGGATCTAGTCCCAAAGTAATCTTGCCTCACTTTTCAGATAGTGCAAAACTACTTTCTACCTTCACTAACAATAATTAAATAAAAATTTGAAATGCAAGAAAGCAACATTCTTCAGTTATCAGCTTGGAAATTTTCAAAACATCTCATGACACTAAGTTCTGGTAGGTTATAGGGAAGCTAGAACTTTGTACAAGTTAATACAACTATAAATCGATACAACCATTTTGAAAAGGCATCTAGAAAAAATTATCAATATTCAAAATATGTATATCCCTGGAACAAGAAGAAGAATTTATGTTACAAAAACCACTTTATATAGCCATTCAAGGATAGATGTGTAAGAATATTTATCACAGTATTGTTAGAAATAGAAGGGTTTTTATTTCAAATAATGGTTATTAAAAATATTAATACAAGTGACTATTATATGGGTCATTTTCAGTTTTTTCTTTATATTTTCTATATTGTCTAGAGGTTTTATAATGAGTGTATGTAACTTTAACTCAAAAACATAATAATATTTGATTTAAGAATAAAAAGCAAAGTATAATATAGAAAGCATGTTATTTAATTTATAATAAAAAATAATATAGAAAACCATAGCATAGGAATTAAAGTGGTTTTGTGTACAGAAATTGAGTCTCCTTAAGCTAAAGTTCTATATCTTTGGCTCCTGATCAGCTAATACTATTTTATAAAATGACATAATTTTTTAGCAGGCAAGATTCTTGGACTGCCACTACTTGGAATGAAAAGAATGGGGCACTTAGCAGGAAATGTGACAGAAGCAATGCCTGTATATGTTGTCCTAGAATTTACATAACCAAGACATCTCCCAGGCAATTTTGGAACCTGATAAATAACTCAAGTAAATTTATATACACAATAAAATGAGGAGAAGAAAACTCTGTAATGTCATGATGGTTATTAAAAGTGTGTAAAACAAATACCTGAAAGATAAAGGAATGCTGGTAAATAATTTATGCTGAAAATATCCAAATACAAACATATTTCAATAGATCGACTATTTATAGAACTCCTACAAAGTTTATCATAAAAGTGAATTTTTCTAAAGCGTATTATTTTTTCTACATAGTGACTTTTATTATGAAATTTAAAATGGTTATAAAATATAATTCAGTATAAGAATTTATATATTTTCTCCTGATATATGAAATTTTTGCCATATAAGAGAAGGCATATTTATTTATAGGTACATTAGTAAGTGTATCAACTATTTTATTCAAAGCCCCTGTAAAAATTTTAATAACAACAGAGGGGTTCCCTTTTATAAATTAAAAAAAAGGTGAGAAAAAGCCATGAAAAATGTTTAGAGCGGGCAACAATTATTTCTGTTAGATTTGCATGAACTACTAGCAGAATTATTATGTATTCCAAAAGATGTAATACATCTCACAATCTTCAAACCTTTCTTCCCAGTGCTTTACCAATTACACAGAGAACAAAAAAGACTGTGTGCTCAAGATCTTGGGTCTCTTATTCTGTACACCCATAGAGTTGAATTTCCTTTCCCGTCTGGTCACACACACAAAGGAGGTGGCCATAGTCTCTACAAGAGCCTTGTCTAATTTCCCTCTTCCTTGTGGACTTCCTTGTACCCAAACTATTTCCATTCATCTCTAATAATTCTGTTTAGATAGCATTCCCCTTGGGAGGGAAAATGTAAGTTGCTCACATTAGGGCACATCCTTCCAAAAAAAGAGGGAGATGTGGAAATTGTAGAGTTTCTATGATTTCATAAACTGCTTAGAGTCTTCATGAGGGAGAAAAGCTCTCTAGCGTGGTTGATAAATACAGCTGAGAATTTGAATAAATTAGGATAATACGTGAATTGGCAAAATTGTTCTGATTGTGTGTAATGAAGCAGAAGCTTAGGGTACAAGTTTTACTGGATTAAATGGAAACAGCTTCTACACTCTGGAGACTTATGGTAAAATCTTGTTTATAGACCAGAAAGGGGCACATCCAGGATGTGGGTGTCTGGCCAGCTGCCCCTATTGCTCCAGAGGCACTACTGTGGGACTATTAGAAGGAGGTGACTTCTGCCTGACCTTTCTTATTTTCCAAAAAAGGCCACCTCTGTTTTCTACCTTCAGGTTAACAGACTGAGAAAGCAAACCCTCTGTCTATGACTGAAGAAAGAAAGAAGTTATTGAAGTTACAGAAGAAGTTACTGAAAGAAGGTTGACTGAGGAAATAATGGGATAGATCAACACAGAGATGGCGCAGGATGCAAGTGGAAGAGGAACCTCTTCCTAGTTCTGAAGCACTGTTTGATATTAGAATCTCACACTATTGCATTTAGTGACAGCATTCACATTAGATATAATATTTATTTATTTATTTATTTATTTATTTATTTATAGACAGGGTCTCACTGTGCTGCTGTGTTGCAGAGGCTGGAATGCAGTGGTGTGATTATAGCTCACTATAAATTTAAACTCCTGGGCCCCAGTGATCTTCCTGCCTCAGCCTCCTGTGTAGACAGCCAGAACTATAGGTGCACACCACCACACCAAGTTAATTTTTGCTAGAGATGTGATCTCGCTATGTTGCCCAGGCTGGTCTTGAACCCTGGGCCTCAAGTGATTCTCTCACCTTGGCCTCCGAAAACTCTAGGAATACAGGCATGAGCCACCATGCCTGCTTTGGATAGAATCCATAAATATCAGTCTTAACTTTAAGGCATTCACTAATTTATACTTTGCTGAGTTGATAGTATTGAATATAGTTGTAGGAACTTATTAGGAAAAACAGTAATACATTATTCTAATCTAGAAAGTTAGACGTTTGTCGAATATAAACTGATTTAGGATATTCTTAAATCGATTATGGAATTATCAGGCTAACATTGCAACTGTGTTGCTTAATTTATATTGGGTTGAATTTTCTAGTATTTCCAGAAGTGGTTCTCCCCAGCCCCAAATAAAAATGTCAGACTCTAAACCTTACCTTTTTTTCTTAAACATTGATATTGTTTAATCAAAAAGACTAACATACTTCAAATAGATACAAATGTGGATTATATACAGATATATGTACAGATACAGAAATAGATATTAATATAGATTTGGATGTAGATACAGATATATGTGTGTGTGCATGTTTGTGTATACAGTCAATCCTCATTATTTGAGATTCCCTCTACTAGCTAAAATGTATCTGTAACCCCCGAATCTATACCTATGTGTTTTTGTGTTCATGTGTGCACATTTTGTGCAGAGCGGTAAAGTACTTGAGTCACCTGAAGCACACTTTCCAAGTGGAGGTAGGACCCTCAGCCTTCTTGTCCCAGCTTTCATACTGTAAACAAGTGTCCTTTTCATGGTCAGTCTATTTAGTGCAGCATTTTTCACATTTTTGTGTTTTTGTTAGTGATTTTGTTGTTTAAAATGTCACTCAATTACAGTGCTGAAGAGCTCTCCATTTTTCCTAAGTGCAAGAAGGCTGTGAATTGCTTTATGGAAAAAAATACAAGTATTAGGTATGTTTTCTTTAGGCATAAGTTATAGTGCCGTTGGCTTGACAAAGATTCTCTATGACCAAACTTTAGTCAGGCAAATATGAGCCTTCATTCTGATTAGACCTCAACGTTGGCCCCATCTCATCTTTGGCCTGCCCAGGCCAGTCTTAGCAAATAATTCTGCTAAGTTAGTTTAGGGAGAATTTCTCCACCCTTGATATCTATCTGATCAGGTTCCCGTCTCCCACCTGTAATGAATAAGTCCTTGGCCTGTCTTTAACTAGAACCTTGTTAGGCCAATTTAGCAAAAATCCTCCTGTTCTCTTAGTTTCCTCTTAGCAATTTTTCATTCACTGACCCTCTTCCCCTCCTCCTTGCCAATAAAACACTACTTGCCCTTGCAATATTTGGTATTGAGCCTGCTCTCTCTTCCCTACTGCAATGCCCCTTCTGCGATATCTTGAATAAAGTCTTCCTTACCATTTTAACAAGTTTCAGAATAATATTTTTTAACATGGCTATGAGTTCAATGTTAATATATTAATAATATATATTGAGTACAATGTATTTAAACAGAAACACATAAAACAAGGTTATGTATTAATCAGTTGACAAAAATGTTTTGACCAGAGGTAAGCAGGAACTTAACCCTGTATTTCCCACAGGAGCAATGATGCAGTATTCAATGTTTGTTAATTCAGAGTGCATTGTGACTTTATAGAACAGAACTGCTGCAAATAACAAGAATCTACCATACATATCACATATGCCATATGTATACACGAGATCAAAATGAATACTTTGTTTTCTTTTACATGCTGTCGCATGTCTTTTTAAAGCTACTTAGAGAAAGGGAGGGATAATTTTGAGAAGTTAAAATAAAAACCTCTTTTTGTCAATGTCCTGTCTCTGTCCAATAACTTGCATGCCAAAATATTGGAAATATTTTTCTATCTCAATCTGAGGCAAAAGGGAGATAGAGAGCAAGAGAGAGCTAGAAAGAGAAAGAGATTAAACACTTGACAAGTTGAGAACAGTGTCTCACGTGCCTATGACACAAACCATCTCTGTGGTTTGCCTTGCAGAACACAGGAAGAAAATATGACAAATATAAAGTAAGTAGAACACCCCTGAAAAGCAAAAGGAAACTTGGAGGAGGGAGGGGACAATGAATGGGCTCTCTGAAGCAACGAAGATCTGTCTTCCAGTGATACTTAAAACAGCTGAACTATTCTTCTGTTTTACATTCTGCTTTGACAGCAAGCCTGCTCTGTAGAGAAAGAGGAGAGAGAGAGATCATTTCTTGATGCTGAATAGAGCAGAACAGTAGTTAAAATGATAAATTTATTGGGGGGGCAGATTTTTGAGGAGTAATGAAAAAAGAGTAAGCCACATTTCTGCATTTGGTTTTCATTTACGTCTGTTTTGCTGCTTTAAGTAAATTGAGTGATTTGTTTTGATGGAGAAAGTATTTTAAAAAGACTTCCTTCAGACTCATAGTAAATAATCATGACTTCCAATTTTCAATTCTAAATCTTATAAAATGTAGCTCCACCAAGTTCATTTAACATCATACCAACGCATAAAAATAAAGCTTGTAAAAATACGATATAGGGATTGGCTCTGAGTTAGCAGTTGCTAATTAAACATATTTCCCCTTCCTGATTCTGGTGATATAACAGACCAAATGTGGTAAACAAACTTTGTTCCACAGCTTTGAAGTCTTCTCTCTAGTTTCCCCCAACTTAGAAAAATTATACTATTTATAAAAGTGCATAAATTGTAATTTAAGTTAAAAAAAGCCTTGAAATTTTTATCAAAAGCATTCAAATTACTCTCTCCCCAGGTCAACTAATGAGTTGTCAGGAGCTGGCCCCTTACTGTAGTGCACCTCCTGCAGACTAAGACAGTTAACCATGTTTTCATCAAAGGAAATGCTCATTAGTAGAGCTTTCAGAAACTGATTTGATTATAGTTTCACTTGTTAAAGTGAAATATTTTGAGCTCATTAGGATGATTATGATTCAAGGTCATCGTTTGAAGCTAGTCCTGTCAATATAAGATAAATGGGCCCTCATCTTTTTCCCTTCTTTACGTCTGTGCTTTTTAAACTCTTCTGTGTAAAAGTTCCATAGCCATAATTAATTTTTAGTTCTTCTGTTACAAAGCTGCTTAAAAAAAAAGAACAAAGATTTTGGCTACCAAAAAGACCTTGAAGAACTATTAAGAGGAGGAGGAGGAGGCTATCTTGTTTGAGAAAAATCAGAGAAAAACCTTGAAAAGTTCAGCTTTTGATATCCAGCTATTTTCTCCTTGACCTTTCCAAAGTTTCGAAAAGGTACTTTGTACATAATTTTGCATGTACCCTTTCATCTCAAAAGTATAAAACTAAACTGAAAATCACCCAAGAACTACCAGTGGCTTAATTAAACAACTCCTCTTCTATGGCACAAGATGGAGTTAACACCTTTTAAAGTTCTTTCCTTTTTTTTTTCTTTTCTAAATCCAGCACTTAAATCTCTGAGTGTTAAAGAGCCACTTAGACATTAAAGGGGGTGATGTTAACTTCTATCAGCCAGTCATTTTAACATGAGTTTGCCCCTTGAACTTCCTTGGTCAAATATTACCTTTTCCTTTAACATTAAGGAGAGGTTACAATGAAAGTAGAGCTTGTTTTTTGTTTCTTTTTTTAACCTCCCGTATGTTATATTTTGGAAAAATGTTTTAATCTTTGAGACGTTTGGCTCTTCGATACCCTTCACTAGGATTCAAGTCTACACTGAACTTGAGAGTGGATGATATTTAAAAAGTTATAATTGACTTGACCTTTTTACATAATAACTCATTATTTTAAAAAATTGTTTTTCTGACTTTTGTGGACAACTGATGATTAAAACTAATCTCTGGTTTTCAATAATGCACTTTCACAATTATTTCTAAACCAACGATTTTAGCATTTAAGATATTGTTTAATAACCAAAAATGTTAGTGTCCAAACGTGCAACACTGTGAAACTGAATCCAAGGTTGCTCAATATATAATTATTTGAGAAGAGACATGAACCTTGAAGCAATTATTTGTTTATTCTCACATGTACCTAAGGGCCTCTTTTACCATGAAATTTAGAATATAATTATGAAATTAAGTTTATGTCCTTGGTATACTTTCATGAAAGTCTCTTACATACCAAATTAAACAACACATATTAAAAAAAAAAACTAAAGCACACAAAATGTAGTGACTAATAGAAATGATAGGAGAAATGTACTTCAGTAGCAATACAGTGCCGGGGTATATGGTTGCAACCGCAGAAGATAGCTTGAGTATATTAAGCTCCTTCAAAATGTGATGAGAGAATGATGTGTTAGGAGGATCCCAGACACATCTACAGTGAATTAGCAGAGTGTCAATTTCAAACTTCTTTCCCAAATTGCTTTGAAGACTATTCTTTTATTAAAGAAAAAAAAATTCATGACATTTGTTAAGACAACAAGGAAGACTTCATTCAAAGGGTGGTATAGGTATAGGGATCACTGCAAGGGGATTTTGCAGTAAGAGAGAGAGACTGTTTTAGGTCTCACATTTAAGTCTTTAATCCATCTTGAATTAAGTTTTGTATAAGGTGTAAGGAAGGGATCCAGTTTCAGCTTTCTACATATGGCTAGCCAGTTTTCCAAGCACCATTTATTAAATAGGGAACTCTTTCCCCATTTCTTGTTTTTGTCAGATTTGTCAAAGATCAGATGGTTGTAGATGTGTGGTATTATTTCCGAGGGCTCTATTCTGTTCCATTGGTCTATATCTCTCTTTTGGTACCAGCACCATGCTGTTTTGGTTACTATAGCCTTGTAGTATAGTTTGAAGTCAGGTAGTGTGATGCCTCCAGCTTTCTTCTTTCAGCTTAGGATTGTCTTGGCAATGCAGGCTCTTTTTTGGCCATAGGCATGGGCAAGGACTTCATGACTAAAACACCAAAAGCAATGGCAAGAAAAGCCAAAATTGACAAATGGGATCTAATTAAACTAAAGAGCTTCTGCACAGCAGAAGAAACTACCATCAGAGTGAACAGGAAACATACAGAATGGGCAAAAATTTTTACAATCTACCCATCTGACAAGGGGCTAATATCCAGAATCTACAAACAACTTAAACAAATTTACAAGAAAAAATCAAACAACCCCATCAAAAATTGGGCAAAGGATGTGAACAGACACTTCTCAAAAGAAGACATTTATGCAGCCAACAGACACATGAAAAAAAGTCCTCACTGGCCATCAGAGAAATGCAAATCAAAACCACAATGAGATACCATCTCACACCAGTTAGAATGGTGATCATTAAAAAGTCAGGAAAAAACAGGTGCTTGAGAGGATGTGGAGAAATAGGAATGCTTTTACACTGTTGGTGGGACTGTAAACTAGTTCAACCACTGTGGAAGACAGTGTGGCGATTCCTCAAGGATCTAGAACTAGAAATACCATTTGACCCAGCCATTCCATTACTGGGCATATACACTAAGGATTATAAATCATCCTGCTATAAAGACACATGCACACATGTTTATTGCAGCACTATTCACAATAGCAAAGACTTGGAACCAACCCAAATGTCCATCAATTATAGACTGGATTAAGAAAATGTGGCACATATACACCATGGAATACTATGCAGCCATAAAAAGATGAGTTCATGTCTTTTGTAGGGACATGGATGAAGCTGGAAACCATCATTCTGAGCAAACTATTGAAAGACAGAAAACCAAACACTGCATGTTTTCACTCATAGGTGGGAATCGAACAATGAGAACACTTGGACACAGGGTGGGGAACATCACACACTGGGGCCTGTCATGGGGTGGAGGGAAGGGGGAGGGATAGCATTAGGAGATATACCTAATGTAAATGAAGAGTTAACGGGTGCAGCACACCAACATGGCACATGTATACCTATGTAACAAACCTGCATGCACAGCTGTAATAAAAAAAAGAGAGAGAGAGAGAGATTGGACTCAATTTCAAATACTGCATGGATTAGGCGAAATTTATAGCCAAAGAGCAGGGTGTGGGTCAGTAGATGAAAAATAATTAAGAGGAAACATCATAGTTAAGAGAGAATTCTAGCAAAACTGACTTAGCAGATTTTTTGCTGAAGACAGGGCAGGGTAAACAGACATCGCCTGGAAGATGGTGGAGGATGAGGAACCAAATTAGACATGGAGGGTGACTAGATAGCAAGGGTGAGAGGTTCTGGTAAACTGACTTAGCAGGATTCCTGCTACAGTTGGACAATACAGAGGTAAACATGGAAGTCCAAAACTCAGGCCTTGAAAAAGTTCAGGGGAGTAAGAGTAGAGTTCGGTCAAGGAAAGGATCTTTGTCCCTTGTCTTTATCTTTTGTCCTCATCCCCACTTTTAACTGTGACATCATATTATTTCCTAATTAGCCCTTACCACATTCTGTAAGCATTATATTTTTTTGTTTGTTTGTTTATCATATATCTCTTTCAAGTAAGATTTCAACTCCCCAAGGGCAGAGAAATAATCTATTTTGGTCACTGATATATCCCCATTGCCCAGCACCATATCTATGGAGAGTAGGCACTCATATTCATTTGTTAAATGAATTAATAAATAAATAAAACCAGAGATCAATTTTTTATTTATTCGTTGCATTTGTGTCTTCTTTGCATCTTGCATTAAAATGAATCTCCTTGAGCAGTTAGACTCAATTGACTTCTTACTCAAATACTCTAGACAAGAGATAATGAAAGCTTGTTCCAAGGTAGGGACAGTGTGACTGGATAAGAGAGGAATATATAAGAGGTGATTAAGAATGAGAGACAAAAAATCTTGAGAAACTATTGCCTGAGAGCTGGAGGGAGAGGAAAGATAAAACGACGAACCTCAGTTGTCTACCTTGGACTACTGGATGGGAAATGATCCATTGATTAAAATTATGAACAACCTGACAAAAGGTCATGGTAGTAGTGGGTAGTTGCATAAGACAATTAGTTCTGTTTTAACATTACAAGATTGATTTGGAGGTGTTTCTGGAATTACAAGTGTTCTTTGGTAACCGTGTTGAAACTCTCCAATGTGCCTAAAAAAGTAAAGTATTAAAGGCGAAAGGCAGAATATTTACTTCTGGAAAGATAAAGTCATGTGACAAAAAAAAGGAAGGAATAAAAGTGGAAGAAAGAATGGCAAATATGGAAAAATAACTCATTTATTTCTTAGGGTAAATGTTATTCTTAGGCACCATTTTGAATTAGCTGACATTATCTTTGAAACTGTTCCACTTTTTCACATTTTTATTTTATGTTTGTTACCTCTCATCCTGAATAACCCATTTCATCATGCTACAGTAAGTTCCCACACACATACTCCTCACCCTAGTAATTTATCAGAACTTCCTGGTTCTCAGGCATTCTGGGCTTCATCTTTTATTTCATTCTCGGTTTCATATACATGACCAAATATCTCATTGTCTTAGTGTATCTAACTTCTCCCAATTTGTTGACAGTGTAGCAGTCATGTTTACAATTCACCCTAAAATATGTATAAACAACTTCTATAGGCATTGATAACAACAACAACAACAACAATAATAATAACTGTACCTAGTTTATGCAGTGATGTCACTGGGTAAAGTCCCTTGGCTGTCTGCGGAGACTTCACTGGGCAGGTAACTTTGTAAATTTGCTACAGACCAAAGTCAACTTTGTAGCAAAGTGAGTATCTTACATTTGGACTCTCACAATTCAGATCATTAGATTGAGACATGTTCAAAATATCAATGACATAAAAGAGTAATGCAAGTGTGAATGCTTGTGTTTGGGTAGTCAGCCTATCTTCTTTCTACCTGTACTTAGTACTACACTGAAAGCTAAACTATAATTAGAAGACAGTTTGGAGGCTAAGGAATCAGAATAAAAGGAGATTTTCAACTTCATTGAATGTTAAATGACATTGGGTTATGGAAACTCAATACATCATTTCCCAATATATCTTTTGTCTCAGATTTCTGATTGTTACAGTGACAGAAAAATCTATGCATATAAATTGAAAAAAATTGGCCACAATGGGAAAGCATTTCCAAGGAGAGGAGCTGCAATGAGGATGAGTAATTTTGCCTGAGGGCCAGTTCCCACTCCACCACATCCCCATTGGTCTGTTCCCCATGCTTTCCCTTTTTGAGACCTTATAGGCATTCACCTCTTCTTTCCATTTAGACTAATTGACAGCTGCCATCATTTGTGGTAGTCTCCTTCTGCTGTGTGTCCTTAAAGTTTTCTATTAATACTTAGAATTAACCTCTCATCTTTATTTCTAAAGAGAACATATGGGTTGATTGTTTTTTTTTTAAGATTTATTGGCAATGAATTCATATCCCTTTAATATTTTTGTTTCCCCTGCAGAAAGATGAGCAGTCAAATCTGAAAATTGTTTATTTGATTGAAATAACATGGTAAAATTTATACTCTTTGAGTTAATATGTGCACTTTTTAACAATTCCTTTCAAATTATGAAAGAAGATAGTATTTTTTTATCTTAAAAAATGACTTTAGATAAATAATAAGAAAGACTCCTGGCCATAATCTTGGTGATGTGTGAGGATACTGCTGTTTCTATATAAATACATCTATTAAAATACGTCTTTAGTATAAATATGAAAAAGAAACTTAGTGCCAAGGCCAGGAACAAACGAGCAAAGATAATAAAGTTGGTGGAAAGGCAACTTAAGAAAACAGCATATGCAAATGTTTGGGAGCAAAAGAGAGCAGAGAATGTTCAATAGCCAATGGGAACTGAGTGTGAGGGTGAAGAAAGGGTGTGCACAGGAGGCAGAGAGACAGGTAGAGGTGGGTTAAGTGGAGAGAATCTCTTCATCATTTAAGGCAAGGAAGAGCCACTGAAATGTTTCCCAAATGAAAGAAAAACCTCACTCCCTTTCTCCCATCTTCCTCCCTTCTTTTCATCCTTCCTCCTTCTTTGCCTTCCTCCCTTCCTTCCCTCTTGTTCTCTTTCTTCATTCTTTCCTATCTCTTTCCCACCATTCTTTCTTTTATTCATCAGGCTACTTTTTTTTTATCATTTCCCTCACTCTCCCTTTTCTGTTCTGTTTCCCTGTCTTTCTCTCTGATTGTCTCATTGAATAAACTGAATAAGATACTTTTTTATAAATGGAAAAGAAGCATAATAGAAAATATATTTTTATGTATAACTGGAGATACTTCCTCCTTATCTTTCTTTGGCTTCCCAATGACTAGTCTCTATAGAGAATCTTGAAATTATCTAATGTGCATCTTACTGGCTCTTGATCATCACACTGCACGAATTACAGTAAGAAATATACCTTATGAGAGTCACCAGGAAGATATTTGATAACTCATTTGTTCAGAAATAAAGAAACATAATAATTTATGAATTGAATTTGACAATTGCCACAAATAACAATGGACACAATAGCGGAGTAAAACCACTCCCCCTACATCCCCATCAAAATTGGAAGATTAGCAGTAACATTGGTCAGTAGAAAGAAACAGAAGCAGGCTGACTCATCACTATGACTTGCATTTTGAAGAATATAGAAAGAGTATATCTATTGGGCTTCTGTTTTGGTAAGCTTCTTTGAAAGAAGTATTAAAATACTTTGATATAATAATAATAGCATTTTATAGCCATACTAATATGAGGTTAACATAGAAAGAAATTAAATATTTAAATCATGATAAATTATAAAGGCTTAATTTAAAATATCACATCAGAGAAATTAAGGTTTTCTTTTCTTATCTACCCTTATCTGTGCCTGTTTTCTACCAAAGATAGTGGGCATTTTATAACATATTTAACACAGGAAAGTAGATAGATGTTCTTTTAGTGTAATAACATTCAGAAGGGAGGCTGGAGAGAGGATAGCTTTCTACAATATGAATATTTTGACTTGTTTTTACATACTACACCCTGAGATTAGATCAAACGGAGTCCTTCCTCTCTCCTCTTGCCCGTCCCAGAGAATCTACAGAGAATTTTTGCAGAATAACTAATAGACAGAGAGGGAGTGATGACTCCTGTTGGAAGTTAGGCAAAAGAGAAAGAGGGACTTAAGACAAAATAATAAAAAAAAAATAGGACTGAAGAAATTATAGGATGGGAACAAAGAGAAAGAGAGAGATCAGATACAGGATAAACAATTTTGGTAAATTCTGGGTTGGCAAGTGGTCCTGTTATCTCATGCCCCAGGCACTTTTCTCTACATGGGCATCCTGAAGACAAAGGGGTAAACGCTGGTAGAGAGAGCCAAATCAGGTCAGGGTGGATAGTGATGACCTCATGTTTATCTTCAGCCATTCTCTGAGCAGTCTAACAAGGATTACATCTCAGCTGCTTGAGTGCAGACAGCATTGTGTTGATTATAAAATCAACATGGGAGGTAGAATAAAGGTCTATTTAGAATAGGTGTGTTTATTGTAACTCACCCCAACCTCTTGGATATGTTAAGCTGCTATTAATACTTACCAGCTGCAGAGTAACAACTCTTACTATACTTGCCTTTCTGGTGCATACCATCATGAACAAGCTGGAATATTCTGACTCACTTCTGCTAGAAGGCCGTGGAAACTAATCTTAACTTAGCACCAACTTCGGCTTTTTTCCAAAACATAAAGAACACAAGCAGGGCTTAAAAGAAAAGTCTCAAGCTAAATGTAATTTGTTCTCCCTCAAATGAAGCAGAAGGCTAGAAGCCTTTATGGTGTGCTATATGAATAGTTAGGTTAAAGGTCAAGCACATTGGGGACCATGATGAAGGATTCTAATAGAATTTATCTGAGACTTAAAGTTCTGTGCATCCTTGAAGCACAAAAGAAAGAAAACAGAAAAGGAGGAAAATTAGAATGTGTATAGATTGTCTTGCTGTGAACAATGTAGTTAGTAGCAGTTCACTAGGCTCAAGTTCTAAGTATTTCAAGATGATTAACTGGATTTCAAAATTGTATTTATGTTATAAATATCATGTGTATGCCTATTCAATTATATCAGATTATTATGTTATAAATATGATTCTCTGTTTGCCTATTCAATTATATCAGATTATTCTTGGGTATTAGCCATTAAATTAGAGTGACTGTTACGCGGATATAAATTTAATAACAAAATTATGTTCAGAGGAATCATGGGTGAACTTGAGAGAAGACTAAGGAGCTAAGCTGCTTGAGAAAGCTGTTTAAAAATGGTTCCTTGAAATTTGTAAATTATTCTACATGTCTGTAAAACATAAGGTACATATTGTATCTTGACAAAGATTAAGCAAGTGTTGAGGAGAAATCTCTATTTCATCAACAATTTTTGTCTGATTAACCTCAAAGAAGTGATACAGTTTGGCTCTGTGTCCCCAGTCAAATCTCATGTCAAATTGCAATCCTTAATGTTGGAGGAGGGGCCTGGTGGGAAGTGATTGGATCATGGGGGCGGACCTCCCCCTTGCTGTTCTCCGATAGAGAGTGAATTCTCGTATAAAAGTGTGTAGCACTTCGCTTTCTCTCTCCTGCTCCTTCTGCCATGATTGTAACTTTTCTGAAGCCTCCCCAGTCATGCTTCTTGTACAGTCTGCAGAACGGTGAGTCAATTAAACTTCTTTTCTTTGTAAATTACACAGTCCCACGTAGTTCTTTATAGCAATGTGAGAACAGACTAATACAGAAGTGAAGACACTTTGACATGCAACAGGAATTGCAGTCATGTCATCAAGTCCTGAACTCAGATTGTGCAGCCTGTTGCTGAAAGATCAGTGCCAGGGCTTCCACTAAGGAAGGATGATTCAGGTAGCCTGAACACTATGGAGAGTCGGGGTCCAGTTCTTAACCCTATTTTCTAGTGCTTTAATTTTTATGTTCTCTGTGGATGAGCTGATGACAACCATAGGTCAGTGTGGCTCAGGGCACAGCTCACAGTTCTAGATTTTTCTTCTCATAGGTTCTGCCTATCTGCATGCAAAAAAATTCACAGTTCTGGATTTTTCTTCTCATAGGTTTCGCCAATTTTCTTATGCAATTTGACCCACATGATTTTGGATTGATTTACCACTGAATCATTTTGTGGTATTTATGGTTAATTTTTGCTGAAAAGTCACTTAATTGATATCCATTCAACTTTTTAATTTTTGAGAATGTGTTCTGTCCAATTTTGGTTGCATGTTTTACTTGAAAATCACATTTGGTGTTTAACATTGTGGCTTTCTGTTCCCCATTAATTTGGATGTCTGGACCAATTTCCATGCTCTTATTACTAGTTCTTTATTGTTGTCCACAAATGGCATTCAAAATACCCACTTTAATAAGAGAAAAATGCATTTTAGCCTCTTTTTAAAGAAATAATCACATCTTTTTGGCATATGATCTGAAAAATCTCTCAGTAGTATACCTTGAACATTCTTGTTACATGATAAATCATTGCTCTCTCTTCTTCCCACCTTCTTATTCAGCAGAAGAACTAACATTTGTGTTTATAATTACATTATGAGAATTGTGTCGCTGAATTGAATGGATCATTGATGTGGTCCAAATATCCTTATCTTCTTGCTTATGCTCCCCTCTACTCCCTACTGAGCACTTAGAAACATGCCTTTTAAAGACAGGGAAGGGGGCTCGTGAATGTGTCCAAGCTTCCCTCCAGCTCTGATTCTGTTTTAATTTTACAATGCATAGCTTCAACAAAAATTCTAGTCTAAAAATCTTGCCCCTGAATTTTTCACGATATTTATATAAATGGCAAAATGAAATGAAAACAGCAACTATAGACATTTTTCTATAATAACTTCTAATTGCTCTTTGGACCTTCAGTTATTTAATAAAGTGAATCAAATCAAGCTAGTTAATATTAAGTTTGAGTTTTACCTGGTTTTCTTACTTTGAGGAAAAATTTTGGAAAAAAAACACAGAAGTTTAATACACGTTTTACATCATAGAGACAAAAATTCCACTTGCCCATCAGCTATCTAGTATTATGTAGAAAATAAAGCCACTGTTTCTTTAGAGCTACAGTTTTCAGTTGCCTAAGGCCTTAGACAAGTTAACGTTTCACAAATTCAAACTGCTAAGTACCTCATGGAATCAACATGAAATGAACTCGTAATGCAACTCCTCAAAATAGGAAACATTATGAGGTTTGAATGCCTGCTGCCCTCTGTCATGTGAAAGCATGTTTAACTCACTAAGTAACCACTGAAATGAAGCCCCAGAAACTGCAAACATTATGATTTACTGCTTTTTCACCATGTAAAATGAACACCCACTTCTCTTACTTTCTGCTTTTTAACATGATGTCAGCACTTGATACATTATAAATTCAGGATCCAGGAGAGGTTTCTAACTTTTCAATTCTGTTTGTTAAGAACTTTGGAACAGAATATCTTCTTGCTCTAACTCTTTATAATCAATAGCAACTGTGTTAGAAACTCAAGCTTCTGTAAATATATATTGTTTCTCATTAGTCTCAACTTGAAGACAGTATCTCACTCTTTTCAAGAGGGTTCTCAATGTCCTTTCCAGTGAATTTAGATTAATGGGGCCTTAATCTTGAATGAGGGGCAGTCCAGGAAAATCTAGATTCTTGTTCTGCTGTAGTTAGAGCCATGGCAGATCACTTCTGATGCCTAAGAACAAGTATTTTAATGCTTAACCCTTGGACTCCCCAATTAAATGACTTTTTTAGAAAAGAAAAACAAAATAACTTGCAAGTTATTTTAATTATTAGTTAAAATATCTTTTTTTACTTTATTTACAAAAATTTTACCCCTCTTCAAATTTCTGAGACTTTTTTTCGGATTTTAGCCCTTTTAATTCCTTAGGATTCTAAAGTGACAGAAGTGTTAACAAAAAGCTAGTGATTGTAGGTATAATGAGAATGTAAAGAATTAACTTAGTCGGTATTTTTATTTTGCACATCGTGGCCTAACACCAATGGAAAACAGGCATATAAATAGGTGCTCAACATCATTGATCATCAGAGAAATGCAAATGAAAAATACAATGAGATATCATTTCACAAAGTTAAATGGCTTATATCCAAAGGCAGACAATAACAAATGCAGTGAAGATGTAGAGAAAAGGCAACCCTTGTACACTGTTGCTGGGAACGTAAATTAGTACAACCGCTATGGATAACAGTTTGGAGTTTCCTCAAAAACTAAGAATTGTGCTATAATATGATCCAGCAATCTCACTGTGGGGCATATACCCAAAAGAAAAGAAATCAGTATATCAAAGCAATATCTGAACTCTTATGTTTGTTGCAGCACTGTTTACAATAGCTAAGATTTGGAAGCAACCTAAGCATCCATCAACAAATGAATGGATAAAGAAACTGGTGTATATTCACTATGGAGTACTATTCAGCCATAAAAAAGAACGAGATCTAGTCATTTGCAACAACATATAGAACTGGAGGTCATTATGTTAAGTGAAATAAGCCAGGCACAGAAAGACAAACATTGCCTCTTTTTACTATTTTTGGTATCTAAAAATCAAACAATTGAACATAAGAATATAGAGAGTAGAAGAATGGTTGCCAGAAGGTGGGAAAGGTAGTAGGGAGCCAGTGGGGAGGAGGGGATGGTTAATAGGTATCAAAAATAGTAAGAAAGAAAAAGACCTACTATTTGATAGCACAATGGGGTGACTATAGTCAGTGATAACTTAATTATAAATTTTATAATACCATAAATAGTGTACTTGGATTGTTTGTAATTCAAAGGATAAATGTTTAAGGGGATGGATACCCCATTCTCCATAATGTACTTTTTTTGCATTTCATGTCTGTATCAAAACATCTCATCTACCCCATAAATATATACACCTGCTATGTACCCACAAAAAATTTAAACATCAAAAAATATATAACTGGTGCCTCCGTGGATGGTGGTGAGAAAAAGTTGTACAAATGTGCAAATGAAACCAGAGTTGAATGATTTTCTCCCTTTGTTAAATACCTTGGTGAGAAAAGTCCTTTTTATACTGTCAAAAATAGAATCTAGCGACTCAGACATATGAGCAAGTCTTTAAGGCTGAGAAATCTGAATGGTGAAGAAAAATAGAATAGCACAATTCAAAAAGCAGCAAGTCATATGCATGTATCTGAAAACACACTCAAGCACACACACCATCTCCAAAACATAGACATTTATACCTACCAAGTTATACTCCATTCTCTTCTCATGGCCTAAATTTGCTTTTGAAATTATACTCTTCTTTCTCTTAACCCATAATGATTGTACTTTCCTTTCTCTTACCTAAAAATACTACAAATAATGCAGACTCAACAACACAGGAGGAGTGGAAATTTAAAAACACAAAAATCTTTCTTCATCTGTGATATAGTAGTTCCTCTCTTTCTCTTTCTTTTTCTTTCTCCCTCTCCAGCTATATCATACATCATCATCAATATGTTGATGTGACCATCTTCTGGGTATTTATCTATCCTCCATTCATCCACACATCCACACCTTCCCATTAACCTCTTATCTATCCACTTAGTGGATATCCTTTTCTTCCTCCCTCCAAATGAAATTAAATTATACACTGCATGCTATAATCTCTCCATCAGCTTGGTGAGAAGGAATCTCACTGTTTTTCACAACAACTTATTCCGAAATATTTCAGAAAATCCCTGAAATCATAGTCAGATTTTTCTGAACTGTCCTTTAGCCCCACCAGTTTGTGAGCTCCATGTAAAAGTCTTTCCAGTGTGCCCTCTGCTGATAGCTTTGAGACACGCAGCATCCAAGTGTCAGATACTCAATTCTCACCAATTCCTTGTGTTCTCCAGGAATCCTCAAGAATGGGAGTAGGGATGTGGGGGACTCTTTGATATAATTAGAGTTTCTTGATGCTTAGCAGCACCTCTGCTCAGACTGTGTGCAATCTCACTATCCCTACCTACCTGTTCTTTTCTATTTTCCATCACTCTGTCTTATGTTCTGTCCATACCACTTGACTCCTCTTCACTCCCAATTTTGTTATTATCCACAGCCCACTTCCTATACACTTTTCTTAATCACCTTCTAATTTTCTGGAATTATTTATACTATCACAATGTTATTCTCATATCCACACATTCCACACATAGGTGTTGCCAAATTCTCAACCCCCACTGCTTTTTGGGGGCATGAAGTGTCTACTCTTTTTGTTACTTCTGTCTCAAGAGTCTTGTTCTTTCATGTGTCTCAATGTCCAATTTTCTCCTCTTCCTTCAGGAAGGGATGGAGTGCAGTGGACAAACAAAGTATTCACTGTAGAGAAATAAGAAAACACTCAAACTCCAGAAGTTATTACAGAAATTGGTCCTCTCTAACAGAATCCCTACTCATGTTAAGTTGTTCTCTGACAACAGACATTCTGACTTCCATTTATTTCATGACCTCCTTCTCTATCTTGGCTAATCATATAGATTTATTTATGTCTGCGTGTCAGTTACAGCCTCAAATTTATCAGCAAATCATCTTGACTCTTCTTTTGGAATATATCCATAATAGAGCTGTGTCTTACCATCCCTATTTAATACTCTTCTTCAATCGATAAAAAAAAATTAAAAAACCTTTAGCTATATAAGAAAAAAACATCCTAAAGAGTATCTGAAAACCTACCTCTCATCACTCAAACAGAGCAGGCAAGAGCCAGAAAATGAGCTTAAAAGCATTTTAGAGATGGTAGGTGGTACAGACCTCTACAGCTGTCCTGCCACCATCCAGGAGTGCCCTGTATGTAAGTCCTAATAAACTCATCTACTCATCAAACTGGACTTTTCTAGTAATATTTTTGGTCTCTCAGTTTCCTTTCAGTTTGGGAGAGACAATACAGTCCTGAGTTTTTCTCATACCACTGGGTGTGGGCTTGTGCTGCTGCAGTGAGCCAAGCAACAGTATTGTGGTGCCTTTAGGGAAGCAAGGATGTGGCTCGACTGTCTGTCGGGCTGGTTGTGGATGCAGTGAGCTGAATGACTGTGCAGCAGTCTCTCTGGAAACAGACGGCTCATGCTAGACTGACTGTTGGGCTGGGTGTCGGCCCAGTGGGCCATGTGGCAGTGCAGTGGTCTCTTGTGGGAGATGCGTCTGCTGCTGAACTAGCTGTGCTAATACTTTTCTTGCTATGCGGGACTGCCTTTTCCCTAGGGTGGGGATGCTGCATGGATTCAGATTTAGGGGTCTCAGTGATATGGTCTGGCTTTGTTCTCACCCAAATCTCATCTTGAATTGTAGCTCCCATAATTCTTATGCGTTGTAGGAGGGATCCAGTGGGAGATAATTGAATCATGGGGGCAGTTTTCCCCATAGTGTTCTCGTGGTAGTGAATAAGTCTACAAGATCTGATGGTCTTATAAGGGGTTTCCCTTTTTGCTTGGCTTTCATTTTCTCTCTTGTCTGCCGCCATGTAAGACATGGCTTTTGCTTTCTGCCATGATTATGAGGCCACTCCAGCCACGTGAAACTGTGAGTTTATTAAACCTCTTTTTCTCATAAATTACCCTGTTTTGGGTATGCCTTTATCAGCAGTGTGAAAACAGACTAATACATTAAATTAGTACTAGTAGAGTGGGGCACTCCTGTAAAGATACTCAAAAATGTGGAAGCATTTGGCACTGGGTAACAGGCAGAGGTTGGAACAGTTTGGAGGGCTCAGAAGAAGACAGAAAAATGTGGGAAAGTTTGGAACTTCCTAGAGACTTGCTGAATGATTTTGACCAAAATGTTGGTAATGATATGGACAGTGGAATCCAGGCAGAGGTAGTCTCAAATGGAAATGAGGAACTTGTTGCGAACTGGAGTAAAGGTGACTCTTGCTATGTTTTTGCAAGGTGACTGGTGGCATTTTGTCCCTGCCCTAGAGATTTGTGGAAACTTGACCTTAATGGAGATGATTTACAATATCTGGCAGAAGAAATTTCTAAGCAGCAAAGCATTCAAGAGATGACTTGGGTGCTGTTAATAGCATTCAGTTTTAAAGGGGAAACAGAGCATAAAAGTTCAAAAAATTTGCAGCCTGATGATGTGATAGAAAAGAAAAACCCATTTTCTGAGGAGAAATTCAAGCCTGCTGCAGAAATTTGCATAAGTTAATGAGAAGCCAAATGTTAATTGCCAAAACAATGGGGAAAATGTCTCCAGGGCATGTCAGAGACCTTTGCAGCAGCCCCTCCCATCACAGGCCTGGGAGGGAAAAATGGTTTAGTGGGCTGGGTCCAGGGCCCCCCTGCTGTGTGCAGCCTAGGGACTTGGTGCTCTGCCTCCCAGCTGCTGCAGCCATGGCTGAAAGGGGCCAAGGTACAGCTCAGACCGTGGCTTCAGAGGGTGCAAGCCCCAAGCCTTGCGGCTTCCACGTGGTGTTGAACCTGTAAGTGCACAGAAGTCAAGGATTGAGGTTTGGAAACCTCTGCCTAGATTTCAAAGGATGTATGGAAATGCCTGGATGTCCAGGCAGAAGTTTGCTGCAGGGGCAGGGCCCTCATGGAGAAGCTCTGCTAGGGCAGTGCAGAAGGGAAATGTAGGGGTGAAGGCCCCACACAGAACCCCAATGGGGCACTAACTAGTGGAGCTGTGAGAAAAAGACCACTGTCCTCCAGACCCTGGAATCGTAGATCCACCAACAGCTTGAGCCTGGAAAAGCTGCAGATACTCAACACCAGCCTGTGAAAGCATCCAGGAATGAGGCTATACCCTGCAAAGCCACAGGGGCAGAGCTGCCCAAGACCATAGGGATCCACCTCTTGCATCAGTGTGACCTGGATGTAAGACATCGAGTTAAAGGATGTCATTTTGGAGCTTCTTTAAGATTTGAGTGCCCCGCTGGATTTCTGTCTTGCATGGGGCCTTTAGACACTTCATTTTGGCCAATTTCTCCCACTGAAATGGGTGTATTTATCCAATACCTGTACCCCCACTGTGTCCAGGAAGTAATAACTTGCTTTTGATTTTACAGGCATATAGGAAGAAGGGACTTGCCCTGTCTCGGATGAGACTGTGGACCATGGACATTTGAGTTAATGCTGAAATGAGTTAAGCCTATGGAGAACTATTGGAAAGGCATGATTGGCTTTGAAATGTGAAGACATGAGATTTGGGAGGGGCCATGGGCAGAATGATATGGTTTTGCTTTGTTCCCACCCAAATGTCATCTTGAATTGTAACTCCCATAATTCCCATGTGTTGTGGGAGGGACCCAGTAAAAGATAATTTATTCATGGGGTTGGTTTCTCCCATACTGTTCTTGTGGTAGTGAATAAGTCTCAAGAGAGCTGATGGTTTTATAAGGGTTTTCCCTTTTCACTTGGTTTTCATTTTCCCTCATGTCTGCCACCATGTAAGATGCGCCTTTCGCTTTCCACCATGATTGTGAGGCCTCCCCAGCCACGTGGAACTGTGAGTTCAATAAACCTCATTTTCTTACAAATTACCAGTCTTGGGTACGTCGTTATCAGGAGTGTGAAATGGACTAATGCACTCAGTCATTCCAAAAGACCTAAAGTCTGGGCTGCCAGGGTAGTGTGTTGCATGCACCATGTTAACATGGTGGAATGACAGCAGGGCCTCAGGGATGAAGAGAGACAGTAGTTACTGTCCCCCAGGGCAAGACACATTCTTTCAGTGAGTTTGGATTCAAGATGGCACCATGCTTTAGCAGATTAAGTTGCAGGGGTGGAAGGTGCAAGTTGTGGATGAGGTGCTTCTCCTCTGAGGCCATGTCACCCCATGAATTTACAAACTCCTGGCAACACTGCAAACTAGATTTGGGGCTTATCAGGAATAAGAGACTCTTCCATAGCAAGGACAGCTGGTATTGGCATCTGTGGTGGCAATGGGGACCCCCAGTGTTCTCCAACTTACCTTTTCTCTATAAGAATATGTCCTGGGTGCTGGGCAAGATGCCAAGCTAGACACAGCCAGATGGAACAGCTGCTACCAAGAGACCAAAATGACTGGCACACTCCTAACAGATCTTCAGAGGGAAGGCACTGAGAGTAGACAGAGGGAAAACATACAATATAAGCGGAAGGGGAAGCAAGCTGGGAACCCTGCAACATACCAGGACTGTTTCCTGGCCCCCAGTGATTCTGAGGTAATGGGTGAGTTGAAATGGTAAGGAGCAATCTCTTCTGGCCATGGGCCTATGAATGTGGGCACGAAGATACCCCTCAACCACCACAAACACTCAAGATGACAGGGAGAGCTGCTTAGTGAAGTGGTAGGGGCAGCACACCAGCTGATGTGAAGACCAGAGGGTTTGATGTGACAGCATCGTTAGTGAAGTCTGACCAGGGATGTCCATCTACCTAGGTTCAGCTTACTCCCATAGGAGACTTTAGCCCTAGGAGAAATGTTGGACCTGAATTCTACTGGGCAATATTGCCCATCAGACTGGGCCAGCCAGACCTGAGCACCCCTCAGTCTGCTGGCCTGTCCCAGGGTCCTAGTCTAGCTGTGCCTGCCTGCAGAGCAGCCTTGGGTGCCCTGGGGATCCACATCACAGCTCTTGCACTGGGGAACCCTACCTGACTAGTGGAGAGGTCCAGCAGAGTGGGCCCCATGGCCATGCACCAACCCACCAACTCTCTCCCCTCACTGCACCCTACCCCAGGCCCATGGACACCCTCTACATTGCTTTGCTGGCATGTGTGTGCTGGTATGTGAGTGTGGTATAGCCTTCCCTTTGGTGGTGGTGGTGTGTGTGTAATAGCCTTCTCTGCCCCACCAGTGCTCATGTGTGCATACACCGTACCCTACCACTGCTCTGGTGGAGGTGCACTCTGTCCCTATCCCCCCTGCCATATCACCATTGCAGTTAGAGCCTTGGCACACACAGAGACAGCCAGCCAGACCCCCACCAGCACCCTGCCCTTGCATGAACACTGTCACAGGAGTGAAACTAGGTACAGAGAACAGTGGATCCTCCTCACCCTGAGTGAACTCCCCTGCCTGTGGCACAAAGTCCTGCACATGCCAGCACTCCACTCCCACGCTAACATCAGCATGTCCACATGCATAGTTGCCAGCTGGGTCCCCCACTACCACCCAAGCCATGCTGCCTGGACCTCTGTGGTGAACATCCACACAGAGGCAGGCACCCCACCAATCACTAGCACCCTGCCACATTCGATGAGCATGCACCCTGCTGTGCTGCCACTGATGCTGCTGGTGACATGTGCCAGTGAAGATGGATCCCACTGTCGCAGCACTACGAAACATTTTGGCTGACACTACCCATCAGAGTGTAGTGACCAGTAGTCCAGGAGCACCTCACTCCCCACTTCCTCCACCAGCACAGAGGATTCCTCGAGGAGCCAGAGAACAAAATTGAGCCCTGATACAAGTCCCCCAGAGTTAAAGCATACAGTCCAGGAGGTGGTAGCTGAGTGCTGGCATTCTAAAATCTTCCAGAAATGAAGCCAGTTGGCTGAACCTTTGTTATACTACAATCAAATCCTCAAGGTCATCAAATAGAATAAAAGAAAAAAAATCCAAATGTCAGCAACATTTTTTTTTTTTTTTGACGCAGAGTCTTGCTCTGTCACCCAGATTGGAGTGCAGTGGTGCGATCTCGGCTTACTGAAAGCTCCACTGGGTTCACGCCATTCTCCTGCCTCAGCTCAGCCTCCCGAGTAGCTGGGACTACAGGAGACCCCTCACCATGCCCGGCTAATTTTTTGTATTTTTAGTAAAGACAAGGTTTCACCATATTAGCCAGGATGGTCTCGATCTCCTGACCTCATGATCCTCCTGCCTCGATCTCCCAAAGTGCTGGGGTTACAGGTGTGAGCCACCATGCCTGGCCCAGCAACTTTAAAGATTGAAGAAATATCAGTTCACAGACATGAGAAAGAACCAGCAAAAGATCTCTGACAATTCAAGAAGCCAGAGTGCTATCTTTTCTCCCCTATGCTACCTCTGCAGAAAGGGTTTTAGATTGGGCTGAGATGACTGAAATGACAAAAATAGAATTCAGAAAATGGATAGGAATGAAGATAATTGAGATGCAGGAGTACATTGAAACCCAATCCAAAGAAGCTAATAATCATAATAAAACGATGCAGGAGATGACAGACAAAATAGTCAGTATAGAAAAGAATGTAACCAACCTGATAGAACTGAAAAACACACTACAAGAATTTCGTAATACACTCACAAGTATTAATAGCAGAATGGACCAAGTGGAGGAAAGAATCTAACAGCTTGAAGACTGGCTGTCTGAAATAAGACATTTAGACAAGAGCAGATTAAAAAGAATGAACAAAACTTCTGGGAAATATGGGATTATGTAAAGAGATCAAATCTATGACCGACTGGTGCCCCTGAAAGAGACAGGAATAGTGTAAGCAACTCGGAGAACATACTTGAGGATATCATCCATGAGGACTTCCCCAACCTAGCTAGAGAGGCCAACATTCAAATTCAGAAAACACAGGGGACCACAGTAAGATATTTCACAAGATCATCCCCAAGACGCATAATCATCAGATTCTCCAAGAGTTGGTTTTTTGAAAAAACTAATACAATAAATCACTAGCTAAACTAATAAGAAAAGAGAGAAGATGCAAGTAAACACAATCAGAGATGACAAAAGGGTATCTGACCACTGACCCCACAGAATTACAAATAACCATCAGAGAATATTATGAACACCTCTATGCACACAAACTAGAAAATATAGAAGAAATGGATACATTCCTTATCTCATACACTTTCCCAAGACTGAGCCAAGATGAAACTGAATCCCTGAACAGACCAATAACAAGCTCCAAAAATGAATCAGTAATAAATAGCATACCAATAAAAAATAAAAACCCAGGACCAGATAGAATCACGGCCAAATTCTTCCAGAGGTACAGAGAAGAGCTGGTACCATTCTTATTGAAACTATTTCAAAAAATTAAGGAGGAGGGAGTCCTTCCTAACTCGTTCTATGAGACCAGCATCATCCTGATACTAAAACCTGGCAGAGATACAACAATAAAAGAAAACTTCAAGCCAATATCCTTGATGAAAATCGAGGAAAAATCCTCAAGAAAATACTGGCAAACAAAATCTAGCAGCACATTAAAAAGTATATCCAACAATATCAAGTAGGCATTATCCCTGGGATGCAAGGTTGTTTCAACAAATGCAAATCAATAAATGTGATTAATCACATAAACAGAACTAAAGACAAAAAACATGATTATCTCAATTAATGCATAAAAGGCTTTTGATAAAATTCAACATCCTTCATGTTAAAAACTCTCAATGAACTGAAGAAACATACCTCAAAATTATAAGAGCCATGTATAAAAAATCCACAGCCAAAGTCATACTAAATGGGCAAAAGCTGTAAGCATTCCCCTTAAAAACAGGCCCAAGACAAGGATGCCCTCTCTCACCATGCCTATTCAACATAATAATGGGAGTCCTGGCCAGAGCAATCAGGCAAGACAAAGAAACAAAGGGCATCCAAATAGAAAGAAAAGAGAGAAAGTCTAACTATTGCTGTTTGCAGATGACATGATTCCATATCTAAAAAACCTCATAGTCTCAACCGAAAAGCTCCTCAAGCTGATAAATTACTTCAGCAATGTTTCAGGATAAAAAATTAATACACAAAAATCACTTGCATTCCTATAAACCAGCAGTCCCTAACCTTTTTGGCACCAGAGAATGGTTTCACGGAAGACTATTTTTCCATGGACGAGTGGCAGAGAGTGGGGAAAGGTTTTGGGATGAAACTGTTGCACCCCAGATCATCAGGCATTAGATTCTCATAAGGAGCATGCAACTGGGATCCCTTGCATGCATAGTTCACGATGGGATTTGCACTCCTATGAGAATCTAATGCTGCTGTTGATCTGAAAGGTGGCGAAGCAGGTGGTAGTACTTGCTCACCTGCTGCTCATCTCCTGCCGTGTGGCCCGGTTGCTAACAGGCCACGAACCAGTACATGGCCCAGGGGTTCAGTACCCCTGCTATAAACCAACAACAGCCAAGCCAAGAGCAAATCAAGAATGCAATCCCATTCACAATTGCCACAAAAAGAACAAAATACCTAGGAATACAGCTAACCAAGGAGGTGAAAGATCTCTACAAAGAGATCTACAAAACACTGCTAAAATAAATCAAAGGTGACACAAATAAATGGAAAAATATTTTATGCTCATTGATAGGAAGAATCAATCTCATTAAAATGGCTATACTGCCCAAAGCAGTTTATAGATTCAATGCTGTTTCTATCATACTACCAATCACATTCTTCACAGAACTAGAAAAAACGATATTAAAATTCATATGAAACCGTGAAGGAACCCCAATAGCCAAGGCAATCCTAAGCAAAAAGAGCAAAGTTGGAGGCTTCACACTACTTTATTTCAAACTATACTACAGGGGTACATAAACAAAACAGCATGGTAGTGGTACAAAAACAGACACATAGACCAATGGAACAGAATAGAGAGCCCAGAAATAATGTCACACACTTACAACCATCTGATCTTTGACAAAGCTGACAAAAACAAGCAATGGGGAAAGCACTCTTTATTCAATAAATGGTGCTGGGATAACTGGCTAGCCATATACAGAAGACTGAAACTGGAACCCTTCCTTACACCATCTAAAAAATAAACTCAAGATGGATTAAAGATTTAAATATAAAACCCAAAGCTATAAAAACTCTGGAAGACGACCTAAACAATGCCATTCTGGACATAGGAATGGGCAAAGATCTTATGGTGAAGACACCAAAAGCAATTGCAGCACAAGCAAAAATTGACAAATGGAATCTAATTAAACTAAAGAGCTTCTGCACAACAAAAGAAACTATCAACAGAATAAACAGAAAGCTACACAATGAAATAATATATTTGCAAAATATGCATCTGACAAAGGTCTAATATCCCGCATCTATAAGGAACTTAAACAAATGTACAAGAGGAAAAAATAACAGTCCCATTAAAAAGTGGGCAAAGGACATGAACAAACACTTCAAAAGAAGACATACACTCAGCCAACAAGCAAATGAAAAAAAAAAAAAAACCCTCAACATCATTGATCATTAGAGAAATACAAACAAAACCACCATGAGATACCATCTCACATCAGTCAGAATGGCTATCATTAAAAAGTAAAAAAATAACAGGTGCTAGTGAGGTTGCAAAGAAAAAGGAATGTTTATACATTGTTCGTGAGAACGTAAATTAGTTCAACCATGGTGGAAAACATTGTGATGATTTCTCAAAAACCTAAAAACAGAACTACTACAATTGGGCCCAGTAATATCATTATTGAATACATACCCAAAGGAATAGAAATTGTTCTATCATAAAGACACGTGCACACATATGTTCATTGCAGCACTATTCACAATTCCAAAGGCATGGAGTCAATCTAAATGTCCATCAATGATAGACTGAATAAAGAAAATGTGGTACATATAAACCACAGAATATTATGCAGGCATAAAAAAGAACAAGTTCATGTTCCTTTGCAGGAACATAGATGGAGTTAGAGGCCATTATCCTTAGCAAACTAATGCAGAAACAGAAAACCAAATAATGCATGTTTTCACTTATAAGTGGAAGCTAAATGATGAGAACATGTGAGCACATAGAGGGGAACAACACAAACTGGGGCCTATTGGAGGATGGAGGGTGGGAGGAGGGAGAGGATCAGGAAAAATAACTAATGGGTACTAAGCTTAGTTCTTGGGTGATGAAATAATCTGTACAACAAACCCTCATGAGATGAGTTTACCTACATATTAATAACAAACCTGCACATGTACCCCTGAACTTAAAAATAGGAAGCGGTCCCCCTAGACTGAGCAGATCTGTGTAGAGGAGACAGAGGCAGAAGCAGGATACCTTACTCCTCTCTCTATGGTGCTATCCTGGGCTTTTACGTTCCATCAGGATTTCACCACTCCCTTGGTGCTCCTCAGCATACTTGCTCAGTCATTCTAGCCAAAATACAGTTGTTTATTCCCTCATTTCCCTATAGCTGTTTTGTTCCTTTTTTGGGGGAAGATGATTGCCAGCCAACTGTACTTGGCTATGTTGGTGATATTACTCTTTAATAGCATTTTAACCACCTTTCCTTCCTTAATTTTTACCTCTCTACTGTCCATTTCCTATAAAGAAATTATGGAATAATTTAAAATTCAAGTCAGATCAAGTAATTCCTCCAAAAACTTCCCATCTCATTCAGGTAAAATTCAAAGTGCTAACTATGTCTTGCAAGGCCCTTGGTGATTGGGACTATAGAGCATATCTCTTGTCATTCCTCCTGTCTCCCACTTTGCTACAGGCACCCTAGCCTCTCTGCTGTCCTTAAAACCACTGCCATGCTCTCCCTTCAGGGCATTTGTGTATGTGGTCCTTTTCTGAAACATTCTGCCTTAGATAGCAGCATAACTTTTTCCATGCTCTTTTCCATTCTTTTTTTCTTTTTGCCTCTCACTTAGTTTACATTTTATTTTAAAAAGGTAATTTTTTAATATTTTATGAAATAACATTCTCCATTATTTTTTATTCCCCCTTTTCTTTGCTGTAGTTTTCTTTGTAGCATTTATGGCCATGTGGCATATTATACTTGGATTTAGTGATGCACTGGACTATTCCATTCCCTTTATTTCTAGAATGTAAGCTTGTTGAAGACATGGACTGTCTTAGTCTCCTTGTACTGTGATAACAAAGTACCATCAACTGGGTGACTTAGACAATAGAAATTTATTTTCTCAGAGTTTTGGAGGCTAGAGTCTAAGATAAAAGTGCCAGCATGGTCAGGTTCTAGTGAGGGCAGTCTTTCTAGCTTGCAGACGGACACTTTCTTTCTGTGTGCTCACATGGTCTTTCCTTGGTGTGTGCATGAGAACTTGAAGTCTTTCTCTTTTCCTTTTTTTATAAGGCCTTGAATCCTGTCAGATTAGTATTCCACCCCTGTGATCTCATTGAACCATAATTAGCTCCTAAAATCCCTTTCTCCAAATACAGTCACACTGAAGTTAAGGCTTCAACATACAAATTTTGGTGGAGAACTGTTTAGTCTATAGCAGAGACTTTATTGAATTGTAGAATGAATGCATGAATTTTTTTCCATGTACCCCTTGGCTCATGTGTAAAACAGAGAATGTGCCTGGACATCTGTATAACATATGCAAGCATTCTGGGACAGTTAGGAGCCCTTTGAACATTCTGTAACATTTAAGTGTCTGTGTGTGCTTCAATTTTTCTATGTGCTTTCTGTAACATTTAAGTGTGCTTGACTCACTTATATGCAAACTCGCACACACACACACACTCACATGACTCTAAGGATAGGGAGGGCTGCTGCTCTATCTCTAGAACGGATGTATGCCATCATCTCTAAGTCCCAGTTCAAGCCCAGTCAGTATGCTCCCTTCCACTCACCCTATGTGAAAATTTTATAGTCTTTTCCAAAGTTCAATACCATTCTAAGCAGTCACGTGGGAGGAAAATATAGTCTTTTAGTTGGAACACCTAATGTTTTTTCGGAGCTGGGGACTTTATTTCCTAAGGTCAAATAGTATCAGTCAAGTATTGCAGAAATCACACAAAGAGCCTAGATCTAGGGTGGCTTGCATGCTTTTACTTTGTGGGTGACAATTCTGCTTCTAGAGTTGCTTCTACCTTACTTACCACTCATCTGTTCAACATTGTCATCACAGTTAGGATCCCCTGTGACTGTGGAACATGTATCAGGAATTCATGCACGGCCTAGCAGATATATGCCTTTTTCTTAAAAAGAATCCTGAAGTGGTTACAATTCATTTATATCAGTGGACTAGTGTCTGTGTCCTCAGCGTGGAACCCCAAATCAGAAGATTAGAAAAGCTGGTCCACAGCTACTCTTTGAGGAAGTTTCGCCTTCGTCCCACTGGGGCCCTGGGTCACCGATATTTAATTGTTATATTATTTTCTGATGGCTGGGAGGAAGGTTTCAAAATTGATGAATATTGCCCCACCCACTGTGCTATCATTTCATCTTAGGTTTTTTACTCCCATAGCACTTCCTGCCTGCCTTCACAAACAAGAGGTTATTAAGGGTAGGAGTTGCTCAATTTGTGTATTTTAAGCAAATTTTCAACATAATTTTAGCTTTCAAACTTTTTACCTTTCAAACCCAAAAGTGAGTTTAACTAATAACAAAATGGTTGGATTTACTGGTTTCCAATGGACTGCAACAGAATACTCTCCCTTCAAAGTTGGGTCGTGCTATCTGTAGTCATGGTATCCTTTAAGTTTCCCTGTAAAATTCAGATTTAGAGTCATTTGTTGCACTGACCTCTATAGTTATTTCACCACTATTTTGTTTTTTATTCTTGTTCTGAAAAGTAGTTTGCCCTTTGCCCCCTCCCTTATTAAGTTCCGTCACTGGAACACCATCAGTCATCATTGCTTTTTTGCTGCCTATATAATTTTCTTTATATATATATATATATATATACCTATATCTATCTATCTATATGCATCTATCTAGATACATAGACAGATATCTGGATAGACAGATAGATAGATAGATAGATAGATAGATAGATAGATAGATATAGATAGATAAATAGATAGACAGATACATATATTTATCTTTTTGGCATCCTGAGAAGTTTGGCATGTTTTATGTATGAATGTCTTCTCAGTATAGAAGTTCATATATGAATATCATGGGCCAGCATACAGGCTCCCAGAGAACCTGGCAGCATCCTGGCACTTAGGGTTAAAGAGTTATTATCATACCAAATATCTAGCTCCAAAACATTTCCATTACTATAAAGTAAAACCTCTTATCCATTGAGCAGTCAATCCCCATGCCACTGATAGCCCCTGGTAGACCCTAATCTACTTCTGTCTCTATGAACTTGCCTATCCTAGCGTTTTATATGGGTAGAATCATATAATATTTGTCCTTTTATGCCTGGCTTTTCACTTATATAATGTTTTGGAGGATCATCCATGTATCAGTACTTCATTACTTCTTATAGGTGAAGAATACATACAATATTCCATTGTATGTATGTAATACAATTTATTCATCCACTAATGGAAGTTTGGGCTATTTTCACTTTTTGATTATTATTAATAGTGCTGTTATAAATATATGTATTTGTGAAAACAGGTATTCAAGTCCATGCATATGCATGTTCATAGCATGAGTACACATAATAATCACGTAATCAAAAGATGGATATAATGTCTTCATATTTTTTATGCTTGGGGATTGCTGAGCATCTTGGACCTCTGGATTTAAGTTTTCATCAAATTTAAAATATGTAAATGCTATTTATTTTCTTGCTTCTCCTTTCCTTCAGGGAATCCAGTTACATGTGTATTTGGCTGTTTAGAATTACCTCACAGCTCACTTTTTTTTTAAACTCCTTTCTCTGTTTCATTTTGAATAATTGCTATTGTTGTGTCTTCAGTGTCACTAATATTTTCTTCTCCATTGTCTAATTTGCCATAATCTCAACCAGTGTATTTTTTTAAATCAAAGACATTGTAGTTTTTTTGCTAAAAGTTTTATTTACGTATTTTATATAAATTCTGTTTCCATTTAATGTTTGGAATAATAAATGTTTTAATATTATTGTCCTCTAATTCTAACATCTGTGTCAGTTTTGGTTCAGTTTGTGTTGATTGATTGATTGATTTCTGCCCTCCTTATGGGTTCTATTTTTTGCTTCTTTGCAATCCTGATAATCATTGACTGGATAGCAGACATTACAAATTTTGACTCAATGGGGATGGAGATTTTTGTGTCTCTGGAAATATTCTTGAACTCTGTTAAGTTATTTTTAAATAGCTCGAATTTTGAGGGTCTTGCTTTTAAGTTTTGTTAGGTGAAACCATAAAAACAGTTAGTTTAGTTCTAATTATTTGTCATTACTGAGGCCAGACTCTTCTGAATGCTCAATGCCATGATTCATGAGAAGGCCATTTTAGCTGATGCGAACAGGCACTATTCTTGGCCCTTTGTGAGTGCCAGGCAGTGTTCAACTTAATCATCTATGATTCTTTCCCAAACTCGGGTAGTTTTCTTACATGCATGTAAGAATTAGTACTCTGCTAAATATGGAAGTCAGATGCTCCACACTCTTCTCTTTGTAGCTCTCTCCTTTCCATTACTCTGTCCTGCAACCTCTAGTAGCTTGATTCTTCCAGATTCTCAGTTCCTCAATGGAGGGAATCTGCTGGTGCTGCCTCAGTTCCTTTGGGCTGCACCAAAAGCTAGAAACCCTGTTAAGGCAGTTATCTGGGGCAATCATAGGGCTCTCAGGAATCACTGTCCTTAGTTGCCTGATACCTATTGCCTTGAAAACTGTTGTTTTCTATATCTACCTGCCAATTTTTTTGTTGTTTGTTTTCAGATAAGAGATTAAATCTTGTCTTTGTTACTTTATTTTGGTCAGAATTGGATGTACTTTCTCATCATTTAGTCAATGATAATTGTCCTTTGATTCTCTGAACTATTCTAGTTTCCTACCGAGAAGTTTCCTTTTTGTTGAAACTGGCTTGATTTAGGTTTTTCCAATTTATATCTGAAAAAATCATGATTAATCAACAGGCAATAATCTAAGAACACTTGAATTTATACAGCAGATTGACAAAGTCAGAATCCATTTAATATTATTAAAATTAACTGTTAAAAATCTTATTTTCTGCAATTTTTTAGTGGTAGGCCCAACTATGTATGATTTAAGTCCTGATGAAAGGAAGAAAAATTATATTCTTCCATCTAGATGAGCGACAGAGGGAAATCTGATAAAGATGCCGTAAGTCCACAGAAATCAGAGATTTCCTCTTGGTTTCTGTGTAATAATTGACAAAATCCCTGGATGCTTCTAGCAAATGTTACTGCAACATAAATGCTTCATAAAAGGCAGATGCAACATGAGATGCAGGTTCACTTCAGGCTTCAGACACTTTTAATACGACTACTGCCCACCTGCTTGAACCCTTAAGACTTTTCTTCCTTGAAAATAAAATTTTGCTGTGTTATAGATAGTAGTTCAAAAATATCTTAATATGTAATAATTGTAGGTCCCATTTATTCCCTCTTAACTGTACATGAATCATCAACTCCTTTGGGAAATATTTTGTGATGTAAATGCTGTAACCTTTTCTGGGCTATTTGGCATTACTGTGTGAGAGAGCATAACTCTGACCTCATACAGTGAAGCATCAGTAACTTAACAGATTGACAGGGCTGGGACCAAATGCACAGAAATCTTTGACATGTAAGAGGCTATTTTGGTAGCTTTCATCGTGCTTGACATTCTTTTGACCTATGTCGCTATTTATTTTTTCTATAATGATGTCATCATAAAGCTATGTGTTACTAGGAAAATTTCCCTGGTAGTTTAAACATAAGAAAAAATGTTAATTTCATTACCTTGTCTTCTCATAGAATGTTTCTGCCATCTGGCTTTTGAAGGGTAAACTAGAAGGTAAGATTGTATTTTAAAAATTACCAACAGTGGTGTATATTATGGCTGAAGAAAATGTTCTGAGTTCAATGAAATGTTTTTTATATCTAAAATTGGAACTTGGTCTATAGAAATAGAGAAATCTCCTTGAAATTTCTAGAGAACAAGAAATGAAAAAATAAACAATGAGAGAAGTAACATGAAGCCAAATATATATTTATGGAATCAAACTCTGATTCCTATTAGTAGAACCTGTATCTAATAAAATTGAATAATAAAATATGCAATACCTAAAAAAGGAAATGACCATAGACCTGCTTAATAAATAATGATTTATTTTCTCGAAGATGACACACATCAAATTTGAGTTTGATATGAAGTTGAAAGAAATTGCGAACTTGTTAGATGACAGAATTTGGAGTAAAAAAGCTCTTAACAGGCTAGAAAATTGAGCCTAATTTTAACATTGCACTAGATACAACTTAAGTGACAAGATGAAAGGTTTTTTTTTTTTTAACTGGGCTTTAAAGTAGGAGAAGCATGTGTGTGTTTGTGTGTCTGTATATATGTGTGTGATACACATATATATGGAGTGATAACATGATCATTAAGTGTCAAGTAATATGTGAACAATTTATATGAATTATCCCATTTCATACTTATGACTACCTGAGACTATAATTACTCCTATTAATTCTACCAAAGCAGACACTGAATTTCAGAGTGGTAAGTGATAGAGTCAAGATATTAACCTGATCCTGGTCCAACTGATTATAAAGACCAAGCTCTTATTCATATTCTATTTGCGTTTCTTTAGCTAAATATGAGTTACATTTTACATGACTACTCAAGAAACCCAAACTACATGAACGACAGTGAAATATCTAATAGTGGAGAGGTAAATGTTTTCTTTCGGACATAAAACAAACAAAATCAAAGAAACAAAGCCATCAGATGTGTTTCTGCTCTGTAAGCTGTTGTTCAGGTTGCCTCATACAAACATAGGTGTGAGCTAAAGAAGGTCATGGTTAAACAATGGTGGACAATATGTGTGTCTGGACTCTGCTCTTACAGTTTACTTATGCCCACTGTTCATGCTATACATTTGTTGTTACTAAATACCACCGACTGTGTGGCTTAAACAACAGAAGTTTGTTTCCTTGCAGTCCTAGTCCAAGATCAAATTGTCAGCAGAACTGATTTATTCTGAGGTTCTCTCTCCTTGGCTTGGCTTGGAGATGGATGCCTTCTTCTCGATACCATCACATGGTCTTCCCTCTCTGTGTTTCTGTGTCACGATCTCCTCTTGGCAGGACACCAGTCATATTGGTTTAGGAACCACTCATAAGATCTCATTTTACCCTAATTACCTCTTTAAAGGTCCTATATCTAAATCTAGTCACATTCTGAGGTATTGGGGTTAGGACCTTAACTTACGAATTTTGAGGGAAAAAAATTTATCTCCTAGCATATGCTAATGATTGATATCATATCCAATTTCAGAGAGAGGCCAAAGGGCCTAGTTTTATTACTTGGAAAGGCTGAGAAAACTCAATGCAAGATGGGATATTTCAGATGAGTGTTTAAGTGGTCTCCCATGGTCAGATAGTCCATCTCTACCAGGGTCCAAGAGCATGATGTATGTTGCTTTTCATATTATGTACTCATTTTCACTGTAGATGACAAAGAAAGCCTTTATTTAGAATCCTAGGGACCTCCATTGTAATCTTTCTATAAAACCTTTCTAGTCACTGATCTTCTTTTTTTTTTTTTTTTTTTTTTTTTTTGAGAAGGAGTCTTGCACTGTTTCCCGGGCTGGAGTGCAATGGCACGATCTCAGCTCACTGCAACCTGCACCTCCTGGGTTCAAGCGATTATCCCTGCCTCAGCCTCCCAAGTAGCTGGGATTACAGGTGCACACCACCACACCTGGCTAACTTTTTGTATTTTTAGTAGAGACAGATTTTCACTATGTTGGCCAGACTGGTCTTGAACTCCTGACCTTGTGATCCACCCACCTCAGCCTCCCAAAGTGCTTGGATTAGAGGCGTGAGCCACCACGCCCGGCCTATACTTCTTAATATTATAAGGGTATGCTGGGTCACATGACCCAAGTGGCAGTACCTCTAGCCTTAAAGATTGAATCTGGTGTAATACCCATTCCTGCTCTAAGTCCCACTCAAAACTGGCTCTATCATGCATTGCGCTTCCTTAACCATAGTGGAAAGTAAAACATTAAATAATTTGTTTTTACTTTGGAAGGGCTGTTTCAACCCTCTTCTGACTGTTGTAGCCCTAAAAGTTTTGCAAATTTAGCTAGGCCCTCAATCTTCATGGGGTTTATCTCCAGTTTCTGAAGCACATGTGTCTCCCTAAATAGTAACAACTACTTTTTCACCCAGCTTAATGAGCTTGTAAACAATGTGATGGATCAATATGCTGTTCATACTATGAAGACAGCCCAGATTTCTTTAGATTGTATTATGACTGCACCGTAGTTAACCTAGCTCTTGGGAAAAATAGTAAATGAACATTATTGCCCCTTCCACGTGAATGCAAACATTTTCTAATTTTTCCTTCTGGATAAAGTAAGAAAGTCCTCCTTTACCAAATCAATAGCCTTATAGCATACAGGAACCTGGGGCCATAGTAATCTACTCTACATAAAACCACATCTAGCACAAAGCCTGCAATTGAGGCCACTACTGGGTAAAGTTTATGATATCCTGACTTTTCAACTTTGAATAGCCATTGCTTTTATTATGCTTGTAAGGAGCCAATGTTGTGAATTAGCAACATTTCTTGGAGTCCTCACTAGGGTGCTATATTTCTTATAATGGGAGTGTGCTTCCAATACCCTGCCACTTATAACTATTCAATTTTATGTACTAGACTTTTAAATAAAGCATTCCTGAAATCTAGTTCTACCTTACTCCTCTGGCCCTTGTTGGTCCATACTAACTAGGTCATGATACTCTTTGAGGTGGAGTCCCTTTTCTCAGTTATTGGCACCAGAACGTTTGGGCTGGTTCGTGTTATAGGCCTAGGGAGTGGAATGGGAGAAGGAGGGAGGTGGGGCAGATCCTAGAGGAGGATAATGTGCTATATTGTGGGCAAAAGGCCTCTGCATTTTTTCTAAGCAAGTGGCAGTGGGTGGGGGGTTGCAATTATTAGCATAGAGGGATGGGTAGTTTCTGCAAGCTAAGAGTTGAAAGGATTCTGAATATAGAAAATTTTCAGAGGCATATACCCAGATGTGTCTACCCAAAGTGCCAAGGTACAATTTATTTTTCAGCCAGGCAAGAGCCAGCACTTTTGCATCACAGAACTGCCTTGGTTGGGCATTTAACCTTCTCTGGAGTTAAGGCACTCTATTAAGTACTGGTCCTCATCCTCGATTTTCTCTAATCTTCTGATCCAGAATATGAAAGCCTTTTGGTAGGCTATCAGAGAGACCTACTGAATTTCAATATTTAATTTTCAATGACCTGTTAATCACCCAGAGCTTTTTCTAGGTTAGCAGTGGTGCTTAGCAATTGTCTTCCCTTTCTCATAATATTTAAGCTTCTGATACTTTGCAGCAGCTAGAGCATTTACCTCCACTGGTATCTTATCTCAATTCACCACCAGGGAGAGTTTTAATAATTGTACCATCACCTTAAGCCAAGGATTTTTCTGTGTTCTACATACTACCAATAATTGTATCTTCATTGACAGATGTGTAGTTAAGTGAGTTAGCTCCAAAACCACACCATAACACTTTCTTTCTTTGAATATCATTGATATGAAATATCACAGTGTGGTTCTCTGGAAGCAGATGTTGAGATTGAGATTTTCTGCAGGATAATTATTGAATGATAACATCAGGGGTTGGAGGAATATAGTACATACAAGATTAAGCAAAAGAAAAAGACAAATTGCCATGAAATCCCAACAAAGCATGGGCCAACCCCACGGGAAGATCTGGAATATTCCCCATGAAACTCTGATAGATTTGGCTTTTGGTTGTCTGAAATGGTTAGGCATTGTACCACACTTGACACATCTGCCCCCATGCAATTCAATAAGGGTTCTTTCTTGACAAGGTATCACTTTGCAGCTGAGGGAAATGGAAAGAGTTGACAGTTGGAAGGTATATGCTTTAGTAGCTGAGGCTGCATATCCTTCCTTGAAGAATATGAGCTATGCATCTCAACTTGCGACAAAAAAGTTAAGTTGTATTCTCTATTCAACCATGTATCTTGCAATAAAACTAATATCAGAGGAATCAAATAACCACATCAATGTCAATTTTAAGTGGATCATTTAAGAAAAAAATCCAATTTCTTAACACTTAGCCTATTCCCTCTGTATATTACCCCAATTTTGTTTCACAAAATAGTCTCTTGTGTGCTATTGAGAATGTGTTTCATTCCAGTAGATATTTTTCTGTTTTTTTTTTCATTTTCTAGTGACAAATTTATATAGTAACACAGTTCATTCTCCACATATGAGTACTGCTCTGTTTTCTCTGAGAAAGAGGATTATTTTAAAACGCATTTATAGGGAGTGGAAATATGCCAACATACTCTTGGCTTAATTGTGTTTATTTAAGAACCCAGTTACTTAAAAATATTTATTTTAGAACAAAAATGAAACTAATACATAAAATAAAAATGAGATAATAGATATTTATTTTCAAGCCACTAAATTTGGGAATAAATTATTATGCAGCAATACATAACACAGTTATGTCTATCTAATTATTTATTTACTTGCTTACTTTATTTATTTATTTAAAGCCTATGACAATAATTCATAAAGGCAGGAACTCTATCTGGTTTATGAACTGCTTTATTTCTAGCACCTATTACAGAACTCAATGTGTAGCAGATATTTAATGAAAGCATGGTGAATAAATAAAAGAATAAATGAAAGAATGAACACATAGATACTAATAAAAGCTCTCCAAACATGAGGTAGGCTTTTTCTGGAAGAAATATTTCTCTCCTTACCCGAAATGTTCACCAATAATCTTGTTGAAAGTTTGGCAATGAGAAAATTTGACAAATGAGATTTTTGTTAAGTGAATCTGGAGGCTCAACATGGAGATTCAGAAACTCTCTTATATGGATTTCTTTATGTCTCCATACTTTCCTCTCTCAAATGAAACAAAACTTCTCTCTAAGCACCCTGGGGTAAGCCTTCAAGCAATGCAATATTTTGTAGTATCGAGCAAGAAATTCTTCTGGAAAAAAAACCCTAGAAATATATACACACACACACACACCCCACACCTGTATATACACACCTACTTAAAATAGGATTTCTGGTTATATCACATTCTTACTTAGAATGGAATAGCAGGTAATGATAAATACCTTCTCTTTGAAAAGATCCTGAACTTCCAAACCAGATATCTTGGACTTTAATTTAATTTAGTTTCTTTCTAGATATATTTCTATGGGCATATTATTTTGATTCCCTAATTTCCAGCTCAAGCTCAGACATCCTTTAAAATCAGTGTTATTCATTCATATATCTGCTATAGATAATCAATTTCACTTTTCCCAAGCACCTTAAACACAACATATCCACAAATTAATCAATAGTTTTCTTAAACCATCTCACCAGTCCTATTTTACCAATATCAAATACCTCTTCCTCCTGTGTTCTAATAGTTAATGTTGCCACCATCTAGTCACTGCAGTCATTCTAGATATACATTCATCTCCACTACACTGAATTTGGATTTTTTATAAAAGGCATCAGGAATTATTCTCTTCCTGGAGATGTCAATGGGCCTCACAGCCGCCTGAGTTACCATCTTCATATCTTGTGTATACTTGTGCCGTGGGACTCATCACATAATATTTCAGTTATATTTTTATATATCTCTTTCTTCTATAGATCTTTGCTCTTTTGTGGCAGAGAGGAAATTCTATTCACCTTTGTATTCCTGATACAATGCACAGAATCTGACATAATTAAGCAGTTGGAAAATTGTTTAGTATAGTTGAACAAATAAATATTATATGTTTTAATGTGTAAATTAGAAATGAGTTATATATAATATATAAATGATTAGTATTATAATAAACAATACTATACATAAATATATAAATATATAATATTTATATATAAAGTTGTATTATATATATACATACATAGAATGTCATAGATATTTGAAAGCATTTAATGCAGTGCCAAGAAAATAGTGAGCCTTCAAAAAATTTGTGAAGATAAATTAAGAAAATTCTGATGTAGAAATTTAGGGACAAAAAGTTGTGAGTCTGAGAAATTGCCTTGTTCTGCCAAATATGAGACATTTGAACCTGAACAAGGTCATTCCTAAGGTCTTGTTTCATAAGAAAGACAGGACTCTCTTAAGTCCCTTTATCTCTAAAATTTTGGGCCTTTACTGTGTCTATGTATGTCTATATCTATGTACATAAGTACAGAGTTCTATTAATATTATCTTACCTGAATTTTAAGATAATATGCTCTGCTTTACTCACGTTATTATTGTTAGCATTTAGTATGATATCTATCAAATAATAGGGAGTTAGTACATATATATTAGGCAAATACCACAGTAACATTTACTTTACATTTTCAGTTTGATGCTGTTTCTAAATGAATATTCACTGGTATTATTTTGCTCTGTGTTCATTTAACCCTGGTAAATCAGGTCTTGCAACTTGGCTTCAATCTGCACAGAAGAATCAGTTTTAAAAGGTATGTGTCAATCTTCATAATCCTTGTTGAAGTGGATTCAATGCCACCTTCAAGTCCTTAATGTATTTATGCCCACTTTTGCTGGAAAAAAAATGATACACAAGCTACACTTTAATGATCTCAGCCATTGTTTCATAATGAAAATATCACAAGAGGAATTTATACAGCAATTAGATTATTTAAAAAATTCTATGTAGAATTTTAAATAAATCAATCCTCTTTTTTGTGGTCTGGTTTATTATGTTAATATAATATAACTAGAGTGAAGCACAGAAACTATATAAACTGATGCTTTTCTTTCCTGTTGTTCTCTTTTATTGATAAAAATGTACAGATGGCAAAGGATCCAGGGGGAGTCACTATATAGAATATTTCATGGAAAAATTAGTATTTTAAAACCTCCATGTTAGAGTTTTAGTTGATTGAGAACAGTTACCTTGATGGCTATGTTCAGAGGAATTCTGAATCTCAGGGGAAAAAGAATGAAGAGCCTTAAGATCTATCTTCATTATGGAAGTGGGGAGTGGCTAAAAGTAAACCACCTCTTTGCCTTTCCTGGACACTTTTCTCCTACTACCCAACCAAGACAAAGAGGCAAATGGGAATGATATGATTTCAGGGTATTGTCATTAATGCTTGGATAAAACTCATCTAAGTATTAATTGTGTAGCTAAAAGCAGAGCTTCTGAGTGTACATAATAATAAGCCTTGTGATGTAAGAAGCAGGATGATGGACAAAGAAGACATCTGTACTGTGTTACCAAGAAACAAGTGTCTTCTTATAAAGAAAGTCGTATCTGGTAAGACATTTCATTGGAAAGTATGTGAGTGAGGGGGAGACTTTTTGGCCTGTTTTAATACATTTTCTGTTGCTATAACAGAGTACTGCAGACTAGGTAATTCATAAAGAATAAAAATTTATTTGGCTTATGGTTCTGGAGGCTGGAAAGTTCAAGAGCATAGTGTTAGCATATGGTGAGTATCACTGAATGGAAGAAGGACAAAAGGCAGAAGAAAGCATGTGAGGCGGAGACAAAAAGGGGGCTGAACCCCTGCGGTAATTAACCCACTCCAGTGATAATGGAATTAATCCATTAAGAAGGGTAGAGCCCTCATGACTGAGTCACCTCTTAAAGTTCTAACTTTTCAATACTGTTGCATTGAGGATTAAGTTTCCAACACATGAACTTTAAAGAATGTGTTAAAGTCATAACATTACCAATGTTAGAGAAGTATCTATACTTTTAAAAAATAAAAACACTTTTTGCTCTTGTAAGCCCAGCATGTAAGTGTTCAAAACATTAGCCTAATAAGTATTTTTGCTCATTATTCTGGAGGCAGTAAGACGAGATCACTTAAGTGCTTCAAGGTACACAGGCTCACGGATAGGCTCACATTATGACTTGGGTTTGATGGCAGTGGCAGCCTGTCTGGGGTGGCTGCTGCCATGACCCAGGCTGCAGTGGGGGAGGCATGGCCGGGGCTGTGTGCCCCAGGAAGCCAGTGGGAAACAGGGACAGGTGGAAGTCCTCTTCCCTTCCCAGTTGGAGATGCGGGAATCCCGCCCTCCCGGGTGCAGCTGCAGCCGCCCAGCTGTGACTGGACTGAGGCATCACCGCACTCTTGAAGGCCTAGGAAGTGCCCCTGCTCCTGCAGGCTCACAAGTGACTGTTCCCACTGCCTGGCCTCTCCCCACTCCCGGTGCCTGCTCTGATTTTGGAGCAAAGTTGTGGACGATCCAGGGTGCTGTCATGACCCAGGTATGCACATGCTTGGGGCAGCATTGACACACCAGGGCCCTGCTGCCTCGGCCCCCTCTGGATTTTGGGCACTGACCAGCAAGACAGGGAGACCAAGAGGGGGTAAAGGCCACTCAGCGCAGGCCTACAAGCACCTCTCAGCACGAACAGCCTGGGTGCTGTGGGCACCATGGATGGCAGGTTAATGGCAGTAGGAGGTAGACAGGCTCCTGGGTGGAAAGGGATGGGTCCCCAGTGAAATCCCACCTTCAGGCCACAGAGGGCCTGAGGCCTGGAGGCCGGGCTACTAGTTCCCTCCACAGGAGTGAGAACTTAGAGTGATTTTTCCGGGTCTGCCAATGGCCGCCCATGGACCAATCAGCTCACATTTCCTCCCCTCTGAGGCCTGTAAAACCCCCCAGACTCAGGTCAACTCCAGCAGACGACGGGAAGACTTGCCTGCAGAGAGGAGCTACCCACTGTGGGTTTCCTCTCTGCTGAAAGCTGAGCAGATGATGAGACGACCTGTCTGCAGTGAGGAGCTACCCACTATGAGTCTCCTCTGAGCTGTTCTGCCGCTCAATAAAACCCTCTTCGCTTTGCTCACCCTTCACTTGTCCACGTACCTCAGTCTTCCTGGATGCTGGACAAGAGCTCGGGATCTGCTGAATGATGGGGCTGAAAGAGCTGTAACGCAAGCAGGGCTGAAACACGCCCCTTACTCTCCACATTGCAGGTGATGAGAAGCGAGAAGGAGAGAAGAGCTGCGGCCCTTCGGGGAGCCCAGACCTTGTTGCTCTCTGAGCCATGGCTGTGACACCCTCTTTGGAGCTCTGTGGTTCCTGGTGTCTCCAAGCTTCCAGGCTCCACCATCACATTCCCTGGTGCCTGGAAGCTGCTTGTGGTACTCCTGGTCCATCTACAACCTCACAGGGAACGAGCGCCTATGCGGGCACCTGAAGCTGCCTGCCCTGCCACAGCGTGCCTGGTTATGTGCAGTGGCGGGACCCCAGGCTCACTCACTCACACAGCCGTCACTGCTCCACGCCTCGCTCGCCCTTGGCAGGCGTGGAATCCAGACCGGTAGCGTAAGCCAAGCGCAGCCTGCCAGGCCAACTGTGTGCAATGAGCCCAGTGGGCCTCAGCAAAACTCGGGCAAAGGTGCCACCAGCCACAGAGTTTCTGGCCAGAAAAGTGACACTCCAAGGATCCTGTGACAGTTTCACACCTAACAAGCTGGAAAGTGTGTGCCTATAACTGTTCAAAACAGGTATTAAATTTGATACTTAATAATCACCAAAGATAGTTTTTCTTTCTTTTTTTTTCTTGATAATCTGTTTTGGTATTTTGTTCTTATTACCACCCAACAGTATTTTTATATTAATATGTAAAATCCCTAACTTTTATTACAAAAGCCATTTCATTTTTATAATTCTCTTTCTGAATGGGAACAAGAGTCAGACTCCCAAGAGAAGGAGATACCAAAAGTTAGCCATATATTCAAGACCCCAGAAAATGAGCTGTGGTTCAGAGAGGGGCTTCAATTCCAGCAGGGAATGGAGATGCTATAGGAAAGGAAGCATACAGACCATAGGGCAGAAGTGGTAGGAGCACAGAAAGAGGGGGAGACTGTGGCTCACAGAAACTCACTGCCCACACACTCCTGGGATGTATAATTTATAACAAGACAACTAATTCCAGACTAGTCAGTATTGGAAAAAAGCATTAGCAGTTTATATCAGATTGATCTAGGAGCTGGTTAAATTTGAACCCGCAGAGAAGTAGCTCAGTGCCGCTACAGTAGGTGAAGATAGTGGATGACAGTATCAATTTTTACAACAAATAATCATTGAGCACTCACTATGTGCTAAATACTGATAATATAGCACTGAACAAACAGAAAGCTCTTCTTTTAGTAAGTTTACATTTTGGAGAGTGTGATGAAAATAAGCAACAATAAAAATATAGTCATCATTTAGAGACTGTGATATGCACTTTGAAGGTTATAGACCAGGTAATGAGAAACAGTTTAAAAGATTTTAGGACAACCTAAATAGTCTGGGAAGGTGACAATAGAAAATGGGTGAGATAAAAGTAAGTTATCCATTAATAAAGAGGCACTGTTTTCAGTACCATATTCACAGAAGCACAAATGTGCAGCACTAGCAATATGCTTATAGAACTAGAACACCATGTGGACCCCATTTCAGCTAGACAATACGATGTTATTTGCCAAGAATTTGGCAGAGAAAATTGTTTCAAAGTGTTAGTGTAATTGAAATACAAAGACTATTTTTATCAAACTATTAGATCTTTAAATACTATAACAAAAATAGCTTTGTTAATGTCAACATATGCTGGAAGTGAATTAACATCTTGTTTGTTTCCTTTAGTTTTGCTTTTTCAGTTATACACAATCACAAAGGTTTTTCTCCCCCAGGGAAACAAATACTAGACTTACTCATTTTCATTGGAAACAAGAAAAACAATACTAATATCTTGTACTTTATAATATTTGTAAAGCAGTATTCAAATTATCACCCTTCAAATTATAATGTAAATACTGCTTTGGTTGGAGAAATCAATCAATTTAATTGAAAAAAAGTACTTTGTAGCTTGAAATTTTCATTAATTTTATAACCTCTGGTAGAAACTATCCTTCTTACCAAGAATAGTTGTAGCCCCTTGGAAGCCTGGGGCATATGTAGAAAATGGAAAGACAGATTATGTCAAATAATCTCATACAATTATGTTAGAGGAACCTCATCTAATTACATCACATTTTTCGGGTGAAGTTTCAGGAACTTAATGCACACAGGACCCACACTAAACACTAATAATTTTCTAGATTGAATCCTGCACCTTGCAACATTGACAGCAAATATATCCTTTGCATCATTCTCAATGTCTAGCATTCATTGTTCAAAGAAATGAATTTTAAGAATTGTAGACACAACCGGGTGCGGTGGCTCACACCTGTAATCTCAGCACTTTGGGAGGCTGAGGTGGGTGGATCACCTGAGGTCAGGAGTTGGAGACCAGCCTGGCCAATATGGTGAAACTCTGTCTCTACCAAAAATACAAAAATTAGCTGGGCTTGATGGCAGGCGCCTGTAATCCCAGCTGCTGGGAAGGCTGAGATGAGAGAATTGCCTGAATCCGGGAGGCGGAGTTTGCGGTGAGCCAAGATCACAACATTGCACTCCAGTCTGGGCAACAAGAGTGAAACTCTGTCTCAAAAAAAAAAAATATATAGCTACTACCTACTATGTAGGGAAAAAAATGAACATGGGACATTTTGTCATAAGAAATAATGCATATATTTTACCAGGTAGGTCTATTTGATACATAAGACCATAAGAATGTCATAATAATTTCTAGCCATGCCTTCAAAATTATGAAAGTTAGGTCAACTGCTAGGCTTCACAGCTTAAGAATGTAGCCAAAAGGAGCTCTTGCATGTCCAATTATGTATTCTTATAAAAGATTCCCTCAACCAATTGATCTGTGTATGGAAATCTATCGATATAAAGCTTATTTTATCAAACCTGGAACTGAGGCTTTTTTTTTTTTTTTCTTGAGATGGAGTCTCGCTCTGTCGCCCAGGCTGGAGTGCAGTGGTGCTATCTCGGCTCACTGCAACCTCAGCCTCTTGGGTTCAAGCGATTCTCCTGCCTCAGGCTCCTGAGTAGCTGGGACTACAGGGGCACGCCACCACCACACCTGGCTAATTTTTGTATTTTTAGTAGAGACGGGGTTTCACCATGTTGGCCAGGATGGTCTCCATCTCCTGACCTCGTGATCCGCCCGCCTCGGCCTCCCAAAGTGCTGGGATTACAGGCGTGAGCCACTGCACCTGGCCAAACTGAGGCATTCTTTACAAGACATTGTACTCAGTACCTCATAGCTCCCTTTATTCTATCTATGTTCAATATCAGTGGCTTTCACTGTTCAGCACTCCCTTTGGTGACATTCCTCACCATTTAGCAAGACAGGTAAATGTATCCCTTTTTCTTTTATGAAAATGCATCTGAATGATCAAAAGTGCTACTGAATTGTTGAATATTCTCATGACTTAATTTCACTTTAGTTTTTATTTCTTAAGTCTTTTTATACTTTTTTGGGGGGATTTCTTTCTTCTAGTGAACTGAATCAGGATAATATCAACTCTTAGTACTCATTTACATGTAGCTCTTCTTGTAAAGATTTACATTTTATGGACATTCTTTTAAAAACATGGTAACTTGATTCAAAGAAATAGATGCTGGATATTGACATTGAAGGCAGGCTGGGGCACCAGTAAAATTGTACCAGTAGGCAATCACAAAAAATGGCTGCATAAAAGACCTTTAACTTTTGTAAAACAAGATAGATCATCTTACTGCAGTTACAGGGAAAACCCGTTTCTTGCTTTGAATAAGCAATGAAAAAAATATGGATAATGAAAAACACACAGGAAAACAGCTAATATTCTCCTTTTAAAAGTTCCTGAAAAGTAAGGACTATGTATTAAATTCTTCTGAAACAAAAGTTAAACATAACTATGGAGAAAAAAAGAAGACATAAAACATATGGATCTATCAAGCATCTAGTTCCAAAGAAGAGGCATTCATGACTCACTAAGTAGACATGTAATATGTTGAGTCAACATTAAATAGCTCTCAGAAATCATAGAGCACCTGGAAACCATGTCACAGACAACTGGCAGAAACTAAAGGAAAGGAAAGGAAAATCATAGAGCACCTGGAAAACATGTCACAGACAACTGGCAGAAACTAAAGGAAAGGAAAGCAAAACCAAGATTATACCACCTTGTACCTATTGCCACTCTACTGAACTACTGACTCAGCTGAAGTCTCCATAAATAATATCTGACAAACTCAATGACTTTTCATTACCATTCTAAGATTCTAAAGACTGGGTAGAAACATTCCATTCCAGTAGAAACTGGCTAAATCTACTCAGAGCCTTATATTTTCGGGGATATGGGGAAAGGTATATCTGCCCACCTTGAGCTTTCATAATAGGGAATGTAACACTGACCTCAGCTATATTGGCTTTTCTATAATAAAGAAATCCTCTCGTGAGCACTCTCAGAGAACCATCATTCAGTTCATTACACTACTTTGGTTTTTCTTTTCTTTCTTTCTTTTTTTTTTTTTGAGATGGAGTTTTGCTCTTGTTGCCCAGGCTGGAGTGCAATGGTGTGATCTCCGGCTCACCGCAACCTCTGGCTCCTGGGTTCAAGCGATTCTCCTGCCTCAGCCTCCTGAGTAGCTGGGACTACAGGCATGTGCCACCACACGGGACTAATTTTGTATTTTTAGTAGAGATGGGGTTTCTCCATGTAGGTCAGGGTGGTCTCAAACTCCCAACCTCAGGTGATTCCCCACACCCTTGGCCTCCCAAAATGCTGGGATTACAGGCGTAAGCCCCTGTGCCTGACCACTACTTTGGTTTTTCATCTAACATATGGTAACACACAGTAAATTGCTCCAACATACTGTAATACAAATAGATTTCTAATCTTTTACACACACAAATAAATAGTCTTACCCTCTTCCTCAAATAAGGTGTCCACAAATCTCAACAGTAATTGTATTTAGATTTGGTGTCACTTTTTGTTCTGCTGTCTTAAATCTCTCTTGACATTGAGCAAACTATGGACAGAATTGTAAAGTTAACTCTAGTAATGCAGCCTACATAAAAAAATCAGGCTGAAAATTACTTAAGATGTGAAAATATATGTGTAGCCCCCTTATTCTCTCCTCATTTCTATAAAACTTGTCTGTGTTATGTCATCATTTTTCCACTTAACTGCCACAAATTCAAAACATGATGGTATCGATTTGTATTGAATTAATGCATTGGCCTTCTAAAAATTTATGATCTCTAATATGAAACTTCTTGGCAGTATTTATGAAAATGGATCAATAATAAATACTATAAGTTTAGTCACTGTGCAAACTAGTATGAGTGAGATAGTTGTTGTAAGGAGAACTTCTTAACACTCCCATATAACATGATGTAAATGGCAACCATGTGTAAGATTATTCTTTAAAGAGTTAAGTTGTTTGAGGTATGCAAATACTTTACACCAATCAGAAAAAAAAGAACATAGCTTATTTTCCTCATTCTACCTCCACACCCCTATGCACCTTATCTCTTGTCCAGTGTTAATCTGGGCTAATGATGTTTTGTTTTAAGCTGATGCAGGTAGTTTAATATGGTCAGTAATAAAAATCATAGTCTGAATATCTCTGTTATGCACATTTCATGACACATTTAAGAAGCACTGGACAGAAATTGAAAGTAATACCTTTCTCACATTTGTTTTCTATTATTAATGTCAGAAGTCATCCATCCATTTCATCTATACCCGTCTATCTAGCTACCTATCTATCATCTATGACTATTTTCACTCTCTTCTTATTCTTATCTTTGCCTTATCTAAATATGTCAGAGATGGTAAGGTGTTTAGTAAGAAAGTGATTTATAAAAATACAACCAAACCACAGTCCTGTCTCAAATGGTGAGGCTGGCCAGCATATGCAACTAATTCTCACGGAGACATTCTGGAAAACCAATGACAAGATTGGGACTCTGGGCTAGCCCCAGGGCAGTCAGCAGCGGTAGACTGCTACACACAGCCTCATGTGTAAAGTTTCTGAACTGACACAAAGGTTCATGGAAATGAACCTTGACGATGTGGCCAATCGAGTGTAAGTGACATCCTGCTTGGCATGCCACGATAATTTTTTCTTTCCCCTCTTGAAGGCGTAATGCTTCCTGTGGGAAACCCTGACTTAAAATGCCATTGTGTGCTTAGACAGGAGATTTACCAACCCTGAATAGGATGTAAGTGAAATAAGGACTCTAGAAACAGGCTCTTCCTTATCCTCGCACTCTACCACTCTCACCAACCCAATGAAAGTGAGAATAACTACACCTGTTTCATCTGATACAATGTTTAAATGATAGAATATCTCATAGCAGTTAAAATATGAGAAGTCTGTGAAAAATGAAAATTGACACAAGTAATTTCACATTTATTGGTTATCTATTACAGTGAATCATTTATTGTTTTAAAACCTGTGGAGAATTAACAAAAAATAAGACAATCTGTACCTGCTATCCAGGTTCCACAATTTAGTCAATAAAATAAGATATATAAGAAAACAACCACAATAACTAGGATAGCTACTGATGTCTGCAAATGGTATAGACAGACAACGCTCTAAAAAAACTTGTTTTCATGTAGAAGCAAACAAGTAAATAAACTAAGTATGAAATCTCCTTCCTTTCAATGAAAGTGATTCTATTCCAAGTGAATATGTTAGAACTGATGCATGCTCAATATTACCTGCACTTCTATTTGGATTTTCAAAAAAAAAAAAAAACATAGTAGAACTAGATTTATTAAAACTTCTGTTACTCCCTCTTTTTAAATGAAATCTGAAAATATGAGGCTCAGGCTCAAGTGAGAAGGATAAGCTGTGAAATGGAACATGCCAAAACAGAATAGACTGTATGCAGGGCACTGGTATAGGTAAGAAACAGATGAAGTTTTTAGTGAAAGCTTCTTGACTTTAATTCAAGTGAGAAATAGTTTTGAACAAATACTATGCCCCCAGGCACTTTTTAGCCAGTGGACCAGAAGGATATGTGTGTGGTTTGTTGGGATAGAAATACAATTAAAATATTCATTAAAACACAATGTAATAAATATTATGATAGATAAAATATGACGCATTAAAAAGTTTTTAGGACAGTAACCAAATCACACGTGGAATCAGAATACCTCAAGGCTTTACAGAGTGACATTTAATCTCAGTTTTAAAGCATGAGTAGGAAATGCCTGAATTTTTGTTGCCTTGATTGGTGTATAGCTAACAATTACTGCCTTCTTAGTGTGAGTTCAGCTCCATGCCTTCACAATTTAATCCATAAAATAACTCTTTGGAGTAGGTAATATTATTATCTATAATAATGAATGTGCGCAGAGGATGAGAATGTGCTCCAGGTCATGCAGTTAGTGACCAGCTAGACTTGATTCCCAATCAGTCTCACTCCACAGCCTGAAGTTATACTGCTTGTCCACATGCACATCTAGTGCTGAAGTTATACTGCTCATCCACATCACTCTTGTGCTAGGCACAAGTGACAAAGGAAGTGGAGAGAAGCAGAGACTAGAAAGAGCATCCCAAGCAGAGGAATGGAAAGTGTAACATTTTAGATAGAGGAAAGATAATGCATCTGAAAGAAATATTAAACTGAGAGATGGAAGTAGTGAGAAATGAGGCTACAGAAGTATATAAGTGCCAGTTTATACAGTGTTGTGCAAGATATATTAACCATGTTTAACCTATGAGCAATGGGTCCCTAAAGAGCTGAGAGCAGACACATGATAAGCTTAGGAATATTTTTCCAGTGGCAGATTGGAGAACAGATTGTGTGAGGAGTGGGATAACTTGGTGATAGAAATACCACTGAGAACTTATTATGAGGAATCCAGGTGTGAGATTATGATGGGCAGGGCCCGGGCTGTGGGAGTGAGGTATTTAAAGAGGTGCATGGGCCAGGCACGTTGGCTCACACCTGTAATCCCAGTAATTTGGGAGGCCAAGGAGGGCAGATAGGTTGAGCTTAGAAGTTTCAAACTAGCCTGGGCAACATGATAAAACACCGCCTCTACAAAAAAATACAAAAACTCAGCCAGGCATGGTGGCGTGGGCCTGTAGTCCCAGCTACTTGGGAGGCTGAAGTGGACGGATCGCTTGAGTCGGGGAAGTCAAGGCTGCAGTGAGTCGTGACTGGGCCACTCAACTCCAGTCTGGGTGACAAAGTAAGACTTAGTCTCAAAAAAAAAAAAAAAAAAAAAAGAGTAGTGCATTAGTGCTTGGCTTTCAGAATGATTGGAATTATTTAAAAGGTATAGTCAAAAGAAATGAGATGTTGTATGTGGTAGGAAAAAGAATAAGAAAAAGAAATGCACAGCATATTGGCTGGGGAAACCACATGTAAAATGGTGCTGTTACTGAGAAAGGAAATGCAGAAGAATGAGCTAGTCTCAGCATTATTATTTTCCCCATAGCTGCTGTCCTATGGGGAAAGCTTGATTAATTGAGTACCAGTTAGTTAAGTTTGGATGCATGGATGCATCACCTTAAATGTATCCAAGCTTAACTAACTGGTATTCAATTCATCCGAACCCTAGTTTTAAACTAGGGTTAAACTAATCTCCATATTACACCTCAGCAGCTAACACAGCTCCCCCTTTCAAAATAAATCGGTTATCATGTACTAGTCTGTGAAGACAACATAGATATTGTGAGGAAAGTCTGTTTGTCAACTTCCCAATGGTAAGTGAGAATGTGCACTGGGAGTGTGGCCTTTCAGGGAGTGCTCCCTGCCCTATATGAATTGGGGTAATCTGCAAATGTGGTAGTCATGCTCCTGGATAATTATCTTGGAAGCATTAAAATAATCAAGTGACCCTCCAGGTGCATTTTAAGAAGTGATTAATTTAACCTTTGAATAATGACACAATATGACTATTTCATACACTGTCATACGAGAGAGAAGTATCTGTGCATATAGCAGTCTTTGATTGCCCTCAAATAATGCTTTGTTTTTTTCATTACATTTATTACATTTTTTCACTACATTATGTATACATTGTGTTTCTGAGAGTTCAAAGAAGTAAATTCAACAATGATTTAAAAATTATATGTATTTATTTTAATAGCTAATTTAAGAAATGTAGGATAAGCAACTTTGGACTCATCCAGATGACCACCTAATATCCAAATACAGTCATGCATTTGTCTTGGGCTAATGAGAAAAGAAGTGGGGGCATCTGAAGGTCAAATGGTGACATGCCATCAGGTACAAGGAAAAGTTGCAAAGTAATTTAAACAGTGAAGAGAATGGGTGAATTGATTTTCTTCATGGCACACGGTACTATAGATAGTATTAGTGATGTGAGATATTATGAGTAAATGTTTAAAAAGATCCTATGCCATTGTAGGAAGAAACATATTCATGAAGCTAGTATTGACTTAGCTTTAACTAAATGCATCTATTTGATTAAATTATAGTATTAAATTGAACTCTATTTCTGTAGTAGTTTTAGTAATACTTAATTTGTATTTTTTTAGAATTATTTTTCTTCAGAAGCTATTATAATAAAATAGCTACTGAAAAAAAGTAGTTTATACTTACTTTTGCTATTGTAATTTTTTTTTTTTTAATTGAGACAGAATCCCATTCTTTCTCCCAGGATGGAGTGCAGTGGTGCAATCTCGGCTCACTGCAAGCTCCACCTCCCGGGTTCATGCCATTCTCCTGCCTCAGCCTCCCGAGTAGCTGGGACTACAGGTGACCACCACCAAGCCCGGCTAACATTGTGTATTTTTAGTAGAGACAGGGTTTCACCATGTTAGCCAGGATGGTCTGGATCTCCTGACCTTGTGATCCGCCCACCTCAGCCTCCCAAGGTGCTGGGATTACAGGCGTGAGCCATCATGCCTGGCATAATTGTAATAATTTAATAGCCTGTATGATAAAAGTGACTTACTTTTAAAATCACAACTGTTCTGCATTACTCAAGTTTGTGAGGTACTGTTTGATATTGCTAAGGTATTGACATAGTATGAAGACTTTTGGAAATAATCATTTAAGCATTCCTTTGTTATCGAACACCTTAAGTTGAACCCAAGGTAAAAGTAAAGAGTGAATTACCAATTTTTGATAATTTTAGCCTATTTTAGAGTGAATATATTGGTATTTACAGCATTGAGCAGTAGACATTTGAAAAAAATAGTAATTCTTAGAATAACATGGGAAAATATTTAATCAATTTGTTGTTGGGAATGGGAGCACACATAGTGGTTAACTGCAGAATCTTTAAAATTGTGACTTGGGCTTGAATCTTTGCCCCACCACTTAATAGCTATATAACCTTTGTCTGTTATATAATTTGTGGGTTATACTCTCTGCTCAAGCAGCAGTTGTCGGGGGAAAGCTGGTATACTCTTACTATCTGACAAATGACTTTCTCAACCACAGATGAGTCTGAGCAGTCATATTTGTATTATATGATTCTACTCCTGCCCTGGGGTAGAATATAATACTAATTGGGCCAGTAGTATGCACATGTCTCAAACTGGCCTAATTGTATTCTTCCTTCCGAGAATGTGGATTTGGGACTAAGACAGTAGATTATTATGAGATCTTTGCTTGAACTGAAGTAATTTATACTTAGGGCTGTGGAACTCCATCTTATCCCAGTTGTACTATGAAAAAAGGAGAACGTTGATCTCCTGTTAGAAAAAGCAATAAAGCAAATGTGCAGAAAAAAGAAAGAAGAAAAATCACTATGTAGAAAAGAGAGAATGTGGCTGAAAGAGATCTCATTCTCTCTACTTAGAGGAGAATGAGATATGTAGATCTAGTTGACTTAGTTACAACCAATGCTGATGAAGTATCTCCTAAATATCAAGCACAATGCTAAGCTCTATACAAATCCCTATATTTGAGCACAATATCATGCCTTGCATTTTTCTTACATAATAATGCTTTTGAGCCAAGATGGCTGAATAGGAACAGCTCCAGTGTACAGCTCCCAGTGTGAGTGACGCAGAAGATGGGTGATTTCTGCACTTCCATCTGAGGTACTGGGTTCATCTCACTAGGGAGTGCCAGACAGTGGGTGCAGGACAGTGGGTGCAGTGCACCATGCATGAGCCGAAGCAGGGTGAGGCATTGCCTCACTCAGGAAGTGCAAGGGGTCAGGGAGTTCCCTTTCCTAGTCAAAGAAAGGGGTGACAGACGGCACCTGGAAAATCAGGTCACTCCCACCCTAATACTGCACTTTTCCAATGGGCTTAAAAGACGGCACACCAGGAGATTATATGTGGCACCTGGCTCGGGGGGTCCTACACCCATGGAGTCTCACTGATTGCTAGCACAGCAGTCTGAGATCAAACTGCAAGGCAGCAGTGAGGCTGGGGGAGGGGCGCCTGCCATTGCCCAGGATTGATTAGGTAAATGAAGCAGCCAGGAAGCTCGAACTGGGTGGAGCCCATCACAGCTCAAGGAGGCCTGCCTGCCTCTGTAGGCTCCACCTCTGGGGGCAGGGCACAGACAAACAAAAAGACAGCAGTAACCTCTGCAGACTTAAATGTCCCTGTCTGACAGCTTTGAAGAGAGCAGTGGTTCTCCCAGCATGCAGCTGGAGATCTGAGAACGAGCAGACTGCCTCCTCAAGTGGGTCCTTGACCCCAGAGAAGCCTAACTGGGAGGCACCCCACAGTAGGGGCAGACTGACACCTCACATGGCTGGGTAGTCCTCTGAGACAAAACTTCCAGAGGAAAGATCAGACAGCAGCATTTGTGGTTCACCAAGATCCACTGTTCTACAGCCACTGCCGTTCTGCAGCCACTGCTGATGATACCCAGGCAAACAGCATCTGGAGTGGACCTTTAGCAAACTCCAACAGACCTGCAGCTGAGGGTCCTGTCTGTTAGAAGGAAAACTAACAAACAGAAAGGACATCCATACCAAAATCCCTTCTGTACGTCACCATCATCAAAGACCAAAAATAGATAAAACCACAAAGATGGGGAAAAAACAGAGCAGAAAACTGGAAACTCTAAAAAGCAGAGCACCTCTCCTCCTCAAAAGGAATGCAGCTCCTCACCAGCAACGGAACAAAGCTGGACAGAGAATGACTTTGACGAGCTGAGAGAAGAAGGCTTCAGATGATCAAACTACTCCGAGCTACAGGAGGAAATTCAAACCAATAGCAAAGAAGTTAAAAAACTGTGGTAAAAAATTGGATGAATGGATAACTATAATAACCAATGCAGAGAAGTCCTTATAGGAGCTGATGGAGCTGAAAGCCAAGGCTCGAGAACTACGTGAAGAATGCAGAAGCCTCAGGAGCCAATGCGATCAACTGGAAGAAAGGGTATCAGCGATGGAAGATGAAATGAATGAAACGAAGTGAGAAGGGAAGTTTAGAGAAAAAAGAATAAAAAGAAATGAACAAAGCCTCCAAGAAATATGGGACTATGTGAAAAGACCAAATCTACGTCTGATTGGTGTACCTGAAAGTGACGGGGAGAATGGAACCAAGTTGGAAAACACTCTGCAGGATATTATACAGGAGAACTTCCCAAATCTAGCAAGGCAGGCCAACATTCAGATTCAGGAAATACAGAGAACGCCACAAAGATACTCCTCAAGAAGAGCAACTCCAAGACGCATAATTGTCAGATTCACCAAAGTTGAAATGAAGGAAAAAATGTTAAGGGCAGCCAGAGAGAAAGATCAGGTTACCCACAAAGGGAAGCCCATCAGACTAACAGCAGATCTCTTGGCAGAAACTCTACAAGCCAGAAGAGAGTGGGGACCAATATTCAACATTCTTAAAGAAAAGAATTTTCAACCCAGAATTTCATATCCAGCCAAACTAAGCTTCATAAGTGAAGGAAAAATAAAATACTTTACAGACAAGCAAATGCTGAGAGATTTTGTCACCACCAGGCCTGCCCTAAAACAGCTCCTGAAGGAAGCACTAAACATGGAAAGGAACAACCAGTACCAGCCACTGCAAAAACATGACAAAATGTAAAGATCATCAAGGCTAGGAAGAAACTGCATCAACTAATGAGTAAAATAACCTGCTAACCTCATAATGACAGGACCAAATACACACATAACAATATTAACTTTAAATGTAAATGGGCTAAATGCTCCAATTAAAAGACACAGACTCGCAAATTGGATAAAGATTCAAGACCCATCAGTGTGCTGTATTCAGGAAACCCATCTCATGTGCAGAGACACATGTAGGCTCAAAATAAAGGGATGGAGGAAGATCTACCAAGCAAATGGAGAACAAAAAAAGGCAGGGGTTGCAATCCTAGTCTCTGATAAAACAGATTTTAAACCAAAAAAGATCAAAAGAGACAAAGAAGGCCATTACATAATGGTAAAGGGATCAACTCAACAAGAAGAGCTAACTATCCTAAATATACATGCAACCAATACAGGAGCACCCAGATTCATAAAGCAAGTCCTTAGTGACCTACAAAGAGACTTAGACTCCCACACAATAATAATGGGAGACTTTAACACCCCACTGTCAACATTAGACCGATCAATGAGACAGAAAGTTAACAAGGATACCCAGGAATTGAACTCAGCTCTGCACCAAGCAGACCTAATAGACATCTACAGACCTCTCCACCCGAAATCAACAGAATATACATTTTTTTCAGAACCACACCACACCCATTCCAAAATTGACCACATAGTTGGAAGTAAAGCACTCCTCAGCAAATGTAAAAGAACAGAAATTATAACAAACTGTCTCTCAGACCACAGTGCAATCAAACTAGAACTCAGGATTAAGAAACTCACTCAAAACCGCTCAACTACACGGAAACTGAACAACCTGCTCCTGAATGACTACTGGGTACATAACGAAATGAAGGCAGAAATAAAGATGTTCTTTGAAACCAAAAGAACAAAGACACAACATACCAGAATCTCTGGGACACTTTCAAAGCAGTGTGTAGAGGGAAATTTATAGCACTAAATGCCCACAAGAGAAAGCAGGAAAGATACAAAATTGACAACCTAACATCACAATTAAAAGAACTAGAAAAGCAAGAGCAAACACATTCAAAAGCTAGCAGAAGGCAAGAAATAACTAAAATCAGAGCAGAACTGAAGGAAATAGAGACACAAAAAACCCTTCAAAACATTAATGAATCCAGGAGCTGGTTTTTTAAAAAGTTCAACAAAATCGATAAACCGTTAGCAAGACTGATAAAGAAGAAAAGAGAGAAGAATCAAATAGATGCAATAAAAAATGATAAAGGGGATATCACCACCGATCCCACAGAAATACAAACTACCATCAGAGAATACCACAAACACCTCTACGCAAATAAACTAGAAAATCTAGAAGAAATGGATAAATTCCTTGACACATACACCCTCCCAAGACTAAACCAGGAAGAAGTTGAATCTCTGAATAGACCAATAACAGGCTCTGAAATTGAGGCAATAATCAATAGCTTACCAACCAAAAAGAGTCCAGGACCAGATGGATTCACAGCCAAATTCTACCAGAGGTACAAGGAGGAACTGGTACCATTCCTTCTGAAACTATTCCAATCAATAGAAAAAGAGGGAATCCTCCCTAACTCATTTTATGAGGCCAACATCATCCTGATACCAAAGCCTGGCAGAGACACAACCAAAAAAGAGAATTTTAGACCAATATCCCTGATGAACATTGATGCAAAAATCCTCAATAAAATACTGGCAAACCGAATCCAGCAGAACATCAAAAAGCTTATCCCCCATGATCAAGTGGGCTTCATCCCTGGGATGTAAGGCTGGTTCAACATACACGAATCAATAAATGTAATCCAGCATATAAACAGAACCAAAGACAAAAACCACATGATTATCTCAATAGATGCAGAAAAGTCCTTTGACAAAATTCAACAGCCCTTCATGCTAAAAACTCTCAATAAATTAGGTATTGATGGGATGTATCTCAAAATAATACGAGCTATCTATGACAAACCCACAGCCAATATCATAATGAATGGTCACAAACTGGACGCATTCCCTTTGAAAACTGGCACAAGACAGGGATGCCCTCTCTCACCACTCCTATTCAACCTAGTGTTGGAAGTTCTGGCCAGGGCAATTAGGCAGGAGAAGGAAATAAAGGGTATTCAGTTAGGAAAAGAGGAAGGCAAATTGTCCCTGTTTGCAGATGACATGATTGTATATCTGGAAAACCCCATCGTCTCAGCCCAAAATCTCCTTAAGCTGATAAGCAAGTTCAGCAAAGTCTCAGGATACAAAATCAATGTGCAAAAATCACAAGCATTCTTATACACCAATAACAGACAAACAGAGAGCCAAATCATGAGTGAACTCCCATTCACAATTGCTTCAAAGAGAATAAAATACCTAGGAATCCAACTTACAAGGGATGTGAAGGACCTCTTCAAGGAGAACTACAAACCACTGCTCAAAGAAATAAAAGAGTATACAAAGAAATGGAAGAACATTCCATGCTCATGGGTAGGAAGAATCAATATCGTGAAAATGGCCATACTGCCCAAGGTAATTTATAGATTCAATGTCATCCCCATCAAGCTACCAATGACTTTCTTCACAGAATTGGAAAAAACCTCTTTAAAGTTCATATGGAACCAAAAAAGAGCCTGCATCGCCAAGCCAATTCTAAGTCAAAAGAACAAAGCCGGAGGCCTCAAGCTACCTGACTTCAAACTATACTACAAGGCTACAGTAACCAAAACAGCACGGTATTGGTACCAAAACAGTGATATAGATCCATGGAACAGAACAGAGCCCTCAGAAATAATGCCGCATATCTACAACTATCTGATCTTTGACAAACCTGACAAAAACAAGCAATGGGGAAAGGATTCCCTATTTAATAAATGGTGCTGGGAAAACTGGCTAGCCATATGTAGAAAGCTGAAACTGGATCCCTTCCTTACACCTTACACAAAAATTAATTCAAGATGGATTAAAGACTTACATGTTAGACCTAAAACCATAAAAACCCTAAAAGAAAACCTAGGCAATACCCTTCAGGACATAGGCATGGGCAAGGACTTCATGTCTAAAACACCAAAAGCAATGGCAACAAAAGCCAAAATTGACAAATGGGATCTAATTAAACTAAAGAGCTTCTGCATAGCAAAAGAAACTACCATCAGAGTGAACAGGCAACCTACAAAATGGGAGAAAATTTTCGCAACCTACTCATCTGACAAAGGGCTAATATCCAGAATCTACAATGAACTCAAACAAATTTACAAGAAAAAAACAAACAACCCTATCAAAAAGTGGGCGAAGGATATGAACAGACACTTCTCAAAAGAAGACATTTATGCAGCCAAAAGACACATGAAAAAATGCTCATCATCACTGGCCATCAGAGAAATGCAAATCAAAACCACAATGAGATACCATCTCACACCAGTTAGAATGGTGTTCATTAAAAAGTCAGGAAACAACAGGAGCTGGAGAGGATGTGGAGAAATAGGAACACTTTTACACTGTTGGTGGGAATGTAAACTAGTTCAACCATTGTGGAAGTCAGTGTGGCGATTCCTCAGGGATCTAGAACTAGAAATACCATTTGACCCAGCCATCCCATTACTGGGTATATACCCAAAGGATTATAAATCATGCTGCTATAAAGACACATGCACATGTATGTTTATTGCAGCACTATTCACAATAGCAAAGACTTGGAACCAACCCAAATGTCCAACAATGATAGACTGGATTAAGAAAATGTGGCACATATACACCATGGAATACTACGCAGCCATTAAAAATGAAGAGTTCATATCCTTTGTAGGGACATGGATGAAACTGGAAACCATCATTCTCAGCAAACTATTGCAAGGACAAAAAACCAAACACCACATGTTCTCACTCGTAGGTGGGAATTGAACAATGAGAACACATGGACACAGGAAGGGGAACATCACACACTGGGGACTGTCGTGGGGTCGGGGGAGAGGGGAGGGATAGCATTAGGAGATATACCTAATGCTAAATGACGAGTTAATGGGTGCAGCACACCAACATGGCAAATGTGTACGTATGTAAAAAACCTGCACATTGTGCACATGTACCCTAAAACTTAAAGTATAATAATAATAAAATTAAAAAAATAATGCTTTTTAGGATTTTTACATTAAAATAGATCTTCTATATAAAGCACCTACTATGTGTATAACCTATGTGAATTTCCTGCTTCTCTCCAGGTGGTGTTTTCTGACACTGCAGTTAATTATGTTTTATCTTTTTGTAATATATAATACACCTTTTCCTTTTCAGGCATTGAGAAATTCTTTTATGCAGTCATTATTATCTCATTATTTGCTTGTGCTCTTCTCTCCATGTGCATTTGGCAGAAATCATGACTTGTCCTTTACACTTCTCAAGCTCATACCAACATTCCTCACATAAAATGGGTTTTCCGTCTATATTTGTGGATTGATCACTTTGGGGATGTAAATGACAGAACTCGAATGGTTTGCAAAGTTTGCCAGGTTAAGTAACTACTCTTAGGTCTGCCTACATTTCCAAACACCTTTCCTCTTTGTTTTATCCGACTCATCTTCCCAATGTCTTTCTCTCATCCAGAAAGGGTTACATATTTAAACCATAGTTGTAACCACATTTCCAGGATACAGAGGAACATAGGCTTACATGGCTATTTATTTTCTTCCTGACTTCAACATTCCTGGACTTACACATGGGAGGGAACTGGGGGAATATAATCTGGATAAATATTTTGTAACAAATATATGATGAGAAACTTGGAAAAACAAGTTGACAACTTGATTAGTAACATATTTCAAAAATGAACGTATATTCTTATATAATAAATCAACCAGTAATTGTATAATTTAATAGAAAAAGTTCTAACTTGGAAGAAAGGAGATTTGAACGATGGGCTTTGCTGCTAAGCAGCTGTGACTTCATCCAAGTCCCTTATCATCTCTGGGTCTCAGTTTCCTTACATATGAAGTACAAACCAGATTAGATGACCTCTAGTTTTCTTCTAGTTACAATATATGATTAGTTTATTTCCAGCTCTGGCAATCTGCAAGCCAATATTCTGGTACATTGCTTAATCTTGAGTGATGATGTTGCAGAAATTCAATCCTTTATTCATTGCTAAATTCCATTACAATATAAATAAATCAAGATTGAGATATGTAAGAGCTCATCCATAAACCATATTAAGAATTAATTTAATTTAATCGTTTACCGAGTGCCAAACATAGTTTAAGCCAGCAGTAGGGATTTCAGTGTTTTGGAGATGTCAAATACCAACCCCAGGAAATCAAATTTGTTCATGTTCATAATTACTTTTTAGGTGTTAAATGATTCCATTAAATGAAGTGCCACAAATTAAGTATTGAAATGAACTGACCTGAGCAACACGCTGAACATGCCTGAGGCATCAAACAGGTTTCCACTTTATTTTTATTCCCTTTTATTTGGGCGAATGATGTGACAGAAGAATCTTTACTGATTTTTGAATACTAAATAAATTAGTCATGGCTGAAATGGCACTTCAATCACTTTCCAGCAAGCAGACTCTGCCCTCAAAATTTACCTCTTCATGACTCTACTCAGAACTGGAGCAAACTGGGAATAAGTGGTTCCAAATGGTGAGGGATTCAGGAGTGCCTAATAGAGTACAAATATGGGGTTTACCACTTGAGAACCAAAGTGTACTCAAAGATCTTTGTTCTAGAATGCCTCACATTCATCCGGCTTTTATGAATCCAATGGTAAGGATAAAAGGAAGAGAGACAGAAAGAAAAATACTAACAGATATTAAGCATCACTATGTGCTAGCGACTGTGCTAGCTGCCCTCATGTTTATTATCCCACTTAACACATTACCAACACCTTGGGAAATGGGTATTTTTACACATGACAGAAGTGATTTAGGAAAATGGGGTAAATTATATAAAGACATAAGTACACCTAACTTACATAACTGTAGAAGACATTACTGAGTTCACGGTTCTAAGCTGAACAAATTATAAACAGATTACAATTGTCTCCTGCTTGTTTCTGAGTGGACATTTAAAATAAGATGTAGACATGAAAGAAGAAAACTATTCCGGACTTGTCACCAGGAGCCTTATGTTTAACTCAAATATATTTGAGTAGAGATGTGTTCTCCTTTATTTCTTTTGTGAACTATAGGTGTTTTGTAACATTCAGCTCAACATCTCTATATTTGGTTCTCTACCCAGCATCAACATCATTAGAAAGATTAGGTGAGTACTGAAATTACATAGGTCAATAAGGAAAAGGTGACAGCAAAATATTCTAAAACAAGTGGACTCAGATAATTAGTGAGTTGCTCCCTTTATTAGGTAAGGGAATGCCTAATGGCAGAGAGAAGATTACAAAACGGTTTAATCCTGGAGTACAAGAAATATTAACTGCACTTTTTGAGAATCCAGACTAAGGATTACAAAATATATGACTGGTGTCAACTGAACTCCTCTCAATAGATTATTATCCTCATATTGCAGCCAGGGAAGAGCAAGTTATTTACATACTTGAGAGAAATTTAGCTAGTAAGTAAATGAACTTGCATTACAATCAAAGTGTCTATAATTCCAAAGGTCAGCCTCCTTTCACTATTCAAATCCTCTTCTAACTGTTGTGTCAGTTTACAGGATTTCTAGGCATTCAAGGTAGATTCACGCTCTAAATCCTTCACTCTTAGGAATAAAAAAAAAATGAAGAAATGAAAAAAGCAGATTATATTATGGACATTTTAGGTGTTTAAGATAGTCCAACAAATAATTTTAATGTGTGACCTTAAGAACAGCCAAATACCGAAATACCCCCTTGCATTGCCATGACACATTGTCTGATACTGCCAGCCGTTGATGATTTAGTACTATTTGCAATATCCCTGATATGTTTTTCCGTAACTACTCATAATCATTTACTTACATTTGCATATCAGGAGCTCTGTGGGTATGGGAAACACTGAGCTTCTATGAGTACCCATTACCTCATTTGCAAACCCAGGTTAGTAACACCAGCCTCATCGGTTTGTTGTGGAGATGAAATAACCTATACTCTCTGATGCCCCTGGCATGGGGACTGGCACACAGCTAGTATGCAATAACAAGTTTTCAGGTTATTATTGTGAGAGAACCTTGGGGGCAGGAAGGTGAACCAGGTCCCAGGTTGGGTACAATGGGGCATAGGAGAGGGGCAGGGGTAGCAGCCTCCCCCTTGGGATCATGTGATCACCAATGGTAAAGAGAGGGCAATGGAAGAAGAGGTACATTGCTCTGGGGATACACAGCCTTCTTCAAAATTTCTTTAGGCTCACCTGTGGGCGAAACCTATAGCGTCAACTATGTGGTCAAAATTTGGACGATAAAAGATTTCAAAACACTGGAGGTACTAACTTCAGATTAAAGGGATTGAAGTAACACTAGAGAGGCACAAGGGAGTAAAGAAGGGAAAGATTGCTGAGCTACAGTAAGGATCTATTCATTCATCTGTGCTGTAAACACGAGAGTGCTGCACATTCTTGACAAAGACCCCAACTGGGAGCTTTGATATAGTTGCAAATATCTGGGCAGATGCAACATTCAAATATAAGTGTTTTTTTGGTCAGTTTTGATTTCTATAGCTGCCTTAATTTTGGGGGACAAAGTGTGTTATACATATCACTATAATCATTGCATTTTGCTTATAGAGTACATTCTACTCATTGAAACAATGACCAGTCATTAATGAGTAAGCAATGTGTTCTTTTCATTGGAAAAAAATGTTTAAGGAAAACAAAATATTTAACTTGACCAATTTCTGAGGCATTGGGGTAATAAATTAGTGTGAAGACTAAAACTATAAGGAAAATTAGCACAGTCTTTTGCACCTTTCAATTTTGGTGACATTTGAAAATGAAGGCGTGTAAAAAGAGAGGCAACTGCAGAATCACTTGCAGCAACCATCTCCTTTCTAAATTCTTTCTCATGTCCTTTCCTTCTTGTTTTTGTTTTAAAAGCTTGGGGGCAGTTAAAGGAACACTCAGGGAAAAGTATAGGTATTTGAGAGAGAATGCAAATTAAAACTTACTATGTATATTTTTATGATGTTTAATTCTCCAAACTAAAATCACCAAAAATAGTTTAGGGTGTTGAAGCACATGAGTTTGCTTTTTGCAGTTTAATTCAATTAAATGTTTATTTCTTCAACCAAACATACTCATTATAAGTACCTCAAAAAGAGTAGTTTGATGTAATTAAGTCTTTTGATACAACTTTTTGTTATTTTTCTCAACAGAGAGACGTTAAAATTCCAAAATTACGTGCTTTGGGTAGCCCTGTTTGAAATGTATATTCCCTAAAGGTAAACTCCAGCTCTTGTGATATTATAAGATTTCTTAGCTAAATATGTGTTCTTCAAGCCTCAATTTGTCAAAATACAACCTAATTATTTTACCAACTCCTCCTAGTGAAAGATATGGCTAAGAGAAGTGAAAAGAATAAGAAAGAGAAGAAAGGGGCTGGATCAGTTCTGGTGAGATCTTCGTGGGTCTTTTTGTGGGTTCAGAGTTCCATTGTTTTTAGAACAATGGTTTATCCATAAGCTTGACGGTGGGTACCTTGGTTCATTCAATCTGGCAATATGTGCTAATGTACACATCAGCATATTTCTGTACAAAGCCAAGTTAAACATTTAAAGTGCATATTTATGAATGTAATTTGTCTGGAAATGCAATAAATTAAAATAGAATCCAGGTTTTCAAAGAGCTAAAAGGCTAGCTGAGAATATTCAATATCACTATTCTGAATGCTAAATTATGTGACAATTTTTTGCATGGCTTGAAAATGCAAAAAGTATTCTAATTACTGTAACAACTTAAAAGAATATTTCTGCCAAATATAGGCAACTATTTCCTTACATAAATTCTCCTGGAATTTTATATATGTTTTATATATTCATATTTATAAGATGAATAATAAAAAAAGAAAACATAGTTTTAAAACTACATTTGCATGTATGCACATGCATATAGAAAAATATATCTACTTATCTTTATCTACATATATATAGATATGTAGTTGATGTATATGAATGCATTATCAATAAAATATCAAATAACTAATTTGACTATACTGATCACTTAATTAACTAGATATTCTAAGTTCTAATGGATGAATTTTTCTTCGTGAATTGAATTTTTCTCATTTTGGATATTAGACCTGAAGTAAAAAAAAGTTAAGATTAGATTTGCTAACTTATAAAGCCTATTGGAAAAGTCTGCATATTAGCCAGCCCCAACCCCACAGTCTCCCACTCCTATGAGGCCACTTCCTTCATCTGCAAAATTAAAATGCAGCTCTGAGGCCATGTAGTGGTCTGGGCTCTTGACAGCTGCCCCAAGCCTCCAGGGAGCAAAGAGCCTAATCGCTGATCCCACGAAGAGGATTCACAAAGGAGAAAGTGCTCCATCCCTCACCAAGAAAATAAAGAACCTGGTGACTAACTCCCCTACTACCCACCCTTTTGCTTCCCCTGCCCAGGCCAAATCTCCCCCACAAAGATGGACAAAGCCCTTAATGGAGAAGTTGGAAAAACTGACAGTCTAGGGAGGAAAAGAGGGCCTCCTGGAAGGTGAATCTGCCCTTAGGCAAATCTACTTTACATAGTCATGGTAATTATTTTATACCATTATTTCTCTTTAATCATCATTAGTATTAGCACATTGTAATATAGAAAAACAGTGTTTTGTTTTGTTTTTCAGAAAAAGCACTGTAAAATACTTTTAGTAACCATTCAGAAAATAATATTAAATATGTTTTCTAACTAAATTTCCCTAAGGTAATTTTTTGTATGTGCACTTTGTTTTATTTCTCTTAAAGGAAAACAAACAAACCTTCATTTCCCCATTTATTACCTGGCTCCACAGCCTTATATGGGGTGAGATAATATGTATAATATGAATGGTTAGATGCTGTCCAAGGAAGATGGGATAAATTTATTTCTACATAATTTAATTTTCCATATTTATTTCTAGACAACTCCACTTTCTTGGTTGCTTATACAATTACTCTTATAGAAAATAAATATCTCTGTATAAAGTAAATACTTCTGTACAACATGAGAGAATTCAGGCTTTCATTATTCAAGAAGATCTACTATTGGATTATTGTTTTAACATCTATTTTAAAAAGTATTCTGGAAAACCTTTCAAAGGCAGTACTTCTGGCAACTTTTATTAGCATTGCTGCCTCCTGGAGTCCATGTTTAAGCCTCAGTTAAGTCGACGTTAAGTACCTGCCTCACACTACCTGGCATGGGAAAGTCCGAGTCATGTTTCATGACCTAAAAGAAGCTCACATTTGAAACTTCATGTTGGAGATTTCTACTTCCAATAGAGCCATAATATTTTAATTTTTAAGCTTCCAAAAGATTTCCTCAGAAATCTATGTCACTACTTCCACAGGATGTTTTAATCAGATCATGTCCTTGCAGACTGACAGCAGCAAGCACACTTGGGTTGAAAGACAGCAGCAGTAGAGAATGACGAGAACGTAAAAGAGTAATCCTACATTTAACACAAATGGGAGAGGCAGAAGCCCAGCATTTTCCTCTGAGCTCTCTGCTGGCCCCAGTTCTTTAACTTCTTCTGTTGCAGTGCCTCCTTTGGGTCTGATTTGGCTCTTAACTGCTGGGTACAGAATTTTTCCTCCCTATAGGTACAAATAGAACTCCCCTCTTTTTCTTCTCTTTATTTCACACCTATTTGCTGCTGTCTGGAGTACATCTGTTCACAGCACTGTCTAGATAAGTCTCCCATGTGTACACATTGTTGGCCTGCAGTGCTTCATAAGTTAAAGAAGGCCAAGAACTCCTACCTGCTGCAGCCAGTAGTATATTTTCTCAGAAAGAAGCCCAAACTTTTGCTCTAGGCTACTGGAACTAAACCCTTCTTTTGATTCGGCTTCCCTATCCTCTTACAATACCACTCTCCTTAGTGTTCTGGAGAGCAACAGATTGAATTTTCAGAGGATAACAGGTGCTTGGCCGCAAGTTTATTGTAATGTTAGCATCCTTTGAATAGTGCTAGATGGCATCAGAAGGTAATACCCTTCTTGGCCATGGATTTCTGTATAATTCTGACCACTGTTCGAATAAATATACCATGGCACTGGTACTGCAAACAATCACCCTGACTACCAGTGACAGTGTGACAGGACTCCAAAATACCATCACTTCTCATTCTCCGTGGAGCTGTCCAAAGGCAGCATGAATGCACATTTCTACAAATTGAAGTGATACACTATTTGGGAGGAGATGATTTATGCAATAAGCTAGCCTACACTGACAATTTTGCAAAAGGGTAACTTCTACTCTTCTTTGCAGCCTGTTAGCGTTAGTAGGTAAATTGGTCACACAACTTAAAATAAACCATTAGGTTGACTAGAGCTAGGTCGGTTGAGATTAGAAAGACATTGTAAACGACCAACTTTACTGACTATTAGTTGTATGACCTTCAGCCAGTTATTCACCTCTTTGAACTCCATTTCTGTGTCTATTAAAAAAGTGTTTTTAAATTCTTACTTAGTTAATTGTGATAAAGCATTGATTATTAAATACATTGGTTAACAGTGTTTGGGGGATTGTAAAACAAAGCAAATATTAATTTTTATTGTTCTGATTAAATAATTTATAAAGTTCCATTAACCATTCCTTTTCTTGAATTTCTGTCCTGCTATTGTCTGCTCCTCACATTTTTAATCTTTATGATTATTTGTATTGCCCTTGAGGATATAGGACTTTCTCAGCAATTGCATCAGGCAGTTAACAGGCCGGGTGATTCCAAATTGCACATTATTAAACCAGGTCGTGTGCTAGATGGCCAAACAAATCACAACATAAAACTTTTGTATTTAGAATTAGGAAAATTAGAACATTTTATTGTAAGCTATTTCAGAAAAAATAGCTTTATCTTCTTCTCCTTGAATATATTATGACCTCTTTCACAGGGTTATTGTGATGACTATCTAATAAAAATTATTGTAAAGCACTTTGCAAAAATAAAGGGCTATATAATTGCTTAATAATAATTATTAGATTTGAGTCCATTATCACACAGAATAATTGCTACCAACAAGAAAATAAATAATTGTTCTGCATTCTCATCTTAAGACTTCTCAAATTTTGTCTTGGGACATTTACCCTGTTTGTTTCTACAGGGCTCTCTTACGTGCACTGATATCACAAAATCCCTGGAGGGTTACACAACGGCTGCTGATCCTCCTTCTCCCTGCAGCACTTGCTCAGATGCTACAGGATGGATCTGAAACCACAATAGACCTAGGGGCTCAAGTTCCCTGGGCTAAACCATAAAGCAGAGGAAAATAGCTTGCTTTATGAGGTAGCCAGTTCCTCTTGTTTCAGTAGAGAATTTCTTTTGTAATCCTACCCATGTACTGTTATAAAGAATGTATCAATTCTGATTACCCATGGAAGTCCCTATTTTTTATGCATCTGTTTGTAATAGACTTAGGCAGAGGGGCAGTCAGACAAAACGATTTTGCTTGCTGTAGGAAGTGGCAATACCATCAACACCACTGCCAGTAGCAGTGGATTTTTATTGAGTGCTTATAAATATTCTAGGTGCTGTGATTAATGCTTTATAAGCATTGCCTACTTAAGTTTTACAGCAATCTACCTGGTAGGTAGCATGCATGGCTTAGTTACATTCTTATCCCAACTTATACAGATAGAATAAAGACTCGAACCAGAGAGTCTATCCCAGACTTGTTATTGTAAAAACGATCTCCCTACAATTGAACACCATTAGCTTTTTGTTTTTGAATGTAAAACTCTCAATTTAAAAATTGAATATTTGTAAGAAGTCTTCACTTTTTGTTGCCAATTGCCTTAACTACCCTCCAACGACTTTTCTTCTGAATGTACTGAAATTACACAGGTATTTCCACAAGGTCAGGGGATAGATATATCTGCTCCTATAAATACCACTGGAGTTTGCAAATTAGTGTCCATTTTCAGTGATTTCTTGAAAATTTATATAAATTATTATGTTCTCTCTCCTACTAATATTCTTAAGTACAACTGCTTTTTTTCTGGATATGCTAAGGTACAAATTTAACTTAAAGACGTATACCAAAGCATCCTGCAATGGAAACTCTTAACTTTTGAAATTATTATCTGTCCTCATAAAGTAGTGAGTAATATTGCAAAGAAGTAATACAGGTTATTAGGCACAAAATTTATTGTTAACAAATAAGTCAGTATTCGCATATCTATCACGAAACCTTAGGAAAGTTAATTTACTTCAAGTTTATCCTCTGTAAAATTGGTAAAATAATTGAAAAATGATAATAACTAATATCTAATAAATGCTTTCATGCCAGGCACTGTTGTAAGGGAGTCACATGCATTAACTCATTTCTTCACAGCAATTCTAAGAGACAGGCATTAGTATATTTCGTCCATTTTCACAGGGAGATAGGTAAGGCACATACAGGTTAGGTAACTGGCTCAAGATCCACAGCAATGGATCAGGAAGCTGGAAGTCAAGCCCCATAGTCAGACTCAAGAGCTCAGAATCTTAGTTGCTATTTGAAAACACACAGTTGAGATCCTGGCATGCAGCAGGCTCTCAGGAATAGTCCTCTAGTGGCACTGAATAATGACAGCAGTGAGCATTTATTGACTAATCACTGGGGAACAAAAGAGTAACATTTTAGGTACTGTGAATTTTCAGATACAATCACTGTCTTAAAAAAGCATGGACAGAAAAAGCTTGTTTGTTTATTCCCAAGAAGAGTTGTTCTAAATGTGGCTTTAATGTATGAGTTAGACGTGTCCTTATGTCCTCAGGTTAAAATATCTCACCCTCCATCTTGCAGAAATTTGTCTATAGAGGGTGATTTATAAATCATTCAGTAACAGATGATGTTATAACTAAAGCAGTGGGAGTTTTGAAATATCTACATCAGATTAAGCTTGTGTTTATTTCAAAAAAGGCTCTGATCTAGCTCGAATTTTTGGCAGGCTCAACATGAGCCCAACATGAACTATTGTAATGAAAGCTTTTTTTTTTTTTGAAAATCAAACTTGGAATATTTCCAGTCCCAATTAAATATCATTTGATGTGTTTGGCCTTCTATTTTTTTTAGAAAACACTTTCCTTTCCCTTCTCATATTTATGGTCATGAACTCTGCTTAGAATTATGCTTTTTAAAAGTTGCTCCAAAAATTATAAAAACCTCAGAGTTTTTACAAATTTTGTTTCAAGAAATGGAGAATTGGAACTCATAGATACATTTAAATATAAATGTAGGCATCAAATCTACAAATAGCACTTTGTCTTTTTCTTCAAATTATTTCTAACATTTGAAGATTTTAAATATCAATGTTGTTTTGCACCTCCTCTGCAGATTACTTCAGCATTTTTCAGACTAGACTTAAAATCATAAAGTAATAAATGGCTCATTCCTGATTTAACCAACAAAAAAAAATAAGACAGCAGTCACACCGAGGGAAGTTACTCAAGGGAATACTCTTTAAAAACTCTCTCAAGAGGTTTTGTTAACAAAATAATTTATGATTATCTCATACTGTGCATGAATAACCCTCATAAATATGGCACAGTACAATCCAATTAATTATGCATCCTAAATGGCTTGATAATTTATGAAATTGTGGAATTCTGTTTAGTCTGAGTGGAAAATGAATACATATTGCAGAAAAAGGAAAATTTGTAACTTCAAATCAACATTTTAAAAATATAGATCATACAACAGCATTCATCTTTCTGTGTACATTTCTGGACTGTTGGATGGATTAAGTTACAGAGATTTTGGCTCAACATCTATTCTTGTGGAGTGTTTGAGGCTTTTTTTTTTCTATTTTTTTATGAGCGGACTTGATCCCTAAGCAATTGATTTAATAAAATTAAAAACATAAACTAAGAAAGGCTGAATATGTTGTCACCAAATCTTTGTGTTAGAAAAAAAGCATATTGAGTAAAATTATCAGCAAAATGACTCCTTACTTAAATAAATCCCATTTTATGAGTGAAAGATGACTAGAGAGATATGGAAGCTATGGAAAGTTATGGTATTATCTTATTTATTTTTGCAATAAGGTATGTAAACATGTTTTCTATTTAGCTTGTGGCTAAAGCTAGACATGACCCTACAAGAATTAAAATAAGCTCTGTTTCTTTCATGAGATCTAAAAGTTGCACTTTGCTCTAGACTCTAAAAACGAAAGCTCAGCTTGTTTTGATAATTTCCATGATATAGTATCTGTAAGGAGATTTTATTACATTTTCAGTGTATTAAATTACTGTGACTTCCTTTAGAAATTTTAAATTGTCAATGGATCGGAATTTCATAAATGTCTTCACTGGCAAAGAGTGGTAGAGAATTGAGATGTCTTTGTAAAATATATTTGTGTAAATGATGAAAAGTTACTGTTACAACTTTTCCCTCCCTATGTTATATAGACATTTGAATAATTATTCAGATTTTCATTGAGAAAAAGACTAATGAGCCTTCCAGATACTTCAATTTGTTTTTAAGGAATAAGAACAGTGAGTACAACCTGGAGAGGCAGGAGGTTATATTTGGATTTGGGCATCATTCTGCATATATTTCGCAACTTACTATTTTTGTGTAACTTAAATAAAGTTTTATTTTGAAATAATTACATATTTACATGTAGTTTCAAATAAATATATAGGGGGATCCCATGAACTATTTATCTAGCCTTCCCAGTATTAATATCATGCTTAACTATAATACAGTATTAATACCTGGAAATTGACATTGGTACAACTCACAGAACTTATTCAGGTTTCTCTGGTTATTCATGCACTCACTTATGTGTGTGTGTATGTATGTGTGTGCAATTCTGTTCAATTTTATCACATGTGTAACTCTGTATGACTATTTTCATAATCACAATGTAAAATTATATCATCATCAGAGTTACACGTGATAAAACTGAACAGATTCTGTTGGTTGATAGTGTTGTTTAGTTTTATATAATTGCTTATTTTCTCTCTTGTAGTTCTACCAGTTACTCAGAGTGGGGTTTTTAAATGCCTAACTACAATTATAGATTTGTGTACTTCTTTTAGCTTCTCAGATTTTGCTTCATATGTTTAGAAACCTTGTTGTTTGGTGCATGCATATTCAGAATGGCTGTATTTACTTTGCAACTTGATCTTTTCATTATGTTGTATCACTCTGTTTCTACTAATTTATTTTGCTTTATAATATACTTTGTATGGTATTAATATAACTATTCTTGATTTTTAAACAAGTTAATGTTTGTGTGATATGTATTTATCTGTCCTTTTATATTCAATCTTCTTATATCATTTTATTTGAAGTGAGTTTCTTCTAGACAATGTATAATGAGGCTGTGCATCTTAGTGTATTCTTTCTTTTGTTAATTCACTAGGCCAATTTCTGTATTTTAACCTGTGTATTTAGACTATTTATGGTCAAAGTAATTATGGATATGATAGGTCTCTGACATTTTATTTCTTGTTTGCTGTTTGTTTTGTTCTCATTTCTAAGTTACTCTTTTCCTGACTTTTTAGAAATTATTTGAATATGGTTAAGAGTTTCATTTAGAATTATTTATAGTGTATTTGAGTATGTTATTCTGTACAATTTTCTTAGTGATTCTTCTAGGTATTACTGTATATATATATATGACATATGTAACTTTTCACAGTTCATCGATGTTGACATTTTACCACTTTAAATGAATATTAAAATTTTACTTCCATTTAGGTCCTTCCTCACCTACAAAAAGAAGTATTTCTTCTTCATACATTGAGCACCACATCAACAGGTATTATAATTTTTGCTTCAACCATCAAATATTAAGGAAACTTATGAGTTAAAGATTAATCTATTGTATTTACTGCTATTTTTGCCCATTTTGCCCTTTCTTTTTCAAAGTTCCAAGGCTTCTTCGGTTATGATTACTATTTTTTTGTTTGTTTGTTTCTGGATGCTTACTTTGGCCATTCTTTAAGAATAGACCTGGTAAGAAAAATTCTCTTTGTTTTATTAATCTGAGAATATTTTGATTTCTTTTTCATTTTTAAAGGATATTTTCACATGATACAGAGTTAATAGCTGACAGTTCTCTTTCAGCATTTGAAAAATGTACTCCTTTGTTCTGGTCCCCATGATTTTAGATGAGAAATGTACTATCATTTGAATTTATGTTGCTCAATAGGTAATGTATCATTTCTCTTTGGCTGTGTTTTACTTTGTCATTCATTTTTAGAAATTTGACTATAAAGTGTTTTGGCATAAGTTTTTTTGGTTTATTGTATTTGGATTTGCTCAGATTGTGAATTTACAGGTTAATAGTTTTCATCAAATTTGGGAAGTTTTCAGCCTTTTTTTTTTTAGTATCATTTAGCCCCACATTCTTTGTCCTCTTGTTCTATAACTTTGATGATATGAATGTTGAATCTTTTGTTTTGGTCTATAAGCCTCGAGTCTGTGTTCATTCATTTTCAGCATATTTTATTTCTGTTGTTCAGTTTGAGTAAACCCTATTGCTCTCTTCCAAGTTCACTGTTTCAATCCTTTGTCATCTCACTTTCCTCTGAGCCCATCCAATGAGTTTTTTATTTTGGTTATTGTATTTTTTAACTTCTATAATTTCTGTTTGTATTTTTTTAAATAAATTCAATGTCTTTGTTAAGACTTCCTATTTTTGGCCAGGTGCAGTGGCTCATGCCTGTAATCCCAGCACTTTTGGGAGGCCAAGGCAGGCGGATCACGAGGTCAGGAGATCAAGACCATCCTGGATAACACGGTGAAATCCCGTCTCTACTAAAAATACAAAAAATTAGCCGGGTGTGGTGGCGGGCACCTGTAGTCCCAGCTACTGGGGAGGCTGAAGCAGGAGAATGGCATGAACCCAGGAGGCGGAGCTTGCATTGAGCCGAGATCACGCCACTGCACCTCCAGCCTGGGCGACAGAGCGAGACTCCGTCTCAAAAAAAAAAAAAAAAAAAAAAAAAAGACTTCCTATTTTATTTTTCAATTGTTTTAAGATAATTCACAATTGTTGAAGCATTTTTACTATGGCTGTCTTAAAGTTTTTGTCAGATAATTTCAATATCTACTTCATTTTAGTGTTTGTCAATTGATGTTTTTCAAGTTGTTTTTCCTAGTTCTGAGGATGATGTGTGTTTTAGCAGGCAGTCATCTTGTTTAGGTTTAGTGTGTAGGTACTGACCTACTGCTAAAGCTGTAACTTCAATGACAACTTAGTTTTCGATTCCTTGCAATGCTCTTCTGGTGTTCATTATTATGTTGACTCTGAGGCTGCTTCTCAGTTCCTTCACGTGCTACTTGGGCTACATATTAGAAGTTCAGGAAATTTGGTTGGCCTGGATAACTTCTGCCACTGATTAGAGGCCTAGGAGATGTCAGGCACCCTGCAAATACCAGCATATCCACTTTGCATATGGTACCGAGTTTTGGTCTGAAGTTGGAAGCTCCTGGCAAGGTCTCTGCTTAGTTTCTCCTTTTCTAGTCATTTGGCTAAGAAAATAGGCTTTTCTTATTTTATTTTTTGTTTGTTTCTTTGTTATGCCTATGCCTGTGGTCAGTTCTGGGTTACAGGCCTCTCTTGGAAATATTTGGAAAATTTTAAAAAGCTCAAGAACATCACTGTGGTGTCATTTCTTAAATCTTGGGATCACTAGGCAGTCTGCCTTCCCCTTTCGTATCTTCGAGTCCTTTTATTATTTCTGTTGAATTGTTTACTAATAATTTAGTTGTATTTAGAGGGAAGTAGGAGAGAAAAGTGGATCTATGAAATCTTGTCCTGGAATCAGAAGCCTGTCAATTTTTCTGCACCTCAGTTATTTCATGTGGAAAATTGATATAATATTACCTATTAGTCAATGTTGTTGTAAAATTTAAAATAACATGTGTGGAACACTTGGTGTAATAACCTGCAGGTTGAGACATCCATAAACTTACTTTTCTTTCTCTTTCTATCACTTCCTTTAGCTGTATTATAAAGATGTGTAGGAAAATTCCTCTAATATTTTCAGAGTTCTTGGAATAATAAGGCAATACAAAACCACACTCTTCTCTCCCTGTTAGAGGGAAACTTACAGTCCACAGTTAATTTTCACTAAGTCTATTCTCAAGTTCTAATTTATAGAATAGCACTGTGGAGTCTCAGTTTGAGAAAACAACAAGAAATACATATGTTTTTTTTTTTTCCTTCTTGTCAGGCACAAAATGGTCACTTGTAAGGTATAAAGAAGAGAAATGCCTCTGAAAAAAAAAAGGTGTTTCTCCTTCCTCCCGTATCCTTCTTCTTAAATGAGAGAAGTGACCTTTTTATCTGACTGTCACTGTGAATTAAATTCAAGAAAACTTGTCTTTCCTCAGTCTCACCAGTAAATCATATTTATTCTTTCTCTTCAATGAATCAAAATAGTCTTATGCAAGAATAAACACATTGAGAGTAGAACAAATGTCGCAGTCCAGAAGCAGATAAATTCAAATTCGGTCACTTAATTTATAAACAATATGACACCTTTGTGTGTGATGCAATAAGAAAAGGTTTTTTTTTTTCCAGTATATGGCTCAGGGTCAAGTCCATAACCGTATGCAATGAAAGCATTAGAGGTTAGAAACAAAACTTCTGTACAAAGAAACTTACGTCTGTCAGGGTGGGTGGGTGGAGAGATAGAAGATGATAGATGATAATGATGAAGATAGATAGAGGATAGATAATAGATAGATAGATAGATAGATAGATAGATAGATAGATAGACATCATGTACTTCCAAGGCAGCTTAGGCATGATAGCATATAATAAATGCTAAGTAAGTAGCCATATGAATAATATCACAGTTTTGAAGCAAAGGTAATCACATAGAAGAGGTGGAGATGAAAGTAAGCCTTGAAGGAGGAATAGGATTTAGATAAATGGAGAGTCTGTAGGTTTGGGGCATGGGAGTGAGATGCAACAGGGCAGCCACTATGTCATAGCACATCTCAGTGCTAATCAAATACATCTTCCTACAAAGTTGACTCTGCTTCCAAAAGGATCCAAGGTTTGGGAAAAATGGGATGACATGGATATATAAAATGAGCCGAAATATGGAATACAGAGAGAAAAACTTCTTGAATTTGTGAACTTATAGGTTATTGGTTACCTTTCCAAGAACAATTCCATGCATCTGTGAGCATAGAGGTCCAATTGGAGAGGAGAGAAATGGATGAATGTTGAGGCTGTTCGGATAAGGGAAAACAGATACATGCTTTGATTGGTTTTGCTGTCAAAGAGGACAGAGAAATGACACAGTAGCTACAAGAAAATGTGAAGTAAAAAGAGACATAGAAAATAGCAGATAATAGATCATGCTTTTTATAATGATGGAAATGATTTAGCAGGGAGAAGGCAAACATGAAGTGAAGAGAAAAAAATCATATGAGCCCAACTAAGAAGATAAAAATGAGAAAGCTTTCATAATAAGGAACAACTTGTGAGGAAGAAAGGAATCTCAGTAGTTTGGACATTCTCTTGGTAAAGCCCAAATATCTCTTCCAAAGAAGGAGGTGGATTTTCTTTATGTATTTCAGCTCTTTTCCTCCTTCATTTGGACATAATAGTGAACTCATATATTTTACTGGGATCCAGGTCTACCTAGTACTTTAGTCATTCTCAAGTAGAAAAGTGTTTAAAGCCACTGCAGGAACTCTCATTCTGGGTCTGCATAGAAGGAAACTCTTAAATAGATATAAGTTATTCTTAATAAGTTCTAATACTCAATAGCAGAATAGCGTAACTATAGTTAATAACAATGTACTGTATATATTTTTTAACTTTTATTTTAAGTTCAGCGGTACATGTGCAGGTTTGTTACATAGGTAAATTTGTTCATGGGGGGTTGTTGTACAGATTATTTCATCATCCATATATTAAGCCTAATACACATTAGTTATTTTTCCTGATCCTCTCCCTCCTCTTACTATCCACCTTCCAATATGCCCCAGTGTGTGTTGTTCCTTTCTGTGTGTTCATGTGTTCTCATCATTTAGCTCCCACTTATAAGTGAGAACATGCTGTATTTGGTTTTCTGTTCCTGCATTAGTTTCCTATGGATAATGGCCTCTAGCTCCATCCATGTTCCTGCAAAGGACATGGTTTCATTACTTTTATGGCTACATAGTATTTTATACTGTATATGTACCACATTTTCTTTATCCAGTCTATAATTGATGGACATTTAGGTTGATTCCATGTCTTTGCTACTGTGAATAGTGCTGCAATAAATATATGCATGCATGTGTCTTTATAAGAGAACACTTCACAGTCCTTTGGGTACATATCCAGTAATAGGTTTGCTGGGTCGAATGGTATTTCTGACTTTAGGTCTTCAAGGAAAAGTCACACTGTCTTCCACAATGGTTTATACTCCCATCAACAGTGTATAAGTGTTCCTTTTTCTCCACAACCTTACCAGCATCTGTCATTTTTTTTTTTGGTTATTTTAAATAATAGCTATTCTGATTGGTGTGAGATGGTACCTCATTATAGTTTTGCTTTACATTTCTCTAATGATCAGTGATGTTGAGCTTTTTGTATATGATTTTGGCCACATGTATTTCTTCTTTTGAAAAGTGTCTGTTCATGTCCTTTGCCCACTTTTTAATGGAGATGTTTGGTTTTTTACTTGTAAATTTGTTTAAGGTCTTTATAGATGCTGGATATTAGACCTTTGTCAGATTCATAGTTTGCAAAAGTTTTCTCCTATTCTGTAGGTTGTCTGTTTACTCTACCAATAGTTTCTTTAGCAGTGCATAAACTCTTTAATTAGATCCCATTTGTCAATTTTTGCTTTGGCTGTAGTTGCTTTTGGCATCTTCATCATGAAAGCTCTGCTCGTGCCTATGTCCTGAATGCTATTGCCTAAATTGTTTTCCATGGTTCTTATACTTTTGTGTTTTACATTTAAGTCTTTAATCTATCTTGAGTTAATTTTTGTATATGGTGTAAGGAAGGGGTCCAGTTTCAAAATAGCTAAAAGAAAGGAGTTTAAGTTTTCCCAACACATACAAATAATAAGTACTCGAGGTGATAATACCCTAAACATCCTTACTTGATCATTACACATTCTATGCATGTATTGGGCTGGTGCAAAAGTAATTGCAGGTTTGCTGTTTTTAATGGCAAAAATGCAATCACTTCTGCATCAATCTAATAATAAAATATCACATCCTGATAAATATGTACCAATATTATGTATCAATAAAAATGTGCTTCTTTATGTTATTCATGTGATGTCTTTTCACTAATAACACTCTACTATTAACATCAGTGTAAAAGAAGGCAACTCCATCAGCCTAGATTCCCATGTTAACTTTGTGTAGATGTTAAAATACCCATTCTTGGCTTTAATAAAACAAGGGTTCTGGGGTGTTTACGTAATACAAATAAGTTAATGTTGGCAAATAAAATTAGTTTCAAACTCAGGGAAGCTCGAATTTAAAGTTTTTAATTATACTAAGTTACTCCTCATTAAGCTTCTTTTTTGCTTCTTCATATCAAACTTTCCTAAAATATATACAGCTTAATGCTCATAGACGGGGATCATAATTGCACCAACATCTGAAGACTATTGGGAAGTTTAATGAGAGAATGCTGGAATAGCACTTTTCACACAAAGTGTGTGTGAAAAAAATGATAGCTTCCATACTTATTTCTATTATGCTTTCTCCCATTCTTCAAGCATTCCTCATTGACCCTGACTAATGTGATAAACATATTTCACCTAGGGTTTAAAATAAAATTAAGAGTAGAACTAAATGAATGACCCTGATACTGGAATTTAGAACCAAGAAGGTATATTTGAAGTTAGCAGTATTCTTTCCTTTTTTAAAATTTTCTATTTGCATCTATTTTCTCTTACTCTGAGTACTTTAGTTTTCAATTTCATTAACTTAAAACTAAGATTACTGCAATAATCCAGTGACTGTATTTTAGCATTACTATGTATGAACATGCATGTGTGGAGTCTTTAGAATAATGTCTTATAAAATCACTTGAAATAATTTTCTATGTGCAGATTTGCCTCCAACTTGAAATATAATTAGGTTTATTTGTTTCAGTTTGCTTTTAATTTTTGGAGATAACTTTTTTCTGTTTGATTAAATATATTTCTTAAAATAAGTAAAATATTTGCATATTTCCAAATTTAAAAGTATACTTTAATATATTCAAAGAACTCCAGATTCCTTTTTATTAGCTTTGGTTTGCCCTTTCATTATTTCATTTTGAAAAATTAACAAATATTTATATGTCTGCCCACACATCTCTTAGAAAAATGGTAACATCCTATACATTCTTTTGTATCTTGCTTTTTTTCTGATTTAGTATTATGTCTTGGAAAATGTGCTATAGCAATACATAGACATTTTCATCTTATCTTTTTACCTCCTTATGTGGATAAACCACAGTTTATTTAACCAGTCAAGGGCCTTTCAATGATCTTTGCATCTCTACTGAGGGATATGAACATCTACTCTGTAAATGGAGGGTTCTGCTTATTTTAGTCCATGTTCCTACTCCCACTGCATAGAGAACCAGCACAATCCTCTCAAAGGAAAAAGAAGTCAATATGGATAAGGGCAGAATTTATATTACCTAATGGCTTAGAAAACCATTAGATAATAGAATCTTAGGAGATTGGTACGTGGTGGTCAAATTCCACAGATTGTTTTTCATTGCTAGTAGAACCAGGAATAAAACCCACGATAACTGATTTCTATTTCAAGCTTTCTTTACTATTCCACACATTACCTTATATTTTATTTTTTGTTGTTTCATTTTGTCGTGTTTTTTTCCTACCTCGTAACCCATTGTCCCTGACTTAGTTCCCCAGCTCATACTCAAATATTCAGAAGACTTTGTTAATCCTCTGTTTGTAAAAAGCAAGAGTAATACATTTTCAAGTCAGGCCTTCTCATCCCTATGCACCGTTCCACAAGCTGTATTTGCCCAAGATCCAGTTTAACCAGATGTGTATTGGTGCCTTTTCTCTGGGCTACACATTGCTGAGTGCTCTAGCAAAAAGGAGGATTCACAGGAAATAATGGCTCATTCTAGAGAGGATTCTCATATCTCACAGTTTTTTAAAAAAGGAAACCTTTAACCAAAAATAGACTTAAGCCTAAATTGTATATTTCTAATTTTTAGTTTCAAACATGATAATGCCTATGTACATGCATGTACAACCACACATACACAAGCAAATGTTTTGGGTTTCAAGGACTCTACATTTTTTCATCTTACCCTCATCTCTTTCCACTTTCTTTTGCAGATGTTTTCTTTGAAAAACATGGTGAGAAATTCCTCCACTGCATTTTCTTCAGCAGGATATTGATGGTATCAGATAGGAGATGATGCAGTCTGAGCCAACACAGCTGCCTGTCTTTGAGTCCAGAGATGCTTTTTTGTGGATAGCTCAGGGCTTTTGAAATAATTAGTAGGTTATAATAAGGGGCTGATTTGGAACAGACAATGGGATTGTTTCTGGATATGATGAGTTTTAGGGGGCAAGTAGGGCATCAGGAAGAAACTCTGGATTTGTCCAATCAGTCATTGTCATTGTCATTACTGCTCTGGAACTTGGGAAATAAATTTGGGCTAGAAGTAAATTACTAATTTAACATTTGTATTTCCATTTTTATAATGCTCTGGAAAAAATATACTTATAAAAAATCTAAAAAGAAAGATGAATTCCAAAAATTAAATTTTGAGAAAATCTTCATTAAGTGGGAGGGGAGAGTGAAGAGGAGGAGGTGGAAGAGAGAGAGGAGAAGAAAGAGTAAGTAAAAACAAAGGTGGAAGAGGTGAAACCGGGGGTTTAAATATCCATCGCCACAGCAAGAAAAGCCACATAAATTTAGTGAAACTCTTCATGAATATCAATCATCTTTATTAAAAAACCTCAAGCAAGAAAAAAAAAAAAACAAAAATGTGCTCTGCTAATTTGCTTTTCCCTAAGAAAATGTGTACTTGGGAGGCCAAAGACCTCGGAAACCATTCTAAAAACTTGAAAACTTTAACTTATTTAAATAAGCTCAGTGTAATTTTATATGTCTTGATGAAACAGCCCTTATATTTGCCAGTCAGGAGACAATACAAAAGATTTTAGGTTAGTGGTTAAATATTATTATCTTAAATATTGCCTATTTACTTCATTTTTCACATTCCTAGTCACCTTCCATTTTGATAATCAAGATTGCAAATATTTTAGAGGGCCAAGAGTCTGGGACTTTTTTGTTTGTTCGTATGCTTGTTTTTAGTTTTTCAAAGTTCTACTGGTAGAAGAGCAAAGTACCTTCTTATAAGAGAGATAATTCTGCATCTCACAAAAACTTTTTTTTAACCAATTAAATGGGAATCAACCATTTTCCCAGAAAAATCTGTCATTCTGAAAAATTAAATAATTAACCTTGACTGTACTTAAAAATGTCCGAAATCCACGTAAAATATATATTTTTAAATGTATGTTGTCAAATATCTTGATGATTTTAATTTCTAACTAGCTTTCTACTCTATTATACATTTTAAAACACTTTTGTTGCAGTAATAGGTATTTGATTTGGGCCTTCCTTTAGTAGGTGTTAAGGGTATAAGATCGCCTTTGCAGTTATGCATAGTCCAGGAGTCAAGGGAAGGAATTTATGCCTTCTCTACTGAGCTAATTTGGAAATAGCAGAAATTGTTTCAAAATCCAGGGTCAAACACATAAAGCTAAATCATGAAACAAATGAAACAGACCAGGAATTTGAATTAGATTTGTTATCCAGTACGTTAAATAACGAAAAAGGAACCAAAAAAAAAAGAAGTATATTCATGGTCAAAGTAAACAGGGATATTATAATTCAAGCTCATGGACATAACTTTGGAAGGAAAGAGAAAAGTAGGAAAAGAGGCTAACAGTAGAGAGAGTATTGTTGAGCTAGTCCTGTGAATCTTATTTCATCTGTGTTTTCTCCAGCAAGCTATGGTCTGTACTCGGTTCTCTTCCACAGTAAAATTGTTCTATAATGTCCATGCTTATCTGACTGAAATTTGACTATGATTTCCTCTTATTATCACTTGCCAAATAATATCTTTTCTGAATAGCTTATGACTTTCCAACACTCAGTTGAAAACATTATTAAAAAGCTAAAAATAAAAATTCCCATTTGTAGATACAACAACTTAAAAATGCCATTATATATTTTGATGATTTTATAGCTCTGGGCAATATGATTATCACTTACAATGTATAAGATTTAATAAGGCAATTATAATTATAACATATGTTGCAAAACACTAGAACAACAGCAAATAAATGGAGCCTTTTAAATCTTAGTCTTAGAAAGGAGTTAATGTACCATTTCCCTAATTTATAATCAAAATACTAAATACAATTCAGTTTAGCAGTTGTAGCATATCTAAGGTGCTTCACATCATAAATTTCACAAAGCTGAAGGCAACCCTGTCTTTTTAATTGAAAGATATTATAGATGAAATAAATTTTAATATGTATATACACCAGCATAATATTAATATTATAGAAAACTAGAAATTTTAATAGTGCTGAAGATTGGTCAATATTATTTTCTTCTCCTGTAGGTCCCTGCACAAAATCACAGATAAAATTATTAAGAAATCTAAAGGAAAAGAGAGACAAGTAGAACCAGATGAAACAATGTAAGCAACTTTTAAATAAATCAAATAAAAAGCATTTTTTTGTGTTTCTTGAAAGGACAATATCACTCACCATGTTACATTTAATGTCTGAAAATGGCAAGGTGTGAATGCCATGTAAGATAATCATTTTTTTAATTAGAGAAGTTCTAAATAAACTTTAGTCTGAGGAAAGATGCAAGAAATAAATTGAACCCACAGTACTGAGTGAATCTTGATGAGCAGCAGCAGCCATAGGAGTAGCAATAGTAATGATAATAATAACAATGCAAAACTGATTCATCAGGTTGCTTGGTGGTGTTCTAAGCACTTTCCTCATATTAACCCACTATCTCTATATCTAGATTTATTATTAAGCCCATCTTTCTGACTTCTTTTCTTCCTTCCTTCCTTCCTTCTTCCCTCCCTCCCTCCTTTCTTTCCTTCCTTTTCTTTTTAAACTGAAAAATAAAAATTATATATATTTGTGGTTTAAAACATGATGCTTTGAAATATCTATACACTGTGGAATGGCTAATCAAGTTAACACCTCACATTTATGCATTAGCTCATATACTTACTTATTGGTGGTTAGAACACTTAAAATCTACTCTAAACAATTTTCAAGCATACAATACGTTATTATTTACTGCAGTTACTATGTTATACAGTAGATGTTTTGAACTTATTCCTCCTATCTAATTGAAATTTTGTATCCTTTGCCCAATATCTCCACAACACCCTCAACACGCTCCCTCACTGTAGCACCTGGTAATTACACTGTTCTATTCTCTGCTTCTAGGAGTTCAACTTGTTTAGATGTCACATAAGAGTGAAATTATGCATTATTTTTCTTCTGTGCCTGGCTTACTTAACTTAACATAATGTTCTCCAAGTTCATCCATGTTTTCACAATGACAGAATTCAAAAATTGACACTTAAAAGCCATCAGGTTAAACTTGTTCTGAGCTATTTTCCAGTTTTTATAGCATTGTCTCTTGGTTTTCAGAGTGAAAAACAATATAGACTCACTTATAATAACAGAACCAGGAGGTTCTTTAAATAGTGATAGAGGAAAGAAAGACTAGAGACATCTAAGTTTTATTCCCATCCAATGCCTTCATTGTTAAATGATTTAATATGTCTGCTAATTGCTACATGAAAGCAGCTCCCAATGGGTAGAAGAAAAAGTTTGGGAGTACATGCTTTCTTTGTCTTACATCCAGCCTAAATCTACTGAAAGGACAACCAATAGTAACTTTGAGCATACAGCAAGCTATTCACATTGAAAAACATAAGTTACAATTCCATTTGCTCAGTGCCAAATAAAATGTACAATTTTCCCATGATATTAGAAATGTAAAGCATACAAAACCTGGAGTTCTACACCTTCATACCCAAGTAAATTGTTTCCTCCCAGGCCTTTTACCCCACTTATGCATGTAAAAATAGGAGGTAAACCACTTAGAAGACCCTTCATACCAGTTGTCCTGTGAGTAACAGAGGATTGTGTGGTCACAGGGAGACTAGTGAGTATGCATTTGAAAAAAAAAATCTGAACCCTAGAATCTGCTTTAGATTTTCCTAAGGTAGATCCACACTTCTTTTTCCAAATTAGTGAAGTCAACAACTCTGCAATCCTACAAAGATCTCTAAATTATGCTTATGTGAAATACATGAAAGGTGACTATTTCCTTAGGCATAATAAAGTCATTTCAATACTAGTTTGATCTTCTTAGAGAGAAACATAGGCGCTTGCTCTTTGCATGTTTGTGGATGAAATGAATAAAGAATAAAGTTAAGAATGAAGAATTAAGTTAGAATGTTAAGAATGAAGTTCACTGACTCTTTACCTAAGAAGAATAATCTGGTAATATGTAAAATTTACCTCAAATTAGGTCTGTGACCAAAGAAGGAAAGGAGCATGGAAACATCATTATCCAAACTCTCCTTTTATCCTGGAGGTTTTAAAATATGACTGCAAATTCTTTGACACTTCCCCCATTAAAAGATGCAGTCTATGCAATTCATTTTGAAGTAGAGTGGGTTTGTGACTACAGAAACAGTACACAGTTGTAATGGAAATGACGCTGTGCCCACGTCGCAAAAGACATGCAGCTTCCATTTTGTTTAGGGAAACATTCACTCTTAAAAGCAATGAACTGCTGTGTAGAAATGCTGACCAGTCTGATACCACCAGCCAGCTGTAGGGGCTTAGGTCAGCTGAGCACAGCCTTCCAGTACTTTACCAAGAAACAAATCCTCTGCCATTCAAACAACCCCCTGCTGTTTGGGTCTTTTCAGCTGAGGCCCAAGACATCATGAAGCATAGAAGTCACCTATTCCCACTATGTTCTGTCCAAATTCTTGATTTACGTTATCCATGAACATAGTAAAGTGGTTGCTGTTTTATGACCACAAATTGTATTTTATCCAAGGAAATAGATTATCTAGAAAAATGCTTGGACTAGTTACTTGAAAATCAGCATTGGTGAGGGAAGTATTGTTACCAAGATTTTTACCAAGATTCAGTCAACAAATATGTATTAGGAAGCAGCTAATTTTCAACTCTGCACAGCAGAACTATAGACAGGTAAGGTTGATTCTTAGTGAGCTTTGGTGGATAGTACAAGGAAGTAGAGAAGAACGGTTTCTATTAGATCAACTCTATTTTCTATCCTTTCTATTCATTGATGTAAGACTTTAAAAAACAATGAAAAATCAGTTTTGCATTTTTACACACAGCTATTTGAGCCCTTTGTTGGTGTCTTTACCTACAATTTTTATCTAGTTTTACCTCTCTTTCTTTTCCCTTTTCCCCTTTCTTTTAACTGTAAAGTAAAATTAATATTATTTGACTATTGATGGTTAAGCATCACACAAGTACTAGAATTCAACAAAATCTAGTGACTTTAAAGTAAAAATATAATTTCTGTCAAATAATAATTAGGTAAGTCCTGCTGCTTATCTCCTAAAATGGCAGAGTACACTTTCTCCTGGACTCCAATAGATATTCAGTTAATAAATTTTCACTGAACTCTTAAAACACTGAAATATCCAGGATGGAGAAGTCCTACTCTCTGCTTTCAGGAATTCAGTGGAAATGCAAACACACACAAAAGAAGTAACTCTGATATAAGGTAAAAGATAACAAAAGTAAAGCATGCAGCTATGAATAACATTTCACAGGAGTACAATAAAGACCCAGAGCATGCTTGGCATTTTCTAGCTGTGGATCACTTCAAGTAAATAAAAAGTCTCCAAAACAGTTTGAATGGAAAGTAAATAAACTAGAGACAAATTCAGGGAATTAATTCAACTTGAACAAGTAGAGAAACAAGTAAATTATGAAGCATAAAACTGGACAGTATTAAATCATTCAGCTGTTTAAATATCTTAAATAATTCTACATTATTTTGCAGACTAAAGTATAAATTTGAATTGTTAAATAAATTAAATACAATTTTAATTAAATAAATTTCAATTTATTTGAAATGTAAATATCCTAGCAGAACGTAACATGTTTCCCATGTCAGCCCCAGTTTTATTCCTCATTTCACCAAGTCATTGCTCCCTTCTAGTTGCCTGGGACGTGCTCCTCAGTCATACCTCTCATCTTTGTTTTGTTGGCTCTAAACCCTACTCTTCATTTATCTAATTCTCGAGCTTTCATTAAGACCCTGCAGGGGTGAGCCTCTCCAGGCTCCCCATGCCTGCTTCACAGGTCTCTGCTCTGCAACATTGTCAAGCACTCTTTATATCACTAAAATGATACTCTTTTCATGTGACCATGTATTATCGTTTATCTTTACCTTGTTTCTGTATTTTCATTTAAAAGGTTATAAGTTTTAGAGAAAGAGGAAAAAAGTGATTTATAGTACTTTGAATTACCTAGTTGTGGCACAGGATTGTTTATTAATAGAGGAAATACTGGCACTTTGAATTGGATAATTATTTGTTCTGGTCGGGTGCCGGGGGCTGTTTTGTGTATTTCAGAATGTTTATTTAGCAACATCCATACCCTCTGCTCACTAGAGGTCAGTAGCCTCCCTCTCCCCCTTATCAGGACAGTAAAAAATTTCTCCAGCCACTGCAAAAGTCTCTATGGCTTAGATCAACCAGTGCAGAACAGTACTGAGGACACAAGAGTTTACAGTGTATGTTATGGCAATGGTATGATGATGTTTAGTGGGATAACATATAAAGTGTTGGGCATAAACTTCATACATCTTTAGTATCTAGTAGTATGTAGCTTCCATCTGATAATTTTTAAGTATGACTCTTGATGAATAAGTTTATATTTTAATTTGCACTATTGCCTAATGTATCAGGTTCTTTTAGAGTTATCTTTTCCTTCACTCTCTCTGCCCCCTCATCCCTTGCTCCACTTTTTTCACATGTGTCATGGAGGATGTATTGCAAGTAAGACATTTCCAGTTGAACTTCTCCTAGTATAGCAGCTATGGTCAGTAACAGAGACTTTTTTTTTAAGTCCTGCCTTAGGACTATTCCAGCAATGCTCACCCTGATACAGGTTTAAGCTGTTAAAGCTAATGAAAATATTGTTCAACTTTGCTAACTTTCCAAAGTTGTAAAGTTATTTTTTAGGCATAAGATACAGCTACAGGTATTTTAAATCTCATATAAACCTCTATGTGGACCAATTTGTTCTTCTTCTCTTGAAAAAATTTAAAATACATTCACTGTAGACTTGAACAGATAATTTTCAGAGGGCCCAATTATTCTTAGACCCACACTCTCTCTGAGTGTCAGGAGCCAAGGAAGGATATTAACTCTTTCGCTTGGCTGAAGAACATTTTAATGAGTTACTATTATAAGCAGTTTTTCTCTCAAAGCCTAAGGCAGAACTGTTACACGGCATAACATGGTACCTTAGTGGCCAACAGATGACTATGTCTTTATGAACAATCAACTTTTAACCAAGCAGTGACAGGCACTCAGGGGATTCTACCTTGTTAACATATAGTCTTTTTCTACACACAATAAGGGAAACATATTGGAGCTTATGTGGCTAAATGCATTTATGTTCTTTCCTTTTTAATCATTTTTTTTAAAATCACATGGGTTTGTCCTACTTTAACCATGCCCAGAAAACCTCTGCCCATTGTGCTAGCCTTCCTCTTCTAACTGTACTCTGATTTCACATCTAAAATGACCTTGGTAATGTTTGAAAGAACACATGCTTACCTCATGATGGACAAGGCTACAATTAAAAAATCCTTAAAATTGCAGCACAAAATAGACAATTCTATCAGAGTCTATATTACCACCTATTTGTAAGTTAGTGGAAGTGCTTGTGAAAAAAGTTATAAAATTCTGCCTGTTCTCAAGTCACAGACCAGTAATAATTTTTTTATGTAAAGCATAGGTTACAAAAAAATCAAAAAGTTATATTTCATCATGTGTTTGTTTTTATTTAATCATTGGATGCCTTTTCTTAGACTGGAAGTTAGGGAGATAAGAGAAAGTGATAAGAAAGTTAATCAGTCAAAGAAACAATGAGAAACAATTACGACTGTCTTACAACCACAGAGTTTTTACATAAACACTGTAGCAAATTGATGAAGATTTTCATTTGTACTGGCATAGGCTAAGTGCCCCTCTACTGTCTCACTCCTTTTCAGATAAAGATTGATTCACAGGCAGTTTTTGACTTCCATGGTAGACAACTTCTAGCCCTACCATAAAAAAACTCTTGTTTCAATTTGTTCCAAATATTTTTTCTATGCATCTTAAAGACTTGAAGGCATGCACACAAACAAACAGAAGAACACCCACACATGTCTGTGAGCCTCTTGGAGAGCAAATTCTAAATATTCAAATTTTAGCCCCTGAACTTGTAATGACTTTTCATAATTTATGGCTTTTCTTATAACAGTATTTATTATCATATTAGGCAAGTAATTAATGTCCAACAAAAAACAAAATTATTCTCTAAATATCAGATAACTGAGAGTTTACTTTAATTTGGCATACCCAATAAAAGTTAGCAATGTTGTTGTTATTATAAGATTTATTATTATTAGGAAGTCATGAGAAAACACAGTGGCCAAAAACCATAAACCTATCTAATCTCTAAATTTATAGTCTGCACATAGTCAAATTTAGCATGGATAAATTATTGAATTTTCCACAATGTTATTTTAAGTGGTATAGATAGTAGACAATGAAAAAGGAGAAAAATGGTAATAAACTTTCAATAGGGGTGTAGCAATGGTCTTCAAGCTTGGGAAACAAAGTTTACAGATTCTAGGTGGAATTAGGATGTCTCTGTATCTCCAAGAGTAATCACATCAAAAAAAATTATCTTTTGGTTGAAACATAACATCATGTCAACATAGATATCCGCAATCACTTTTAACCTGAAAAATATTAATATGACAACTTTAAATGTGCTATCACACCACATATATATGCATATTTGGAACTCTAGGGAAGCTTCCTTCATATCACATATCAGTGAACATATTTTCACTAAATTCAGAGGCTCACATATTAATTATGAAAAAATTCATTGAAGAGGTGTTTTTGTTTGCTCAGTAGCAGACACTGTATGGCATTTTCTTAGTTCATACTTTGTAGTTGGTGGATGTATTAGAGCTTCAGTAACAGTGGTATGGCCCATTTCTCTGCTTCTCATTGGAACCCAAACCCTTAATACTGATCGCCATTGTCAATAGTTTATCACTCCTTTTTCTGTATTATAATGTTAATAAAGTATGATTATTCATGTATTTAACAGATAATTGTGCCATATAAATCAAACTGATCTGGGTGAGGAAATATTACAGTATTTGTTGCCAGTGGAAGAGTCTGACAAGCTAATAAGCAATTGTCATGCATGGTAAAGAACATTTGGTTAAGTTATAGATTCTATGAGAACACATATAAGGAGCAGCTTTCCTCAAAATTAGGAAATATTTCCTAGAGGAGGTGGCATATTAGCCAAACCCTCAAGTGAGATGTTTTTAAGAGGCATTATAGGTAGCCTGAATATGATCTGCAAAGGCTTACAGGCTACAGATAATAAGTTGGGCTGGTAATGAAAACTTTTTTATTTTTATTTTTTTGAGACAGGGTCTTCCTCCGTTGCCCAGGCTGGAGTGGTGCAGTGGCACAATCTTGGCTCACTGCAACCTCCGCCTCCCAGGTTCAAGCAATACTTGTGCCTCAGCCTCCCAAGTAGCTAAGACCACAGGTGGACGCCACCACGCCCAGCTAATTTTTTGTATTTTTAGTGGAGACTGATTTCGCCATATTGGCCAGGCTGGTCTCGAACTCCTGACCTCAAGTGATCTGCCCCCTCGGCCTCCCAAAAGGCTGGGATTATGGGCCTGAGCCACCAAGCTGGACTGGTAATGGAAAGTTATTCAGAGTGGTCTTTGAAAAATAAAAGTTTGTAAAATGCAAGGCTACATGAGCAATGTCAGGACAAGAAATATTTTTATGGTTCAGTATAGCAAATTTAAGTTTTAACTTAAATAGGATATAGGGTGCCACTGAAGTTTTCAAACAAAATATACTTAAATTTATACTTTAAAAATGACTAAATCAAAAGTTTGGTTGTAGGGAGGAATAATTATTATGCCAAGAAATGTTGGTGTGGCGGGAGGCAGTAGATCTCCAACTGCAAATGACTGAGGCCCCTAGTGGCCACACTCTAAAGTTTATCTTTGCCTTCACTGAGACTAGAAATCTGCAGGCCACCACCAGGTAAAAACCAAGTGCCTCGGGGTTAGTGAAGCAGGCCAACACCTAGGAGATGTGGGGTTCTTTTACTGGTGCAACTTTGGCTCAAAGACTCTCTGACAGTCTTGCCAAAGTTTCCTTAGGACTGCACTACCACGTAAGATGCTTCCACCCAAAGTCAGCCGACTGGCCGGCCTGCCTTTCTGCCTTTCTGCCTTTCTTTCTTTCTTTCTTTCTTTCTTTCTTTCTTTCTTTCTTTCTTTCTTTCTTTCTTTCTTTCTTTCTTTCTTTCCTTCCTTCCTTCCTTCCTTCCTTCCTTCCTTCCTTCCTTCCTTCCTTCCTTCCTTTCTTTCTTTCTTTCTTTCTTTCTTTCTCTTTCTTTCTTTCTTTCTTTTTCTTTCTTCCTTCCTTCCTTCCCCGCTTCTCTCTCTCTTTCTCTTGCAATCATAGCTGCATGGATGCCTGATAAATTTCTTGCCCTCTAAACCCCAGTCACCATTTTCTAATATGTATTTCCCCTAGTGTCTTGCATGTTTAATCCTGTTTGGTGTATGCTTCTTAGAGAAACTAGACTAGCACAGATAGAAAGAAGTTGACAGATGGAGAAATTGAAGATATGACCCACATTTCTGACCCATATTTCTAAATGACTAGTTAGAACTTTTTTTCATAGAGATAGGAAATAGACAAATAAATCTGGGCCATTGATAATGATTTCTATTTTATATGGGCGAAATTTTTTGACATAATCTTGTGAGACTCCAGTCCTTGTATATGTATATGGTGTGCATGCTCATCTGTATTAATTGTCTACATTGTCTACTTTTATAAATATCTAGAGGAACAATTCACCTACCAATTAGTCTTTGAATATCCCAGTCAAAGTTTATTTTCTTCTGAACTTTCACACTTTTCAACTCTTGCTTCTGAATTCCCAGTACATAGCTCATAACACTTACATTTGATGGATTATGAATGAATACTCTCACTGCAGGGATAAAGGTCCTTATAGATGAATAGAGCTTTACAAGGGGAATAACTCAGGAGATTCATAAGGCCTAAGCAAGTGTGTTTTGGCATTCACCTCCCTGACTTAGTGGACAGGAAAAGAGAAGATCCCAATTTTAGTTGGAGTTAAAGGCTAGAAATCAGGAAAGTGGGGTATCCTCAATGGTGCTGGTAAGGGATATTATAAACATTTTCCTGAAAGCCATTCTTTCTCAGGCCGGAGGGAGATGACTTTTCCATTATTATATTGTGGAAGCTATTATAATAATAGCATAGCTGTGTCTAGTGACCTCAAGTTATCCTAGAGTGTTGGTTATTGATCCTCCTGACTTTCTCCAGGGTAACCAGAAAAGTAGAGGGCATTCAAGTAGTTATTTTAGGGAGTGAGGTATTTAGGACTTAGGGTATCCAAGCACATTGAGCATATTTATGCAAAAAACAGTCATCAGTCTTTTAAAAATGTATGCCTAAAACCCAATCACATCCTTTCATTGCAAAGATAACCTTGATGTCTAAATTCAGTTTATAGCATCATAAATAAGATGCATTCGTTGCCTTTACATTTGAGAGCTATAAGCTTTAACTTTTTATTAAGTAATTAAGAATTACTTGTAACACAATAGTCATTAGTTGATAGGCCCTAACCCTTGAGTGATCATTAATTCGGGAAGTCCTTACCTGAACAATAGCATAGTACTTAGTACATGATCAATATTTGCAGGAACGTATTTTGTGAACCTAGAAGATGTAATATGTACTGTGATATGATTAGGCTCCACAATATTGAGCAAACAGGTATTATTCTTGTTTTCATTGAGATAATAATCTAATGGTGAGATAGATGTAAAATAAGTAAACAGAAATAAGTATATAATCACAGTTTTGAAAATTGTTAGATCAAAAAAAACAAGATATTGTATAAGAGACTAGTAGGGGGGAAGTATTGGAAGACATAGCTAAGCATTAGGTTTTCAAACCTAGACCTAAAAGATGCTTAGGAGTTCACTAAGTAAAGAGTGAATTCAATATTATTAGTCAGTGAAACAGCCTGTGCAACATTCATGTCAGGAAGGATTGCATCACTTTGAATATCTTATATGGTACAATTTTGCTGTAGTTTTGAGAGAGAACGTAGGCATATGAAATGATATAAAATCTGACTGATATGCAGAGTCAGTATCATGGCAAACATTATAGGCAATATTAAGGAGTTTGATTTTTATTTTAAGGTCAGTGGAAAGTTTTTGAAGGTTGTCATTTATCCTATTATTCATTTTTTTGCAGGATAAGGGCATAATTTGACTATATTTAAAAATGGTAACTGGCTGTTGCATAAAGAATAGATTGGAATGAAATTAGGAAAGGCTATTGAAGTACAAGCAGGTAGGAGTGATATGATTTAGGGCAATGACAGCAGAGATTTGAGAGAGTCATCACATTTTAGATCTGCAAGGCAGAATTGATAAGAGATATTCACAGAGATAGAAAATACAGAACAAAGAAATCCTGGCCATTGATGGTGATATCTAATTCACAGAGAAGGGCAAATCAAGGAGGGAGAGGTGTCAAAAATGCATAGTAAGGCCTCAGACTCAAAATTTCTGTGCTCATAGAATGTATCATCTAAAGATGACACTTTTCAGAGTAAAAGAAGTGATACTAAAGACAGTATTGGGACAACAGGTATAAACTGACAGTCCTTTGCAATCTGAGAGACTGGTTACTGCTCCTATGCTAGACTTCTGGGTCCGTTCCAGTTTGCCTTCAATACCTCTCACTGATTTAGTAGTGCTCACTAACCAGTGGGTCCCATGTCGAACAATTCAGTGAATGTCTGTTTAGACTTCTTTGCACTTGACCTCTCTGTGAAACTGCTGAACACACTTCTTCTTTTTTGAGAAACTTTATTTTCCTGACAGCACACATTCCTCAGGATATTTTTACCACCCTCTCTGGCTAATTCTCACTTTCCTTTGCAATTTTATTTCTTTTAGCCACCTGATAAATATGGATATTCCTAGTGCTTCCTTTATTCCTTTTAATTCATGTCACCAGTTTCCCTTGGTATCAATATGACCAATGCACAGATAATTTACATATATCTTCAAGCTCGTCTTCACCTCTGGGTACTAGACCATATCAACAGTTATTCAACATCTTCTCACTTGATACTTCAAAATTTAAAATTTCAAAGTCATCTCACATAGCATGTCCAGAGCCAAATTTAAGGATTGCTTCTTCCAAAATTGACCTTCTTCCAGTGTTCCTGTGTTAGAAAACTGAGCCACTATTCATTCGTTTTGCAAATCAGAAGCCTAGAAATTACCCTTGGAACCTCAATCTCTCTCACTATTACTAGCTCCTGCCAATTTACCTACCACATATCTCTTAGCATTGTCTCTTTCTCTTCAACTTCTTTGTCAGCATCCAATTCAACCTACCATTATCTCTCACTGGATCTCTGCAAAAGTCCCCTAGCTACTTTTGTGCTTCCACTCTCACATCTTTCCAATTTGTCCTCCATATGGAAGTGAAGAAGACTTCCTACTACTGAGACATGGATTATAAAACACCTCCCACCCTCAAACAAAGCTTAAAATGAAAACCTCTCAACAGTAGAAGAATCTTCACTGCTTTTAGGATAAAAAAAAAAACAAAGCCTTTGATAACAAGACCTCCTAGGCTATGTGAGCTCTGAGCCCTAGCTCACCAGGAAAACCTTGCAATATCTGTCTATTTGATATTTGTGCTTTAACCACATACTATTTTCTTAGAAGCACCAACTTGCTTCTGCCAGAGGGCTTTTGTACATATATATCCAGACACCACCACCCCAAAACACACATATATACAAACGACTTCACCAGGGAAGCCTAATCTGATTCTCCAAACTGCCTCAAATCCTCCTAATAAAGGCTTTTATTAAACTGTACCACTTCCAGCCAGCAATGTCTGTCCTCTCCACTAAACTGGAAGTTTCATGAGAGCCGACATAATGGCAATTTTTGCTTTTGATTTTTTACCTTTAGCCAGTACATGAAACACTATGTAGTAAGTACAAAATAGGGGACTCAGTGAATATTTATGGAATGAATGAATGACTTCTAAGTGAAAGCATTTCTATTATACAGGGTTATTGGTCAGGTTTTTCAAAGGAAATAGAGTGCAATATTTTTCTCAGCTTCTGATGCTGAATTGCTGTATCATCTTGAGTCAATTGCGTCTTATTATGCTGTTAGTTACCTGATCCATAAAATGGGGACATGACACATTTTTCCTGTGTCAACACTCATTATAAATAACTCTAAATACATCCTGAGCACTTAATAGATCTGTTATACATAAACATAAATTTTCCTCTACTAATTAGATGTCACCATTGACACCAAAGCCTGACCACTATGACTGCTGAGCTGTGTTTAATTTATTCTTGCTGTAAAAATAACAGGTAATTAAGAATGAATTATTTGGCTTTAAATACTCTCCCTGTACCGCAAATATACCACAAACACATACACTCCATCCATAGGCATACACAGAGGCACAAACTCATTATCTTTACTATCTTTACCATTACCACCACGACCTATGTTAATTTCCATTTTGTAGTCAAATCCTCTCTCCAGAAAGTATATTACATATATAGTATATAAAGAATACACAGCATTCATTAAAATATATAATCCCATGCTTATTTTCTCTTTTAATAAGTATGTAGTTTTTAAAATTGAATAACATAATTTCCAACTGGCCCTGCAATGTGTATACAATGCACATTATATATTGTAGGTAATTATACAAAACCTTGTACACAGGCTCTCCCAAATGAAGATTTCATGCAAATTAGTAATGTAAATGCACTTCCAAAATGGGTATGTTGATACTGAATATGATTCTTCCTAATAGGATGGAAGTATGCCCCAGTGGCATTGATTTAGCTCTCCATTTTTGGCCTCCCCCCTCCTTTTAAACTCCCAGTTAAGTAGCGCAGTGGCTTTTCACCTCTCCGCCTGGTTCATCTGGCCCAGTAGGGCTCCTTCTCCCAATTTGCCCACACTGAGCCATGAGCACTAAATGAAGCGAATAATTTGGTGCATTGTTGGGGGGGGTGGCAATGGCGGTGGGAAGGGGAGGGGACAGCTGACAGTGAATGGTGTCAGCTGCAGAGGCAGCAGAAAAAGCCGACATCTTAATAAAACAGCCTCAGGCAAAATCCCATTAAAGCCTTCAGAAGCTTGTTTCCCTGCAGTTGAGCAGGTAGGCGTTGAGCACTACGAGGCAGCCCTGAGTGCTCTCAGGGAGCCCAGTTCAAAAAAAATTTTTTTTGAGTGCTTTTTTTTCTTAATATAAATCATCTACCAGCATAGCTCCTCAGAGTCATTTGCAAGGCAGAGAAAGAGAGAGCCAGCACAGGAGAGAGAAAAGGAGGGAGGAAGGGAAAGAGCTAGGGAGAGACAGATATAAAGGGATGAAGTTCCTCTGCCACAGCAGGAGCAGTGAGCAGGCCTTGTGTGCACCCATTAGCGTTGGAGTGAAGACCTCAGGCTGACCTTTGGAGAGGCGAGGGAGCAGGCAGTGCTCAGGCAGAATGACAATGAGGATGGTGCATCCAAGAGGTGCATTGTCTGGCTGGCTCCTAGGCCAAAAGGGTGATGGCACATCCCTTACAAGTAACACTGTCTTGTGAGGAGGATGATGGGCAGAACATCAGTGAATAGCATAATGATCGCACTTGAAAAGCTGACAAGGCACACTGTTGACTCTACAGTAAAACAGAAGAACATACATGTGCACATGTGTTTACCTCCTACTTATATAGTACATGCAACACAGGTCAGAATAACTGTCTAAAAATATGTTTTGGGTTCACATAGTACACCTTTGAAAAACTATATTTACAGCATATTTGTTGATGAGCATGAATTCAACTTTTAAAAGCTTCCAGAGCCTGACCAATGTGAAGAAACCCCATCTCTACTAAAAATACTAAATTAGCTGGGCGTGGTGGCACATGCCTGTAATCCCAGCTTCTCGGAAGGCTGAGGCAGGAGAATCGTTTGAACCCAAGAGACAGAGGTTGCGGTGAGCTGAGATTGCACCACTGCACTCCAGCCTGGGCAACAAGAGTGAAACTCCACCTCAAAAAAAAAAAAAAAAGTTTCCAGAAAAATGACCTGGTACCTCTCCCAGTGTTTAAAGCCCTTCTCTGTCAGGAAGTTCATTGTCATATCTAGCAAATATTCCTCATACTACAGCTTTAGACTACTTCTAATAAGAATGAATATATTTTGTTGATGAGCACTAAAAACTAACTTGAACACAAGTTTTACGTTACGCAATTGGATACTCTTTAGTTGATAAAAATGAATGTTCCTCTTAAATGATGACCATCTGTTCAATGTGTGCAATTAAACGAAAGCATCAAGTTCACAACATTTCTAGTTCTTAGTTAAGTGCAGGTTTATTTCACTAAGTACACTCTATGTGATCCTGAAAAGTCGTGTGAATTAGGAGTTGTTATAAATTGAATCACATTAGAAGAATATGGAGTTTTGACACTTAAATAATACAAAATGTAAAATAAATTCTTAGTAAGGTCAATAATCTTTAGTGCTTTTTTGTCATTTTAATGTAGGTTTTGCTTATCAGGTTTTTGGAAAATTCCTTGATAACCTATTTGTACTTTAGTTCCACAAGTCTAGCCTTTCACACTCAACAAATCTCAATTCACTTGCTAAGGAAACTGATACTGGTGATAAAAGTTTTAAGAGAGAAGGCTAAACTTGAGTTAAATTTAAATATGCTCTAATTAATCAAGCTTCATACTCAATCTTTGGACAAACTATAAATAGGCATCATATAAAGATGCAGATATTTAATTGAGACAACCTACATGATGTTATTGGATTCTAGGTAAAATTCAAGGCTGCTCTCCAGCCCAGTGCTACTCAATCCCTCTCTTCCACCACTCCCTCTGATGTCTTCAACTCTAAGAAGGAGAAATGGGATGGGTCAAGTCTAAGGAAATTTAATAGAAAAGGAATTGGTGTTCTAATTCTACATGGGCTATTTGTGTTCTCTATCTCAGTAATTATTTTTCTTTTCCTCTTTTCTTTTTAACACACCTTAGCAATTTTTTTTTCTGATTGACAGAAGTCCCTCTTTAGAGTGTCAGATGAAGACCCCTATAAAATAGGCTTGCAGTAGATGGCTAGGTTTAATGCTCTAGTCTGGGCCTTAGGTAAACATCTTTCTTTCCCCCTTTATTTCCCTTGGGTTTGTTTTCTACTATATCAGAATGTAAAACATATAAGGCAGAGAATGGTGTTAACATCATAGATTACGGCACAAGGAGCTAAGGTGGTCACTCAGTATGCTGTTACTCTAGATATGTGATTTCCCGGCAAAAGGAGTCTTTGTGACTTCATTGGGTCCAACCAGCCTTAGTGACTCTTTTTTGGATTTAGTAGAAGCAGATTAATAGAGTTGGTGGTGGTGGCTCATTTGTTGTTATTGTTTGTGAAGTTTCCTTTTTGTGTGTCTATCATGGAATGTGTCATGACTCCAGCAAGAAGGTCAAGGATTTTAGGTTTCAGGACTCCTTCTCTTGGGCATTTTCCAATCTTAGCATGGTTAACATTTGGTATAGATATAGCAGATTAGGTTAAACTGAAGTACAGCAGGCTGGGGTGTGAGAGGCAAAGCCTTGTCTGCGGGGGATAAAGGCTCATGAGTAGGGAGAGACCTCTAGTGTTAATACCTCAAACTGCAAGTGCAACTGCAAACTGGTTGAGCAGAAGTCCTCAGGGAGGACAGGAAGGTAAGTTAGGGGACTTATGGATTCATATATTCGATCTGGAAAGACTCACATACCAGATGACTTTCCAACGGGGTTTCTGATCCTGGAAGCAATATTCTTTGTGGGAGACTCATACCTGGATCTTCACAGAGAATAGACCAGAGTAAATTCAGCCTAAAACACTTAGAGTTTCCCAGTCCTTAGAACGTTACTGCCTGGAATTGGTAGGTAGTATGCTCCTCAACACCCTGGGTTGTGTTTTCTCTTTAATCAATTTTTCAGCCACATTGAATTATTATGACTGTGTCTTTCTAGGACCCAAAATGTAAATTTACCTACAGTGACACTATGGAATTCATAACCTACCATCTTTTTGACTGTTAGAGAGAAAGGAATTTTCCCTTTCTTTCCACAGTGAAAGTTCCCAGGTAAGAACTGGGAAATGAAATTCCATACAAAATGGTTCACATTGTATCACATGCAGATCAGACGAGGCTCAGTATTAGAAGAAGCAGTTCTATCCTCAGCCCAAGGAAAGTCAGGGCCTTCTCTGTGCAGGAGTTAGTGGAGAGTATGGAATGTAATGGTTCACAGCTCCTCTGGAACTACATGGTTGGAATGGGAGAGTATCAATTTCCAAACAGAAGAAGAATATTATCCAAAGATGTTATGATAACAAATGTTCACTCCAACCTCTTTCTCCACTCCCCCAATTTCTCTATAGGCTCATCTTTTCCTTTTATGGAGACATTACATTTCATATGAGGTTGCCTACTTGCTTAATAGTAATAGCCAACACTTATACAGCCTGACTATAAACCAATTCTTTTCATAATGTCTCTCTCATCTCTCTCTCTCTCTGTGTCTCTCTCTGTCTCCTGGCGACCACAATCTTATGAGATAGATGTAATGTGCCGCCCAGATCTCCTTTCTAGGAAGGACTTGTTGCCCATGGTAAAAGAAATGTAGCAGTAGGCAGAAGTCTTCGGCTGTCAGCTCCTACAGTAACTGATTCAGCTGCAGACAGTTGCCTCATCCAAGGCCATGTCTTTTCCCAAGATAACTCTCGTCTGATAACTGTTTAATGCCGGCATTAAAAGTTCTGATAATTTCAGCCCAACTTTAGAGAGTTCTGTAAAACCATTCTAGCTCCAGAGGTCCCCTTGGACTTGGCCAAATTTAACCTTAAATCTGTGTCACTTGCCTTCTTCTGCTACTCCCTCCTGCTCTCTCCCCACTCTTTTTCATAGGTGTTGATTCCAAGGGCACTCTTCAATAAATCTCCTGCAAAGTAAACTCCTTTTGGAAAACTGTTTCCCAGGGAACCAACCTGTTATACATAGATGCCATTATTATCCCAGTTTGGAAAGCAGAAGTGCGCTTTGTACATTTTTATCTATAGGTCAGATACTTTACACACAGTATAAATTTCACAAAAGATGTCTTCTATTAGATAAAATTCCTCAAAGCTGCAGTGTGAGCTCACTACTTTAACTTCTTTCTGCTTATCACACTCACACACACACACACAAACACACACAAAAGGCAAACAAAATACTTTTTACCTTTATTCTTTGCCATTTATGCTTTTGTCTTGTGAATTGCTGCTTATATTCTTTCCCCAATATTCTATGGGTTTATTGATTTGTTAAAATTGTTTATGTACTCTACATTCTAATTCTTTAATAATTATTTGCACTGCAAATACTTCTTGTGATTTGCTTTTTCATCTTTTTTTTCGGGTATTGTTTAGTGTGCAAATATTTCTGATTTTATTGTGGACAAATTAAGCACCCTTTCCTTCATCGTGTGTGCTTTGGTACCTTTGCTAAGAAATAATTTCGTAACATAGGGTCATAATATTCTGCTTTATTTTCTTCTAAATATTATGAAGTTTTGCTTGTTTACATTTAAGTACTTAATCCACTTTATCTTCATCTCTTTTAAGTCCAATTTTATTTGGACTTATTTTTGTTTCATATGGACAACCAAGTTCCCTAGTAACATTTATTGAAGAGTACATGTTGCTAATTGATTAGTAATACTACCCTCATTATGTAACAAGTGTTCACATATTCATAGACTGCTAGCATTTAAATTTAGCTCCATAATTAAAATTTAGTCTTTGGTATTATATCGTGGGGCAATTTTATAATTGAACAATAATCAGAATTTATATTATGATTATGTAAAGTGTTCTGTACAGAGCAAATAACGTGTACTGAGTGCATATTTATTTTTATATTTCTAGTTTTGTCACCTCCATTTTACTCAGAATAAATGTTTCCTTTTTAAAAAAACCCACAATGTTTAAAATAATGCCATGTTTTAGTGTTTTTGATATTAAAACAGTACCTTTTCTTGTGTTTCTGTTCGTATTTCTAACTCCAAGGTAAAAAGTATTTGAAATGTAACTACTCTTAGAGTTTAAATGATAACTTTGACACTTATTATGTGACTTTCAAATGGTTATACAAGACATTTGTTTCCTCATCTTTAAAACTGAATTGATAATAAAAAATATTTCATAGGACTATTGTGATGAGAAAATAAATAATCATAAATAATTGAAAAAATAATCATAAGTAATTTATACCAGTGTGTGGAAATTTTTAATTAATATATATTAAATGTTCTAAAATTTGCATTTTTATCTTATTACTGTCAACTGTCAACTTCCTACTTATTCTATTGATAGATTTCATGAATTCTTCTCTCTGAAATTGTCCACCTTCCCTTCCAGTTTTGGAACCCTTGAGTCATCTTTTTATTTATTTATTTATTTACTTATTTTTTTGAGACAGGATTCTCACTCTGTCGCTCAGTCTGGAGTGTGGTGGTGTGATCTCAGCTCACTGCAACCTTCTCCTCCTGGGTTCAAGCGATTCTCCCGCCTCAGGCTCCTGAGTAGCTGGGATTACAGGTGGAGGCCACCACACAAGGCTAATTTTTTACATTTTTGGTACAGACTGGGTTTCACCATGTTGGCCAGGCTGGTCTCAAACTCCTGCTTGAGTCATCTTTGAATCCTGATTTGCGTAGTTTTTTGGAAGACAGGGGAAGAGTGGGTAGTTGTATTCGTCAGCTTTCACACTGCTATGAAGAATTTCCCTGAGACTGGGTAATTTGTAATGGAAAGAGGTTTAATTGACTCACAGGGAGGCCTCAGGAAACTTCCAATCATGGCTGAAGGCAAAGGGGAAGCAAACACCTTCTTCAAGAAACAGCAGGAGAGAGAAGTGAGCAAAAGCAGAGAAAACTGCTTTACAAAATGATCAGATCTCATGAGAACTCTCTATCATGAGAACCATGGGGGAACCACCCCTACGATCCAGTCACCTCCCTCCTTCGACACGTGAGGTTTACATGTCCCTCCCTAGACATATGGGAATTACAATTCAAGATGAGATTTGAGTGGGGACAGAGAACCAAACAATATCAGTAGTGTTTCTATTACACTCCTCCTCCTTTTTAACACACTTTTTTCTTTGTCATTTTTCCAAGTTCCTCTAATAAGTCAATAATATTCTATTTGGTATAGTACCCTCTTTTCCTTTTTTTTTTTTTTTTTTTTAGATGGAGTCTTGCTCTGTCATCAGGCTGGAGTACAGTGGTGCGATCTCGGCTCACTGCAATCTCCGCCTCCCGGGTTTAAGTGATTCTCCTGCCTCAGCCTCCTGAGTAGTTGGGCTTACAGGTATGCACCACCACACTCAGCTAATTTTTGTATTTTTAGTAGAGATGGGATTTCACCATGTTGGTCAGGATGGTCTTGAACTCCTGACCTTGCGATCTGCTTGTCTCAGCCTCCTGAAGTGCTGGGATTACAGGTGTGAGCCACCTCGCCCAACCCAGAGTCCTCTTTTCTTTTACCTTCTGTTCTCCTGCCCATACTGAGACTTCCCTTTTTTATTTTGCTGAGATAGAATTACATTTTTCCAGATCTTGTCATCCTCTTTTGTGGTTTACTCTCTCATTTCCCTGGAGTATATTTTCGAGTAATGTCTTAAGAACTGATGCTTAGGAAATAAAATAGCTGAGCCACTGTGAGTCCAAAAATGTCCTTTTTCTTCTCTTTTTTAGTAATAGTTGGTTCAGTCAGAATAGAAGAGTTTATTCTGTAGTAGTGAGAATAAGTCCCAAATATCAGTGTCTTAAAACAACATAGGTTTATTCTCAGTGTTACTTCATGTCCATCATGGATCAATCACAAGAGAAGGTGGCATTGTTTATTGTCACTGAGAACAAGACTGCAGGAGCAGTCAGCAGCAGAGATTGGGCCAGTTGCCATGCCTAGGGGAAGAAAAGAAGTCACTGGATGGTTTTCACCAGAAATTAAATGTGTCACAATAACTCCTTTCACTTCTGTTAGTAATACTCTTGCCTGAACTGGTTACATCCCCTACTCAACTTAAAGGAGGCCAGGAAGTGAAACTCTAACAAGTTCTTAGAAAGCAGAATGCCTTAAATGTCTCTTGATTAGCATTAATGACTATCGTATTAATGTGGCTGATATTATCTTGGAACTTCAATGAGTTAAATGCTAGGTTTTGAGGATTGGTTCTCCACGTGTTTTGCCTCTCTTTCTGTCTATATATTTGTTTCCTTAATTACTTTCCTTTACATAAGGTTTCTATTTGTCCCCCTAAATAGCTAATAGTTATATTCCACATTATATATCCAAAACAAATATAATTTATGCTAGCAGAGTTTCACTTATGATTTTCCCTATTACCAACAGTAACACAAATTTAACCTTACTGTTTAATTAACAAGTATAAATAGTATTCTTTGTTTTCTCATATTCTACATCTGATCTATGTTATCTTTACATTTAAAAGACTGACATCACTTATCTATGTCACACTTATCCTATTGCTAACACCCCAGCCATAGTCAACATAATTGTCATCAGGATGACTGCAATAACCTTCTAATTGGTCTTAACATTTCAGCTATTGCTCATCTACTGTCAATTCTACATACTGAGGCATCTTTTAAACATAAACCAGCAATCAAAAATTATTTAAAATAAATGAAAACAGAGACACAACATATCAAAATTTCTGCAATGCAGCAAAAACAATGCTAACAGGAAGCACTATAAACTGGGTTTTTTGGGTGCTACATACCTACCTCAAAAGCTAGAAAGATATCAAATTAATTATATAACAACACACTTAGAGGAACTAGAACAACAAGAACAAAATAATCCCAACGTTAGAAGAAGAAAAGAAAACTAAAATCAGAGTGGAGCTGAAAAAATTTGAGACCCAAAATCCATACAAAAAAAAATCAATGAAACCAAAAGTTGGTTCTTTGAGAAGATAATCAAGATCAATAGACCACTAGTTAGATTAACAAAGAAAAAAAAAAAGAGAGAAGATCCAAATAAGCACAATCAGAAATGACAAAGGTGAATTTACAACTGATACCACTGAAATACAAAACACCCTCAGAGACTATTATGAACACCTCTATTACATAAACTAGAAAATCTAGAAGAAAAGGATGAATTCCTGGAAACGCACTGTATCCTAAGATTGAATCAAGAAGAAATTAAGAAATTAAAACACTGAATAGATTAATATCAAGGTCTAACATTTAATCAGTAATAAAAAACATGCCAACCAAAAAAGCTCTGGACCAGATTGATTCACACAGCCAAGTTCTATCAGATGTACAAAGAAGAGCTGGTACCAATACTACTGAAACTTTTCCAAAAATTTGAGGAGAAGGCGCTCCTTGGTAACTCATTCTATGAAGCCAGCATCACCCTGATACCCAAATCTGGCAAAGACACAACAAGGAAAGAAAACTACAGACCAATATCCCTAATGAACATAGATGCAAAAATCCTCAATAAAATACTAGCAAACCGAATTCAACAGCACATCAAAAAATTAATTTGCTGTGATCAAGTAGGTTTCATTCCTGGGAGGCAAGGTTGGTTCAACATATGCAAATCAATAAATTTGACTCACTACATAAACAAAACTAAAAATGAAAGCAATATGATCACTTCAATAGATGCAGAAAAAGCTTTTGATGAAATCCAACATCTCTTCTTGTTAAAACTGTTGACGGTTAATATTAAGTGTCAGCTTAATTGGATTGAAGGATGCAAAGTATTATTTCTGGGTGTGTCTATGAGGGTATTGCCAGAGAAGATTAGTATTTGAGTCAGAGGACTGGGAGAGGCAGATCCACCCTCAGTCTGGGTGGGCACCATCCAATCGGCTGCCAGGGTGGCTAGAAAAAGCACGCAGAAGAAGGTGAGATGAGCTGAATTGCTGAGTCTTCTGGCCTTCATCTTTCTCCTGTGCTGGATGCTTCCTGCCTTTGAACATCAGATTCCAAGTTCATTGGCTTTTAGAGTCTTGAACTTTTACACCAGTGGTTTTCCAGGGACTCTCAGGCCTTCAGTCACAGACTAAAGCCTGCACTATAGGCTTTCCTACTTTTGATGTTTTAGGACTCTGAATGAACCACTACTGGCTTTCTTCTCCTCAGCTTGCAGAGGGCCTACTGTGGGACTTCACCATGTGATCGTGTCAGTCAATTCTCTTTAATAGACTTCTTCTAATATATACATATATCTTATTAGTTCTGTCGCTTTAGACAACCCTGACTAATACAAAAACCCTCAAGAAATGAGGCAACAAAGGTATAATAATCAAATAATAAGACCCATCTATGACAAACTCACAGCCAACCTCATACTGAATGGGCAAAATCTGTAAGCATGCCCCTTGATAACTAGAACAAGACAAGGATATCCACTCCCACCACTCCCATTCAACATAGTACTGAAAGAACAGAGCAATCAGGCAATGGAAAAAATAAAAGGCATCCAAATAGGAAAATAAAAAGTGAAACTATCTCTCTTCACTGATGATATGATTCTCTACCTAGAAAACCCTAAAGACTCTGTCAGAAGGCTCCTGGAACTGATAAATGACTTAAGTAAAGTTTCAAGATAGAAAATCAGTGTACACAAATCAAGAGCATTTTATATGCCAATAATGATTGAGCTTAGAGACAAATCAAGAAAATCAAGAAAACAACCCCAGTTACAATAGCCACAAAGAGAATAAAATGCCTAGGAATGTATCTAACCGAGGAGATGAAGATCTGTACAAGAAGAACTACAAAACATTACTGAAATGAATCACTGATGACAGAAACAAATAAAAAAAATCATGCTCATGAATAGAAATAATCAACATTGTTAAAATAGCTGTACTGCCCAAAGCAATTTACAGATTCAATGCAATTCATATACAACTACAAAGGACTTTTTCACAGAATTTGGAAAAATGATTCTGAAATTCTTATGGAAACAAAAAAGAGCCCAAATAGCAAAAGAAATCCTAAGCAAAAAGAACAAATTTGGAGGCTTTGTAATACCTGACTGACTTCAAACTGTAGTATAAAGATACAGTAATCAAAACAGCATGGTACTGGTACAAAAACAGATATATAGACTGTCTCTATACCATGGAACAGGTATAAAGAACCCAGAAATAAAACCTCACACCTACAGTCATATGATCTTCAACAAAGTCAACAAAAATAAGCAATGGGGATCCTAATACCTGGCTAGTCATGTGCAGAGGAATGAAACTGGAGCCATACCTTTCACTATATATAAAAATTAACCCTAAAGGGATTAAATGTTTAAATTTACAACCTCAAACTGCAAGAATTCTAGAAGAAAACCTGGTAAACTCCATTTTGAACCTTGGCCTTGTGAAAGAATTTATGACTAAGTCCTGAAAAGCAATTGTAGCCAAACAAATATTGGCAAGTGGGACCTAATTAAACTAAACAGCTTCTGCGCAGTAGAAGAAACTATCAACAGAGTAAACAGACAGCCTATAGAATGGGAGAAAATATTTGCAAAGTAGGCGTCCGACAAAGGCATAATATTTAGAATCTATAAGGAACTTAAACAATTGAACAAACAAACAAAAACAAATAAACCCATTAAAATGTGGGCAAAAGACCTGAACAGATACCTTTGAAAGAAGACATACAAGCAGCCAACAAACATATGAACAAATGCTCAGCATCACTAATCATCAGAGAAATATGAATTAAAACCCCAGTGAAATACAATCTCATGCCAGTCAGAATGGCTATTTTGTAAAAGTCAAAAAACAACTTATGCTGGTGAGGCTGCAGAGAAAAGTGAATGCTTATACACTGTTGGTGGGAATATGAATTGGTCCAACTGCTATAAAAATTAGTTTGGAGATTTCTCAAAGAACTTATAATACCAATCATCCCAGCAATCCCATTACTGGGTATGTATTCAAAAGAAAACAAATCATTCTACAAAAAAGAAACATGCACTCACATGTTCATTGCAAGACTATTCACAACAGGAAAGACATGGAATCAATCTAGGTGCCCATCAATGGTGGATGAGATTTAAAAAAAAAACGTGGTGCATATACACCAAGGAATGCTACACAACCATAATGAAGAACGAAATCATGTCCTTTGCAGCAACATGGATACAGCTAGAGGCCATTATCCTAAGCGAATTAATGCAAGAACAGAAAACCAAATATTACATGTTCTTACTTATAAGTGAGGGCTAAACATTGGGCAGTTATGAACATAAACATGACAAAATAGAAACTGGGGACTACTAGAAGTTGGGGAAGGAAGCAAGGGAAGGGTTGAAAAACTAACTATCGGCTACTATCCTCGGTACCTGGGTAAGGAGATCATTTATACCCTAAACCTCAGCATCGCACGAAATACCCAGGTAACAAACCTGCAAATGTATCTCTTGAATCTAAAATACACATTGAAATACACACACACACACACACACACACACACACACACACACACACATATACTGGCCATGACTCTCTGCTCCAAGGATTCCCCATCACACTAATAAGAAAACACAAATCTTTTCAATACCTTGCTTTTCTGTCTGTCTTTCCCTCCCACCATTGTCTCCTTAGCTTGTTCTGTTCTAGCCACATCGACCTTCTGGTTGGTTCAGTAAGAAGAAATTTTTTTCCTCTTGAAATATGATTATGACTCAACAAACACCTTCTCTAGACTTCATATGACTAGCAGCTTTCTTCTTATATATTAATTCATCTAACGGAGTTTCTTTGAATTAACGCTTTCTTCTTGTTCTATTTCATTTTCCTGCTTTAGTTTTCTTCACAGTCCTTATCACTTTTTGACCTCATGTTGTACATTAAATTGTCTATTTGTTTCCATGGAGTCCCAGAATTATAAGTCCCATATCCACTGTTTAATTATTTGTGCATTTCATGACACTATTTATAGTACAAAGTCAAGACCAGCAAAAACTAGTTGTCTAGTAAATACTAAATGAATGAATGAATTGCTAAATTTGAGATAATTTTTTAAATATATTCCAAGCTTGAATTTAATTTTTTTATTTGACTTTCTGTTTTAAAATTGCCATGAGCTTTTCCTTGTGTTCTGATCGTGCATTTTACGTAGTACACTATTCTATATTTGTTTTGTTTTTGTTTTTGAGACAGGGTCTCACTCCATTGCCTACACTGGAGTGCAGTGGCACGATCTTGGGTTACTGCACCCTCTGCCTCCTGGGCTCAAGTGATCCTCCCACTTCAGCCTCCTGAGTAGTTGGAACTACAGGTGAGTAACACCATGTTTGTCTAATCTTTGTAGTGTTTGGGGAGACAGGGTCTCCCTATGCTGTTCGGGCTGGTCTCAAACTCCTGGACTCAAGCTATCCCTCCCGCCTTGACCTCCCAAAGTGCTGGAATTATGGGCATGAGCCACTGCACCCAGTCCTATTCTATATTTGTTAATTAAATACGTTCTTGAGTATCTTTTAATTATAATTGAAATTTGTTTTAAAAGTACAATTAAAATTATTTTTGTTTGCTGAGTAATTTAAATTTTTTTTATTCCTTGTTCTCTGATATATGACAATTGTTCTCAATTGTCTGATAATTCTTGGCTGTTATTAAGTTACTCACTAATTTTTTCCTCTATTCAGGATCTCTATTGAGCTGGGTAGAACTTCCTTCCTTGGGATGGCAGTAAGAACCAAAGCAAGAAATGAAAGCAACGTGTTTCCACACATCTAAGAACTCAAAACATTTCCAAAAGCCACCATAATTGGTTTGACCTTATCCTTGTCCTGGAATTTTCAGTGATGTCTTTCTTGTAGAACAGATTAAGCAGCATAGCTTCATTTAATGTATTTATGATGATTTCTGACCATATTACCAAAAGGCGTAACAGTGGTACCAAGGGAGTTAACAATTGCAAAGGTGCATTATTGTTCTCTTATTACTTGGTTGGGCTACTAATTTTTTTTTTTTTTTTTTTTTTTGAGATGGAGTCTCACTCTGTCACCCAGGCTGGAGTGCAGTGGTGCAATCTCGGCTCACTGCAAGCTCAGCCTCCAGGGTTCATGCCATTCTCCTGCCTCAGCCTCCCAAGTAGCTGGGGCTACAGGCACCCGCCACCACGCCCGGCTAATTGTTTGTATTTTTAGTAGAGACGGGGTTTCACCGTGTTAGCCAGGATGGTCTCAATCTCCTGACCTCGTGATCTGCCCTCCTTGGCCTCCCAAAGTGCTGGGATTACAGGCATGAGCCACCACGCCTGGCCTGGGCTACTGATTTTTAAAAATTAGAATGTATTAAAGTAAACACACAAAATGAAATGTAGCCATATAAAATATAGACTTTAAGTTTTGACCAATGTATGCACCTTTCTAGTCATCAACATGATCAATGTTGTGTTTACTGTACATTCAGTAAGATATTTCCATCACAATAAAAGTTTTTCTCATATCTATTTGCCATCAGTTCCCCAACCTCTTGCCTCAGGAAACCAGCAGTCTGCTTTTTGTCACCATTGATTCGTTTATCTTGTACTAGAAATCAATGTAGATGAAATCATACAGTATGTATTCTCTTTCATCTGCCTTCTTTTCCTCACAACATTTTTTAGATTGATCCAGGCCATTGTGGGTATCAGTAGCTCATTACTCTTTATTGCTCAGTAATATTTTGTCCTAGGGTTATACCAAAATGTGTTTATCCATTCACTTAACAATGGACATTTAACATGTTTCCAGTTAAAGGTTATTATGAATAAAGCTGTTATAAACATTTGTGGAAAAATTTTTGTGCCAAGTTATGTCTTTATTTTTAGGGTATAAATACCTAAAAGGGGAATTGTTGAATTGTGTGGTAACTATATTTTTAATTTTGAAAAAATTTTCCAAACTGTTTTCAGAGGGAATTATGTCATTTTATATTAGTATGACAGTTTCCATTGCCCCGTGTCTTTACAAACACTTGATTTTGTCTATCTCTCTATTTTTAACCATCCTGAATGTTGTGTAATAGTATCTTATTTTGGTTTTCATTTGTTTATGCCTGATTACTAGTGATGTTGAGCACAGTTTCATGTTGTCTTTTCATGTTGCCATTTCTATGTACTTTTGTGAAATATCTATTCAAATATTGATTTTTTTTAAAAAAAATGGGTTATTTGTCTTTATATTATAGAATTGTAGAAATTTTCTATATAATTTGAAAATCAGTGCTTTGGCTGATATACATATTGACAATATTTTTCCTAGTCTGCAGTTTGACTTCTCATTTTCTGAATGATGTCTTTTGGAGGGAAGAAGTTCTTAGTTTTGATGAAGTACATTATATTATTATTTACATTATAGTTTGTGTATTTTATTTCCTATGTAAGATATCCTTACCTACCTAATTTTATTAATACTTTCCCTTATATTTTCTTCTAGAAGATGTATACTTTTAGTTTGTGACTGCAGGTGTAGAATTTATTTTGAGTTATTTCTGTATGATGCAAAGTGAAGGTCAAAATTTATTTACTTATTTTCCAAAAAAGATTATCCTGCTTTTCTAGCCCCATTATTTTAAAAGATTATCTTTCTCCTCAATAATACATTGGCTTACTTATTGAAACAAACTGACCTTACACGTGTAGGTTTATTTCTGGACACTACTGTCTGTTCTGTTCTACTGAGGTATATACCTATCATGATGCAAATTTCATGCTTATACTAAGACTGAAATGGGGTAGTGAGAATTCTTCAATTTTGTTCTTCTTTTTCACAATGGTTTTGGTCATTGTCGGTTCTTTGTATTTTCTAAATTATTTTAGAATCTTCTTGACAATTTCTGTAAAAATTATGTGCTTTGATTTTGATCAGCCTTGTATTGAAACCATAGATCAATTTTGAAGAATTGCCACCTTATTGAGGTTTCTAATCCATGAGTATGTCATATTTTTCTACACAATTAGATATTGTATAATTTGTCCCAGCAGTTTTCTGGGATAAACATTTATGTACAAATCTTCATGCCAAGTTATGTCTTTATTTCTTTGGGGTAAATACTTAAGAGTGGAATAGTTGGATTGTGTGGTGTGTATATGTTTAATTTTGTAAGACATTTCCAAAGTGTTTTCAGAGGGAATTGTGCCATTTTATATTAATATGAAAGTTTATATTGCTCCATGTCTTTACAAACACTTGATTTTGCCCATCTCTTTAGGGGGATTACACATCTTTTTTGATACATTTTTAATAAATATATTAAGCTTTTTGGCACTGCTAGAAATATTTTTTATTTCATTTTATTATTGTGTATTTCTTGTATTAGATATAAAATTGATATTTATATGTTGACCTTGTATCCTGTGCCCATTGCTAAATTCACTTATTCCATCTAATAGATTTTTGAGAGTCCTTGGATTTTTATGCGTATGTGATCTCATATACGACCACAAAATATCTTGACATTTTAATCTCTTCCTTTCCAATATGTGAATTTCTTACTTATTTTAATCTTTGTCACACTGTTCAGGAGCTCCAGTGGAATATTTAATATAACTGATAACAAGGAGTATCTATGCTTTCGTTTCTAATCTTGAGTTGTAGAAGGTCACACTGACTTAACAGCATTTCATAACAGTGCAGGTCTTTTGTAAGCACTGTTTTAACAGATTCAGTAAGTGTTCTTTTTTTTTTTTTCTCTTTTTAAAATTTTCTGTTTTATTAAAAACAATATATTTTCATTATATAACTTTAGAAAATGCAGAAAACTGTGGGTAAGAATTAAACGTGTGTGTGTATACTTTTTTAAAAAGTTGGTCGTAATGTATATATTGTTTTCTTTGATTTTGTTTAATGTATAACCGTTTCCCCTTATCATTAAATATTTTTGGATATATAAGTTTTTCTGGCTGCTTAATATTCCTTGCCCATGTTATGGATTAACCGTAATTGTTTAGTTTCCTTTCACTGACATTCAGGAGGTTTCTAACTTTTCACTGTTAAAAATAACACTGCATTGCATATACTCTTGTGCACATTTTTGTGTGCATTTCTGATTTATTTACAGAAATTTAAGGAAATACTGAGTCAAAGGGTGTCTAAATAGAGATTTTGAAGCTCTTAAAACATATATATGTGTTGCCTTCTGGAAAAATTGTACCATGACCACCAGTAGTATATGAAACACCCCATTGCTTTAGACCTTTACTAGCATTGCTGAATATTTAATTGATATTAAATGGTATTTAAATGATATTTACAATTAAATGACATTTATTTGTCTAAAGTTTTATTTCTATTATTTTATGGTTTAACTTTAATCATATTGATTATTTGAGTTTTTTAACTTTTTTGTGCTTGTAAATTATCTATTCATGTCAAAAGTTGTTTTTCAGAGGCACCAAATAATGTCATCTGAAATGTTGCCAGCATTTATTGAAACTTCTAATGTTGACAAAAAGCAAGGCATAAGTATACTAGGAGTTTTCATCAACAATTGTTGAAAGTTGTAAAATTCTTGTTCTGTATCTATTGAGAGAATCATATGATCTTACATTTTAAATCTGTTAATATGGTCAGTTATTTTTTGAGTTATACATGTTAATCTGATCTTACATTTCTATGATAAACAGCACTTGATCATAGTATATTATCCTTTGTATATACTACTAGATTTGATTTGTTAATTTTAAAGATAATTCTATGTATTTTATATACTTCTTCCTGTAATAGCTATTTTACTATTTTATTTTTTTCTTGTGTTGGTTTAGGTTATTTGTATCTTTTAAAAATATTTTCATATTACATAAGTTTATGAGTACAGTCCTATATTTATTTTCATATTTACTTACTATATTTTTGCTTGTCTGTGTGTGGTGAGAGCACTTCAGATTTACTCTCATCAAATTTAAAGTATATAGTACAGTATTATTACCTGGAGTCACCATACTATAGTTTAGATCTCCAGGACTTACTCATCGTGCATAACTGAAACATTGTATCCTTTGATTAGCTTCTCACAATTTGTCCCTTTCCCAGCCTCCTGGTAACCATCATTCTACTCTATATTTATATGAATTTGGCTATTTTAGGTTTCATATACAAGTAAGTACACACAATATAATTTGTCTTTCAATGTCTGTCTTATTTTACTTAGCATTATATTATCCAAGGCCAACTATGTTGTTGTAAATGGCAGGATTTTCTTCTTTTTAAGGCTGAATAATATTCCATTGCATATATATACCTCACTTTATTTATTCATCATTCATAAACATTGAGGTTACTTCCATATCTTGACTATTGTGAATAATGCTGCAATGAACATAGAATACAGATATCTTTTGGAAATACTGATTTCAATTTCTTTGAATAAACACGCAGAAGTAGGATTGCTGAGTCATATGATAGTTCTATTTTCAATTTTTTGAGGGAAACTTCATTCTGTTTTTTATACTGGTTATGCCAATTTACATTGTAACAAACAGCGTACAAGGATTCCCTTTTCTCTACATCTTTGCCAATACTTTTGGATGAATGTTTGTTTGTCTTGTAATAGCCATCTTAACAGAGATGATATCTCCCTGTGATTTTGATTTGCATTTCCCTCATGATTAGTTATGTTGAGCACTTTTTATATACCCATTATTTATTAGTATCTCTTCTTTGTAAAAATGTATATTCAGGTCATTTGCCCATTTTTTAATTTGGTTATTTCTTTTCGTGCTACTGAGTTCTATGAGTTCTTTATATGTTTTGAATATTAACCCCTTATTAGATACACAGTTTGAAAATATTTTTTTCTGATTCTGTAGGTTGTCTTTTCATTTTATTGATCATTTCTCTGGCAGTATAGAAGCTTTGAGTTTGATATAGTTCTACTTATTTATTTTTGCTTTTGTTGCCTGTGCTTTTGAGATCATATCAAAAACATTGTTGACAAGAACAGTCAATATCAAGGAGGTCTTTTCTTATGTTTCCTTCTGCATGTTTTAGAATTTCATATCTTATATTTAATCTTTAAATTATTTTGAGTTGTCTCTTTTGTGTTTAGTGTAAGATAAAGCTCCAATTTTATTCTTTTGCACAAGGATATCGAGTTTCCCAACACTATTTATTAAAGAGATCATTCTTTCCCCATTAAATATTCTTGGTATCTTTGTTAAAGATCAATAGACTGTATGTGTGAGTTTATTTCTGGGCCCTATTATGTTCCATTGGTCTATGTGTCTGTTTTTATATTAGTACCATACTCTTTTGATCATAATAGCTTTGGAATATCATTTTAAATTAGGAAGTGTGATGTCTCCACGTTTGTTTTTCTAAGATTTCTTTGGCTTTTCTGGGGCTTTTGTGATTCCATATAAATTTTAGGATTGTGTTTTCTACTTCTTTGAAAAAAGGTATTGAAATTTTGGTAAGGCTTACATCAAATCTGTAGATTATTTTGGGAACTATGGACATTTTAACAATTTATTTTTTTCCAATTTATAAACATAAAATATCTTTCCATGTATTTTTGTCTTCCATTTATTTCATCAATGTTTCATAGTTTCAAGTGTACAAATCTTCACTTCCTTGGCTAAGTTTACTCCTATATATTTTGTTTTCATTTATGCTTTTGTAAATGAGGTTGTTTCCTTAATTTGTTTTTGGGATAGTTCATTGATAGTGCATTGTAATGCAACTGGATTTTATATATTGATTTTTTATTCCGCAATTTTATCAAATTCATGTATTAGTTTTAATTTAGTAGTTTTTTGGTGGAGTCTTTAAGTTTTTCTATGTATACAATCAGGTCATCTGTAAACATAAATAATTCATTTTTTCTTTCCAATTTTGTTTTTTAACTTGTAGAGTCTTTGTCTCGCTTTGGTATCAGGGTAATGCTCTCTTCATAGAATGAGTTTGGAAGTACTTTCTCCTCTTTAAATCTTTATAAAAGTTTAAGAATTACTGACATTAGTTTTTATTTAAATGTTCATTAGAATTCACCAGTGAAGCCAACTGATCCTGGGCTCTTTTTTTAAGAGGTCTTTGATTACTGATTCAATATCTTTACTTCTTTTTTGTCTGTTCATATTTTATACTTCTTCATTATTCATACTTACTACATTTCTATTGCAAATTAAGATATAGGTTAGGCATGCTGGTTCATACCTGTAATCCCAGCATGCTGGGAGGCTGAAGCAGGCAGATTGCTTGAGTTCAGAAGTTTGAGACAATCCTGAGCAATATGGCAAAACCCTGTCTCTACAAAATATACAAAAATTAGCCTGGTGTGGTGGCATGCACCTGTGTTTCCAGCTACTGGAGAGGCTGAGGTGGGAGGATAGGTTAAGCCTGGAAGGCAGAGGTTTCAGTGAGCCGAGATCTTGCTACTGCATTCCGGCCTGGGTGACAGAGCGAGACCTTGTCTCAAAATAAATAAACAAATAAATAATACAAATTCAGGAAAAAAACACTAAGTAATTATATAACCTAATAAGTTATTATAACATAAATGCACCTGGTCATCATCAGGTCAAGTAATAGAACTTTGTAATCTACCCTAGAATACCAATCCCTGTGCCCTATCTTCGTCACAAGCCGCTACCTTCTGTAGGCAACCAGTATTCTGACTTATATAGTATTTATGTGTTTGCATTTTTAAAAGAATTTTATTATCAAAATGCACCTCCCCAGGTGTTATAGTCATGCCTATTAAAAAAAATAGTATCTTTGAAATCTCTTGATCTTTAGTTTCCTTGCTAAACTTTTGTTTTACTAAATTGTTGACAAACCCATGCTGAATTTCCTGTAGAGATTCCCACAATCCGGATTGATCATATACTCATCATGCAGTTTAACATGTTCCTGTCTCTGTATTTTTCCCAATTTGGTAGTGAGATCTTGAAAGTGTTTCAGACTCAGGTTTAATCTTTTGGGCCCAACTATAAGTGACAGTTGGCAAAAATACGATAGTGAAAAGGGGTCTGGTTTTCTTTTTTTATGATGTTAGCAACCATTAATGTTTATATCTATTCATTGGGGATTAAAAATGGTGATATTCTAATTCTGTCATTTATTTGTCTTTCATCAGTGAGAATCCTTTTACAAAAGCATACTTGTCCTAAGCTACTCTTTGGTTACCCTGTGTGATGGTTTAAACTGGGGAGGCAAAATTTACAATTAATTATTTTCCAGACTTCAAGGAAATAAATGGGCTCCCTGTCATTCTCCAAAGATGGCCATTTTTAAAAAATATTGTTGTAAGTATGGATTTAAACATTTCGATTGATTCCAATCCACTGCAGTTTTTATCATTACTGAAGTTCAAAATTTCCTGTATTTGGTCAGTAGGAGCCTTTTTTAATTTGGCCCCTAAGTTCTCCAGGAGTCATCAGTAGTGTTCCTACTCTCTGATAGGATAAAATGTTCCAGGCTCAAATTGTACATTTTATTTTCAAACTGGAAATCGACCTCTTCTCTAATAATTTTTTTTAAATTTAATGTCAATACTTCCAATCCAAATTCAGGAGTATGGATTTTTATCTCATAGTACTACATCTGCATCCTCTTTCTTCCACAGTAATGATCTTAGTTTTCAAGTATAGAGAAATGATAGGATCAGAATATTCCATAATTACTCATTGTTCTACCTCATATTGCATACGCAAGTATCTCAGAATAATAAATATAATACTACTGCCAATATGGCAGTAGTGTTATTCCCATTCTTCCCTGTATTTTTCAGTTTTACTACATCTGACTGTCATAGCTATAGTCATTCCATACTATACTCTTACCTCTTAGCTCTTATGTAGCTGTAGCTCTATGTTTACAGGTGACTATATATTTAATGTTCATGGCTAGTTCTATGTTTACATCTCTCTAATTGTTTGGTTTCCTGAAGAATTTTCTCTGGTATCAGGGATGATGTGAGTTCCCTGAGTTCTTACATCCCAATAGCAGTTTGTCTGAGCCACCTTTACACTTAAAAATTTATTTTACTGATTATAAAATCCTTTTTCCATACATCATTTTCTTGAATATTTAAATGTTTATCTATTTTTTCTGAGATAAAATGTTAAAAATTCTTGTGATAATATAATTTTCTTTTCCTTATATATTAGGTATTATTTTACAAAGAAAATAAAATACCTAGGAATACAGGTAACCAAGGAGGTGATATGTATCTACAAGGAGAACTACAAAACGTTGCTGAAAGAAATAAGAGAAAACACAAATAAATGGAAAAACATTACGTGCTCATGAATAGTAAGAATCAATATTGTTAAAATGACCATACTACCGAAAGCAATTTACAGATGCAGTACTATTCCTATCAAATTACCAATGTCATTCTTCACAGAATTAGTAAAAAGTATTCCAAAATTTATATGGAAACAAAACAGAGCTCAGATAGCCTAAGCAATCCTAAGCAAAAAGAAAAAAGCTGGAGACATCACACTACCTGACTTCAAACTATGCTATAAAGCTACAGTAATGAAAACAGCATGGTACAGGTATAAAAACAGACATATAGGACAATGGAACAGAATAGAAAACTCATAAATAAAGCTGTACCCTTACAACCATCTGGTCTTCAACAAGGCTGACTAAAACAAACAATGAGGAAAGAACTCCCTATTCAAGAAACAATGCCAGGATAATCATCTAGCCATATGCAAATGATTGAAGCCAAACTCCTACCTTTCACCATATACAAAAATGATCTCAGAATGGATTAAAGATTTAAATGTAAGACCTCAAACTGTAAAAATCCTAGAAGACAACCTAGGCAATAATCTTGACATTGGCCTTAGGAAAGAATTTATGACTAACTCCTAAAAAGCAATTTCAACAAAACCAAAAATTGACAATTGGGATCTAATTATACTAAAAAGCTTCTGCACAGCAAAATAAACTATCAGAGTATACAGACAACTTACAGAGAAGATCTTTGCAAAATACACATCCAAAAAAGCCATAATAACCAGAATCTATAAGAAACTTAAATAAATCATCAAGCAAAAAAACAACCCCATTAAAAATAGGCAAAGATATGAAAAGACACTTCTCAAAAGAAGACACACAAGTGGCCAGCAAACATCAAAAAATGCTTAGCATCACTAATCAGCAGAGAAATGCAAATCAAAACCACAATGACATACCAACTCACATCAGTAAGAATGGCTAATATTAAAAAAAAAGCCCCCCCCCCCCCAAAACAAAACAAAACAAAACAAAAACCAGATGCTGGTGAGGCTACAGAGAAAAGGGAATGCTTATACACTGTTGATGGGACTGTAGATTAATCCAGCCACTGTGGAAGGAAATATGGAGATTTCTCAAACAACATAGAACTACCATTCAAACCAGCAATCCCATTGCTGGGTGTAAACCCAAAAGAAAATAAACCATTCTACCAAAAAGACACATGCAGTCTCCTAGGTTCATCACTGTGTTATTCACAATAGCAAAGATATGGAATCAATCCAGATGCCCATAAATGGTAGGTTGTTATGTTGGATAAAGTAAATATGATACATACACACCATGGAATATTACGTAGCCATAAAAGGAGTGAAATTACGTCCTTTGTGGCAAGATGGATACAACTGTAGGCCATTATCTTAAGTGAATTAATGTAGAAACAGGAAAGCAAATGCCACAAATTTTCACTTATAAGTGGTAGCTTAACATTGAGCACACATGGAGATAAATATGGGAACAATAGACACTGTGGACCAGTAGAGTGATTAGGGAGAGACGGAGGTGTGTGTTGAAAACTACCTATTGCATACTACACTTACTACCTGGGTGATGGGATCAATACCCCAAACCTCAGCATCACAGACTATTTCCATGTAACAAAACTGTACATGTAATCCCGGTATCTAAAATAAAAGTTAAAATTTAAAATATGAATGTCAAAAAGAATGTAAGTACACACTTAAAGCTTCATAAAATATTTGTATATCTGATTATTATTAATGTTAAATCCTATAATTAAATATGGTTGTTATTTAACATATAATTTCTTGTCAGAAATTTTGTTTGTATATTAGTATGTACTCTTTAAAGAGAAGCATAAGATCTGTGTGGCAACCATGTCTTCTTAATTAAGTGCCTTAAAATTTTGATTGTTTAGGAATATGTATTTGCTTGCAAATTGTTTTCATTAATATTAACATAGTTTAAATTAATAAGTCAGACTTAACTACCTAACAATTTTAAAAAAGTTTTTTTTGATGTTACCAAACTTAATAAAATTTTGTTGTCAAGATTTTAAAATAAATAAATAAATTAGGTACTTTTTTTATCTAAATGCACAAAGAAACTTTTTTCTTAATGTTTGTTAATTTTTTAAGGTGTTGTTCGTCTAGGTTAAAATGATCAGGTTTGCAATTTAGTTCCAAATAATACTATTTTTCATTTGATTTTGGATTTTATTTATTTTCATCTTGTATTTTCTGTAAAATGTAAGCTGTTGTAGTTATTAACTCATGTGTTCTGTATAGTTTGGTCTTCCTTTCTAAAATGATTTTCTCTTATTTGTTATTAGTAACTTTGTTTTGTATTCTCTTTTCTAAATTTTCCTAATTCTGATTTATATTATTCTTTTATGTTTGTTATCGAAATCTTAAGCTCTTTTAGTTTTCTTTGAAATATAATTTGTTCTGTTTGTCAGCAAATCTCACTGGTATACCTCTATTTTCTCTAACAATTTTGGTTTGCTTCTTCCTCTTCTTTTTTTTCATAATATAAATTTACATGGAATATGAACTTGATCAATTTCTGTTGCTAATTTTTATATGAAATTGGACTTTTCATATTCCTAAAATGAGGGAGAGATTAGGAAAACCTTTTGAACATGTAAAACTCCATTTTCTGTTTTTATTTCCTCACTGTGTTCCTCTCCGTTTTGGCCTTGACCCTCTCTCTCCTTTTATCTTGAGTTCACAGGGGCTAGACTGCTCCAATCCTTTTTGTCCTTATGATGGACATTTTACACTCACCTTTTGTAGGAGGGAGCAAATCTCTACTCAGTTCTAGTTGCTGTTTTCAAATTGGTGGTTATCTTATTCTTGAGGTCATGAGCCTTTGCCTCCATTACTTCTGTCTTCCCTACAAAAATAGCATACTGAATGGACAAAACCTGGAAGCATTCCCTTTGAAAACCAGGACAAGACAAGGATGCTGTCTCTTACCACTGCTATTCTACATAGTATTGGAAGGTCTGGCCAGGGCAGTCATGAAAGAGAAAGAAATAAAGGTATTCAAATAGGAAGAGAGGAAGTCAAATTGTCTCTGCAGATGACATGATTGTATATTTAGAAAACTCCATCATCTCAGCCCAAAATACCCCTAAGCTGATAAGCAACTTCAGTAAAGTCTCAGGATACAAAATCAATGTGCAAAAATCGCAAGCATTCCTATACACTAATAATAGACAAACAGAGAGCCAAATCATGAGTGAACTCCCATTCACAGTTACTACAAAGATAATAAAATACCTAGGAATTCAACTTACAAGGGATGTGAAGGACCTCTTCAAGGACAACTACAAACCACTGCTCAAGGAAATAAGAGAGGACACAAACAAATGAAAAAACATTCCATCCTCATGGATAGGAAGAATCAATATTGTGAAAATGGCCACACTGCCCAAAGTAATTTATAGATTCAATGCTATCCCCATCAAGCAATCTTTGACTTTCTACACTGAATTAGAAAAAAAACTACTTTAAATTTCATATGGAACCAAAAAAGAGCCCGTATAGCCAAGACAATCCTAAGCAAAAAGAATAGAGCTGGAGGCATCATGCTACCTGACTTCAAACTATACTACAAGCCTACAGTAATCAAAACAGCATGGTACTGGTACCAAAACTGATATATAGACAAATGGAACAGAACGGAGACCTCAGAAATAATACCACACATCTACAACCATCTGATCTTTGACAAACCTGAAACAAACAAGCAATGGGGAAAGGATTCCCTATTTAAAAAATATTGTTGGGAAAACTGGCTAGCCATATGCAGAAAACTGAAACTGGACCCCTTCATTACACCTTATACAAAAATTAACTCAAGATGGATTAAAGACTTATAAGTAAGACCTAAAACCATAAAAGCCCTAGAAGAAAACCTAGGCAATACCATGTAGGACGTAGGCATGGGCAAAGCCTTCATGACTAAAACACCAAAAGCAATGGCAACAAAAGCCAAAATTGACAAATGGGATATAATAAACTAAAGAGCTAATGCACAGCAAAAGAAACTAACATCAGAGTGAACAGGCAGCCTACAGAATGGGAGAAAATTTTTGCAATCTATCCATCTGATAAAGGGGTAATATCTAGAATCTACAAAGAACATAAATTTAGAAGAAAAAAACAAACAACTTCATTAAAGTGGGCGAAGGATCTGAGCAGACACTTCTCAACAGAAGACATTTATGCAGGCAACAAACATGAAAAAAATGTCATCATCACTGGTCATTAGAGAAATGCAAATAAAAACCACAATAAGATACCATCTCACGCCAGTTAGAATAGTGATCATTAAAAAGTCAGGAAACAGGCTGGGTGCAGTGACTCACGCCTGTAATCCCAGCACTTTGGGAGGCCGAGACAGGCAGATCACGAGGTCAGGAGATCAAGACCATCCTGGCTAACATGGTGAAACCCCGTCTCTACTAAAAATACAAAAAAATTAGCCCAGTGTGGTGGCAGGCACCTGTAGTCCTAGCTACTCGGAAGGCTGAGCCAGGAGAATGGTGTGAACCTGGGAGGCAGAGCTTGCAGTGAGCCGAGATTGCACCACAGCACTCCAGCCTGGGTGACAGAGAGAGACTCTGTCTCAAAAAAAAAAAAAAAAAAAAAAAAAAAAAGTCAGGAAACAACGGATGCTGAAGAGGATGTAGACAAATAGGAACACTTTTACACTGTTGCTTGGAGTGTAAATTAGTTCAACCATTGTGGAAAATAGTGTGGCAATTCCTCAAGGATCTGGAACCAGAAATACCATTTGACCCAGCAATTCCATTACTGGGTATATACCCAAAGGATTATAAATCATTCTACTATAAAGACAAATGCACACATATGTTTATTGCAGCACTCTTTACAATAGCAAGGCCTTGGAACCAACCCAAATGCCCATCAATGATAGATGGATAAAGAAAATATGACACATATACACCATGGAATACTATGCAACCATAAAAAGGATGAGTTCATGTCCTTTGCAGGGACATGGATGAAGCTGGAAACCACCATTCTCAGCACACTAACACAAGAACAGAAAACCAGACACCACATGTTCTCACTCATAAGTGGGAGTTGAACAATGAGAATACATGAACACAGGGAGGGGAACATCACACACCAGGGCCTGTTGGGGGATGGGGGCCTAGGGGAGGGATAGCATTAGGAGAAATACCTAATGTAGATGACGGGTTGATGGGTGTGGCAAACCACCATGGCACGTGTATACCTATGTAACAAACCTGCATGTTCAGCACATGCATCCCAGAGAGTAAAGTATAATAAAAAATATTTTTTAAAGAAGAAATACCATACTGTATGACTGAGGTTTTTTTTTTTTTCCTCACCCTCCTTTCTAATTTTGTTTTAAATATTGTCTTGTGTTTTAGCTTTTGCTATCTACTTGCTTTGTCAGTTTTACGTGAAGATTTGAAGAGATTGAAAGGCTATGCTGGCCAGGAGCAGTGGCTCACGTCTGTAATCCCAACATTTTGGGAGGCCCAGGTGGGTGAATCGTGAGGTCAGGAGTTCAAGATTTGCCTGGCCAAGATAGTGAAACTTCATCTCTACTAAAAATATAAAAATTAGCCAGGCATGGGGGTGCATGCCTGTAATCCCAGCTACTCAGGAGGCTGAGGCAGAGAATTGCTTGAACCAGGGAGGCGGAGGTTGCAGTGAACCAAGATCCTGCCACTGCACTCTAGCCAGGGCGACAGAATGAAACTCTGTCTCAAAAAAATAAAAAAAAAGAAAAAAAGAAAGTTTATGCTGTCACACTACCATCTCTCCAGGATCCCTTTATTTTTTAGTTTAAATAAATTCTATTCCTTTTTGTGCTATCCCACATCCACTTCCAAACTTTCCTAAAATATTATTTTGATATACCTTAGAAAGGAGCTATGTGAATGTGTGTAATATGGTCTGTAAAGTTTTATACCTTCTGCAGAATGACAGTTCTGTGCATCAAGATTTATTAATGCTGTTCCCATATACTCAATGTTATGTAACTAAATATATATACTACAATTACTTTTTGAGTTGAATCATTTGGATTGCTTATGCTGTGTTTAACAGAGCACTTACTGTTTCATTGGATCTGCCCTTAATTTTTTAAACATTAAATATTGCATATTGCTAAACATTGGCCTTAGTGTATAAAAAGAGGTATACCTTATAATAGTATGCTTTTTATAGAAAGCATAACATTTCTTGAAATTTAAAAAAGCATAGGTAAATACTTATTAATAAACAGAGCATATTAGAGAATCTTGGAGTTATGATACAGGCAACAAATAAACAAGGAGAATTGTGTTCCACTTCCCTTCTTCTCAATTGTCTTTTGCTCTAATTCCTTTTTGATTTTCTGTTTCTTCATGACTTTGCCTCAGAATTCCTGTTGCTTTTGCATCTTAAGCTGCAAATACTCACTGAAAGGACTCGGATTCCTGCTGTTGTGACTGGCATTACCTTGAATTTCTGTTGGCATACCTGTGCCTGGCAGTTTGACAGTGTGAGAGTCATTGATAGGCTGTTTTGTCTAAATGGGACAACCACATTTTAAGCTGCATAGTCTATAATCTCCAGTAAAATGTACATGTTGGATAGTTGTGCATCATAGTACAAAGATATGTATGGTATTGTATAAGCATCTGTTTCCCTTCATTGTTTCTATGCTACCAAATGCATGTGTTGTTCCAAGTGGATTAGCCAGTCTAGACATCCTACCAAATGTCAATGCAAGCATGGATCTTCTGTGCACAGGTCTCAAGTGATCAGGGCTTGTCTGCAATGCCACTCTTAAACAGTCAAATCAATACAGTCACATTATTATTGTTTTTCTTTCCACTTTGCTAACAGAAAATGTTATCTGAATACAAGATTTCTTTTTGTTTTCTAAGCAGAAAGTAACATATGACCAGAACTCAAGAGGGAAAAAGTTAGCTGATGAATAAATGTCCAAGAACTTGGGAAAGAAGTATATATTTTTTATTACCCACTAAGCCACGATAAGGGTTATTATCATGAGATAATCATTCCTCTGGAGCAATACGAGACAGGGGACACAGCTGAGTGCGATCATGCCCATGGGATGTGATTAGCTCATGATAACAGCATCCCCTGGACTCATTGCTATTATGAAATGTCTATTTCCCCCCATTTTCTATATATAAATAAATGATTTTGGCGGACAGATTCAATTCCCACAAAGTGCAAGTTTGCATTAAAATGCTTCAGCTGTGAGATTCACAGATATTAATTTACCCTTTTGGAATGTTGAACAGTCAATCAGAATCTTTCTTCGTCTCAAGCTGTTTTATGATATTATTACAATGTATTTTGCGACGGAATGGCGGGTAAAGCAAGTTTCAGAGAAATAGGCTTGTTTGGGCTCGATTTAGTTGCTTGAGGGAAACCTCTACATAAAATGACTCTGCCTGCTCACTAAGGCATCCTAACTTTCTCATTATATTTTTCCTGCCTGACTCAATTTCTTTGCTGCATTTTAGAAGTCTGAAGTTCATTCCTCTAACTAGATTAATAAAAGCAGATTTCTCATTTCATATTTCACAATCGACAGAGGATAATAATGCCCTGGTAAAGTCAGAGTGAAGTGAGAAAATACTAGTCCCGAATTTATGATTTTAAAATTAACTTTGAAATAGGATTGATTTTTGGATTTATCAAAAAATGGGAAGTTTTGATATAATAACAAGACTGGCTGGTATGTGTTCTTTTTAGAAATTTAAGTTTGTGAAAATAGCACAATTAATTTATAAAAATTAAAAAGGCTGGGTGCAGTGGTTCACGCTTGTAATCCCCACACTTTGGTAAACTGAGCCAAGAGTGTTGCTTGAGGCTGGGAGTTTGAGACCAGCCTGGGCAACACAGTGAGAACCCCATCTCTACAAATACTATCTGGAATAGGTAGCATGTGCCTGAAGGCTACTCAGGAGGTGTAAGTGAGAGTATTGCTTGAACCCAGGAGTTTGATGCTGCAGTGAGCTAAGAAGGTGCCACTGCACACTTGCCTGGGTGACAGAATGAGACCCCAGCTCTAAAAAAAAAAAAAAAGTCAATGTCATTTCCATCAGCTAAAGAATTTTCGGTAGTCATCTCCTTGGCCATGCTTATGAAAAGCAGAAACATAAACTAGATTATCATAGTCTCCTAAAGAAATTTTTTCTCTATATTAAAAAATATTTGTGGCACATGTGTTAATAGTATTAGAATGAATATTTGGTGTAAAAATAAGGATTGAATCTAAAAACCAACAGAAGGAAAAAGTGGCATCTTCTTTTTCTTCAAATATATTTTATGGTTTTGGTCAGGCAGCCTTTTTCTCATTCCATATATGTATGTATTGTTCTAATTTTTAGGAGAACATACAAGCAGTCACCATTTAATCAGAGAGTGTACTTAATTAAGAAATTCAAAATTTGCTGCTTATCATTATTCTTCCTCTCTATGAATGTTATTACTTTTATGGTGTGAATGATGAAAGAAGCTTGCTTCACACCACATTAAGCCAGAAGAGGAAGGAACTCGTGCACTAACTTACACAGAGCATCTGATAAAAATACAAATTCAGTTAACTCTGGAATTATCAAGTGGACATAAATGAATAGGGTTACGATATGAATTTAAAGTATAAGCATTAGTGATGTTTCATGAGTTATTAGACTTACATTTTTCTTTTCGTTAAAAAGTCTTGGAATGAAATTCTGGCTTGTGTAGTTCTGAAAAACAAATTTCCTTCCTATTGTGACCATCAGTTTTATGTGTGAATCTGACTAAAGTATTCAGTTATTCAATCAAGTAGAATATTAAATCAATTTTATATAATTTCTTATATTAATATTTTAGAGGGCCTTGACTAGGTGGTCTTTTGTAGCACTGAGTGGGATGTTCATGAGGATGTTAAAACAAGTAGGTTTTCTTTTTCAGTGATACAATTGTCAAATCAAAGATATTTTTGATTATCTAATTTTCCTTTCCACCTTTTATTTTTCTCTTTCAAGCTGCATTTGGACATTGTACAAAGTATTTTTTGGGCCCTATGATTAAAGATTTCTGAGGTCACATAAAAACAGGAGGTTGAAAATGCTAGTTAAAATAGTTGGGTAATAAAAAAGATGTTAAATACCATCTTCTTACCCTAAAAGTAGGATTTTTTTTTTTGAAGACTGAAATTTGGAGAACTTAAAAAATCTGTGCTAAGTTTGATGAAAGTAGAAAGATATATGGAAGGCTAGGTTACATGTACAGTATTTGATTATATATCACAGGTGTCAAGAACATTCTGGAATCATAGTTCTAGCACAGATTCTAGACATCTCCTAGTCCACTCCCTTGAGGTAAGCAATGTTAAATACTAACAATTCAGGAGTTAATGATCACAAAGTCTACTTTTAAAAATATGTAGGAGAAATTATTAAAGAACTTTTTCACGTTGGTTTTGTATGCATTTTAGCTATAAGTTTTTATAGTTTACCTAAAGCGTTCTGATATTTATATCAAGAATGGAATAAAATATGAATTTGCACACACTAATATGTATATATAGATAGATAAATGTAATATGTTGTAAATGGAACAGATCCCTACTTATAGAGTTCAGTAGTAGGCAGGGTTTGAAAGTCAATAATTTATAAATGAAGCTGATAAATAGAACACATTCATTCAAGACACAGCGGACAGCTGAGAACTGAAAAAGCTAACACTTCAACAGCTACCTTCTTTTAGTCACAGTATAATTTTCTATGCTGCGTAATGTAGTCCTTCCCTCTCACAGAGGTACCAATAGAGGCTGGAACTAGAAAGATTAAAATATTACCTCTAACAGTGTGTAAAAGTTGACTTATAATTTAAAAATAAGCAATTATTTTCATTAGTCAACATATTTCTCTTCTCTCATTCCACCCTCATCTCAAATTTTGAGCATGAATATTAGAAAATTTAAGTTAAAAAGAAACCCTAGAAAACATGAATAAATTCTGAATTATATGTTTTATTTTCATGTGTAGATATAACTATTACCATGAAAATATGTTAACCTAACGAATCCCAAAAAATAGGATGAATATAATGAGAATTTGTCATCGTACTAAAATGAAACTTATGACACCATGCTTTCACCTTTAATATCATTTCCTCCTTATTGTCAAGGAATGTATGTAAGCAAATTTTCATAGAACACTAGTCATATTAAACAAAGCTTTCATATAAGTAAGCTTGAAAAACAAAGCATTTTGGTGTATATTCTTCTTACTTTTAGAAGTAAGTATGCATGTTATCATACTAAAATATTAAAACATACTACAATAACAAAATTGGTTAACTTTGTTTAACATAGAGTTTCCCACACTTATTTGACTACAGAATGCCACACCTGTACCTCTCCTGCCAACACCATTAATATCAGTCAACTGATGTTTCCACAAATCACTTTGGAAATTCTAGTGTTAGCCTAGATTGTTGGTGGAATTAGAGGAAGAGTCAATACTATTTTTCCATAAAGGGCCAAATAGTGAAGATTTTATAATCTATAGGCCACATATGGTACGTGTTTCATATTCCCTTTTAAAGTTACAACACTTCAAAAATGTAGAAAACGTTTTTTGCTTGACAGTCAGTAGGATACAGGTCTTATTTGGCCTGTGAGCCATAATTTATTGACCCCTGGATTAGAGGATACAAATAAAAAATAATGACTAAGAAGAGAAAAAAATTATCAATTAATAAAGAATAAAACACATGTGTAGATAACCAAGTGGAATTTTGGCTAAATGGTCATAAATGTTGATATATAAAACAGTAGGAATAAACAATAAATGCTTTTATTTCATAATTATGCAATTAGAAAATAGATTTAGATATGCATTTCACTAGAAATCCTTATACCATGAACAAAAATCAACTCAAGATGGATTAAAGAATTAAATGTGAAACCTAAAACTATAGAAATCCTTGATGATAACCTAGGTAATACCATTCCGGACACAGGTTCTGGCAAAGATTTCATGAAGAAGACACCAAAAGCAATTGTAACAAAAACAAAAATTGATAAATGGGACCTAATTAAACTAAAGAGCATCTACACAGCAAAAAAAACTATCAACTGAGTAAACAGACAATGCACAGGATGGGGACAAATATTTGAAAACTATGTATCTAACAAAGACCTAATATCCAGAATCTACAAGGAGCTTAAGTCAGCAAGCAAAACACAATCCCATAAAAAAACTGGGCAAAGGACATGAACAGACATTTCTCAAAAGAAGACATATATGTGGTCAATAAGCATAAGAAAAAAATGCTTAAACATTACTAATCATTAGAGAAATGCAAATCAAAACCACAGTAAGATTCCATCTCACACTAGTCAAAAGTGCTATATTAAAAAGTCAAAAACAACAGATGCTGGTGAGATTGTGGAGAAAAGCGAACACTTCTACACTACTTGTGGGAAGGTAAATTAGTTCAGCCACTGTGGAGAACAGTTTGGTGATTTCTCAAGGCAGAATCACTATTTGACCCAGCAATCCCACTGTTGGGTACATACTCATAAGAATATAAATTGTTCTACCATAAAGCCACAGGCATGTGTATGTTCATTGCAGCACTATTCACAATAGCAAAGACATAGAGGACAGGCGTGGTGGCTCATGCCTATAATCCCAGCATTTTGGGAGGCCAAGGTGGGTGGATCATGAGGTCAGGAGTTTGAGACCAGCCTGGCCAACAGAGTGAAACCCTGTCTCTAATAAAAAAAAATATAAAAATTAGCTGAGTGTGGTGGTGGGCACCTGTAGTCCCAGCTACTCAGGAGGCTGAGGCCAGTAAATTGCTTGAACCCAGGAGGCAGAGGTTGCAGTGAGCCAAGACTGTGCCATTGCACTCCAGCCTGGGTGACAGAGCAAGACTCCATCTTTAAAAAAAAAAGTAAAAAGAAAAAGACATGGAATCAATCTAAATTCCCATTAAAAGTAGACTGGGTAAAGAAAATGTGGTATGTATACACCCTGGAATACTATGCAGCCATAAAAAAGAATGAGATCATGTTATTGGCAGGGACATGGATGGAGCTTGAGGCCATTGTCCTAAGTGAACAGAAAACCAAACACCACATGTTCTCACTTGTAAGTGGAAGCTAAACCTTGACTACATAGGGACATACAGAAGAGAACAACAGGCACCAGAGCCTATTGGAGGGTGGATGGAGGGAGGAGGGTGAAGACCTAAAAACTGCCTATTTGTTACTATGCTTACCATCTGGGTGATGATCTGTGTTCCCAACACCTGTGACATGCAAGTTATCTATATAACAAATCCACACATGTACCCCCAGACCTAAAATAAAAGTTAAAAAAATTAAAAATAAATTATACAAAGATGTGTTGATTCAAGATGGATAAGTATCAAATATCAATTTTACGAAGTCTTTATTAGAGCACTCGGTGGTCATTAGATTTTTACAGTATTTCTGAACCTATTTGAGTGAAGATAAGGTTATATACAAGTTCTTCTTGCTCTTAAGATTCACCTATAAGAAAATTATGAGTTAGTATGCAAGTTGGAATAAACTGCTTAGAGCTAATTAAGAACAAAGAAAAATTTGAATTTTGGGTCTAGATTCATAATTCTCTATTGTTAGTGTTACATCACCTGAAGAGAAAGATTAAATATATATTTAATGTATAATATTAAATAATATTAATAAATATATATAATATTAAATATATATAAATATATTGGGCAATGAGAAAAGTATGTACTAAGAATGCCTATTTTCATGTATTCACTAATTGAGAAAGCAAATGTTTATTTAAATCTACTATATTCAAGATATCGTGTTTACAATAACAAATATTTGGAGAAAATATAAACTTTCAGGTGTTGATCATCTTTCATTGCTACAATGAAATTATACATGCTTTTTTATGAAATAAAAAATTAAAAAGCATTTTTAATTACTCACAATTAAAATATAAGTAGAAAAAATGAAATTACAAAACAGAACACATACTGTGTTTGTGAACACAAGTTTATACACATATGCACAAATATCTACACATGTACATGTTGATATATTTCTTTGAAAATGATAGAAACAAATTTGGAAAGAAATGTAAAAGTAGTTAACTTTGGCCAGTGGTATTGCTTTTTGTAGATTTTCTATTTTTAAGATATTTTATACAACATAGATCTTATGTCTTTTTCAAAAGAAATGCATGCTAGTGTTACTAGATTGTTTGTTGTTTGCTTTTAAAATCTATTCCCTGGCTTTGAAAAGCTTACATTCTTGTATTTCCGGGTTTGCCGATAGAGAATCCCCAAATAAACTGAATGTAAAGTAGAAATTTCAATTTGCAAAATATCTGGGTGGAAATAAAGCATTTCTGGCAAAAATGAATAGTGAATTGCATTTCTCTCTTCAGGTGATAGTGTGGTTGTTTGATTCTGTACCTTTCATGTGTTGAGACCACGAAACCAGCAGACTGAGGAGTTAAACATGCCCTCGTTTTATGACTTCAGTAATTCACACATCCCTGGGGTTGGCCAGATGGGGATGCCTCTCTTTGTTTAATCTAATATCTCTATTGCATTAATTTTTTCTCCTTTTGTAGCCCAACCAGATAGCTTTATTGAGCTGCTCACGATGATTCCTGGATCCCCACCCTCCAACTCACTGAGAGTTGTCAGTCGACAAGGCATAAAACAGCCTGTGGAAGATGGTCTACCATTCCTTCTGATGTTCTTGCTTTAGGACTGACACTGCTTGGCCTGAATTTGATGTGCCATATGACTGACTGCCTGATTACCTTTATCTTCTCCCTCGTAGGTATACCTTAACTTCTAACAAAAAGGGTTTCAATATCATTGTTGAACAGAAAACAGTTTTGTTTTGTTTGTTTGTTTTTAACATAGCTTATTTTTTTTTTCTAAGGGTTTAAAACCTCCAATCCTATACAGCAGAATGTGGCCCCTGCGAATAGCTCAGGTCTTTGAGGCCAAAGGACTCCCTCATTGCACACCTGTCTTGACAGATTGAGGCCCTAGAACAACATAGCTTAGTCACACACTAACCAGCAGGGAGAAAGTCTGTGCCTTTTATTAAAGCCTACCTACTGGCTTAGTGTTTGGAATTCAGTTCTACCTATAAATCAACATCAGAGCATACAACCCAGCGTGTTCAAGAGCTTTGCTTAAACATCAAAGGAAGAACACAGACAAGTACTATTATAGAAATATAACTAATCACTTGCAAATACATCTTTCCTGTCAGTAGGAGCTTAACCTTTTCTGTTTAATGTGACTAGGAAATAAATTCAGTTATCTCCATTCTATATGTTTTCTTTAAAGAGGTATAGAATTTTTCTATGAAAAAGGTATATTTGGTCTTAATGTAACACAGACCAGCGTAGCATTTCAGAAGTCTGCAGTTGAAGAGAGCAACAAAAAGCTGAAGTGTGTCCAATTGTAAATGCTGTTTATTACCTAATGAAAGACACATTACTTCTATTAATCTTATATCTGCTAGGAAAATCTAAGTTTTGATGAAGTGGCACTGGGATAAAAGTAAAACATAATAAATATATTTATTTTAAAAATGGGGGAAATAGATTTATATTTGTTTGTTGGTTGGCAGTGAATACAATTTGATGCTTTGTGGTACATTGATTGGGATCAATTTAGCTTCATCCTCTGCTCATGGTTTTATCCATTCATGAGGGGCCTAGGAAGGATTTACTTGAGGTGCTCAGAAAATCCTAGAATCTATAAACTGTTCCTTTAATTTGAATGCTACAGATTACGGATGAAAGTTTGGTCACCTGCGTGGATCAGTGGGATTAGAGACATCAAAGCAAGTAAAAATAAGAAAGACAAGCAGAGAAACAACAAACAAAAAGAACTCCATCACTGAAACCGAAGGTAGTGCCAAGGGAATTGGAGGGTTTGCATAGAAATATAGTATTCCAAAGTGGATTTGTGCTAGTGCTGTTGTTGTTTCTAAATCTGGGATAAATTGTGGAGACATGAAGTCTTAGAGTCGGCATATTTGAGAAAGGAATCTTCTATTACTTTCTGATTTGATATTTCTGTACAGTATACATAATCTTGATTTTCAAATGTGTGTAGGTAATAAATGTTTTTGTGGAGGCTGTAGCATATGTATCATTGACATTTGTGAGGTTTTAATATGTACACATATATGTGACTTTGTTTGTATGTATGAGAGTTGGTATAGTCTAGTGATATTAAGACTGATATTAACCTTATAACAAAGTAAAAAGAGTAGAAATATTGAGTTTGACAAAACTAACAAAGAATCCTGGACCCACAGGTGTAAGTTTTGGAATCTTAGGGAATATTAATACTTATTATAGAGTTGTGAGAATTAGATGGGCTCTCTCATAGAAATGCCTAATGCATTTTAATAATCCTATAACTTGTACCTAGTAATAGTAGTATCAAAAACCATCATAGGAGTTAGTACCTTTATGACTTACAACTGGATGTTTCAAGGTAAGATTTACTTAACCTCAATTGACTCTCAGTATTTTCTTATCTGGGATTTAATAATAAGTTGAAAATTAAAAAACAAGACTAGGTGTTTGTAGGTTACCTATTGGATACCCTGTTTTATTACCTGGTTGACAAAATAATTTGTACACCAAACCCCTGCACCACACAATTTAGCTATATAACAAACTGCATATGTACCACTGAACCTAAAATAAAAGTTAAAACAAAACAAAAAACTACCTTGTTTTTTCTGATACTGATAGCAGAATTTTAACAAGAGTTGTTAGGTTCACCTACATTTGGAGTCTGGAACCACCTCTCCATTCTCCTCTAGTTCCAAATATACCAACTATATTAAATAGAGCATGTATATGATCTCTCCTCACTCACTACTCCCCTAGCCCCATGTTTTACCTTAGAAAATGTACTCTATTTAGAGACATGGCTCCTATATGTGGGTGCATTCACATATATCAAGGTTAATAGCCACTTTCCCACTGGCAAATGCTAATCCATAGTGCCAATGAGTCTTCATTAGAATAAAATATAACTGTTGTGCCCATTTAAATAAAGCATTTCCAACAACATCACAGAATGATTGCACTATAAAAATGCTAATGCACAGCCAGTGTTTTGAGAGAGATTGCAAGATCCTTGAGGGCAAGAATTTGTTCTATCCTTAGGTTATGTACTCTATAGACAACAATGGAACACTTAATGATTTTGTTTTTAACAGCTAACTAATTCTACTTTTTTCAAGAAAAACTTAAGAGTGAAAATAACTTCCTCAGGCATCCTTGTTAGAAGAAGAAAATGGATTGGCAATTTTCAGAAATCAGGTCTGCAGGATCTTAAGACCATTACAAACTTCTGTGATATTCAGTTCAGAGTTTCCCGAGAAAACAGAAAATGAACAAGTCTCTGAGACTTCTGCCTTTACAGATGTCCTCTGGAATGGAGGGTAGATAAGCCCTTGCTAAGTAATTCCATCCAGAGCAATTTCCCTCAGCACTCAATCTCCTGAGAGCTCCCCTTCTCCTTCCACATCTCATTCCTTTAGGTTTAGATCTTCCACCTTCAAATTGAAGGTTGGTTCCTGCTTATGTATAGAATTCATTAAAAGCAAAACTTTGACCCTCATAAGCTGATGAAAAAATTAACATTAGAATATTTGGAATGAGTGGTGGTGGCCATAATAAAACGTCTGTTGAAAATAGATATTCTGTTAATTAACTAAGTAATAGCACAGTGCAGCTAAGTGGCATGGTGGGGTGAATGAGTGCATTAGTTTGTTCTCATGCTGCTAATAAAGACATACCTGAGACATAATTTATAAAGAAAAAGAGGTTTAATGGACTCACAGTTCCACAGGGCTGGGGAAGCCTCACAGTCATGATGGAGGGTGAAGGAGAAGCAAAGTCATGTCTTACATGGCGGCAGGCAAAGAGAGCTTGTATAGGGGAACTGACTTTTATAAAACCATCAGATTTTGTGGGACTTATTCACTATCATGAGAACAGCAGGGGAAAGACCCACCCCCATGATTCAATTACCTCCCACCGGGTCCCTCCCACAACATGTGGAAATTATGGGAGCTACAATTCAAGATGAGATTTAGGTGGAGACACAGCCAAACCGTATCAGTGAGGATGGAGGTTAGGAGTGGAATTTGAGAGCAACAGGTGAGCATTATCAGTGTACTAAAAAGTAGTCACAAAGGCTTCCTTTATAGTCACTTAACATATAACAAGAAGAGAGGAAGCACTAAATGGGATATTCTGATTCATTCAGAGGCCATGAAAAAACTAATCAATTTAGTAATATTTATTAAATACAAGTTAAATATACATTCAAATTTCATTAGTAGTTTTATAACTTCATCTTATGAAATTACCAGAGTATTCTTCTGCTGTTCAGATTCTATTTGTTAGTTAAACAAATTAATGTGTATTTAAAAATATATATTAAGTATTTTATTAAAAATATGTCCTAATTGATCAAATACCTAATGGTACTTGAATATGCACAGAATATACAACTATTTTCTGCACATCAGTTTCCTCAGATGACATTTATTTTATCCTTGGTTTTGTGTGCAATGTTGCTAAGTTTCTGTGGTAACTCAATCACTTTATATAAAATGGAGATTATTTCATTAACTACCAAGGCAGCTACTATTGCTGGGTGTTACTGTGTCATAGGAATGAGTTGAAGCAATTTTCCAGTGACACAAAATGCTTGGACTACACTTACATGTAGACTCGAATCTCCTCCCTTTTGAAGGGGTTGTCACAGTTAATAGATGTTATGAAATCTAATATCCTGTCTTCTTCTCAAGCCCCACACATATGCTCATCCAGACAGGTACCAAATTGCTAGACACGAGCAAGGTCTGCATGACCTTCACAGAAACTAAACTGTGTAAGAGAAATAGACAGAAAACTGCCCTAATCTCTACTTTACTCACCCAGAAGAATCTATAAATAAATACATTTGACTGTAGTAAGGAATACTACATGCGGTTCTTAAACTAATGTCCATTGCTGTCCTGGGAGGGAGAAAAGTTATGGCAAATTATCTTTAAGAATATCATGCTAGGAGTGTTGTTTGCCTGTTTGTATTCCTTTAACTGAGAACACCACAATGGTATTGTCAGTACCTCCTCAGACTGGCAACTGGGAAGTGATAACTCACCTAGGTATTGTTCAAACTCTCAGAAAAGCGTATCAGACTCTGTCAGAGGTCATAGCTATTCTTTTCAAAATGATGGAACATGACTGTCACTTTTTCCATTTTTTGTTCAGTTCCTATGATCTACGTCAGCTCATCTTATTTCCAATATTTTGTACCTGCCATCCTCTCCTTTGTGGAACTCCAGGCCTCCCTAATGTGAAAGCAGTTCTGGCCCTTGATTTGTAGAAAACTCCAGTGTTAGAAAACTCCATGCCTTAGAAAGCTATTGGGTACTAGGCCTAGTATCTAGGTGACAAAATAATCTGTAAAACAAACCCCATGGCTTGAATTTACCTACATAACAAACCTGCATATGTACCCCTGAAGCTAAAATATTTTTTAAGAGAGCTAATGGTAGCTCTCTTTCAATTTATGTTTCACTGGCCCTGAAGTGTGAGTAGGGGATTCTGGTCCTAACAGTGGCAAAATGATAGACAATTGAAATTTATTCTAGTTCAGTTTACCAAAGATGAAGTTTATAGGCAATTTCTTCATAAGTTACCTATATATAAGCCCAATTCGACAGAGTAAACATATTCTGCCTGGATCATATGATTCAATTTTATTGGAAGAACATGATTTTTCTCTATCTTTTGAAAGTTATTAACTTTGGCATTATTTTTCCCAGCCTGCTTTTATGATGATATGTATTATGTTACCAGATATCTGAGTCATCTGAGGCATGTGTTTCCTGTACTACAAACTCCTCTTTCAGAAGGTTTATGAGCAAGCAGAATTGACTCCATTTGAGAGGCATGGGAGGGACCCTTAGTAATTATCACTGTGCCTCCTGCCATCTCCTCTCTCCTGAACCATGTAGCGGAGCAAATGCATATCTTGGGTCATGCAGCTAAAAGTCCTTGGAAACTGTCTCCCTATTGAGTAAGCCGTCAAAAAAAAATCTGGGGACTTAAAATATCAGTTCAAGCTATTCCTCCCAAACTCATGATGACAACAGAACTGCTGACCTTCAATTTGGCACCTGCTCTTGCTAAGCAACTTGATCTCATATTTAGGACTTTTCCAAAATATTACTGCCTTACGTAGACACCCTTTTTACAGCCAAGGTAAGAATCTAGTTCTCTTGTTGTAATCTAGTTCTCTTGTTGTAGCAAGTCTATTTGTCACTCATGGGAATTCCATGGAATTAGGACAAATGCCAATTATTTCTACTGGGCAGTAATAAATATTTGAGTTCACTAATCAGTGAACTATTCACTACTTTAAAATTTTATCCTTTTTTTACTCATTTCCTCAAGTGATTATTGTTTGAGGTCCCCACAAAATGTTGACATTCATGAAGAACTATTTTGACCTCATCATTTGAACAGCCCTCAAAGCTTCCAAAAATCGAACTGTGGATGATTCTGCCTTTTCCTGTGCCTGGGGTGAGTCTAATGGCTTCACCCAGGCTCAAGTTTCTCTAGATCACATTAATATACTGCTTACAGAAATCAGAAAGACTCCTAACTTGCTTAGTTTAATGGTCAAGGACATCTCTGCTGTGTTATATCTTGGGGACAAACCAATAAAATTGAAAAATGGGAAGTAGGAATAAGAGGACAAATTGGTTAGACATAGGAAGCATCCCTTTTTTCTCTGACTGCTTAGGGACAGATGGTGAGCCAATGAAAAGTAAGCAGAGTTGGGATGTCAATGTAATTTAGGTGTAAATTATTACCATTATCTCTGTTATGCTGGATAACTCATCCTATCTCATAGTGTTATGCTAGACAACTCACCCTGTCTCATAGTGTCTAGTTTTCTCTCTTTGGAGTGAAGATGATACAAAACTAAATTTTAGAGTCAAGCTGAAAATCATGAAGTTGTTTAAAAAGTTCCGTAAACATTATGAGCTATATCTCTGTTCCTGAGTTTTGAGGTTCTCCCCAACATGGGGAAAAATACTATTCTTTTGAAAAAGAATGATGTCTGTCTCATAGAATATTAAACTTCAAAAGTGATGCACATGTGACATATTAGCAGCAGATGACAAATGTCTATTTTCATAAGTCTGGAAGAGACTCATCAGGCAAAATACTTGGTAAAGGTGAGTAGACCAAGAAGCCTAAAGTTAAACACGTGTGGGTAACAAAGTCTGCCTAACTCTCCTTCCATTAGGTAGCTGCTTACATAAGTAACTATGAATAGTTCACTTCTGCTCACCATTTTCCAACAGAAATTTTTAAACAAAGTAGCAAATTTGATACTATGTTAATTTATGTTAGTATATTGTAGCATATTACTAAAAAATTTATCTGATACTAATACTTGATGATATAGTCTTCACATTATATCCTGAGTCGTTATCATGAGACCTAGTAGAAACATTTTTCTAACCACAGTTCAGAATTCTTATCTTCTGGAATTTGGACAGACCCATACTGAAAAGTATGCTTCTCAAAGATGTGGTTTTATCTACAATATATAAAAATCTTGCAAGATTTTAATGGCTAATAAGAATATGAAGGACAAAGAAGAAAAAATGTTGGCTCCAAAATGGAAATGGAAACATCAAAATTATTATAAATGTATGTTAAATTAAATGTCTCAAAAATGTAATACCCCAACTAGTCAACTACAACTTAGCTCATAACATTTTACACACACACACACACACACACACACCCCTGTATAATGTGTAATGTGGATACATTTTAATAGCTGATGGGGCTTATAAAGTAAGAAGATTGAGGGCAAAGGAAGATGTGAAAATAGTCCTGCCTATAAAATCCCACTTACGGAGAGAAAAAAAAATTATAACATTGTTTAAGAAGGATATGTTACATATTTTTAGCTTTGTGCCTTCTAATTGCTGTTTGATAAACTGCTTTTTTTCAAATTTTTGTTTTATTTATTAATACTACTTAATGTTTTCATCACCAGAGCAGCCCCAGACTTGCCCTCTGTTTAGTATTAGGTGCTGCTGATGTCTAATTACACTAAAAGACATTCAAGTTTGCAGACTGCCACATCTTTAATCTTATCCCTTTCTTCTTTTTCTTTTTCTTCTTCTTCTTTTTTTTTTCTGAACAAAATGCATCTCCTCCTAGTGGTAGCATATGGGAAATCATCACAAGCTCACTGCCTTTATACCACTGTGACAGAATGTCATTTCAATTGCCTTATTAACCATATGAAAAAATATATCACAACACTGAGAAAACTTCTCAGTTATCTATATCTTCCCCCTCAGGCTATTGTCATGAGCCACTGGCATACTAAGGAGAGTGTACTAATTCAGTTGTCAGCGGCCTCACCTATTAAAAAAGGGGGAAATACCAGCAAAAAATATGAAACCCATAATAAGGGTGCTGAAGAGGTCTGGATAGCTCTGTCCACTTGTAGTTCTGCATTAAGCACTTTCTCAAACAATGTACCATTTGAACTGTCAAAGAGAATGCTGCTGTCACCCACATCTGTCTTGGTAATGAAACATTAACAGTGTTGTGAGAGCAGCTTCCCCTGGCTGTGTTTGGGGAACATGAGACTGGACGCTCATGCTTCCAGTTTCCAAGTGGGGTGTAAATATATTTTACCTCACATTCTTTTCATAAGAATAGGGAACTCTTGAGAAAGTTATGAAAATGTAAAGTTCTGGAAGTCGGATCAGAGTTCTTAAAGAAGACAAAAATAATAGGTTTTATGAGACTGAAACCTGAATCAATAGTAGAAATTTTAAATTTGTTAACTTTTGACCAGATTTCTAACAATATGCTACATTTCTAAAACTGATTTCTGAAGGTCATTGCTATATCACTCTAGGAAAATACTAAGAGTTTATTAACTGATGTTCACTCTATATATCAGATTTATAAATCACTGAATATAGGAAGAAGTATGACAGCTGATGTCTTAAGCATATGTAAGACCTGCTTTTTTCATAACAGCTAAAATCAGAGCCTATATATAATAAAAATGATGTTTAAGCCCTAGGTTTTATATATATATTGGAGTAATATTTCATCATAAAACATGAGGTTACCAAAACAGCATTATACTATTCATAGTACTATGGCAGACCAGGCACTCTGTAGAGCACTTTCTGGTTTATCTCCTTTAACCCAGACAACGATAATAGGCAAAGTATGCATTAACATAGCTCATCTTATATAGAGGAGTGAAATATTGCCCAGAGTGTATGTTCTTCATCAGCCATCATATATTTAATAAGTATTAGCATCATGATTTGAACCCAGGACTGACTCCAGAGTCTATGGCTTTCCTCTATACCACAATTGGGAGTAAATCAGCACTGTGAGTTTTAACCTTGAATTCGTGCAGAGAATCAGAGACTGGCAAAGCAAGTGCATTAATATATTATTTAAAATGTATGTAATACTTAAAAATTACTCACAAATTATAAGACATTGGAAACATAAATAAAGTGTTTTTTCCTACTTTTAGAAAGTTTTCATCACTTAAAAGTAAACATTATTAATAACTCTATGTGCTTGTTACCATTAATTTCTGTATTAATTTAACAGAAATTCTTAAAGGATGCCAGTGGAGAAAACATGCGGAAGCCACACTTAGCTTCCATGTGGCTTTTGAAACTCATTTCCTTTTAAATATGGTAAGAATCTCATGGAGTGCTTTGAAAGTATGCAATGGAGAACATAAAATGTGCAATCTTTTATACCTAGAGTGTTCAATCATGTAATTCCCTGGTTAGAGTTTCATTCTAGATAGTTTGTCCCTCTACAAACTATCTACAAATGGAGTCCAGGGCTCCAACCTTAGGCCTATGCCATGTCAGCATTTCGTATGGTACTCTCTCTCTGTCCTTGTTGATATCTTGCATCTTTTCTTGGTTCTGTAGTACATTTTTAAATAAGAAATGTGATTGGCCTGGCTTGTCAGAATCCAATGTAGGAGGTCACTGCAAAGCTTATGGATTGGTGACTCTTGAGTCAGATGCACATCCCTTTCAATCAGCTGAGCAAAGGGTAGGGCCTGTGAGTGGGCAGTTTCCTTCAGATGGGGATGTGGGCTCGCAGGCACATGAAAAACTGTAAAGGACCTTATAGAGAATGAAAAGTCTTCATATTAATTGGTAGAAGGGGGACAATAAACCCTTTAGCATGTCAGATACCACAGTTACAATTTAAGATGACTCACTAGAGTGGAATTCTGGCACAAGATACATTCATTGGTCCTCATGGAGTAAATTATTTCTGCTGGACTCTGAGCTCTAGGGATACCTATGGATAAACCTATAAAATGTCCAAGAGTAGGGTGGATAAAATATTTTTCCCTAGAGTCATATAGACCTGGATTTGAATACTTCATCTGCTACTTGAATGTCTTTTCTAAGTGTTTGATGTGTTGGTTTTCATAACCTTAAAATCAAACACACACACACAAACACAAAACCCTTGCTAGTTTTGTGAAGCATGTAACAATATCTAAAGCAATGTTTGTGCAGTATTTCTTACTATTGAAAGTTGCTTTAGAAAATAGAATTTCTGGGGCATTACGATTCTTCTACCTCCAGAAAAATCTGAATGATAATAGTAATTATGAATTTCAATTACATACTTGATCTCTCTTTCAAATAATCATGGACAATTCTTTAAGGAAACCAGATTTATATGTTTAATTCCAGCTTTGTCATTACTTAAAGACCTAGAGCAAGTCTCCTCTAAGTCTCATCTGTGAAGTGGTGGTAAAAAATTATCTTTGAAGAATATTGTGAAATTAAAGGTAAAGTATGGAAAACATCTAATATTCCAAGAAACTCAGAGCACTCAATACTCTCCAAGTATGTAGCTAATCTTGGGTCTCTCTGGAAAAGTGTTTTTTCTCCCAAATCCATTATTAGCACTTTATTCTGGATTATATTCTCACTTCCCCATAAAGTTAATAATGGCATTTTTTTGGAGCCCTGGGTGTAGAATGTGTGTGTGTGTGTCTGTGTTTATGTGTGTGTGTGTGTGTGTGTGTGTGTGTGTGTGTGTGTGTAGGGGTTGGTCAGTTTTTACAGATCATTCAGTGTCATGGGTAGATATTCCCTTTCATTATTTCTTATGGCTTGCCACCTTAGAGACCTTAAAGAGAATCATTGCTTGCCTTCCCTTTCAAGCAGAGAGGAGAAGACATATCCTTATACTCTCTGGGTGCTTGATTTAGAGTTTAACTTGCTAAAGTTTGGGAGGGTTAATAATTGAGGTCTGAAGGTGGTGATAAGATAGAGTAATAGAATTCATACGGGAAGTGCAAACTTGTAGTTCCATGGTGAGTGAGGGCTTATTAGATCAAGAGAGCAAGAAAAGAGATTGCAACTGGAGATATAGGGTTCTAGAACAAGTGGCTTTTGTACAGTGGGTTTTTATATCCCCACCACATGGGCATGTTGCCTCCTCACCTTCTGTGCTTTAATAACTCAGGTCATAGCATCATGTCCCAGTGGTATTTCTATTGAATCAGTTTGTATGCATTGCCCAGTGTTGGTACAACTGTTCTATTTTCCACTGTTGTGTACACCTTCACTTCTGATCTTATGCTGTTCTCTGACTTGATGTTTTGCTCCTATGTTCCATTTGACTGGGGATACTTTATAGGTTCTGTGGCCACCAGCCAGCTTCTTACAGTCTTACAGATCTGATCCTGACACATACCGATCCTAGGTTCTAGTATCACATCTGTGATCCATATATGCTAATATGCTAATGCCATTACTATTATAATGCTTATACTATGTTATTAATATACTACGATATTTGTAATGCTAATGTCACATTAACTATCATGCTATTATTTGACCCAGTGACCAGTGTATGCCAATGATTCTTAAACTGGCCCACTGACTGACCAGCAGCCTTAGCATCACCTGAGACCTGAATCAAAAACTCTGAGGGTGAGATCCAGTGAACTGTGTTTTAACACACCTTCTGGGGATGCTGATACACACTAAAGTAAGAGAACCACTGGTCCAGGCTATGGGTTGTGGAGGCAGTCACACTGTAGCATGAGTCAAAGGGTGTGTTCACTGGCTTCAACTTCCTCTTTACAGCCTAATCATTATAGTGCTCTTCCTTTACCTAAAGGCTTGCTTCTGCCTAGTAAACTTTGGAAAGGCTAATATATTAAGCTACTAACTGTAATTTGTAACTTTATGTAAATTTGTTTATATATTTTTTCCTCACAACAGGTTTCAGAATGACTAATTTGAAAAATCATTTGATGATCACATTTAACTCCAAAATCCAGCAAGCATTTATAAGGTTCCTACTGTGCTATTTTCTAAAGAAGATACAAAGAAAGTATAAGATATAATTCTGGCCATTGAACTATTTCAAAGTTCACTATGGGGAAAACATATATATATATATATATATATATATATATATTTTTTTTTTTAATGAGTAAATTAGAAAACAAACAAGGACAAAGTGTAAACTTGTGCATAGTTTTAGTGGTATGTCTTGTATACTTATACATCATAGGAATTTGGAGAGTGAAATGAGAAATGTAGTTAATTTGATAATGTTTTACAGATAAAATAAATCTTACAGAAATGAAAAGTTGGATGATGGAGATGGTATGAATTTATGTAATTAAGATTAATTTTGGTTTTTGGTTATTTACTTAAACAAAATCAAATAACATCTTAAAGACAGATAAATTGTGAGGATTTACCTGTGCTTTTCTGATGCTCCATGAAATCAAATTTCATGACATCAAATATTCATTTTCTTAATGTTCCTTGTTGAAAGACATCTGTTCATTCTAAAAAAAATAAAAGAAGAAGTATTGTTTTTCACATATAGAATATTATGGGTAGCTCTATAAAAATACCTGTTCTGCATTTTGGCCAGTACCAGTTCAAGCTCCAATTATATAAATACATATAAATGTTTTATAAAGAATTTTTCAAGATGTTGATATCTTAAACTCCCAAACTTGTCTTTATTTCTAAATTACTTATCAAAACTGTTTATTTAAAAGAATAATGAGCTGTCACTACATAGTGATTAGAATGGCCAAAATCTAGAACACCAACACCAGCTGCTAGTTAGAATGTGGAGCAACGGAAACTCTCATTCATTGCTGGTGGGAACGTAAAGTGGTTTAGCCACTTTGGAAGACAGTTTGGTGCTTTCCTATAAAACTACACATGTTCTTACCATATGGTCCAGTAATCATGCTCCTTGGTATTTACTCAGAGGTGTGGAATACCTGTGCCCATACAAAAACCAGCACACAAATTTATAGCAGCTTTATTCATAATTGCCGAAACTTGTAAACAATCAAGATGTCCATCAGTAGGTTAATGCATAAATTGTGGTACTTCCAGACAATGGAATATATTTAGCACTGCAAAGAAATGAACTATCAAGCCATGAAAAAACATGGAGGAGGCCCGGGCATGGTGGCTCATGCCTGTGATCCCAGCGCTTTGGGAGGCCAAGGGGGGCAAATCACTTGAGCCCAGGAGTTTGAGATCAGCCTGGGCAACATGGCAAAACTCTGATTTTATAAACAGTACAAAAAAAGTCTGAAAAAATGAAAAACAGTACAGGCATGGTGACACAAGCCTGTAGTCCCAGCAACTTGGGAAGCTGAGGTGGGTGGATTGATTTAGCCCAGAAAGTTGAAGCTACAATGAACTATGATCACACCACTGCACTCCAGCCTGGGTGACAGAGAGAGACCCTATCTCAAAAACAAAAACAAAACAAAACAAAACAAAACAAAACAAAACAAAAGACATGGAGGAAATGTAAATGCCTACTACCAAGTGAAAGAAGTCAGTCTGAAAGGCTATAAACTGTATGATTCCAACTATGTGACATTCTAGAAAAGGCAAATTGATGGAGACAGTAAAAAGATCAATGGTTTACAGGAGTTGGGGGAAGGAAGGGGTGAATAGGTAGAGCAGAAAGGATTTTTAGAGCATTGAAACTGCTCTGAACTCTGTAATATAAGACATAAAATAACATATCTGCTATAATAGTGGATACATGTCATTATACCTTTGTCCAAACATAGAATGTACAACACCAAGAGTTAACCCTAATGTGAACTAAGGACTCTGGGTGATAACATTGTGTCAATATAGGCTCATCAATTGTAATAACGTACCACTCCAGTGATGGATGTTGATAATGAGGGAGGCTGTGCTATGAATGTTTAGGGACACATGGTACATGGGAAATCTCAACTTTCTGCTCAATTTTGCTGTGAATCTGACACTGCTCTTTAAAATAACACCTATTTTGAAAAACTAAAAACAAAAAAGAAAGAAAAATCATTTGAAATAATGGATAATCCAAAACAGTCGAACATCTTTTTTTATTTTTTATTTTTATTTATTTATTTTTTATTATACTTTAAGTTTTAGGGTACATGTGCACAACGTGCAAGTTAGTTACATATGTATACATGTGCCATGTTGGTGTGCTGCACCCAGCAACTCGTCATTTAACATTAGGTATATCTCCAAATGCTAAAACCGCTCAACTACATGGAAACTGAACAACTTGCTCCCCTGTTGTGAACATCTTTTATTTCAATGGAATCTGTTATATCATTGACTTTCTAAGCCTAATATCTTAATAAAAAGAAATACAACTTATGGAATTTTATCATATAATAAATTGACATTTTTATATTAAAGTTTATGAGAAGACAGTATGTAATTATGCTTACTAAATTCTATAGTTCAGAAAATTACTCATTAGTTTAGACAAAATGGAAACCACTGATATTATTTCTGTGATACATTATCAGATTGCAATAACTAAGGAATACAACTAAAGTTAGCTACAGTTTTAGTTACATTTGGGATCTTCCGTTTAGTGTGGTTAGCAGCTCAAATTGTGGAAATGTGTTGATAGAAAACATATTTTAAAAACCAAATATTAGGTAAGTTTTAACATGTATGTCTCAGAAACTGAACGTAGAGTTGTAATTATTAAAGTATCATAAGACAGAATGCTGGAGTAGAAAGCACAATGTATGGTGATGTTGAAAACACAGGCTGTACACCAGCACTGCGGATAATGCTATGTGTGACCTGTGGAAAATTAGTTAAATCTGTGGACCTTAGACCTATCATCTATAAATTAACTGTTGGGTTAGATGATGTAAAAAATGATTTTCTAGGTCAATAGTTCTATTAATAATTGTAATTTAATTTTATAAGAAGTTGACAAGTTACATAGGGAAAAGCTAAGGTTCAAAAAAGTTAGACAACTTTCCCAAGGTTATACAGTTAGAAAAAAGCAGAACTGGGACTCAAACTAAGTGTTTGGTCACATAGGTAGCCCATTTAACCCATTTATGACTTAGGTTTGTCCTTTTCTTCTCGTATTTGAATAAAAGTATAATTGACTGTATTTTGTAGAGTCTTATAAAACTTAGAATACTTGTATCTTACAAGATAGTCCCATTCTGTGAACCTGACTTGAGAAGCTGAGCAGTACTGTACCCTATTTATTTATTTTAATATATGATCATCTAGAACATTTGAATAAATATGTATGATGTATTTAAATTAACAGACACTATTTTGAGTTATTGGTCTTATATTTTGTATTGCCTTTTATGAGTATATCTAATCAAGAAGTTATTGCTTCAATGTCCTATAACCAAATATTAAAAAAAGATTTTTCGCTTACTATTTCTATTACTATATTTAACTTTGTTGCATGTTGAAAACTCATTAGATAATTTATCAAGGCATGAACTCACTCATATTGGAGCATGAGACATTTCTTTAATCCTCTGCAAAGCCTAATTTGGATTTCCCTCTGAAGTTTAACATATCACACATTGGCCACTGAGTTTTGTGTCAGAAATCTGGACTTTAAATGTCTGCAAGCAATTAGCCTTTTAAACTACATCTACAGGTGGATGTTTAGGGGGAGAAAAATATTTGAAAGTGATTTTTTTCCTCATCTAATCACCTTTTGGATTGTTATTTCCTCCTTTTACTATATAACTTTCTCACATGGGCTATTTGAAAAATTAAATCCCTTTTTTAGGTTGTGAACTGGCCTCATTAAACTCAATAGTTTGGTATGACTGGGGGATTTTTGCATAAATAACCTGTATCAACTCCTTGGTCCCTTCTCACAATGTAGGAGAGGGAAGCTGCTTTGGGTAACACAGACATGGACGCACACACGTATACACACACTCATGCAATGTCTCCATTTGCTTCCTTTTTATCTATTGAAGTGGGTTATGGCTTCTTACAGAACATAACAAAGCACTAAAACTTAAAGGCAACATTTCCTTTTGATTGAATGACTGCTTTAAGCCAGGCCCGCGTGTAATCCACGAACTTATTTTTCTGATATGTACAAGCAAGGCTAAGGCTTCTTGTCACATTAATGAAAAGAGAGAAAACTCAGAAAATGTAACCCCTTATTGGAAAACTTGGACCTAACTGGAAGACAAAAATTGATTTATATTGTCTTTTTTCTAATGTCTCTGTTGTATAAGTCCATCTTTTTAGGAGAAGAACTTTCAAACTTTTTTTTCTCCCTGCACACAATTTAAAATAATGAAGTGTTTCCATTAAAGCAAATTTACATGGTCACTATTGCTCTACAGAAATGAAAGAATTTTTAGGACTGGATGATAGAAGGAAACTTTGCATGGCTTTCAACACTATGATGAATTTTTAAAAATTAATAAATAGTGTATTCTTACAATATTAAAAGGGAATTATATAGACATTTCTTTGAGTTTCAAAAGTATATCATAGTTTTTATTTCCCCAAGAGCTTAGCCTGGATGAAGTGAAGGTAGGGGTAAAATGGTTGGGAAAGTAGGTATGATGTTGAGGGGACTGATGTAAACTTTATCACCTCATCAACATCTTTAGTCCTTTCTTAATTCTGAGGGTGAAGTGCTTTTAGGAGAAAAATCAGTGGCCTATTGTCTCCTGGAATTCAACTCCAGGAACATTTTCCATAATTATATGCAGTGTTTAATGGGGGTGAAACCCAGGCAGAATAAGTCACTTCTTATTAGTATCAATTTCTTTTGCTTTATTCTTTGCAAACTCACTGTCTACCCAACTCTACCTGGAAGCCTTTGCTCACACCACCATTAAATGGTGTAACCAAGGTTTAAGTCCAGCACCAGAGCTCACATTCTAAATCACTGGTTAACTCACATCACCGTTAAGCAACTTGACCAGGTCACACAGCTAAGGGCAGAGAAAGATAAAGACTATGAACAAGGTGACTGTATCTCACAGTTTGTCTGGGCAATCTCAGTTTATACTTATTATTCCTGCATGAGTAATATTGAAGGAAACAGTATTACTTATGGAGAATTAATAATGATCAACTGAGATTGAATCAGCCTCATGAATATTATATGGTTACTTTCGCATTACAATTATAATTAAAAGGCTACTTGGCTCATACTTTTTTATTTACCCAAATTTGTTTGATTCAAGTAAGTTTATTTATTTAGGTAGGTTTTTTTTATTTTTTTAAAACCTCAGTAACGTACCAAAGCATTTCATCTACAGATCAGATTATCTCCATCTATGGCATTTCACTCAAGCCAAGTAAAAAGCTATTTCTCATATGAAAAATAAATAACAGACCCTAGTGAGAAAAATAGTAATACACTCTTTGTAAGTGCATGGTCAAATTATAAAAAAAAAAATAGTTTGAGGCTAAAAGAAACAGGAGAGAAGCAGACACATTTTTAGACATGTCACAACATTTACAGTGATTTTAGGTGAAAAGAGCAGTAAATTTCAATAGACTGAAAAAATTTGCAGCACAGCAGGCCTAGGGGGAAAAAATCTGTCTTTTACCAAGATCTTAAAAACTTCTGTTGTCAAAGGCCTCTTGAAATGTGAAGATGCTGTATATTGTCTTCAGAATTCTGCATTTATACTATTGTTATTTTAGCATTTTCTAAAATGTCTGCAATCCTCTGTGGGATCCTTGAAAGTAATGTAGGTTTATGAAGGTGTCTTCAATAACCCTTAGTGCTATCACCAATGAATATTGAGACTAAGGTCTGCCATGAATAAGTCTCATGCCTACTTAAAAGTTTCTGGCTGATGGTGAGGAGAGCCAAAGGGAGGAGCCATCTAATCTCAGTTGCTGTCCTCCTTCTCCTGACATTCTCAATGCCCTTGTTTATAAGTGTCCTAGCTCCAGCCATTTCTGCCACATAATACTTCTTTTATTTTATTTCACTTTTCTTAGAATGGTCTATGCTTTACTCATCAGCTTCAAAACTCTGCTCAGACTCAGCTTCAGGCATGATTATGATGTGTTTATATGGTGCTGGAGAACCTTTGATCATGTTAGAGGTGGGTACAGAAACCAGGGCTGGGCCAAAACAAAAGAAAATAGAGGTTTCATTTATTGGGATTCTTTTCCCTCATTTTGAAATTCCAATGCCCACATACACACACACACCCCTGAAATCTATGTTAACAAGTACATCCATACAAATGAAGCACACACATTTTAGAACTCATCATATACATGAAGGTTGCCTGTTCCAGTGCTCTTGTATATAATTTTCAGCTATCATCAAAAGTTTTGTTTGTTCCTGCTCACTCTTCTTTAATGATAGTGTTTAAAATGGCAATGAATCCCTGATGATGAAAAGAAAGATAATGATCAGTTTTTTATGTTCTCCCAATGATTTACTTCATTGACTAACACACCTCTGTGCTCCTAGTGAGTTACAAGTTGGATGAATATTCACCTAAATATTTTGGGGTAGTTGCAGAGGCCAGGAGTGGCCAGAATTCCTGCAGCAATTGTTCTGCCTTGTTTGTAAAGCCCGTGGTACTTTATAAACACAAGCATTTTCTTCGTGTGCTATCACTTAGGAAAGTTTTCTTGAAATAACCCATTAAAAATCATAATAATGATGGTTTCAAAAGCACAGCATTTGGTAAATAAATCTGGGAATATTGGAATCTTAAACTCATTCAAGACTGGCTGTCTACAGAACTAGTCTACTCTAGGTGTCTGAAATGTTCTTTTCATTTCTAGGTAATTATGAATAGAGTGGGCCCCTTGCACTTAAAGCTATATCCACAAGTGGCAGACTTTTCATAATTTTTATATTTATACCTATTGCTAAAACAATAGCAATCCCTTATATTTATAAATTTTATCACAGTTTATAAAAAAAATTCATGTACATGTACTCATTTACACACTTCCAGGGAGATTTTCCTGATATCTCAGAAAATTGGTTATGTACTATATTCTCTATGTACTATAATAAAACAGAGATGTGCCATTAAAGCAAAGGTAAGAATGGCAGCTTTTTTTTTTTTTTTTGAGACAGAGTCTCGCTCTGTCGCCCAGGCTCTGGAGTGCAGTGGCGCGATCTCGGCTCACTGCAAGCTCCGCCTCCCGGGTTCACGCCGTTCTCCTGCCTCAGCCTCGCGAGTAGCTGGGACTACAGGCACCAGGCTAATTTTTTTTTTTTTTTTTTCAGTGGAGATGGGGTTTCACCGTGTTAGCCAGGATGGTCTCAATCTCCTGATCTCGTGATCCGCCCGCCTCGACCTCCCAGAGTGCTGGGATTACAGGCGTGAGCCACCGCGTCCGGCGAAGAATGGCAGCTCTTAAGGCTCAGAAGAACATGCTCTTTCCTCAGCCTTGAACTCAGATCTTACCAACGGCTTTTGGACTTTTGCCCAGGGCAAAGCAACATGACCCCATCAACCTCTGCAATCAGATTTAACCCTCACAAAATAAATACTAACTACATACATTCACATTAGGCACATTAAAAAAAAAAAAAAAAGAATTGTGACCTCTCTCCAGCCAGTTTCTTGTCCATGGAATAAAGAGAGGTTGCTCAGTGGGCTTTACCCAAGATGGTCTTTGCTGCCTGGTGTCAACTGGAGCAGGGAGAGAATTCAGGAGAAAAATAACAGAGTCTCGACTTGGATTTAATTGCTTTTCACCTTTGCCCAGAGAGAACACCATCCCAGGAGAAAAAAAGCGTATAATCAGTTAGAGTGCTTTGAAGACATCAACAGCTTAACGAATGTAAACTAACAGACTTTCAGCTATGGGAGAGAGCACCAGAGGTCACCTGCTTTTTATCCCTATTTCCCCGCAGGACTGCACTGAAACCTACTCCTAAAAACCTGGGCATATACTAATTTCCTAGCCAAAACCTGCAATATGCAGTATAGAATTGCTGAACTCAGATAGTTATTAAACTCATTTTTTTGCTGAAACACAAATTTTTTTAAAGGATATTACCACTTGACTTAAATGTGAAGATTGCATTTTCTTGAAAAAGAACAAAAGAAATATGCTTTCTGAAACAGGTCTGAATTGATCCAATATTTATTTGAACAAGAACAATTGTAAAGACTTTGAGATAAAAGAATTTCATAGCTTCCAACAGTATATTTACCAGGGTTTCATATATGCAATAATAATTTGGTGTCTTTAAATTAAATTTCTGGCACTGTATTTTGGGTGTATTTTCTTTTCTGGATAAAAATGATTATTTTCTACATTATCCATTCTTTTAAATGAGAATTTCTACCAAGCATACACTTTTATGCATAAAACTATATTTCTTACCGTTTATTTTCTATCTTGGTATTAAGTCACACAATAAGTGTTAAATGTATTTGCATTTTTTAACAGTCTACTTTGAATTAAAAAATTGTACATGGAGGAAAAGCATCAGGTAGGTCAATAATTGAGAAAAAAAAGCCTTCCCTGACATTAACATCCCAGCTACAACTCCTGCAATTAGTTCTGTCCTGTTGGGGATGAGGAAACTTAGGTTTATAGAGGTAATGCTCACAGAGTTAAAGGAGACAGAAATAGATTTTTTCTTGGCTTCTACCACTACTTTTCTCGTTAAATAATACTGCCTTTAAATGTTCTATACATTGTTGTGCCTTTATAATTTTGACAATGTGAATTTATTATGTCATCAAAATTAAATTGAATAAACAAAAGCACAAAATGTAGTTTTAAGATGTCAAAATCAAAACAAGATTCTGAAGTCTAGGGAAAAAAACAGAACAAAAAAAAACCAACAGTACATTTCGGATCTCTTTACGATATAAGCGATTGTCATTCTGAATATTTCTAAGCTCTTGGTCTCATAGGACATTTATATAATTTCTGCAGTGTTACAATAGAATTACTCCTCCGAGAAATTCCATACTGTGAGAATGGATTCGAGTAATTGAGCTGGCAGATGGTCTTAATATAAGAAATATATTGATACAACAACCACTTACTTTCCTGACCAATGAAGCTGATAAAAGATGGAGTAGAATAGAGAATATATGGAGGAAAACATTCAGGCTGCTTAGACACATGCTGTGGGAGCCAGAGTCAAAAAATAATCTAACCTACCTCATTCACTTTGATTAATTTTTTCCTCTGGTGGAATTATTTCATTCTCATCTGATTGTTCAAGCCTTTATTTCAATAGGTTTAGTTATTTCCCATTCTTGTTCATGTGAGGTACCAAGACCCACATGTTCATTCTTGCAGTGAAAAAGGCACCTGCAAGCCTCGTTTTCACAAGTTTACAGGTCCATGGATTCTCATTCACTTGTAAGCTCTCACTCACTGAAACCTGTTTCACATGTGTTTGCCTTCATTTCTGCAGATCTCTCACACAGTGCCTGACATATAGTAGATGTTTAATGAATATGTATTAAATGAACTGGCACTGCTCATTAGTGTTAATCCTCCCTTATGACTTTTGTATAGATGAGTTACTGCTTTCCTTAGGTAGGTTACATAAGTCACGTATATCCTTCCAGAAATTGCTTTTTGCTTACTAAATCAGGTGTACCATCCAAAGCTGGCATATCAAATACATATAATCTTAGTTACTTTAATTGTCCTTCTGTAGAGAAACTGTTACTTTCAGCAAACACCTCTAGTGATGATGAAATTGTGAGAAAAGTATAGGTTTTGAAGTTACAGGTATTCAGATTTAAATTCCAGCTCCCAGATTATTAGCCATGTGACCATGAAGAAATTACTTAACCTCCCTGATACTCAGTTTTCTCATTTGTAGTAACATCTGTAACATCTGGCTTTTGGGGTATCTTAAGCATTGCAAGAATATCAGGAGGTCAGCACAGTGCCTGCAGCACAGGAGAGCTCGGGCAAAGACACTTACTAGTGTTCTTAAATTTCACATCACGCATAGCACTCCAAACCTGCTCATCTAAGGGAAAGTATTAAAACTTTTATAATAACTATTATTTATTTAAATTCAAAATGTATGAAAATAAATCCCGGCTAGAATAGGATGAAACGTTTAATTTAAATATGCAAATTAGAACAGCAGATGTTAATAGTAAGTGATAAAATACATGACCTCATGTATTAAATTGCCCCGATGCTTCTAATTCATTTGGGACTATTTGGTATTATTTAGCTAGTCCTGAAGGTCGAAAGAGTAAGACCATCTGGGGTCTATTGGGGAATGGTGGAGTAGCACAAATAAGTATGAATCTGGCTGGCTTTTCCGTAATCCATTTTACACACTCTCAGAATGTCAACATTTGAAGGTCCACAGGTTATAGTGCTGCCAGATAAGATGTAAGGAGTAATTTTGATCTCAAATGCCAGAAAGAGCTTTTAAAAAGCTGTTACATTATGATTTAATTGACAGAATATTCTAATATATTCTTTTTTATTCATTCATTTGTTCTTTCTTAAGAAAGGCTATTCAGTGCCTACTATGTTCAGGTGTTGAGATCAATGCTGAGATTGTGAAACCAGTCTTTATCATCATGCAATTTTTAATATAATGAAGAAAAGGATTTAGAGTTAGGCATATTTAATAAAATAACATAGGCCTATAAGTTATAAAATACAATTTAGATTATTTTTCAATTATTTTCAAAACAAGTGATTTAGAAAAAAGAGTTTTTTAACTTGGTCAAAATATAGCATTTGCTGTTCGCATAGTGGGGTCAGCAAATTAGTGTTATATTCTGATTTGCAAATCACAATATTCCTACATTTTAAATCTGTGCTCTCTTATGATTCTTTTGTCTGGGATTTTTGTTAATTTTTCTAAATGCATTTGCTATTGGTAATTCTTTTTCTTTCAGAATTAGTGGAGAGGTCAGCATAGAAGCATATTATTGAAGTCTTTAAATGCTTTTCCAAGTTAAAAAGAATTAAAAGGTAGAAAAACTCTCACAGACTGAGCAGTCACAAGGGGATCATCTATGGCAGTAGTAGTAGATGTTGTAGCAGTAACCACAATAACTAATATAAATTCAGCTCTTCTTGCACATTTATTACAGTAATAAGTATATATAGTTGTTCTCATAAAACCTTCTTTGATGGAAGGTTCACTATTTTAATTTCTATTTTACAGGTGAGAACATTGAGAATCAAAGAGATTATGTAATTTTCTGAAGGTTCTACAGTTAGTGGATATGCTCTATAGAAGCAAAGGTGAACAAGAGAACCAAAGTTCTTAATGCCCCTGAACCCCAGGCCCAATCCCTACAAAATATACAGCCTTTTGGATCAAACTGCTGATGTCTGCAGGCAGCATGTCAGCTGGGAAATGTCACCACCTCTACATTTCCAGAACTGTGTTAATACTCACAACCTGTACAACCACCACCACCACTCCAATTAAAGCCTATCAATGTATCAGGCTTTGTGCATTATATGAATTTTCTAACATTGTTCCCAAATCAACTCAAAAGAATATCATTACCCTAATTGCTAGATAAGAAAATCAAGATGTAGAAATTTCATAAATTGCCCAGTGTGCTGGAATTCAAATACAGGCACATCAGCTCAGGATCTGTATTGATTCCCACCAAACTAAACTGCAGCTTTGGGCAAAAGGCTGAAATATATTGACTCCTATCAGCAGGTGTTATGAGTGTTGGGAGCATTTAGCAAACCTTCCTCTTCACCTCCCCGCATACATAACCTAAACTCAGATTAAGCAGAGAGAAGCATATCTCCACTTTGATATTTGGTAGACCTCATGGAAAGTAGCCTATTGGTTCTGTAAGAATCGCATTCTATCTCCACTTCTCTTTCTCAAACTTTTACCTGACACTTTCCAAACTCTTTTTAAGATTAACTACTTTTCCTTTCACTGATACTTTTTCTCCTTTTTCTTGTATCAGTATTTTCCTGCTTCCACACAAACACACAAACATATGAACTGATATTTTTGAGATCTACTCATTTTATCTCTTTACTTTGACTGAAGAATAAGAATATTTTCTAGAATTATTCATTTAATTATTAAAAAATATTTTATCTTTGATTGTTAAGCATCCCATTAAACTTCAGGAAGTCTTTTTCAGAAAGAATTTTTAAAACTATTTTAATATAATATTGCTACATTAAATAAAGAAAAAGATTTTGAACAAAGAAAATAGAATATTTGTTTATAATAGCTACCTCTTTATGCAAAAAATTTTTTAAACTGTAGAATTTAGAGAACACTTTCTGAAAAAGTTATCATGTTTCACACCTCTTAATGAATAGCAGATGTTGACAATGAATTTTAATTTCTCTATTTTATGTTTATTACATATATATTTTAATCAAACTGGAAAAGTGAAAGCAATTGTGAAGTCTTAAGAGCTTTAAAAGAAGGTTATTTCGAGTATGAAGTAGATGAATGCAGTTTTTCATTGTGACAACAGTGCCACCTAGTGTTTTATCTAAAACTATAAAATAAAAATTTAAATTTTGGCTGCAAATAATAAGCCTTTATTTATACATAGGCTAATATCAGACATTTTAAATGCGAGCAAAAGAGAAAATATTACTTTTTAAAACATCAAAAGTAAGTTATTAAAATTCTTATAGCCCTTTTAGTGTAGAAAAAGGTTAATTTCTCCTTTAATGAAGAATAGGACTATTCACTCTAGAGGCACAAAATTGCATCTTTATCATAATTATTCATCTAAAATAAGAAACTTGTCAAATTAATCTACTATAGTGAAATTTTGTCTTATTTAATTAGAATTTAAGGAAATGATATCTGTGAATTAATAAAATATTTGAATTTAATTTTTAATTTTATTTTTAAATAATAGATTCTTCTATATAGTTATCAAGATGCACTAACATAGAAGAAAGTATAATAAATGTCTGGAAATTCTGTAATTATTTACAGTCACTCTTCTATATGCTGATCTAGGCAATTAAGGTGACTAAGAATTATTAGTTTCTTCATGAGGTTTAAACTTATACAAGCACTTATTTTTAATAATATGGCAAAGTAATACAAATATAAACTTCAGCGTAGCCTTTGTCAAAATTGTCACAAATTCATTCTACAGTCTTGGTATTTCTAAAATAACTTTAAAAGGAAATATTTTACAAAACTTATTTAACTAGTTACAAATATATACTTACAATGTAAGCATTCAAAGTTTGTTAATGCAATTAATATTTGTTCAAAGGGTAACTACTTCTCTATGAAAGGCATCTAAAGCTCAAATTTAAATGACTTAGGATTTTGTTTCCTGAACACTTCAAACTGTTCTCTAAAATAACTCTCCTTTTCCCATTATGCATAGAAACAGCTCAATACTTTCCATGAGCATGAGCAGAAAATTATTTGACTGCTCTTCTGTGATATTTCACTGCTTCATGGGGCATGAATTGCATTAAGACCAAAATAAAAGAGGCTAATAATAAACACTAGACTTCCTTTTCTTTTCTTTGCACATAATATATGCTCAACAAATGTTTACTTGTACTCCCATTCCCTGTTTAACTGAGTATTACGTTATATTTCATTTATCTAATATTTACTTCCTCAAGTTTTGTAGATAATAAATGGGATTCTCTTTTATTTTTATGCTAAACACAACCTCAGCCTCCTCTTGCATAATTTGTTGTTAGTCTTATGCCTAATTTATGATCCAGGAAGGTGAGATACACAGCATATTCATAAGAGAGTTTGTGGCAAATGCTGTTAGTTAACCCAATATATTACCGGCCTCATTCTCATTTGCTCACCTTTCTTACAGAAGCATGCCAGGAACCCCAAGTGCTTCTTGGAAAGCATTGGGTTATTCTATAAAGGACTGAATGAATTACTGGCTCTATCTTTCCTTTCCTCTCTTCTTCTTCCCTTGAACATGAACTTGATGCCCATAGCTTTAGCAGCTGTCTCAAATCTGTTACAGAATGACCAAGATAATTTTAGAAAATTCCAGTCCTGATACAATTAACTACTGAATTAAATCCAGCAGACACTTATTCCAGATTTCCTGTTATGTGAAAGAAGAAACAAAAATTTAAGTCATTAGTCACTGGGTTTTGTAATACTTGCAGCTGAAAATCATCCTGAGTTGTCTAGAAGTAGAGGTTCAGATTATAGTAATTAAACCTCTAGGCACATTAACCTGAATAAGTTTCAGCAATGAAATAATTGATTGTTATATTTTATAAAGAACTGGCATCATGGAAGATATAACATTATCAGGAATTCATCAGTTGATCAAAAACATTTGAGTGACAATTTCATAGTGAACCATGATCAATATTGTAAGCTACAATTTATATAAAACATGGCATTTGAACAAACTGCACTCACAATTATATGAAAAAATAAATGGCTGACATAACAATATATCCGCTATGTGTCAAATAGATAGACAGGCAATACAGCTTAAAGTTGTGCTTATAAATATGGACATTGGTGGCTGTGTAGAAACTAGATAGAGAGAAGAGTGAAGGCGCTCCAGGTGGAGAAAAAGTAAGGGAAAAAGTCTGGAGATGGATGTGTGTGTTTGTACTGCCTGCGAAGTGGTCAGTAGGGAAATAGGCTTATATAAAAACATCTGACTCTTTTCCTTAGGCTTATGTTCACTTGGTTATCAAGAAAGGTGATTTGAATTCTTTTGTCTGGGAATGTGATGATCAGTCAAAAGAGAATGAAAGAGTAGTTTAAAAAGATGACATTGGTAAATTGAGCAAAGATAATCTAAACCCATGGGGCAAAACACAATAAATTATTGAGGACTAAAGACTTCCGAAAATAACAATGAATGCTAGTTTGAAAGTACATATAAAATCATGAGTCCATAACCTATACTTAAAAACCTGTCTATGACTAAATGTCAGTCACTAGGACATGGATAACTAGGAGCATCAAGTACTGAAAGTGATGGACTGATAATTGATGCTATGGTCTCTGTTAAAACCTGTGAGTGCTTTATTTGTCCTTCACTTAAAAGATGAACATGCAGCTCAGAGTCAACAGCATCTGGACTCTTGACATTCGGAGATTTTTGTCTGAGTTGCTAAGTATAATATATATATTCATTTATTTATCTTTTCGACAAATATGTATAACATGCTTGCTCTGTGCCAGAAATTGTAAGGGCTATAGCAATACTGGGAACTTAACGTTATTCCTCACTCTTACTCCTCATGCATCTGATCACAAACTTACCTAGAAACTACTGGATTATAAATAGAAGGTAAGAGACACTAGTGTTGACAATGTTTCAATGCAAGGCATAATGAGAAATTTACTACACAGCATTAGCTGAGGAAGTTCTTCTAATTGTTGGAAGAAGGCATAGAGAAATGTTACCTGCATTTGGGAGTTAATAGCTTTAGTTAAGTCTTTTTCTCCAGGAATGAGTAAAAAAAGACCATCTTTCTTTATCTTTTTTCATGGGCATAGATGTTCCATTAATTATAATTCTTATCCATATTTACTTTTATTGTAATAATTTTCATTTATGTAACCCCCAAATATCCTTTGTGTCTGGCTTTTCACTTACTATTTCCAGTTTCATTGCATGTGTATTTCAACATCCTCTCAAAATTCAATCTTAAACTGACCCTTATTTGAAATTATATTTTCTTCTGTGCTTGCTTTAAAAGTTTCTTATTCCATATTTCCTGCATCCTAAATAGGTGTTCGTGTGTGTGCGTGCGTGTGTGTGTGTGTGTGTGAAGATAGGCATAGTTTTCTCCCCAGGCAGACTAAGGGGACAGAGTAGCAGACCAGGCACATAAAACATAAACATTATTCCAAAAGAGAGAAGGAAGGATTTAGGAGAAGGGAAATTTAGATTTCAGAGATCCAGGAAGACAAAAAGATGAGGAAGCAAGTGATCCTACAGTTAACTCTAGAAGTTATGAAACTGCTTGTTTTCTTTAAAAGTAACTTAAATATACAAGAAATCTCCATGAACTTAAATGTTTCTATATTTGGGTCATCCTGATTTCTTCTTCTTACTTAGACTGAATAGAATAATGGTCTTTGTGTGGCAATGTGGAGGAAAGGGACTCTTCTGGTTGTACATAGGGCAAATTATCATCCCATTCAATGGGTTTTATAATCAGTTTCTGCACAGAAACACTGGACCATAAGTAGCAGTCTCATCTCGGCCTTCATGAAAACATTTTTTCTGATTGAAATAAATGATGAAGATCATTTTGAAGTGAGTTCTCAGTCCCTTATGATGCCTCCATGCCCCTAGCTCTATTATTGCATCACTGTCAAAAGGATGCAAAGCCCACATTAGTGACTCAATGTGCTCATAGTGGTGGGATTGAGAAATGGGTTGCAGTTGTTGGTCCATTCTAAATCTTTTTTCTTGTTCTTAAAAAAATGCTGAAAAACTCGAATTGACAAGATATTGGTTTTCAGATAATGGGAATTAACCTTGATGCATAATGAAAGTGTTTCCTGGAGCATTTGGATTGTATTATGAGACACAAATCCATCAGGGTTTGACTTTCCCTAAGTGTTTTTTCTCAGAAGTATATCGTCAGTATAGCGACCATGTATATACAATCTTACTGATTAGAAATATGGAAAATGAACATGGTGTAACATTTTATGATTTCCCAAGAAGATGGATATATGCTATAGCTTGCCCCCTTACCATATAAACACTTAGAAAAAAAATAGCTATCACTACTCATGGGCCTTGTTACTTATGAACAAGAAAAATATCATCTTGTGCTATGGCTGTCATTAGATGGTTGACAGATTTGGGAATGGCATATAACAAGATGTCCATAGTTATCTAAGGCAAGTGATTCGTCTAGTACAAAATATAAATCAGTCATCCTGTGGATGCTTATCAAACTATGTACCTGGTAAAACAAACTAGTGAGTGAATGGTATGAGCCACCTACTTCCATAATTGGACCAGATTTGCAACATGCATTTTTAAAAGTCAGGTCATTTTCTAAAACGTGGCACCAGTTTGTTTTAGGAAAAAAAAGAAAAAAGAAATATGTGCAAAATCTGTTTCTTCTAAGCTCTAGATAGCTTATCCTGATGCAAGGAGGTAACCTACTAAAGTATTAAGAGCAACTTATTACTTTCTCCATCAGATGCCACTTTAAGTAGGAGCTGAAAATGACAAAATGAGCTTCCATTTGGAGAAAAAGCAAGCTTGCAAATTTGGCAAGTAGATAGTTAAGAAGAAGAACAAAATGCAGAAAGCTATATTGTCAAAGAAACTGCAGCAGGAAGGTGCACAGTTTATATGATGATACTGCAATCATTTAGACACATAATATTGAGTGTGACAATGCCAAAATTATTTGGAGGTGCAGATATAAAGTTATCAGGCTGTGGATCAGGAGGATGGTATTTTCCTCTCTAATGATAAACAAATTCTACTTCCAGAATCCCATTTATTTATAGACATCTCATTTGAAAAACAATGTAGACAAATTGGGAAGCAGTCAGAAGAAATGCAATGCTGTGATTAAGCGGCTGATGAGCAGGGACCTTCAAATAGTCAAGAAATTAAGCCTAAATGTAAAAATCTGGCTAAGCAACAGCACAGGATGAATGTAACTGCTATAAAAGAATAAAAGCTGATGAAAGATTGTATTGAAATTAGGGCAAGTGGGACCGTATTTGAAAATCTGTTTCTTTGTCTTCTAAATGATATCACTGTTATGAAATTGTCTTGGCAGAGACATAACACATCATGTAGAGTTTGATTCAATTAAAACTTTTCCTGACCAGGAAACACACTCTGGTTCCAACAGTAGTGAAGAAGAAGGCCATTCACAGTCCTGAGATCTGCACAGTTCTTGGGAGTTAGATGATAGTGCCCAGAATAATGTCGCAACCAAGATAGTGAAATAAATAATAATAAAAATAAATCCCTATGTATGTGTCAGGTGCTGTTTTGAATACTTTACTTGTATTAACTTATTTCTTCCTTGTCACACTTGTATGTGCTACTCTTCAATGTTATCTGCATTTTTCAGATGAGCAATGAAGCACAGTGAGCTAGTAGGTTTTAGAGCTGAGGTTCAGGTCAAGTGCTGCTTCTACAGCCTTCACCTCTAAGCCAAGCTGTTGCTCCATGAACTCACATTCTTCTCATTCAAAATACTTTATTCCTTCTTCTCCTACTCCACACAAACAGTTGTACCGTTACCCTGAAATTTGTGGAGGGCCTCTACATTCCCTTTCCTTAGTGTTATGCCCACATAAGACAGAACTGGCAGGTGCAACAGCAGGACAAGGCTCAGATTCATAGGAAGTCTCCCTTGTGAGGCTGCAACAAGTCTAACTCGTAAACATGATCTGGTTTTGAATAATTAAGAGCAAACCTTAGTGGGGTTGGTCATATATAAACTAAAGAAATCTGCAGCAATTCAGGTTAGTGTGGCTAAAATGTAGGTGTTTGAAATGATTTTGAATATTGACCTTTCCATATGCTCAGAAAGTTACTCAACTTCTCATGGCTTAAGTTTTCTCATCTCTAATTTGAGGATGGTGATATTTACCTGGCCAAGTGTTTGTAAAAGTTTCAATTAATATTTATTAAAATAGCTCTTTGCCTAACACATAGTGAGTGTCATAGAAATGGAATCTGTTATTATTACAAGGGAGTAATAATAAACCTATCCAGGCACAGGGAGCCAGACCTCAGCAGAAGAACACTTAGCAAAGGAGACAAGAGGGTAGCAGTTTAGTGATCAGGGACCAGGCCTCTATAGCCTGGATTGGGAAGATGCAATCCATATTGAAAAGATCAGTGGAGAAATGGAAGCCTGAAAGTAGGACATAATCAGGAACATGGCCAGAATTGTGTCCAGAAAGGTGAATTAAGGTAAATTCCCTTGCAAGCAATCACTACTTCTAAAATGACAGCTTTTAGATGGTCTAAATAGCAGCACTCTTGTGTTACATCAATTTCTAAAATCTTGGTATATCAACAGGGATTTTTGTTTTGTTCTGTTTTTCTTTAGAAGAGGTTCACATTATACTATCTTCATCTTAGGGCTCCTGGTATGACATGTAGTTGAATCACAGAATATGGACTTAGACAGGATTTTAATGCCTATTACTAGCCTTATATATTTGGAGAGGCTATATAGCTGTAATGTGTCTTAAAAAGGTTCAATATATAGCTGCTCTAAAGGGTGCTGGGAAGTTTAAGTGAGATAGTAGAGGCCAGATATTACATATCACCACTCTGAAGAGCAAACCTCTTGAGTGTTCTTTAATCACATACTGGATTTTTTCTTTTTTTTTTTTTTTTTTAAGACGGAGTCTCTGTCGCCCATGCTGGAGTGCAGTGGCGCGATCTCGGCCAACTGCAAGCTCCGCCTCCCGGGTTCACGCCATTCTCCTGCCTCAGCCTCCGGAGTAGCTGGGACTTCAGGCGCCCGCCACCACGCCCGGCTATTTTTTTTTTTTTTTTTCGTATTTTTAGTAGAGACAGGGTTTCACTGTGTTAGCCAGGATGGTCTTGATGTCCTGACCTCGTGATCTGCCCGCCTTGGCCTCCCAAAGTACTGGGATTACAGGCGTGAGCCACCGTGCCCGGCCAGTCACATACTGGATTCTTATTATTCTAACAGAAGTGATGTGGACTTGGGAGGAAGCAAGGAAACAATGAAAGATTTTTAACTTAATCATCATGTAAACTTAAAACATAATTTAGCTCAGCACCACTTGGGTAAGTATTTCAATTCAGGACTCCTCTCTTAACTCTCAACGGTCTTTATCTACTCCTTTCTAAGGTACAGGGTGAGTAGGGGTTATTTAATATTCTACCAATGGAGAGAGGAGAGATCTGGGTTCCCATGCTATCTTAAATATTTGTTCAAGATACCAAACGAATATGGTTGCTTTGGACTTGTTCCAAAATGTGTAGAAGTATGGCTGGACCTAGCTTATTCGTACCTATGCAATGATGTAAATCTAGTCATTCTCTCTCTCTCTTTGCATCATGATTTTTTCTTCATTACTTCATAATTCTCATCAGTGAGTTTTCCTTTCTTAAAAAAAGCAAATACATAACTCTTCTGATCTTATTTCTTCACCTGACCACCACCCCATTTCTCTTCTCCCCTTTACAGCAAAACATCTGCAAAGATTTGTGTTTGTTTTTTTGTCTCTGATTCCTCTCTTGCATCCCATCCAGCCAGACTTTGTCCCTCATCACTCCAATGACATTGATCTTATCAAGGTCACCAATGGCCTATGTGTAGCTAACCCCAATGGCCAATTATTAATGCTTGTCTTACTGGATCCAACAACAACCATTATCAAAGATGATCATCCCCTCATCTCTAAAATACTCTTTGTAATAGGCTTCAGAGGCACCTAATTCTCCTAATTTCTCTCCAGCCTCATAGATCATAATTTCTCCTCTTGGTTTCTCTTCATCTTCCCGCCTTTGAAATATTGAATTATATTTGGTTGAGTCTTCCAACCTCTTCTTGCCTCTATCCGTTCTCATCTGTTGGTGATTTCATCCAGTCTCACAGCTTCAAAACTACCTTTTGTGAATGACTCATAAACGTGTGTCTTGAGCCAGACCTCATTCCTGAAGCACAGTCTCATAAGTGTAACTGTCTCCTTGACATCTCTTCCTCATTGCCTAACAAGTATCTGAAATGTAATAAGTTTGGAATAAATTACTGCTCTTCTCTTCACTCCCAACAAGTTCTCTCCCAGTTTTTTCCTCAGTAAATGAAATTCTCTTTTTCCAGTTGTTCAAGCCAAACAATTTGGAGCCAATTTAACTGCTGTCTTTCCGTAATACCTCATATTCTAATCCATTAGCAAATTCTGTCAGCTCTAAATTCAACTGCTTCTCTAAACTTTTTAATGCCCAGTTAAATCCCACCTCTTAAATAAACCTTTCTTGGACTCTCTGTTTTCTTCCTCCACTGAAATATAAAGCTGTGTTTATCTAACATCATCCACTTGGGCATTAAACTCTGTTCCTTCCTTCAAGTGTCTGTCTGTCTATCTATAATTAAATTAATATATTTTATATGGTATGTTTTTGTCTTCCAAGTAGATCGTGTAGGGTATCTATGTCATATTCCTTTCTTGTCTGATTTTCTAGCATTCTATCTCCCATCACTATCCCCATACAATTCTCCCAGACTATTATGGGACTCAGTAAGCTCACAATTGAGAAAAAGTGAATTGATGATCCAAATCCTGTTTCATTCACTCAGGCTAATTTTCAGGTAAATTGATTATGGGGAAGTTTGACCTACCAGTTTTTTTAGACCCTTTGTGTAGAAAATAAAGATTTCACATGTAACATTTAACATGTATTTTCTGATGAAAATGGAAAAAGTAAATTTTGCACTAAAGATAAAGTAATAACTATGGAAGTGCTTCAACTCATTTAGCATAATACTTGGAAAAGTCTAAAAGTAATCCTTAGGACAGAACAAAAATGTATATTATTTTTATAAACATTGATATCTGCTTCCATTTGTAGAAAAATCTACTAATTTCTATGTGTAATAAATTACTCAAAAAATCTTTTACCTCATATGAATTATATAATCAATTTTAAACAAACAAAATGATGTATTGTTATCAAAGGAGTCAATGAATTAGAATTTATGTGCAGGTAATTTCAGCCTTCTTGAGATGCTTGGTCTACCCAGGAAAAGGGCAGACAGAGGTGGAAGAAATAAGATGCCTGATGATCCAACCCGTAGACAGTATTTATAAATATATTTGAGAAAGGTGTTTTTCTAGCGGGAAAAAAAGGAAAACAGACTAGAGACAGCAAGAGGGGAGACTAATTAAAACTCTTCTGTAGCACAGCAAAATTAAATGATTATGGTTTAGATTACGGTGATGATAGCATAGGGCCAGAAGGGGATGTGTTGGAAAGCAATTTAGCATGCCCTCTTTTTAGGGCCTGGTATGGAAGAGTGAAAGGGTCTTTAGGGCAACTCTTCAGTGCCTGGTGATGTCATCTCTGAGATAGAATCCATGGAAGATGCTGTGGACAGGAGGAGAACATAAACTTTGTACTTTAAAATTGAGTGTGAGTACTTTAGAGATCTCTAAGTGGAGCTATGAAGCAGGAAGGGAGTCACATTTTTGTGCATCTAGGAATCAGAGAAATGTAGGCTTGACTTGGTATTCATTACCATGTAGTTTAAACTTAAGGCTGTGTACATGAACGAGGTCTCCTAAGGAGAGAGCTCAGAATAGGAAGTAAGAAGGACTAGGATTCAAGCCTGAGGAACTATGACATAATCTGGACAGGTTGGAGGTGATAAGTCAAATGAATCTCACACTCCTGGGCTCAAATGATCCTCCTATCTCAGCCTCCTGAGTACCTAGGACTACAGACACACACCACGGCACTCTGTCCTTCTGTTATTTTAATAGGGGAGTGATTAAATCATGTTTTACATCAACAGAAGTGTGTAATTGATGGGGGAAATTGGATTGTGAAAGAATCTTGAAGAGGTGCCAGGGCATAGAACCCAAAAGACTGGCAGAGGGTGGCACCTAGACGAGGAAATCACCTACCACACAGAGAGAAGGGAGGGAGGACAGGAGTAGCATAGGAGGCCAATGACTTCTATGTATACTCTGAGATGATAGGTTTCCAATGTAACCTGATCTGTACAAAAAATTATGATCACTTTCATAGTTACTGCTTCAATTTTTCAAGCTCAAACATGGTAAAGATAAATATGGGAGAAAGATAGAGAAAAGGTTGGGGGAAGGTAGATAAGAGTTATTGGTTCTGTTAGAAAATGGACTATGGAATTAAACTGTTAAAATGAAAATCAGAAGATGTGCTTCCTTGCTTATCTTCCAGCTTTTCTCTCATTGTTGCACATGCTGCTTATTTCACAAAGTCTCTATCATGCCTAGGCAGGATATAAATTTTTAAATCCATTAAAGAGGAAAAAGTATTCCCTTGCAATGAGTGAAAACTCTTGATACTAACCTAGGGTAGAAAAGGATGTTCTCTTACTATAATTGTGGGTACAAGTGGGTTTCCCTGGTCTTTTCTTACGGATATGTGAAGTTTCAAGACAATGCCCTGCAGCCTGCTTGGTGTATTATGAATCGTTTATTATTATTATTTTTTTCCGTCAATTCCAACTCACTGATTTCTGTTAGAATAATATTCCAGTCCACATTCATCCAACAGAACAAAATCAGCATACCTTAATATATTGGCCACCCTATCTTTAGCACTTCAGACAATGCAGGGTGGATGATAATTATGTTACTTTTTGCATTTGTGCATGTGCCACACTGTGCCAGGCACTTTACATATTTTTATTGTTTCTTATCCTTGTGACAACCTTATGAGATACATGTTGTGATTCTCATTTTATAGGAAAAAACATTATTTTTAGAGGCTTAATACATGTGATGGAGGAGGAAGCTGAGGAAGAGAAAGAACAGGAGCACAAGAGGATAAGGAATGGAAGGAGGCTTTTCTGAAGACCATTCAGGTGGGATTCAAACTCAGGGTTTTGCAGCTTTGACACTGAAGCCTGTGCTTTTTCCAAAGACACATGCATAATAAAAACAGGAAGAAGCCTGCAGCCTGGGACTACTGGACACTGTGGCTTTCCCACTCCCAGTAGGGAACGAAAGGGAAGAAACTTCTGAAGGAGACATTGCAGGAGCAGCCACATAGAGAACAGGCTCTTCTATAGCAACTCACACTGGATCCCCTGCTTACTATAAAGGAGCCATTGACATCAGCATGGTTTTCAAAACAAGCTATTGACTTAATGTCATGTAGTCTAAAACCATCACCTCGACTTCTGTCATCTGAATCCACACAAAGGATGGTTCTTATTTCAAACTTGAAATCAGAATTCCTTTAAGGATGTTGAGATTTGAATCACTTGTATCTGGAAAAAAAGAAAAAAAAAAGGTCTCTCAAGGCCTCTCCTGGAATGTAATATAGTCACAAACATCCACTTTTGTTTTGTTGATATTCTTTCCTTCTGTAAAAACTAAAGAGAGCATTCTTTAGATCCCAGGAGTAGCTGTCCTTTTAGAGAAAGAGACATAGAAATTTGACACTTTGTGGATTAAGGTTGGAAACACTGTAGAGTAGTTAAAAATAGGCAGTGCTCACTTTCCTCTGAGAAGCACCTGCGTGTCAACAGAATTCTTTATTTGATTTTTGTGTATGGTACTTGAAGCTCTGAGGTGCGCTTATTTAAAAAGCACCCCAAATTGATTTTAACTGAATTTCAAAGATCACCAGGCCACTTAAGTGAAAGGCAACTCTAATCTCCATATATGTTTCCTCAATCTATTCATCATATTAATTAATTCAACAAATATTTACTTCACACCTATTGTGTACCATACACCAGGCTTGGTAATAAGGTTGTAGAAATGTACACAGCATATAAGGTTTCACAGCCTAGTGGAGGAGGTGAGGAATTAAAAAGGGAATCACACACACTGTGGTCCCTGCTGCAATAGCATTATGCCTAGGCTGCTAGGCACAGAGGATTGATGCCTAGTCTAGTGAAGGATGGCAGGGTAACAAAGGTCAGAGAAGGGTCAAGGACAATTTCCCTAAGTAGGTGAAATCTAACTCAGGTTTTGAATGATGAGCTGACAAGACGTAAGAGCGTGAAAGTGTTCCAGATAAAGATGTTATCAAATTTAAAAGCATAAGGTAAGATAAAGAGAATAGACTCTGAAACTAGATTCGCCCAGTTTGAATTCTGGATTGTTGCTTACTAGCTGTGTGACTTCAAACAAGTTATGTACCACCACTTGCCCTCAGTTTTCTCATCTGCAAAATAGGGGTAATAATATTACCTATTGCAAAGGGTTATTATTATGAAAATAAAATAATATGCATAAAGCACCTGGAGAAGTCTAAGCATCATACAATGATTTGCTTGTATTTTTCACATGTGAATGATCAATTAGGGTACATTTGGGTTACTACAAATATCTACATGTGAGGCAGAGAATTGGGTGCAATGAAGTTAGAAGTGGTAGGCAGGAGTAAATCTCATCCAGAAAGATATATGCCAGATTGAAGTCTTGCATTTGTTTATTCTTTCATCTTTTTTTTTCTTTCTAATACATTTATATCAAATTGATAAAATGAAAGAGATATTACAGGTTAAAATATACAATTATTCTCCCTGGTGAGCTCCATAACTAACTTCCTAGAGAGACACTCTTACTTAGTGCAAAGCTGATACATTGACACCCTGTGTTGTCAAACATTATATTCCTAGGGCTAAACATAAGTTAGGAAGAAGATAAATGAATGTCTCTCGGTTTGAAAATGGTTTCTATCCAGAAATGCAGAGTCCAGGGGGTGGTCTTGCTGTTTCCTTAAAGCATAATAATTTTTGCCTCATGTGTTGTTTCCCAAAGTTAGCTGAGTAATTATCTTGAACAATCCATGAGAGGCTAGTAATTGAGGAATAATCACTTTCTTTTCCTATTCCTTTTTAGCCCAATACAAAATGATAGGTACTGTTTCCCAATCCCTCTCACATTTTTATCAGTTTTGTTAAAATCACTGTTTCTGAATGGTACTTTAATTGCTGCGTTCCCTGCTCTGCCAGTCCATCCCATTATTCCCTCCAGCCCATACATTTTCTAAAGAGGTCCCATCTGGAGGAGCAGATGAAGATGGTTGATGTCCAGTGGAACTACCTACACCGGACTAGTATTTTTTAATATGCCTTACTCTCCTTTTGTGGCTAAGGACCCAAGTTCAAATTTTGCTTTGGGTGTGAAAACCAGGATAATGTGAATGAAGTATTTTATTTAACTTAAAATTGAGTAATCATCCCAAAATAGGCTAAATAGATATCTGTGTTGCTAACCAGTCAAAACTTCTGCTTCCACTACTAGAAAATCAAAAAAAGTGGTTTAAGATTTTACAAAATCACTGAGTAAAAGCTTACTTTTCTCTTAGGCCAGTCTACCTCTAGGTGGAATTCTTATAGGGACTCCAGGGCCTCATTTTTTGCTTATTTGTACTAGATTAACCTTTTTAACGTGTAATGGGGCATAACATAAAGACTCTGCACACAGAATCAGGTAGAGATGATTCCAAGTTATGTAACTTCTCTAGCCACTGCTTCTTCATCTGTAAGATTGGGCTAAAAGTGCTTATCTTCTAGGGTTGTTAGAATTATGTGAAAAGCCATGTGAAAGCAAGTAGTGTATTATATACACATGCTCAATGGAAATTATTTGGTCCTCAATGAAATATTGTGTTGATGAGAATAAAATGCATACGTATAGACTTTTTTCAAAATTTTCTCTTGTTAGGAATATTAAACTTTAAAAAGTAGGCCATTTGTGTCTTGAAATATGTTACTACTACTATTAATAAAAATAATAATAATAAAATAATGCTATGCATTAATATTGTCCACCAGGTAACAATAATGTAGTTCTTTCTCATTCTTTGTTAACCTGTGATTTAATAGGATCAAGTGTCTTGCTTCTGGAAAATGCATTATGAGCAAAAGTAATGTGCATTTTTATGAGCTGGGGTACTTAAATGTTGACTCAAGACACTTCAGAGTTCTCTTTTCTTTGGTACATCAACCATCAAGTTCCAAGACGGTGGTTGCTCTATCAGCCAGAATCCATGAATGACTCTGATGAATACAGCTCTTCTGCGAATGGAAGTACAGCATGAGGGAGAAATGAACCTTTCTTATTTAAATGCTCGAGATATTGGGGATAGTTATTACATACCTTAATGTAGCCTATCATGACTGATATGATTACAATAACAATACAAACAGCAATAGCTGCAGCATGTATGAAACACTTATGTGTCACTTTGTGTTGATGCTTCTAATCCCCTTAATAAATCTATGATTTTGATAAATTATTATCCTTGTTTCACTTTTATTGATGAGGAAAGAGATATAGAAAGAAACTAAGCAGCTTGTTTAAGTTGACAAAAACTTGTGAGCCAGGATCTGAACTCAAACAATTCAGCCTTGAAGCCTGTGGTCTTAACTACTGAGATTTACTTCCTCTTGTGTAACTTCAATGATTAATTATTTAGAATCATGGAGTGATTTGGCAACGAGTTTAATAAATGTCTAGATTCTCATCTCTTATAAAGTTTGACTCCAAGGCCATTACAATTTGTATTTTATTAATAGAAAAAGAACAAAGCATTTCCAAAGAATCGAGTTGCTTTTTAAGGGCCAAGAATTGTAGGTGTAAATTATTTAATTTCCATGGTTTTGCAAATTCCATAAGTAAAAGGGGCATTTTCTGCTTGGGAATTGTATTGGTTTGGTTACATGTATGAATTTCCAACACTTTTGGAAGATGTAGTTACCCCATTTGACACTGTCTGTCTCACTGATTGTGTAATTCATGAGTAACATTATATTCTCCTACAAACTAGTTTAGAGTGATGTTCAGCTGTTCTATTTTTACCTCTCCTCTGCTTTTTGCCATTGGTGAGGGGTTCATCTTTGTTTGGCTTCTGTTGTTGTGGAGGGAGGGGAGGGGCTCTGCCCACCTGTGCTGATGTCCTTAGGAGGCCACCCTGAGGTTCCTCTGTCACCACAGCCTCAGGCTTGCACTCGCATAATAATAGACAGTGCTGGTACAGGACTGGCAAAAGCATTCCAATTCTCCTGTCAACAGTGTCTGAATTTCTTTTTTAAAACAGAAATCTCTGACAGATCTCACCATGGACCTCTGATTAGCCAGATGACATGTAGATAAGGTTTCAAGACCTACTACAGGGAATGCAATCGCAGGGTCTGTCACCAATCTTCTTTTTGTACTGCAACTTCTTCATTCAGAGGTGTCAAGAGGGCAAATCTCTAACAAAGGAACTGCAGCGAGAGCAGTTGCAGAGCCCACCACAAGGCAGAAGAGACAGAGTCGGAAACAGATGTGATAATGACAACAGCAGAGCTGAAGCTGCAGCCCGAAAGCGCTCCATAGCCCACTAAAACATCACAGGGCCAGAGCTCCCTATGGCGGAAGCCCCCACGCCACCCCCAAACCTCAGTGGCAGTCTGGTCCAGATCCTTATTTCCAGATAGGCAAAAACATTTTCTGATTTTTCACAGATAAAGGGAGAAACCTAATATTCTTTCCACATGCCTTGTAAATGTACTAGTTAAAAACTTATTACTTATATATTACCTACATCTCTCTAGATGTCATTTAAACATTCATCGGGCGAGGCGAGGAAAATAAATCTTTGTGGATTTTTTTCCTATTGCTTGTTGAGGTCAAGTCTCCTACTTAAATATTTTATATGAGATGAAGCCTTAGCATGTCCACATTCCTTACCAGACATTTCCTTCAAGAGCTTCCCTCATCCTTCCCTACTGCTTTTGCTCCTCTCATCGTAACAGAAAAGTATTATGCAAGATTGTGACAAACTAGCTGTTCCACACCTCTGCAAAGGACAGATCGAGAGGAGATGGATTTTTAATTATCACCAAATTTAGATTAGGCACAAGGAAATCGAGATGAATTTTCTGTTATATGACATGGGAATCAGCTAACAATGGATATTATAAAGTTTGCTTAACTTGGTTTCATAGAATCACAGATACCAGGAGTTGCAAGATTCTCTAGGCAAATATCTGATTTGTCCGGATTAGGAAACTGAGGCCAGAGAGTTAAATGACTGGCCAATTAGTTACAGAAGCATAGAATAACACACAGACTTTGGTGTCAGGATAACCTGGGTTCAAACATGGACTTTGCCACTAATTTGTAGCAGATGCACAACCTCCTAGAGCTTGTTTTCTCATCTAAAAGGTGTGCACAATGGTACCTACCACGCAAGACTTTTGAGAGAATTGAATAGCACTGGGTATGAAAAAACCCCTAAAAATGATTCTCTCTATCAAACTCTGATCATGTTTGTATGAACCAACATTGTCTTTTTTTTTTTCTGTAGAGCAGAAACTTCTGAACTCCAGGCAATGGCCCTTTTCAACTTAAAGATGACATTCTTTGTAATCAAGGAACCAATCTTTCTTTGCAAAAGTTAAGTCAGTCTTGGCCTGAATGTGAACATATTTGCCTGTAGAACATAATTGCCTGTAGAATTCCAGTGAAGGACTGGAAAGGCAGTAACATAGGTCATTCAAAAAAAAAAAAAGCTCTATTTATCCTTTTAACCTCTGTTCATTAACAATAAAGAATAAAGTAAGTACAGAAAATTAACATGCCTTCCATTTACCAGTTGATGTCTAGTGAGTAGAGGGGCAGACCTAGGCTTCGTGGGACCTGAATCTAGCAATTTTGGAATCTGTTTTAAGGGGTAAAATATTAAATCTGGAATACAATATTGGATATAAAAAACATTTAGTGAGAAAATCATAACAGACTATATTTTTTAGAAAACTAATACCACATACATGAATACAGGAATTCTGACAAATTAAATTTTGTATGATTCTCATGAAAGGAAATAAGTTGAATATATAATTCCATGTCTGCATTACTGAGAATATTTCTCTTATTTTGACTAGGCATGAATGAGAACTGAAGTCTCTACTCATAATGTGTTTCTCCTTCACTATATACTATATAGTACACATATATACATATGCACACACGTATATATACTGTATATACACATGTACACATTTGTGTGTGTGTATATATATACACACATACATATATATATATACACATACATATATATACACACACACCTACACACTATATACTTTTAGTGCTTATTGCTATAAGAAAATTCATAGAGTAATGTGACTTCGAGGCCTGCCTCTTCACAGTACTGTGAGGAATCAGAACAGTGGAGTACTCCTGGTACTCCTGGTACCATTTTTCTGGTAGAAGCTATTCCTTACCAGGGCATGGAGCAATAACTTACCTAGCCAGGGAGGAAACTGTAAACCAATAAATATGCCCCATTAATCTAACCTGCAGTATTCCTAAACTGTTTCCTTGTGGCTGAATCCTAAAAATGGCTATAGCTACTCAATACAAGATATTGAAGAATATTTGACCAAGGGGAAAGATAATCTTGACCAATTGTGGTCAAAATCTCTCACTTTTTCAAACTTTACAAAAACATGCCAGTATAAACAAATTTCTCAGAATGAAAAAGAAACTCAAGGCTTGGGAGTGGATTGTGCAAGTAGAGTCTGTAAAGCTTTAACTTTCTTAGCTTCCTGGTACTTTAATAGAGTATAAAGGAAGAAGAGATGACTCAGGAAAAAGAAAGATGAGGGAGATGAGGAAAGGGAAAGAAAAAAATCAAATTACTGCTTTGAAAAAATTTCCGTATAATTCTACTCTGAGTAAAGGAAGTGGATGAGTGATATTGCACAATTCCTCACCAACTTGATATCCCCGCAATCACAAATGTATACATAAGTAATTCAAGTACAATGAAATTTAAAATGTACTGGAAATTATTCACTTAAATGAAAGCTTTTATCTTAAAAATCACTACTAGGGTATATTAAGTATACATAAGCATATATAAGATTATGCTTACAATATATTATATATGCTGAAAGTATATTAAGATATACTTAAGGTATACCTTTATTTGAACAATGGTAGCATTACTCAAACATTTGTAGAACTCTTTTGAAATTGTTTCACTCAGGTAGTGAGTTACGCAAAATATCAGGGTTATTACTTTATTATACCTACTTTAAACCTCAAAACATTTAACACGACTTTATTTAAACCCCCTTTAACAGGTAACACTTAAAAATATTTTTATCATAAAATACATACAGACACAGAAAATTACACTGACTATTCTGTAGCTAATTATTATATATTATAGATACAATATGTATTATATAATAAAAACATGCATCTTATGTATAACCTATTTTAAGATATGCACTCTTGCAACGAACACTCGGATCAAGAAGTAATACTTTTCCAGCTACTCCAAAAGCCTATTTGCACTTCCAATGATAATTAGAACCTAGTCCTTCCCTAAATTAAACTATTTTCCTGACTTTCCTAGATTCATTTCTTGTGTCTCTTTATATTTATCCTGAAAATGTGCATACTTTGATGCTAGCTCTCGAACTATAGCTTATTCTTACTCATTCTGAAATCCAATATGTCTTTTCAGTCTTTTTGAATTCTATGGATTTTCCCCTTATCCCTCTATTTTTATTACAATTTATCCATCATACAACATCGGCCGTCTGATAGGTAGTTTCCCATACTCTACATTTTGCCAGTTGTCAACACTTAATGGTGAAAATCAGCATATCTGTCTTATCTTCTGTATTTTCTGCAGATTGGAGTCTAGAGGTTTGATCAAATTCAGGTTTGATCCCTTTGGCAAGACCATACATGTAGTGTATTATCAGGAGGCATATATTGCCTGGTTTTCTCTCTTTATGTAATGTTTCAGCTCTTCATCAGTTTATTGCCTATAGCTATTAATCACTGAGGGCTGCACAATTGTGATATTTTGTCATATCTTTTATTTTCATTTTCACTTATTAGGCTAGAACTCTTTATTAAAGACATTCTTCCCTTAAATTATTGTTTGGTTACCCAGTGTTTCAATTCCTATTGGAAAGACAAGAAAAATGCTTGATTCCTTAACTTGATTTACAAATTCTCAAGAAAACAAATTGATCTCTGAATCAACTTCTGAAGGTGACTATTCTTAAAAATAATAACATTTTGCATACATGGATATAAACATACCTTATAGATTGCAATTTATTGCAATGAGTATTCTTGTTGAAGTTTAAATTGACCCACATTTGAGCAATGGAAGCCTTTTCAAGTTGGCTCTTGAGTTCTTTCAACGTGTCATAATAGTCTTCAAGGGATTCCTTGCTATCTGGTATGTCAGATCTTATATATTTCCCATGTAAAATCTGGAATCAGTTATTTGTCTAGAAACTCTAATTTATCTTGGTGGGAAAAAGTATTTTGAGACCACTATCTAGCTATGAGTAATGCTCAATGCCCTCTGCATAATTGGATGGATGATTATTTCTAGGCCTTTCCAATGAAAAGAATTGTGAGGTGTTTAAAGATAAAATATGTCATACATTCATATTGATATTTTCAATTAAAATTCAGAATCCATATTATATCTTTTATTTCATATAAGGAATCCTGGTTTTCAAAGACACAGGTGATGATAGAATATTCCATAATTACTAATTTTCTTTATTTCACATTATGTATGGAACAACCTAAGAATAATTATAGTAATACTATCATCTTCCATACAATTGCCAAAAAGAGTTTTGTACATTTTTTACTAATGCCCTCCCTTCCCTGCTCTCCTCATGTTTACTTTTGTACCATTTCTTCTTTATCAGAGCATATGGTGATGACATAATATTCTCTCCAATTTCTAAACCTTCATTTGGTCTCATTTTGTAAGTAGCTACATATTGAATGCTAACCCCAGTCCTTCTATCAGTGTCTCTCTAGTTCTGTTGTTTGTCTAACACTTGTTTTCTAGTACAGCCTGAGGAACATGAATCTCATTCATTGAATCCTTACATGTAGATAGCAGTTTGTGCCCTTTATGCTTCAAGGACAGATTTGTTAGATGTAAAATTCTTGTTGCATTTCCTTTCCTTTAGTAACTCAAATATATTACTGCATATATATATGCATAATATATATATATATATATATATATGTTGCCTAAAGCACCACAGCCCCACAAAGACCTGATGATAATCTATTTTTTTGTTCCCTTTATTTGTACTATTCTTCTTTTTGGTATAAAGATATCCAAAGGAATTTATCTCCTTTCTTTAAAATGCAACAATTTTATTAGAATGGGTCTCATTGTTGATCACTTTAGCATGGCATTTTTTGCAGTGTAGTGTTCTCTTCAATATGAGGTTTCTTTCTTTTCCATTTTGTTTGTTTTCTTCGGCAAACTGTTCTTAGATTTTATGTTCTAGCATTGGTTCTTTCTGTGCTTGATTTTCTTTTTCAGGAATTCCCACTTCCTATATGTTGGATATTATTTGCCTGTGTTTAATATGTGTCATTTTTTCCAAAATGTGTTTATTTTATTATTTGAAAATTTTTCTTATTTTCCTATTGTATTTCCTTTAGGCATTACCTGTTAGGTTTAACCACATTTGTTATCTTTCTAATTTAGTCATTATTTTGGAATTTTTTTTTAATTTCTAATTTTTCCTAAGTTTGATCACCATATTATTGAATGTCTTCTAAGTATTTATAGACATGTATTTCTGATGTGCTCGTATCATTTATAGGAATGCTATTCTGCTTTTTAATGTTATTTTTTATATCTTATAGCTAGGAAATGCATTTGATCTTAATGCTTTCTTGCTGCTCACTTTTATTATCATTATTTTATTGAAATTAGAAAACTAGAAGAAAACGGGTTTCAGGTAATCTTTGTTAACCTCACAGAGCTTCTTTTCTGTTGTTTTTAGGTAATGCTCAAAATTATGGCCCAGTGCTCTTTGATGTATTCTGGTTGTTTATCTTCCCCACACTCATGCGCACCTTCTCTTTCTTTAATCGTTATTGATCCAGTCAATTTTGATGACACTCAGCAGTTGCTCTTCCATTCAGAACTTTGTTTTGGCTACTTTACATCTAAAGCTCACAGTGGCCACATTGCACCAGCCACCTTCAGACCTTCCTACCATGGGTCCCCTTGCATTCAACCACTATTGGAGAAAACAAAAACCTCCTTCAGTTTCAGACTACATCTCCACAGTAGCCCTCCATATTATCCAGGAAATATCTATTGTCTACTTTAGGATTCTCCTTTTCTAGCATCCTCAGATGCCTGTTCCTTCTGTGCTTCCTTCAGCACAGACACTGATATCATAAAAGTCTTGTGGCTGCTCATACTTTCTCTCCTCTGCACTTGTGTCTTTGGCACATTTGGAGATATTTTGTTACCTTTGTTTTGTTGTAAATCCTGTTGTGTGTTTTGGACTTTGTTAATTAGTTCTCTGTTTTTACATGAGAATTGGTTGAGTTACATAGGTTATGCCTCTGCTGCCATTTTCTAGAATCTACAACACATAAAAATTTTGCTCAGATAATTCTTGCTTGTCATCAGCTTTAAAAATATCCCCTTTGGAAAATACTGGCAATTTGAGGATATGCAAAAATAACAGGAATAGCAGTAGCATTTTTTAAAAAATTATGAATTGCCTTTGAAAGACCTCTGAAGGAGAGAAGTATCATTTCAATCTACAAGTTCTGATTGTTTTATTTTTAAAAATGAGAAAACTTGTTATATTTTTCATAGTCCTATGTTCAAAACAACTTAATTATAATTAAGTGTACATATTGAACAAATCCTGGAATGGAACCTTTCTTATATTGTAGGCTTTGTGAAACAAACCTCTGGGAACAATTTGAGATAAAATGACTTTCACAAAGATTATGGTATGTATGATCTCCCTTGGACTTGTAAAATACTTCACCTCTGCTTAGGTGAGGAAAGAATAATAAAAATACTATAACATTTCTTAAGCAAATGGTCTCCCAATATTCTTCTCACATGATCAAACATGATTCTTGGTATTACTATTTTGAATTATCATATGTATTTTCCTTCCATAGCACCAAGATATTTTGTTTGTTTTTTGAGGGTTTTTCCAAGCTTTTCTTCTAATTGCTTTATTCGTATCTGCTATGTGAAAGTATAAACACCTATCTTTAGCTTTTCATAAATGCATCTAACTATGAGACTGATTCTTGGGGACTTTCTGTCCTTTGACAGAAAACCTGGGCATTTGAGAGGGGATAATCTGTTACTTTGAAGCATACCTTGAGACAAGGCTGTGATTATCAGGATTGTAGTAATGGTATGAACTAGTAACTTTGGCCTGTTGAAAGATGGATGCTGCTACTCAGTTACGGTTCTAAAATGAAACTCCAGTCTCTACCATAAACACACTGACACAATTATCAATCTATTTTCTGATTATGTACATGACTTCATACTTAACTTCAGATTTGCCTATGAAACTGTTTTCCTGACAAGGAGTCACTTATTACCAGGACATCTTTTCACTTGATTATTAAGATTCCCTTTTGCAGTTCTCCCTTGAGCTTTAATTACAGGATTGCAGCATGTTCAAAACATGCTGCCTGATTTCTCACTTGTACAGGAGACAGAACACATATTTCACATCCTCTGCATGTCCTTTATCCTTCTTATTGATTTCCTAGGCAATTCTGTATTGATTTTACCTTCATATTTCAATGCCTCCTTGGTCTTTTTCCTTCTTATTTCTCTGAGCTCTTAGAACTCTGGATTTCTTCTTCTTCAGTCGGGTCATCCAATTAAGATTTGTGTGTGATCCTCTTTTGCCACTCTGAGGACTCTCTGTGATCCAGGCTGGAGCCCAAATATTCTTAACAGGATGACTTTTATCTCAAACTCAGACTGTCTATGTAAGCTCTGGTACCCTCACCAGTGTTTGCATAAAAGTGTGAAAAGAAACTGTAGCAGGAGCCCTCCTGCCTAAAATAATCACTCTCTGGCCTGTGTTCCACAGTCAGACCATTCCTGACCTTTGTATCAGACTCTTGTGCTTGCTACTGGTGCTATGGCTTTGTCTTAAGAGCTTTGTTCAACAAAGCACCTGCAATAGTGTTAGCAACCAAGACGAAATACAGGGTCTCTCATCACTCTCATTTATCTTCTCATAACACATTATTGTGGCTTGGGAATTGTGAGTAGCCTGGCTTTTCATGGTAAAATGAAACAAACAAACAAACAAACAAACAAACATGTTTCTGTTGGGGCACTGGACATCATGACAAGTCTCTATCAGGGGAGCCCAGTACCTAGTTTAAGGCAGAATATCTTAACAGATAAAACACTTTATAAATATTTGTTAACCTCGAGGAGCTCTCTTTTCTAGACTAGGGAAAAATAGCAAATGCCACATGTTTTGAAATTTAAGCCAGAATATGACCTCTCTGAGTGAATTTTAGAAGATAGGGGTTTTACCCAAGAGAGTGGCTCAATTGAATCCTATCATTCAATGTTCACAGGAACTTGAAATTTGTGGAATGTGAATTTGATGTGGAAGGATAGCATATCATAATCTCTGAAATATTTTGCTTCTTTCATTGCTTACAAATATGAAATCTGTAAGGCAAACATATGAATCTTAGATTAGTCCTTCTCCTAATTAAAAAAATCAGTTTTGAGATATCAAGTTCATTACTATGATTATAGAAACAGTGAGCTTGACAATAGGAGGTGACTCTAATCTATATTCATCTTTTTACTTGTGGCACCAATATGCACAGAATATCTTCTGATTTCCCTAGACCCATTTGCTGGAGATAGAATGATCCTTATGTAATATTCCAATTTTGGTCCAGACAATCTTCTTTGATTTTAAAGAATAGAAACTTACAACATTAGGTAAATTAAGGATAAGTAATTGTGACTGAAATGGTTACTGCATGGATGAGGCTCGTTAGCTTCGATCAGAATACAGTTTTACTTTTTTCCATGTTCAAATTTATTCTGTGAGACAAATTCTTCCTCATCACTATTCCCATATAATGGGTTCTGTCAGTGCCCGTACAGACCTGCCACTTAACCCCGGCATGCCATGCATGGCAAACCTCCCACCCCCACCCTGCCCACCTCCCCATAGGATTCAACCAGTGGGTGGAGGTGGGTCCAATGCTATGCTGTGATTTGCTCCAGAATTTCTCTGTGGAACCAGACTGAAGACTGAATTTGCTCTCCAGCAGAGATCATTCTCTGCTTAGCTTTTTGCTTCCCCATTCCATTTTCGCCAATCACTTTCTTCTGAGAGATATCATCAAAAATCACTTAAACAAGAACCTTGTCTTAAGCTCTGCTTCTAGGAACCTGACCAAAGAATCTCAGACAATTTTAACTACTATCTATAGCTCTTTTGCTGTTGCAGAAAACAAATGTTAATTTTTAGTCCCAATAACAGCTTCATTTTAGTAACTGAAAAACCTAATCCTGAGTAAAAGCCAAAACTTTGAACTTCTTTCATTCTGGGGACCATGTTGAAGATAGATGAGTTATCTACCTTCTTTCTTTGCTTGTGCTTCTTGGTACCTCGCTAATGGCTGTTGGCCCCAGTTAGTCCTCTGACCCCTCCAGGGTTTGAGCTGGAAAGAGAGAAGGGATAAGAAACAGAAAAAAATCTTACTCAGCTGACCCAGATGTCATGTCTCATTTCTTTGTTCTGACTATTGCAATTATTTAAAATTGATCACCTATCTCCTAATTGCCTTATAACTCCACAGAGACTTATGCATAATAACCTTCTGACAACTGGTAAGGACTCTCTTCACCTGCATGTGGGTCCTCCTTTAGGTCCTGAGAATTTTCATCACTCACCCTCTTTCTGTTGGGACTTCAGCACCACCTCAGGTGCTGAATGATCTCTCTTCAATGGTGCTACATCTACGCCTGAGACCTACACCTTAGTACAGTTTCCAAAATAGGCCCCAACAGACATGTACTCTGGACCAACATTGGGTGAAAGAACAGCTACTTGACATTTGAGGCCTCTTTATTCACCAACCAAAGGCAGCTCCATTCACAACTTTCATTTGTAGAATTTTTAGACATGACTCTTACACCAGGTGGTTGTGTTCATCAGGCGAAGAGGACACAAATCAAGCTCTTCTGGTAAGGTATTTGAAACTCCACTAAACTTTAGTTGAGGAGGAGGCATGTCCCATGCTTATTCCATGGAGAGAAAGACCTTCCAATACGTTGATAATCCTCTCCCTTTCTCAAAAAAATTCCTCTCTTCAACTTCAACACACTCACGTATGTGAGGTGCTAAGGACTAAAATCAGATTTTGAATACCTCTTTGAAAGTCCAGTCTCTCCCCAGCTTTGGATTGTGGCACTGGTTGGTACCTACCATCTTTGGATCCAATAAAAACTGTGACAGAAGGAGTGCCATTTATTAAATACCCTTTGAAAAAGGTAACTTATAATCTAAAGAGTATCTGTGGTCAAGAAGCAAAGATTAGCTAGAACTAAAGAGACTGGATGTGAGAAATTGAAAATTGGAAACTGATATCTTTCTTCCCATTTGCCTCCCTCTGCCTTGTCTTATTTTTCTTCTGTCTTCTTATGACTGCTTGCCATTCTCCTTTATGACTCATAAGTTATTCCCTCCTTGGTGCCTGCTTGTAAATGGCTTTGGTTTACCATCACCTACATTCAAACTCTGCCACTAAATGAATTTTGACCTCTTTCTAGACCTTACAGTTTGAATTGCTGTGAATGAGAATCTGATTGGTCAATCATTATTTAATGAGACAGCTCCTTGGTGCCTCCTGATTCAATCAGTTGTTTCTAGCTAATTCTGGGAAGATGAAAGTTACATGATAATTTAAAATGGTCCCTGATGAGTGCCGCTTTTGCAAGGGCTATGGGTTTGGACAACTGCCAAAAAAGGGGAACATATCTACACGTGTATTTTCAAACCTATCCAGAAATGTAATTTCCCAACTTTCTTACCTTCTAATTTTGTGCTTTTCCAATCAATGTAATTTCCTCAGGCTGTGTTACAAATCTATACATTCATTCATTCGTATTTATTCTGACTTGAAACCCCTTCTTACTTTAGTTCTTTGACTATGACCCATTCCTTATGATCCAGATCAAACACCATCTCTCTCAGAAAATCTTTTTCAAACCTTCACAATGGGTTCTTGCTCTGAGTTCCTAAAGTACCCTAAAGATGCCTTTATCTTCTCATATGAGTACTGCTTGTATACTGACTTTATATATTTAAGAAGTTGTTTTCCCAAAAGACTCTTCAAGGTTGGTTGAGACTGTATTGTTGTATCTTCAGACTCTAATAGATAAATAAAGAGAAGTAATAAAGGCAGTGTTATTTTACATAGGAAATTCAGGGAAGCATTTCTTAGGAGCTGATAATTGAGAAAACAACATTTTAGGGGATACTGGATATTTGGCAGAAGAGCATTCCACACAAAAGGAAAAGCCAATGCAAAGGTCCTGAGCAGTAACAGCTAGGAACCTTGTCTGATCAGATTGGGAATGTGCTCTATCTAGAAAAGCCAATTAAGCCCACATTCATCCTTTTACCAACTGCATCACAACATTAACTCAAAGGAAGTCCACCCTGTGTTGGAGGTGGGTGTGGTCCAGTGCTCATTTAGAAGATGAATTCTTATGGTCCTGTGCTGAGACATTAATAGAATAGGTTTAGGAAATCCAGTTTAACTCATATTTATTCTGGGCTTCCCAAAAGTTTGCATTTATCAATGAATGCCTCTTTTGTTATTGAGTGCAATTTTTTGTTATTGAGTGTGCTAATTGAATGCATGAGATAACTTAATTATTTAAAAGTCTTTGACTTTTCATTCAAGTCAACTTAAAAGTACAGAATTCAGTCTGTATAGCAGAATTACGAAGATTTACAAAAATCATGGATTTTAACATTTAATATTGTCCTTCTTAAACTAAAATTTTGGTTAAGTTTCTTATTTTGTGCCTTATCTCATAAACATTTTGAAGAAAAAATATGGACATTAGAAAAGGAATGATTTTATGATGATCAACCTACTACCAGTCAACTCTCTCTAGTGTTTCTCAAGAGTAAACATGTCTCTGAGGTTCAAATAATGTGTCTCAGGAGCTATCAAAAATCTAAACAAAATTTTATATTTTGGGAGGTTTTAGGTTTTAAAATGATAATCTAGAAAATCTTTACATTTTTGATCATTTTAATGGCCCCTTCATGATTTGCTAGTGCCATGCAATTTCAGTATCCGTATTTTCATTTGTGCTTACAGTCACAAAGAGAAAAAGAATACTTTATCAATGACCTTGGGCTAATGAGAAAAGCATAGAACAGAAAGCATTTAATATGCAAATAATTTCTTACAACAAATGAAGGAGAAATAATATTAAGACACATGATAAGAACTAGAAGTTTTGGTTGTTATTGTTGCTTTTATGTAAATGGAAAGAAAGTAGTGGGAGAATTACATTATCACATAGGATTCAGTGCATGATCTTGTGTGATAGCTGTGTTATATTCATATTGCTGGCAGCAATTGTTTTGCAGAAAAGTGACTTCTTCAGTCATATAAAATAAATTTTCTTGTTTCTATTTTTTCATTTGTAAATTCACTTGCATTTAACATATAAATTTATTTGGCTTTTAGAGTTGTATAATAGTATCCATCATAAAGAATTTGTACCAATTTTATGTTTACACATATTTAATTAAAATAAAATGATTCATGTTAAAATTGAACATCTTTGAGAATTAGTTATTTTTTAATGGGTAAAAATTTTATTCAAGTTTGATGAATACCGCAATATTGTAATATACTCATGATATAAAAAATTAAATGATCTGTGGGGAAAAAAACTTGATATTTTAGCCATCATGAACAGAAAGGGGTCTGTCTAGGTATCATGAAAATAAGTTCAAGATCTCTTGTGTTATATATCAAAGAACATGTAGTAGTTAATATCACAGCATCACCTGAAAGTAATTTCAAACAACACCAAAAATGTCAAGTGAATTAATTCATCATTTTGAAAGACCACATATTTTACAGCAATACTTTTACTTTTAAATTAAAGCATTGCAAAAAATGAATGATAAATGCCATGCTCCTTTCATAGTTCACATTTTTTATATAAGGTTTATTCAGTTTGTAAAATTAAACATAATTGGCCATTTCATATTGACTGAAAGGTACAAAATTATATTTTGCTTCTTAATAATAAAAATGATATTTTCAAAGACTTCTATCAATGTAAATATTCCCTAATTTTCAAGATTTAAATTTGAAGACAGATGACAATAAAGGAGGGAAAAAAGAAGGGAGATAGAAAAACAAGACAGAAGGGGTGAATTTGTAATGCTTGAAGTACTTCATAGCTTCCAATTTCCCTGAAGTTGAAGTGTTTATGTGGCAGCCTAGCTTTCTCTACTATCTCTAGAGAGAGAAGAGCAGAAAGACAGACAATGGTTGATGAGCCTAAACCACAGGTATTTTGCTGTTCTGAATAAAGGTGGTTTGGAAGTTCTCCCCTGAAGCACAGCAAAGCACAGCATGTTCATGGCGGCTTGAATTTTATCTGCTCTGACCCGGATATCTGTAAGTGAAAAGAAGCTAAAGCAATGTATGTGAATGCATCTATCCAGAGAGAGAATGTCAAGGTATTTTTAAAAATAATTCCCCAAGATTTATCTGAATTTCCATGGTCTGTTATCAGTTCTAGTAATTGCTGATTATAAGTTATCTAACATTAAGGCCATATGCCAGAGACAGCTGAAATCTCAGTAGTGAACATAACTATCTAGAAACTAGATTGTGAAGGAAAAGGTCAAACTATATGATGAAAATATGGAATAAAAACACATGGTAGGTAACATTTTTAGGAAAAAGAGAAGCTCACCAAGATATAGAAGTTTATAGGCACAATCTAAGAAAAATAAAGTAAAATGGTTCATGCAACTAAGACATACATGAATTTAAATCACTGGTCTTTTACATTAGCAGCAATATCTTCAAGAACAAGACAAAGTAAACACATTTATGACTAACACTTTTTCAAATTAGCTGTAGAATAAATTATTATTAAATAAGGAAATCATGCTTTTAAATATTAACAAAGTATTTTCAAAATCTTTTCGGTAAATTACATTATTAAAGACCTAATGAGCTCCAAAGTTGTAACCTAAATTCTGGTGTTTATGACTAGAATTTCTTCATAATCACGGAACCATCAACTGTTATTTAGAATTTAGTCTTTTTATTTGTATATAGGTTTTTGAGTACAGTACAGTTTTCTATAGGAGAATTTAATTTGTATATCAAGGTACATTTAGTAGACATTTCCAGCATGTGAGAATTTGTATTTCAGCATATCTGCAGGAGCCAATAAAGATAGAGTATAAATCTCCCAAATCATTCCCTTTAGTCATAGCATATTATAATGTCTTTGGAATTTCAAGGACTAGATTCAATAGAGCAAGTGATTCAGTAGGTAAATTTTTATTTATTTCTATTATTCTCCTTCTCTTCCATCATGGATTATGTTCTCTATATTCCAATTTGAATAATAATCACATTTTAATTTATCTTTCCCTGAACAGCCCGTTTACCCTAACCTCAGTCATGCTAACTGGCTCTCACCCTGCATTGATTAAGAGCTCCCAGAGATAACAGAGTGTGCAGGAGCATGAATAATCTCCTTGCTTCTCAAGTCAATTCTTGTGCATCTCCGCAGTCTGGCAATAACACCCACAATTTGAGTAGTGAGGGGCTAGCTGTGAACTCTCCAATAGCATATGTATGACCTTCTGTTGAAAAAATAAACATAGAAAAAATTAATATTAATATAATGAACTGTTTCCCTAGAAGAAGAAAATACTTGAACATTTTCTACTTCTGCTCCAGCTCTTCACTGGTGACAGAGAACTATGCTTAACAATCAAATTGGGCAATTACCAGCAGATTTACGGCCTAAATCTAATGAAAGTAAAGCTGTTATCAGTGTTAGAAAACTACAGGAAATTGCAAAGAATTGAGGTGTTTTTGATATGCTACCAACTGGGGCTGGCCGGTAATAAAACCTTCATCTCTATACTTCACTGTCACAGTCTTAGCTCAGTTACTCATCATTCCTGTCACTGAAGCAGTCCCCACACTGGTCTCTCTGTCACCAAACTTTTTACTTTCCATCCCTGCTCCATTTTGCTTTTAAAATTATCCCAATTCACAAATCTGATCACATCTTAGTGAGACTCGGAGATGAATTTCCGTTAGAAGTAAGTGTAAGCTTCTTAGTCTGGTAAGAAAGCGACTCCTTTATTTTGTCCCAGCCTGATTTTCCAGGATTATTTCTCAACATAGTCATCCCCCGACAAGCCTCCCTCATAGCATTCACCCTATGCTCTAGATGCTTGCGATAATTTGGCACTCTCACTCATATTTCAGGCTCATGCTGTTCTTCTTAACTGAAGTGTTCTCTTTCCTATCCTGGTCAGTGTAATCACTTAACAAGACTGAGCACAAAGACATTATAATGTGTGTATCAAGTATTGTATTAGAATTATTTGTGTTTTTTTCTAACAGATTCTGAGATCCAGAAAGGTACAGACTTTATGATTTTATTCTCTTACTTTTATTCTTCTACCTCCCTAAATTAAATTTATAAACAAGATTAGTGTCCAAATATTTTTACCTATTTAGCAAGTCAAAACTCTGCAGATGATAAGAAAATTTTTGTTTTGTATTGAGAACATGAGAATAACATAATTAAAATAAATAAAGTTGCTACTCATGTACAAAGGTACACAACACTACTAATTTCTTATTCATAAGTTTTTTTCTCCAGAAATGCATACAATAAAACTGGAACCTATTTTTATGCTAACAATTATGATATTAATTATTTTTAAGAAAGTCAGGCACAATGAAAGGAGGAGAAGTTTGAAAATCAGAAAGCTTTCAGCTCAAATTTTATTTTGCCACACACTAGATATCAGACCTAGAGAAAGTCATGTAACTCCTTGTATATGAAATACGCAAAATGAGGATTAAAATATTTACTTCTCAAGGATGTTTGAAGGATCAACTCAATAAAATTGGGTTAAAGGGTAAGAAATCACCAATATTCTACCGTGTTTATCTACAGATACAGGATAGTTTTCCTTATGGAAGTCACTATTGCCTTGAAACTAACCAATTAACTAGTAAACAAGTCATACGTATAAGAACTATTCTCTATAGCATAGATGCTTAACAATGGTCAGCCTTAGACAGATGATAGATTACAGTGATCGAATGATGTGATGATGATGACTAGAACATGGATTGCTCCTTCAATCTTGAGCATCATTGCTCATCCAATCTGGCAACCAAGGCCTGTGCTTCAACTTTGCTCTGCTTGTGCTTGAGAAATATAGCAAAACTGGCTGGCTGAGTCACAACTTGGGCCCACGGAACTAACTAGTCAATTGGGTTGTTAACCTGCCTCAGGTATGAGAACCAACGGCTGCAAAGCCAGGTGAAAGTCTACATTAAATTCAATCAATTTTGAGACTCTACTATAAGTTGATATTGTTAGCACAGCAAAAAAAAAAAAAAAAAAAAAAAAAAAAAAAGACAAGTCATCTTCAGCCCCTGCCTTTAAAAAGCTTACAGATAGCTGTTACACAAGACAGGCAGTAATGTGCTTAAAATGAAATATAAGAGTGACTCTCAGAGGGTAGGGAGAAAGAGAGAAAGACTTGTTTGACTATTGGGATCAATACACATTTGCAGCCTTTAGGAAGCTTGTGGTTTCTGTATCTATGCCTTGTTATTGGTTGAATTTCTTACATAATTCAAACCATTCATTTAAATGAAATTCTGCACAATTTATGAACATAGTATAACAAAGAAATGTTGCTGATTTTTTTTCTCTCAGTGTCTCTGTCCCTTGAATACTCTCTGCTCTTTTTTTCTCTCTCTCAAAATAACATGTAAATGAACTGCCAGACTTCATTCCAAGTCAGCAAAGTGAGCAGATTTTATGTAATCCCTTGGCTCCTGGAAACTGCTCTATATCCAATAAGTAAAGGAGGCAAATATTTCACCAGTGTGTTATGACTGGTGGTTTGCAGGGTCATTTGGGTGTTTACAAAGTTAGAAAAGTGTATGAGGTGCTAAAGAGCAATTCAACATAAACAACATTATTCCTTAATGACATGATTTTTAAATGTTCCATAAACAATATTATTCTTTGATGACATGGTTTAAAAGTTATTAAAAGATGTTTGAGGTCAATTGTTACATTACTTATGGAAAGTGCCTATAAATATTGAACGAAGAATTTGATTTTTATAAGATTATAAAATGAAGCTATATTTCTATAAACTATCTAGAAAAAAAAACCTCAGGAAAATGAACTTTTCCTTCATTTTTTAACATTCACATCTTAAATGTTTTTTACTTAAGTTTTTAATTTGCAGTATAAAATGCACTGAAGAGAATATTAGCCATTTTCATAATGTGTCTTAAAAATAATTCTCTTTTGAAACTAGGAAAGGAAATCTTTAACCAAATATTCCGTTAGAAATATAGATATACTGAAGAAAAACAATTTGTAGGAAACTTGCCTTTATGCTTCCCTTCACTGTTTAAGTTCAAATTCCAGTCACTCAAATTGCAAAGTTTAATATGAAAATGATGGTAGAAATAGGCTCCAATGAATTTTACTACATTTTCCAGGCACAACCTCATAAGTTTTGTGGTGAGATGTAGTTTTGTTTTGATGATGACACACTTTGTTTTTTATTTAGAAACATGTCTCTTTAACCTACAGTGATATAGTGATACTTTCAAAATGAGCATTTTCAGAACTCATTTCAATTCAATAAATATTGCTCTTCAGATTGTCCCTTAAACGAAAATTGTCTCTTAATGCATAGTTTGAAACAAAACAAAATTTACAAGGAGTTGTTATTTTAAAATCTGTATACAATACACAATTCCTCAAATTTCAATTCTAATTATTTTTTTCTGAAAACCCACAACTTCCTCAAGACCTTGTGAAGATATAATGTATTGCCATTGTGCAATAAATAAGATAATCCAACAGTGAAATAAATTTCAATACAAAGTATGAGGAGTTGATGAAAGCAGAAGACATGAGGAATTTAAAAACAGAAAACTGCTAGACTCCAAGCATAAATATCCAACCATAGAGGCACATGTTTCAAAGCTTTTTAACTTTCCTTATTTAAAGAATTTCTTTACTGGGACACTTTATATTCAGCATTTCTCCCCTTAAAATAGAAAATGAGGAAAGAAGTAAAATATTAAATAGTAAAAGTATTTTAATTGTATAAGGGCTTTGGGTATTGAAAAAAACGAATTTCCTTAAAAATAATTTAAAAAATCTTCAGGATGATTTCTATTTCTACTTGCATTATATTATGTCTATGGGAGAAAAATTACTTCTTTGAACTTGTTTAAAGGAGTAATTGTTTAAACTTTTTAAGTATGTGCAGTTAGAATTTTTTTAGAATTGTTATTAGTATACTGAGCATATCTAATTTCAACAGGGCAAAATGACAAATATTAGTACAGTTTAAAAAGAAAACAAAGAGAAATGGTTCTCACTCATTCTTTATGTGTGTTGTGGATTTTTATATCAGTGTAGTTTGAGCGATATACATGGAACTTTAAAATGTATATTGTTTAGTTTTAAGCAACTAAAAACATTCAGACCTACCATTAGTTTAATGATTATCCTCAGTTTGTAGAAGATTCATTACCCACAGTAAGAAAATATGCTCACGTTTCTGCCTTGGGTTAATATTCCTTACTGGAACTTCAATGTATAGTGAAATAATTGCCTACCCTTCATATTTCAAGATTAAAATCAAATCTGAGGTATCTTTACAATTTGAAAGAAAAATTTCTTATTTCAAACTACAAATGAAGACATGCCGAACTAATAGCAAATTGTTTGCTTTTAACAATGTGTGTGTTGTGTGTGTCTGATATATATATTAATATGTGTGTATCTGATATATAATATATATTAATATATATATGACAAGTATATATATATATATATACACACACACACACAACACACACACACACGGCATGCAGTACACAGGAAACATTGGTGAAGCTTCCAAACTGTAAAATATTGTGAAGAGTTGACTCCTATTGGCTAGAAGCTATAGAATATCATGGCCAAACTGGAAGCTTGACACTAACAGTTTATTTTTTAAAAATTTCAAAATTAGCTAAAATAACAGACACACAAGCATATATTATACCCTGAACAGGGATAATAACCAAATATATGTGTGCAAGATCTAAAGACGGAGAGGAAATTTAGGGTCTATGTTTTTATTTGCTTAAAAGCAAACAATGTACAATTCAAAGTTCCAAAGCATATTTGCACAGACATTGTAATTATTAGCTCACTTTATCTCTGCTGGCTCAAAGTACTTCTCAGCTTTTTAATCACTTCTCTACTGGCACAGCTAATGTGCCTACAAGTTGTCTAGAATTTTAATATTGCTAAATTTAGTGATGCAAGTTGTGATTAAATTGTTGAAACTTGTTTAATGCAAACCCTGATTGAAAAGAATACATGCTTATTTAAGGAAAATGTACAACTTTGCAAAAATTATATAGAGCTATATATAGTCCCACATTTAACAGCTTTACCAACCTGCAAAAAAGTTGGTTCTTGTAGAAAACTGCCAGGCTATGTAGTCTGAAATCTGGAGTCGTAATACCAGAGAGCTGTCAGTCAGCCATCCATCCATCTAATTGGCTTCTTACCATCTTTCCATCATGTTTTTTTTATAACTGGTCGCCTCTGGCTAAAATGCAAATCATGAGGAAGAGCCGTCTAGAAAAAGCTGCTGCTTTCTTAATTATCTGTCAGAATATGGACCAGTGGACCCAGGGCCGCACTGTAGAGTTATGCTAAGCAGCAAGGCATCATGGGAATTGGAGTGACAGCTCATTTTCCTCCTGTGTTTTCTGTGTTCGAATGACAATGCAGAAATATGGGTTTTCCCACACTTTCTCTGAACACCTGGGCTATTGCTCAGGGGAGCACAAAGCCAAAACTGTCACATTTCCAGACATGGCCTTATTGCTGTCACTATGACAGGATTGTTGACAAATGCCAGCAGTCATCTCGGCATCTTGGGAAATGTCTGCCATGATTGTGTCAACAGCCTGACAGAAATTGTTAATGTTTAAACTTCTTCCACTGACAGAATCCTGTCTTGCTGACAATATTTGTCATATGAAACTCAATCTTTGTCAAACTTGCTTAAAAATTAACACTTTCTCAATTTATTTTTTTTTCTTCTGTTTTACTGCCTAGCAGTGCAAAATTTTAGCAATAAGATTTCAACAAGTTAACGTAACACAGTAATTTAGATCCACATTCCATCCAAATTCTCCAACCCATTATAACTTGTGGCCACTTTGTCCTTTTGACCTTTGTAGCCAGAATAATTAGGCATAAATACAGCATATATATAAATATATACACACACACACACACACACATATATACACACACACACATATATATGTATGCCTTAGGATTCAAACTTGTGAATTATTCAAGAGGTACAAAATACTATTTCTCAGTGTACGAGGTGGAAAATCAATTAAACTTTGTGGATGTTTTTACTTATAAGTAAATCAGTTGCAAATTTGAAGATATGCATTAACTAACTTTGACCTTTAAGCTGTTAAATTTTTATTCCATTATTTTGAATTTTGATTAAAAAATCAATCTGACAAGTTAAACAGTATCTTTTGCAGGAACTCAGCAAGTAGAGTTTTTTCTTTTTCTTTTTTTTATTTCACAAGTGATTTTGTCAAAAGTGGACTATTACAGGGATAGCCTTAACTTGCTAATTCTGATATATGTGTTAGAAACTATTTATGTGAGCAGTTTAAAGTATATTCATTTTTTAAAGGAACGTCCTTTATAAATTCTACAGGTGGCTCATTTTTTGAAATATTTTTTAATGAGACACAATGCTCAGATTACTAGAAGGTAGTTAAATTGTATCTGGCTGTACTAGAAATGCCCAGTCCTCCACAGGATGCTATATGTCTTAGACATGGTACAAAAAGAAAGAGCAATTGGTTAGCTGAATAATATTGTCCATCTGTCCCTGACAGAACAATTCTTGTCAAACTAAGAGTGACAACTTGTTAATAATGATATAACTATTATTAACAGTATTATTATTAGATAGTATGTCATAACACACAGTGGTATACATACATACGTGGTATACCCTTATACCAGTAGGGACATATTAAAATAATTTATTGTTACAATAGATATCTCCTAGAAAAATGGAATGTATCTGGTAGCACTACTTACTTGAATTGCTGCCAAACAGGATTTCCAGTTATATTATAGAAAATGAACAAAAACAGATACTGTCTAATTTACTGAAATAGGTAGACTTTTTATTATGCCTTTTAGTTTAATTTTTATTTGTCTTTAAAGACTTATATTATTTTTTCATATATTTTTTAAAAATTCAAACATTACCACAAGTAACTCCAGAAGTAGACTGTGATATGTTAGACCAGGAACTGACGAATTTGTTATGCAATAAATCAAATACAGGCACATCTTGGAAATATTGTGGGTTGAGTTCTAAACCACTGCAATAAAGCAAATATTGGAATGAAGCAATATTGTAATAAGGTGAGTCACACAATTTTTTTTTGTTTCCCAGTGCATGTACAAGTTATATTTACACTATATGGTATTCAATCTATTAAGTGTGCAATAGCATTATGCCTAAAAAACAGTGTGTATACCTTAATTTAAAAATATTCTATTGCTAAAAAATGCTATCAATCATAGAAGGCTTCAGTGAGTTATCATCTTTTTACTGGTAGAGGGTCTCATCTTGATGTTAATGGCTACTGACTGATTAGGGTGGTAGCTGATAAAGGTTGTGGTGGCTGTGGCAATTTATTTAAAAAAAGACAACAATAAAGTTTGCCATGTGGAGTAACTCTTCATAAAACATTTCTCTGTAGCATGTGATGCTGTTTGATAGCATTTCATCCACAATGGAATTTCTTTCAAAACTGGAGTCCATACTCTTGAAATCTGCTACTGCTTTATCAACTGAGTTTGTGAAATATTTTAAATCATTTGTTCTTATTTCAGGAGTGTTCACAGCCTCTTCACCAAAAGTAAATTTCATCTCGAGAAACCACTTGCATTGCCCATCCATAAGAAGCAACTCCTCAATTGTTCATTTTATCCTGACAATCCGGCAATTCAGTCAAATCGTCACTTCTAAGAAGAGGAGAATTACAATGCTTTGCTTTTAATTCTAGTTCTCTTGCTATTTCCGCTGCATCTGCAATTACTTCCTCCAGTGAAGTCTTGAATCCTTCAAAGTCATCCATGAGGGTTGAAAGCAACTTCCTCCAAACTCCTCTTAATGTTGATATTTTGATCTTTTCCCATGAATTATGAATGTTCTTAATGGCATGTAGACCTTGTGAATCCTTCCCAGAAGGTTTTCATTTTCCTTTTCCCAATCCACTAGAGAAATCACTATTTATGGCAGTATGGCAACTATAGCCTTATGAAGTGTATTTATTAAATAATAAAGTTTGAAAGTCAAAATTACTCTTTGATCTGTGGGCTAGAGAATAGATGCTGTGTCAGTAGTCATGAAAACAATATTAATCTCCTTGTATCTCTCCATCAGAGCTCTTGGTTGACCAGGTACATGTCAGTGAGCAGCAATATTTTGAAAGGAATCTTTTTTTCTGAATAGTCAGTCTCAACAGTGGGCTTAAAATATTCAGTAAACCATGCTACAAACAGATGTGCTGTCATCTAGGCCTTGTTGTTTTATTTATAGGGAACAGGCAGAGCAGATTTATTATACCTCTTAAGGACTCTAGGATTTTCAGAATTGTAAATGAGCATCGGCTTCAGCTTAAAGTCAGCAGCTGCATTAGCTCCTAACAGGAGAGTTAACATGTCCATTGAAGCATTGAAACCAGGCATTGACTTCTTTTCTCCAGCTATGAAAATCCTAGATGGTATCTTCTGATATAAGGCTGCTTCTTACACATTGAAAACCTATTCTTTGTGCAGCTACCTTCATCAATGATCTTAGCTAGATGTTCTGGATAACTTTCTGCAGCTTCTGCCTCAGCACTTGCTGCTTCACCTTGTACTTTTAATGAAGATGGCTCCTTTCCTTAAACCTCATGAACCAACCTCTGCTAGCTTCAGGATTTTCTTCTGCAACTCCATCTCCTCTCTTAGCCTTCATAGAATTGAAGACAGTTGGGGCCTTGCTAGGGAATAGACTTTGGCTTAAGGTAATGTTGTGGCTGGTTTGATCTTTGATCCAGACCTCTCAAATTTTCTCCACATCAGCAATAAGATTGTTTCGCTTTTTTATCATTTGTGTGTTCATTGAAAGTGTGTTCACTTTCAATTTCCTTAAAGAATGTTTCCTTCGTGTTTACAGCTTGGCTAATTGTTTGGCAAAGGAGACCTAGCTTTTGGCCTAGCTTGGCTTTCAACATGTCTTTCTCATAATAAAGCTTAATCATTTCTAGCTTTTGATTTAAAGTAAGATACATCTGATTCTTTCTTTTACTCGAATACTTACAGGCCATTGTAGGGCTACTATTTGGCCTAATTTCAATGTTGTTATGTATCAAGGAATAGGGAACCTTGAGGGCAGGGAGAGAGATTGGGGAGTAGCTGGTCAGTGGAGCAGTCAGAACACACACAGGATTTATCAATTAACTTTGCTTTCTTATATGTGTGTGATTTGCGGTGCTCCAAAACAATTACAATAGTAACTTCAAAGATCACTGATCACAGATCACCATAATAGATATAATAATAATGAAAAAGTTTGAAATATAGTGAGAATTACCAAAATGTGATACAGAGGCACAAAGCGAGCACATGCTGTTTAAAAAATTGCAGTAATAGACTTACTTGATGCAGGATTGTCACATATCTTCAATTTGTAAGTGACACAATATCTGTGAAGTGTCATAAAGCAAAGTGCAATAAAACAAGATATGACTACAGTAAATATTTTAGATTTTTGTCTCCAGTACAACTATTCAGCTCCACCATTGCAAAAGACATATAAGTAATGCCCTTTTAAAGATGGGCATGATTATAATAAAACTTTATTTCTAAAGGCAGGTAGAAGGTTGGCTTTGATCTGCAGGCTATGGTTTGCTGGCCCTTGTTTTAGACCAATCCCCGATTTCAAATTTTAGCTCTGCTGCCCATTAGCTGTGTGATGCTAAGCATACTTCATTTTATTATCTCAATTATTTCTCAAAATAACCCTTGTGTAATGCATTAATCTCCTCATATTACAAGTGAAACTTGATGGCTTATAGAGGTTAAGCCCTCAGACTTCCTAGGATATAAGAAGTAAACCTGGGATTCTAATATGAGTTTGTATAATTTCATAGCTTTCAGCTTTTTTGATTATGATATGTTGCTTATAACTCTCATTTACTTCTGAAATAGAATTCTAAGCCAAGTTTGGAGCCCAGAGGAAATAAAGAGAAAGAAAATGGGGAGGTGTGCAATGACCATTACAGATGATTTAGGGAAAACTGCTGTTCACCAACAGAATTGCTTCCTCTTTTGACAACACAGGGTTCTCTGCCTTCACCTGCACTAACACTAATCACCTACAATTGGCCTAGGCAATTGAGGGTAGTGCAATCATGGAAGGGGAAATGTGCCTCTTAAAGAGCTTTTAAATATGTAGAATCGTTCTCACTAACATTCAGGAAAAGCATTTGTAATGGTTAATTTTATGTTCAACATGACTGCACCATCGGATGCCCAGATATTTTGATTAAACATTATTTCTCAGTGTGCCTGTGAAAGTATTCCTGGATGAGATTAATTTTTTTGAATTGGGAAATGGAGCATAGTAGATTGGCCTTTCTCATGGGGGTTGACACAATCCAATATTTTGAGGATGTGAATAAAACAAAAAAACAGAAAGGAGAATGACTCTTTTTGAGCTGTGACATAGATCTGCTATACTCCCTCTGGAGCTTACACTTTAGGTTTTTCTGGATCTTAAACCTTTAAACACAGACTGTAACTAGAATACCAGCTCTCCTGAGTCTCCAGCTCACAGACGACAGATCATGAGACTTCTTAGCCTTTAGTAGCACATAAACCAGTTCTTGAAAATCTCTTCATATTGTGTGTGTGCATATATTCTGTTTCTTGGAAGAACTGAGACTAATACTGCATTTTAACTTCATTTCTAAGTAAATCATGACTAAAGATTTCTCCAGGATGAGCCAAGTGGACTATCTTAATCTCATGAAACTGTATAGCCAACATTTTCCTCTAGCTCAATGTGGAAGATGTAGCATTACTCCCTGTTCATCATAGACTCAGCCAGACTTTCTAAGACGTGTTACATCAAGAAATTACAGCCAATGGCTACATCTGCAGAAGTCAATGGGGGCATCCCTACATAATATTCTATTGTTCTACTTTGTTCCTCAGTGAGAATTCAATGTAATGCAATTCAATTCAAATACATGAGTATGTATGGAGCGTCTAATTTGTTTTAGGTTAAGTGTCTTGGAAGATTAAAAAATACATAAACTCTGGTCATTTAGATTGAAGTGCTGCATCTATAACCCAAAGAAGTCCAGGGATTGCAGACAAAAACCAGAAGCCAGAAGAGTCAAAGAAAGACTGACCCCTACAGGTTTTGGAGAAAGCAAGGCTGAGCCAACAGCTTGATTTCAGACTTCTAGCATATAAAACTGCAAGACAATAATTTTTTGCTGTTTTAAGCTATCAAATTTTTAGTACTTTGTTACAGCATCCCTAGGAAACTGATAAAAGAGGCATTAAAGTATAGGAATGATTGTCCTAATTTTAGAATCACATAAATCTGGATTAAAATCTTAACTCTATCACATTCTGATGTTTATTTCCTCATCTGCATACTGAGAATTATTCCCAATCAGACTCATCCTCAGCCTTACACTAAAAGATACGGCCAGCATGCAGCCAATGCTGAATAAGTATTCCAAATATGCTCACTGTACATTCTAGTGCCATGACTAGACCTAGGTTGGCATCCACAGCTGCCATGGATATTTCACATGATCCCAGCTTCCTTTGAAATATGCCTATGAGAACCCAAAACACACAGTAGCCAAAATTAAAACTGGAAGTGAGAAGTTTTTTCAATTTGCTCATGATTTTTCAAAACAATAATGCATAAGTTTTTTTTCCTAGAAACCTTAACCTTTGAATATTGCAAGTTTAAAGTCACTTGCATTGTGATTATATTCTTTTCCAACTCCAAAACAAGTAAATATGTTTATAAAGTGTAATTGAAACTATGGATATGATGCAGCTGAATATTTGAAATCTGGACCGATAGGCTTTTCTGGGTACATGGTACTGTATAGATGAACTTGTAACCTGGGAATTAGTGGTTATCACTTAGGCACTCAGAAAAACATTCATTATCTGTATAGGCTATAAATGTTGGGACACCAAAAAAGCCTACTTTATGTAGGCTAGCCAAGCTTTTATTCCAAGTAGATAAATGAGGTTATGTTTCCATAGGCCTGCTGTAGAAATAGAAAAATGACTATACTGTTCACATACTCTTTGGCAAATGAATTTTTACATTTCTATCACTTCTTGTTACTATATAATGCACTGAATAAAAATTCACTTATTTTCAAAAATATAAATCAATTAATGATTTTAAAAATAAGTTTACCTGAGAAACAAACCTACAAGAGGTCACTGGGGAGAGTTAAACATCTTTTTAAATAATAGCCTCTGAAGGAAGGATGTTTTGTAAACACAGAATATTCCTTTATATAGGCAAAGCCAAACTCTAAGAGAAGTGGCGGAAATGTGATCAGAAGGAGTACGGGCAAAGTAAGACCCTAAACTTTCTCCCAAACCTCATGGAAAAGCCATATATATTGATAGAGTAATTTGCATTAGTACAAAGATGAGAAAAAAATGTACTTTCTCTGAGAAGCTAAGAAGAGGACAGAAAACACAAAATTCTATTTAAAGAATCTGTAAAAGCCAAATTAGTATTTAGATTTCACTTAGTAATAGTCATTGATAAATACCTTCATGGGCTATAATAATATTATAATTAAATGTATTGCTGAATGTAAGATAACTATGTGATAAAGGGGTTGAAAAAGAGATGATGAACTGAGTTAATAAGCTGACAAATGAAACATAACAAATTATTATTCAAATTTTTAGATAATTGGCATCATTTGGGAGTAAGGAAAAAAGGAATCCAGTTGGAGAGAGATGAGCTACTGTGATAGAAATCTTCTATCAATGATCTATTTAACACCAATTATCATGCTATTTTGCCATTACTCCTAAGTTTTGCTTTAATATCTTGATATCCTTTGGGAAAATGTGTCATACAAATGACAAAATGAGGTTAATTATAATAAATTCAAAACACAATCCTTTTGAAGCCAAACCTCACTCACTTACTAGGACTTATTTTAAATAAATCCAGCAGTTTTGGGTTTATGATTAGAACTTTGGCAAAGCATCACATTTACAAGAAAATCATACTTCCTTTATACTCTTTAAATGTGTACCTAAATGACAATTTGGATGTTAATTTTTAGTAAACAAACCTCTTTATTTCAAAAAGGATTTGATTTGGCTTCCATGTCATGCTTCTGTAGATGATCGCTCTATCCAAGAGTAGTCATGTCATGAGCCTTGTTCTAATATTTTGCTAATGGCTAGATAGGCATTTAAATGCATTCTGAAAATTTCAGCTCTAGAGTTATCCCAATTCCAAAAAGGCAGCAGAAATTTTAAATTTTAAAATACAAAAATGTCATCCTTGAATCTTTCCTTATTAATTTCACTCTCAAATAAACTAACGTAACTTTCCAGCGAATTCAATCTCAGCTTTCTATCCTGGTAGAGGAAGCCAATCGAAAAATTTGGAATACAAACTTGTCAGCATGGACAAGGCCACCGGGATTGAATACAGGCCAAAAATATATTTCTACACCTTCTTCCAAATGAGAGTTGAGGCAGCATATCAAAATTATTTTCCATAACACTGGAAATTCTGAGTAGCTGGATTTGCCCTTGAACATAGAAATCCAGCTTTTATGACTTAAAGAATCAGCATTTGAAGAGACATCAAGGGATAAAAAAATAAAAATAGGGAAATGATATCAAGTCATTTGTAAAAATGTATCATATTCAATTCTCACCTCAACTAAATCACACATTTTCATATAGTGTGAGTATCTTTTGAGGCCAAGGAAATTATTTTTTGAGGTAAATTATTCTTGGGGCTCTGTACTTCATGAAAAAAGAGAGTCATTGACAGTCCCTATTAGATGAGCTTAGCATGTTCTAGGATCTGAGTGACTTCACCCTCAGTAGAGGGTTCCTCATAAGCTAGGAAGGGCTGGAACTCTTCACAGAGATCTGGCACATAATAGCCATTCAATAAACATATATGAATTATAGAGATATTGAAAAACCCTAAAAGGAACCTTTGAGAGTACTCATGATGGGATGCTAGAGGAGGTTCTCTATTCATTTATTTATCTATTATTTATTCTCTATTATAAAACTGATAAATGTTTTCTGATTGAATGCTCACGGAGCAGCTTTTGTTGTTTTCAATGTGTTTGAACCGATTTTCTCCTTTCAGTTAGGATTAGGAATTCTTTAAGAATAGAAATGATTGTGTATCCTCCTATATGATCTTCCAGGCTCGTCACAGTACTCTATACCTCATAGTACCTAAATGAAACCTAGGGGAGGATGATCAGGCAAACTCATGTTTGAGTGCTTTCTATTTGCCAGGTTGATGCTGAGGAGAATAGCAATGGCAAGTATAATAGAGTCTGGGACACATTGCATAAATAACCATGATAATAATTATTGTTTTACTGTAGATACAATAATTATTCAAGCTGTGAGAAGTGATATCTTTAAGATAAGAATAATTTAGAGAAACAATGGATCTCCCTCTCCTCCACACACTGCAATGTCAAATAACTAAATGACTCTGGAATTTTGTGTGTATGAGGGGGTGAAGAGATAAATAAATGTACAAAATCTCATTATCTTCTTCAAGCATCTTGTTTCCCAGCCTTTCAAGCTTTCCACATTTCTATAATGCTTCCATAACTTTCCAGGGGTAACAGATGACCATTTATGTTGCTATTGTAGATCTTTTCTCTCTAGACATTTCATAAAGACAGCATGGTTGATTTAAGAGCTTTAAGAAGAAATAAAAACTACTGAAAAGAACAAAGAAAGATGCTAATTAAAATAATGCATATATGTAGTCAAGGATAATGTCTCTTTGAAAGAATGCCTTTCAATTAAGTTTATCAAAACTAGCTTCTGCACTTTGACATGAAGGTTTGAGTATAACACATGTCAGTCTGGCCACTCCATTACCGGAATGACATTCAAATATGCAGCAGATGGTAATCAAAATTGAGTCGAGGCTTTTGAAGATATATGTTATGATTAACCAGACGTGGACTGCACAACTCAGAAATTAAGGGATGTTGGGGATGCTACAAGAGGAATCTGATGGTAATTTGGAGTGTTAAGATCAGGTGGCAACATAAGCCACTTCCAGAACAGCATGGAATGTGACAAGACGTGTGGTGGGGTGATAGAAGTTGTTACCAAAGTCATATATAAATGACACTTCCTGACTTCTCATGTTAACCCTGTAGCATATTAACATAAATCTAAAATAGTATAACGTCTGAATATGTACTTGTGACAGCTCCCAAACATTCGCATACATGAAGGGCATTTGCAGCTTCTGAGTGTATGTGCTGTGGGGAGGATTTGTTGAGCCCCACCCACACTCCATATGGCAGCCAAAACGTCCTTATTGTGATCAGGATATGAATTAATGACAGGCATCAATCACTCAGTTCTTAAAGAGCTTTGAAATCAATGGTTTGTCGGTAGTTTATCTATAGAATTATTTTTCTCACACTGAATGTCCTGCAGCAATCAGAAGAGTAAACAGGTTGGGATACTGGGGAAATGAAAAAAAGTGAAGAATCTTCATTAGCATAATTCTTATCCTCAACTCCTGAACTTTCAACTAGAAAATCCTGAAACAGAAGCATTTTTGGTGTTGTCATCATTTTCAATTACACTTGCTCTCCCTGAATATCAAAGAGAAAATGTTTGACCATTTACTCTATTCTATTATTTGGAATGACAGAACTTTTTCAATTCTAATATCTCCATTAGTTCATTTATTTCCCTCTACCCACCAGCCCAGGCCCAGTAAGCTTGTTATGAAAAGGTGGTGAGGTCCAGCCCCAAGCCTCATGAATAAATATTTGCATAATAATTGCAGACATTTATTGGGGCTATACTAAATGCCATGAAATGTTCTAAGTGCTTTGCAATCACTAATACATTTAATACTTGAATCAATTATATGAATTAAGTACTAATAGTTTTATCAGCATTTTAAAAATAAGGAAACTGAAGCACAAAGAGGCCTGGGACCACACAGCTATTAAGTAATAGAGCTGGATTAAACCAGGTCAAAATGACTCTTAGATCCAAAACATTTCACTACTGTGCTTTTCTGAAACTTCCCTGACACGTGTTACTAGCCTGCACTTGTCCCAAGAGGGATATCGGCTGCAACATCCCTAAAATCAATAGTTCTTACTGTTGTATGAAGATTTCTTGAACTCACAAGTGGATACCAAAAACATTTGCAGAACTGTGTTTGAAAACAAAGTGTGAGAATGCACGGCGGGCGGGGGGGGTTGTTTGTTTGTTTCTGTGTAATAAATTTGTTTAAGTTCCTTATAGACACTGGATAAAAGACCTTTGTCGGATAGATAGATTGCAAAAAGTTGCCCCCATTCTGTAGGTTATCTGCGTACTCTGTTGATAGTTTCTTCTGCTGTGCAGAAGCTCTTTAGTTTAATTAGATCTCATTTGTAAATTTTTGCTTTCATTGCAATTGCTTTTGTTACTTTTGTCATAAAATTTTTGCCCATGCCTATGTTCTGAATGGTATTGCCTAGGTTTTCCTCTAGTGTTTTTATAGTTTTGGGTTTTACATTTAAGTCTTTAATCCATCTAGAGTTAATTTTGTATATGGTATAAGAAAGGGGTCCAGTTTTAATTTTCTGCATATGGCTAACCAGGTATCCCAGCACAATTTACTAAATAGGGAATCCTTTCCCCATTGCTTGTTTTTGTCAGGTTGATAGGTGTGCAATTTTATTTCTGCGTTCTCTATTCTGTTCCATTGGTGTATGTGTCTGCTCTTGTACCAGTACCATTCTGTTTTGGTTAGTGTAGCCCTGTAGTATAGTTTGAAGTTGGGTAGCATGATACCTCCAGCTTTGTTCTTTTTGCTTATGATTACCTTGGCTATTCAGTCTTTTTGTTTGTTTGTTTCATAATAATTTTAAAATAGTTTTTTTTCTAATTCTGTGAAGAATGTCAGTGGTAGTTTAATGGGAATAGTTTTGAATCTATAAATTGCTATGAGCAGTCTGGCCATTTTCACAATATTAATTCTTCCTATCCATGAGCATGGAATGTTTTCTCATTTGTTTGTGTCCTCTCTGATTTCTTTGAGCAGTGGTTTGTAGTTCTACTTGAAGAGGTCCTTCACTTCCCTTGTTAGCTGTATTCCTAGGTATTTTATTGTTTTTGTGGCAATTGTGAATGGGAGTTCCTTTGTGATTTGGCTCTCAACTTGCCTGTTGTTGATGTGTAGGAATGCTAGCAATTTTTGCACATTAATTTTGTATCTTGAGACTTTGATGATGTAGCTTATCAGCTTAAGAAGCTTTCGGGCTGAGATGACATGGTTTTCTAGATATAGAATCATGTCATCTGCAAACAAAGATAGTTTGACTTTCTCTCTTCCTATCTGATTATCCTTTATCTATTTCTCTTGCCTGATTGTCCTGGCCAGAACTTCCAATACTATGTTGAATGTGAGTGGTGAGAGACGGCAACCTTGTCTTGTGCCAGTTTTCAATGGGAATGCTTCCAGCTTTTGCCCATTCAGTATGATATTGGTTGTGGGTTTGTCATACATGGCTTTTATTATTTTGAGGTATGTTGCTTCAATAAAAAACAATCAACTCCATTAAAAAGTGGGCAAAGGACATGAACAGACACTTTTCGAAAGAAGACATGTATGAGACCAACAGAGGTATGAAAAAAAGCCCAAGATCACTGATCATTAGAGAATTGCAGATCAAAACTATAATGATATACTATCTCACACTGATGAGAATGGCTATTACTAAAGAGTCAAAAAACAACAGATGCTGGTGGAGAAAAAGAAGGCTTATACACTGTTGGTGGAAGTGTAAATTAATTCAACCATTGTGGAAGACAGTGTGGAGATTCCTTAAAGACCTAAAGGCAGAAATATCATTTGACCCAGCAATTCCATCACTGGGTATATACCCAAAGGAATATAAATCATTCTACTATAAAGACACATGCACGCATATGTTCATTGCAGCACTATTCACAATAGAAAAGACATAGAATCAACTTAAATGCCCATCAGTGATAGACTGAAGGAAGAAAATGTGGTACATATACATCATGGAATACTGTTCAGCCATAAAAAGGAATGTGATCCTGTCCTTTGCAGCGACATGGATGGAGCTGGAGGCCATTATCCTTAGCAAACTAACACAGGAACAGGAAACCAAATACTGTGTGTTCTCACTCATAAGTGGGAGCTGAATGATGAGAACACATGGATACATGGTGGTGGCAGGGAGGACAACACACAGTGGGGCCTGTCAGAGGGTTGGGGTGGAAGGAGGGAGAGCATCAGGAAGAATAGCTAATGGACACTGGGCTTACTACCCGGGTGACGGCATGATCTGTGCAGCAAACCACCATGGCACATGTTTACCTGTGTAACAAACTTGCACATCCTGCACATGTACCCAAGAAGTTAACATAAAAGCTGGAAATAAAAAAGAAAAAGCTTGAAAAAAAATACAAAGTGGTATAAAAGTGCATACTGAATTAGATCTGGCCACAAATCTTCCCCAAATACTTGGGAAGACTTGAATGAATAATTTCTCCTTTGTGAATTCTAATTATTTTTTTCTGTAAAGAAAGGGAGTTGACTAGATAGTCTCTGTGGGTACCTATAAGTCTAATCTTCACATGAACATGATCTTTTCATGTAGGGTTAATTATATTTGTGATCCTTATTTAAGCCTTGGCCACCATGAGGTTTCCTCACAGATGTCGTCTTGAGCATCTAATGTCAACAGTCAAGATCCCCTTCCTTTCATTTTCTACACCTGAACCCTTTATTTTCATCATACTAGTAATTGGTGGTGGTAGATAAATATTTACCTCTTTTTTTTAATCTATCTCACCCATTAGTTTGTATAGTTCATGAGGATGGAAACTGAGATCGTTTTGTTTACCATTTCAGACCCAGTATAAATCACAGAATGTGGTGTATGTTAGATGTACAAATTATGTACCTCATTTATTCAGTATTGCCATGGAAGTGACTGTGCCACATTACTGATTTTTACGTGATAATAATTCCAGCTTACTGTTGGTGATCGCTATGCAACTTACAAAGAATTGTTATACTCATTAGTTTCTTAGTAGTCATAGCAATAGCTAAGCTATGCTTTAAGTCCAAAGTTATCTGTTATTCTAAATCTTTCTTAAGAAATATGTGTAAATAGTTTTGTAAACAGATGAGTTTTTCTGTTTTTCTTTTTATTTTACCCTATGATATTTTAAGCTCTATTTTACTATCCTCTATGTGGTAGATTATTGAAAGGTGGCCTCCCTGTAATCCTAGCACTTTGGGAGGCCAAGGCAGATAGATTACTTGAGTTTAGGAAGTTCAAGACCAGCCTTGGCAGCATAAGGAGATCCCTGTCTCTACAAAAAAAAAAAAAAAAAAAAAAAAAAAAATTAGTTGGTCATGGTGGCACAAACTTGTAGTCCCAGCTGCTCAGGGGACTGAGGTGGGAGAATTGCGCCTGGGAGGATGTCGAGGCTGCAGTCAGTGAGCAGTGATCGTAATCGGTGAGCATATATAGGCAGTCCTTGAGAATTTTTATGATCATTGGAAACTGGCAATAGTGAGATTGTATCGGTTTTAAGCCTAAATAGCAAAAGGTTTTATAATTTCCTTTTTTGCTGGTCTTGGAAAAAAAAAGGCTACCACATAAATAAATAGAGGCTAGCCTACTAGACAATCGAAAACACATGGTCCAATTACCTCTGCTGCCCTGGCTGATGATCAGCCAACTTCCCCATATGGGAGGGAAGCCATTTGAAATCTTCCAGCCCTAGAAAGCACACCAGCTGCCTATAGACTCACTGACTAGCTATGTTCAGATCAGGTAAGTTTGGCCAGACCAGAAGAACTGCCTACCAGAACTGTGAGCTAAATAAGTGATTGTTTTAAGCCACTATGTTTGAGGACTGTTTATTATACACCAAATGCTGACAGATAACCTATAATACGATGATACTTTAAAAGCTTGCTAGGATATTTTGGTCATTTAGTGCAACCCAACAAGGATGAGAACTCTACATTATTTTTAATTCTTCATAGTGTGCTTTGTAGATTTTCTTTCTTTTGTCTTTATCAGAGTTGGTGTTAGGTTAGCAGGCCTCTCTCCAGGAACCATATTTTCCCTACACATCTAAAGTGCATGTTCAATATGTAACATAATCCAGATTTATCATAATTATATATTTTGTAAGATAAAAATAACCCTTAAGAGTTTTTGAAAAGCTCCCTTATTATTAACTTTGATTTTTAAATAGTTTCTCTCTCATTGATTTTGTATGACTGGAATTATTTACATGCTTTTATTTCTTTCAGGATTTTGTCTTGAAAGTATATTCAGTATACCTGGGGTTACCTGAAAAAAATGGCATTCAACTATGTGATTTGTTACCTTATTTAGCATCAGATTCTTTGTACCCAGGTTTTGTCAGACTATTTCTTTTTATTTTGGCACCTCAATCTCTCATGGGTGAGAGTGCAGAGTAAATTTAATTTTTTTTACTACTGGGGCAAAGAGCCTTACTAAATGATTTTCCTCCGGCTTGGAAAGAATGCTGTATAATGCCTCAGCTCTAAGACTCTAGTAGATAATAGAGAGAAATGAGCAGGCTGAGAAACAATAACTAAAATAAATTTAAATGAAATGGATGAATGAGGGAATTAATAGTTATTCAAGAATAGATAATATGAACTCTGATGCCTTTCTTTCCCAGTTCCTGGTACCTCTGAAGTGGGCATTTGACCCACAATATACCCTGATGCAGATGCTAAGATGCACTGGTAATGCCATCTGTGTTACATAACACTTTAAATGCAGGTCTCAGCAGACTCACAGTTTTTCAAATTCTGTGACAGATACTTACGTTGACACTAGTCTGCATGATAAACCCAAGAAAGTGACAGGAACTTTATTAATACCTAGATTCAGAATTCATAAGGGAACACAGTAGGTCAGAAAGAAATTCCTGAAGTAAGAAACTTTATCCAAAAATAAATTCGATCAGTTTGATTTGGTCAAAACTGAAGGAAGAGTTCAGAAGAAGTGAAAGGGTTGAACAAGAAAGACTAGTCAAGCATTTTTGAGAAGTTGACAGAAGAAGGAATAAACTAAAATATATTATATATATATATATATATATATATATATCTCCTATTTGTACATCTTAATAGAGGGGCATCTTTAAGGCAGGAGAGAGGAGGGCATGATAAAGTCCAGAGGTTATGACAGCAGCAGCATACAAAGCAGTGAATAATTCTTGGCTGAATATAGTTTGGCCAGACTGCGCTTAGAACCTGAAAGTTTTTCACTTCCTGCTAATGACATAACAATATTTATTTATTTTTCTTTCATTTTGGACATGTCAGTTTGTTTGCAATCATCATGGTGGATAACTTCCTGATATGATAAGGCTGTCATGGCATAAGGTAATAAATATAACTGAATATGGAAAATATAAACTGCTAAGGGAATTTTGTAACATTATGGCAAAAGTAAGTGTTTATACAGATATTCAGGCTCTCAAAATAATTACCCAGGGCAGATAGCTTCTGCATAAGTGAAAGAAAAATGAACATTGCCACGAGACATGGCCACAGTGACCACTCTGTCCAAATGACCCATTGCCATATTTCTGAGAAGTACTCTAAGCTCTCATTGAGGAACGCCCTGCCAAGTACATGTGGTCAGGTACTGAGCATCACATTTTTGTTTATGTTGCTGAATTTTGTGATGTCTTCTCTCAAACCTTCTATCACAAACGGACACTAGAGAGATGGAGGCTTAAAAAAAAAATTAAAATCCGTTTATTGCTCTAGGCATCTTTCACTTTGTTATTCTACCTCTCTCAGTTTGGTGGTTCATATTTAGTAGTTGCTCAGTCAAGACTGTGACTAAAAATAATGATGAACCTGGGGGCAAAAGAGCTATCCTGATATGATTCTACTTTATGTTTTGATGCCGTACTTGATGACAACTTACTTTTTTATTGTAAATTCCTGGGAATGAAGGCAGTGCATAATGGAGCTTGGTAATTACTAGTTTATTCATCAGTGTATTTGATATTGCTTTGAAGTTGCTTGTAAGAATTACTTCTATTTTAAAGAAAAGCATATCAGCCATAGGCAGACTTGGCAAAAGCCACACAATAGGTAAGTTGAGATGCATGACCCACTCTAATTCAGCATTGCATCTGTGATCCAAGTTGCCAGATGGGAGGTCTACACATCCTTAGAGTTCTTTAGTACACGGTCATTAAGTGGTGACCCAGCTGGATTTTAGGCTGTCATGTCCTTATGTACTTAAGGGTTTTTCCTCGGGTCCATGAGTTTCCTACATTATGAATGAATTCATTGTTGACCTTGACGTTTAATGGTGAGCTTTATGGAAGAGCCCATAATATGCTGAAAATTGAGCCCTGATGTAATCAAATCTTGATGTACGTGCAGTTCAAATATACATGCGTATGATACCATTCACATAAAATAGAAAAACTATCATTGTGATCCTCATATGGTACACAACTAGGTATACTGCTTTTGGTAAGCATTGTCCTTTTGAACATTTCTGTGTCTGTTTTTCCTATTGTTGTATATATCTTTTATTTATCCTTTTTAATACTCTCCACTTTTCCACAGTATATGCCTTTATTCAATCTATAAAATCATGGGATAACATAGATATTTTCTTTTAAATTATATATAGAATTTTATTTCTTAAAAGAAAACAAATGTTTCCCATGTAGTTTTGCTCTTATTACATGCTACCTTACTACTCTGTAAATACATGGGTTCTACAAATCTTCCACTTATTTACACCTATTCTTGTTTCACGTGTAACAGACCAGCAACATTGCATAGAAGAAAATGTGTTTCTAAGTCCTTATCTTCTTTTTTCTACATTCTTTTTCAGTATCCCCCTACCCTCTCTATCTCTTCTTCCTTCTAACTTTCTTAACATGGTAAGGAAAAGATTCAATTTAACAGATATTATTACAGGTCTATCAAGTCTTCAAACAAATCACAAGCAGTTCAAAGTCAATACATTCAATTAATTACTTCCTGCAAAATAGAAACTTTAAAAGAAGATAAAATGACTCTATAATCCAAAACATCACATTAAAACAAAACAAAGCCACTTCCATTCACGTATTCTTTAAAATCTCACAGGGCTGGTTGTTATTCTTAGATATGTCACATATCATTTTCAAAACTTCAAGTGTTTTCTCACGCTATTTCCTCTCCCAGAAAAATTTTACCTCCATATCCTCATTTGGTGAAAGCCCAATAAAACTTTATTTACAAAAATAAGTGGCTAGCCCATGGTCCATAGTTTGCCAACTTGGTTTTTACAGATATCTTACTAAAATATTATTTATCTTACTTAACGATTTTTGAGACCACCTTAAATTTTGCACTCAAGGATAATGCCTCAATTCCTTCACCCTAGTCCTGTCCCTGCTACTTGTCCTTCAAAATACCCTATATTAAATCTTATACAATACTTTAGATGGAATTATTCTTTCTCCTAAAATCTGTTACATTTGTCTACACTTCTCCCTCATGTTTATCATATTGCAGAGTGATTATTTGATTATCGATAACTTTTGTTATATAGAAATAAATAAAACTTCATTTATTTCCATACTCCAATGTGAAGCACATCCCTTAGACCACAGTATGAGCCTAATATGTGGGCTGAGTAAATGAATGAATGAATTACCAAATCAAGGTGGAAATAAATTTCAGTAAAGTAGGATGTTTTTCCTGTTGCCTATTAATATATTATTTGGTAACTGTTTATTTTCTAATAAGGCTTTTCTCAGAGACTTGCATCCATACATTTATGATATTTTAAGCAACTTTAGAGCAGGAATTATATCTTTCATTTATTTATTTGTTTGTTTGTTTATTTACTTATTTATCTTGTTGCACAATACATACCAATGAAGCTTTGAGGCTTGGATTAAGCACAAAGCTATATAACAGTGACATCTAATGGGACAGACATCAGGAATTTTTAATCCCAATTGTTTCAAAAAATTGGTTACAAGAGTAAAGTATCGGCCAGGCACAGTGGCTCACGCCTGTAATCCCAGCACTTTAGGAGGCCGAGGCGGGCGGATCACGAGATCAGGTGTTCAAGACCAGCCAGGCCAACATGGTGAAATCCCCATCTCTACTAAAAATACAAAAATCTAGCTGGGCACGGCGGCACGTGCCTGTAGTCCCAGCTACTCGGGAGGCTGAGGCATGAGAATCGCTTGAACCCAGGAGGCAGAGGTTGCAGTGAGCAGAGATGGCACCACTGCCCTCCAGTCTGGGAGCGAGAGTGAGATTCCATCTCAAAAAAAAAAGTTAAGTATCAGGGTCCATATCCATCTCCAAGTTCATAGCACCTAAAATAAAAATATGTGAGTAATCAAGTTTTGATGAAAAATGAATGAATGATGCATACCAGAATGAACTGCAAATAATAAATAAAATAGTCTGAATAATAAAAGTTTCTTATAGAAATTACCAGAACTTTATTTAACTTTTGTTTTGTTTTTTGATTGTTTTTCATGTCATTTGTTTGCTTATTAGTTTAGCATAGAAATACAGTGATAGTCTAAAATCCTTTGTTGCTGTATTTGCAAAATGAGCATTTTACCAAAGATACATTTCTATTATGAGTTTAGGGAGATTTAAGTCTTCCTGTTGCCCCATTTGAAAAATAGGCAAAGACAATATGCAGGTAACAAGCAGTATTTTACAGGTACTTTCACATTTAAAAGGAAGACAGAAAGCAACAATTTCAGCACTTTATCTCTCTAATTGGTGTGTACAGACCTCTCAAGATGCAAGAGAGCTGATGCAAAACATGAATCTCTACCACAGAGATGTTCAGTGGTTAGCATCAAACCTTTTCTGATAAGGGTGTTGGAACATTAAAAAATGTTCGACTTCAGAAGATTGGTTGTATAACCTAATACCTTATTATGACTATGGCTAACTATTATGTATATATATTTTCAAACATATTTTAGAAATATATTTACACATGTTAATGCTTAATATTAGATGCCCTGCATAGAGAACATGGCTTAATATGAATTTTATCATAGTTCGCAGCTGAAAATTTAACATACGTATCAATATCCTGAAATAAAATGCTCCCTTTTTAGTGTTAAAAGCATCTGAAACTAGGGACTTCAACCACTGTGTATGGCTATATCATTACTGCCATGTGGGGCAGACTAGTCTAATAGTACCCCACACAGAAGGTCGCCTCAGCTTACACAGTTAAGTTTTCCCTATTTAATTTGCAAATACCTTCAATACATGGGGAATGAACTGATGAGTGTTGCATATTCACTATGATTTAATCCACTACATGTGAATTATTATTTACTTATGTTATTGTGAAGATTTCAAGTTGAGGATTTATTAGTGATGTAAAAACTGACAGAAAGTAGAAACATGGTAGAATAAAAGTGATAGGAAGAAAATTAAACATAAACTTTATCTAATTCACAACATTTCCTAGTTGAGATGGTGTCATTATTAGGCTGTTTTGAAGCAGAAACAAAGAAAGGGTAGTTTAAACAGTTAGTTTCTATTTTACCATCTTTCCACTATCTCAAGGATAATGCTGCTTTCTGAAGACCATTCTGTGCTATGTACATTTGTTAATAGAAGTAAGAAAAAAAAAGGAGATGGAATGGAAATCTGTAAGCTTATTTAAGTCATTTTTGAAGAGGAAAAATAAACATTTCAATGAAGAAAATGGCAAGTAATTAGTTTTCAATAAATTGATATCTAATTTGTGCCAAATATAGAACTTTTTAACCCTTACAAAGTACACAAGTTAGGTATTATTTTTCTTGCTTTTCAAAGAAAGAAATTGAGATTAAAGAGGTGAAGATAGTATTATAATTTATTAAGGAATTTAGCGAGGACTCAAATTAACTTAAAATCTAAAGTCCATGGTCTCTACATGCCAACATCCTATCCATAATACATATATATGCTCATTTTCATTTTGCATAAGAGGAGATGTGGGTATGAAAAAAGTCACTGATTTGCTGAAAAATCACTTTGCAATATACAGGCAGAGTCTGGATTTGAAACCAATAATTTGACACTCGTGTTTATATACTGAATCATTACCTATTTTGCCTCAATTGTGTCTCAATTCGTTGCTTATTTATATTTTAAGGTATGTTTCCACCTTACCCATAATACCATTATAATGTATTATAAAACTGTGCCTTGAACAGAGTGATGGAAGGCAGAAACTTGGCTTAATTCATGTGTTTTTATAAAAATCTGTTTCACCTGCACCGGGTGCCCATAGTTGCCTAAGCCAAAAGCATTGAAGTCTTCCTTGACCCCTACCTTCCTTTCACATTCACATCCAACCTGACAGTAAATCCTGTTGACTTTACTCTCAAAGTATATGTTAAAATCCGTATACTATTCTTTACACTCTGGTCTGAGTCAAAATCATTTCTCACCTTGATTACAATAATAGCCTCCTAACTGGAGCCTCCTGACTCGGAGGGTTTCCCCTTTCCCTTCTAGTATCTTCAATGCAGCACCTAAAGGGATCTTTTTATAAGATAAATTAGATCATGCCACACCTATGCTCAGCCTCTCTCACTGCTCCCCATCTCACTGTAATTTCTTGCAATAGTCTGTAATACCTTGTATAGTCTGTGTCCCTTTCACCTCTATGACCTCATCTCCTGCTCCTCCTCCCCTCCCTCACTACCCTCCTTCACACCTGACTCCTTGCAGTTTCTCAGATATTCCAGCAGGTACCTTGCTTCCTTAGGGTCTTTGCAGTGGCTGTCGCTTCTACCTTCAGGGTTCTGTATGGCTAACATCTTCATATCTGCTTCAAGTACTTGCTTAACATCCCCTTCTCAGAGGCCCAACCTGACCATCCTGTTTAAAACTGCACCCTTCCCCATACTCTGCATCTCTGAACCTCCTTCCTCTAGTCTACTCTTTTGTTTTCCACATCACACATCTGAATCTCTCATACTATTTGTTTCACTTGTGTATTATATGTGTTGTGCATTTTCTGTCTTCCCTAAATAGAATTGAAATCTCAGTGACGTTAGGGGTCTGTTTTGTCCATTTCTATATCCTAAGTGACTACGCATGCCTGGCTTACAGAATGTGCATGTCATATGTCATCTGACTCCATTTTTAAAATTTTGGCTGCTGACATATTTTAAACCTCACATCTCCTCCTTCCCCTTCTGACTCACATCTGGGCAAGCTGATGAAAAAGCCAGGGTAATGTCCACTTTTACAACAGTGAGAAATTCAGACCATGTCAGCCCCTGTCCATGTGTGGAACCCTCACCCAAATGTCAACTTCTACTCACAATTAAAAACCCCAGCCAGTCTCCTTTATTTTGGTCTCTCAAGCCATTTTGGAAGTGCCATTTTGGAGGCCTTTCCAGCTGCCCTCATGGACCTTAGTTATGCAATTAATTAATAAGCCTTTGATATAGCCTTGGGATGTGTGCATGGCGTCAGTCTCTCATTCCATAGATTATATCTTTACTCTGTCAATTGTTTCCTTTTGTTCTGGGTACTCGTTACATGGGTACATTCACCAAAGCGTACACATAGAATTTATGAGCAATTTCATATTTAGTACTACAGAAACAATTAACAATAGCAAAAACAAAACCTATATGTTTACTTCTGGTAAACTAACCATAAAATAAAACAGCTTTTTCAAATGCCTCTCCCATATGCATATCTGTTTTTCAGCTCTCTACCCTTTATATTTTGTAGATGGGGACATGCTTATCTTACTGTTGTCATATGAAGCAATCATCCTTTCTTACAACAAATTTGTAATACTATTATAAATAGATGAGTCTGAATTCCATACTACCAATAATTCAATTTTCTCTCCTCTCTCTCTTGTTCTTTCTAGCTCCCTCTGCTCTCTCAGACACACGCAAAGATGAACACATATTAGTGTAATATAATATTATAGCATTTTTAGATATTTGAAATTTAAAAGAGGAAAATATTTTCTTTATGCCTTATATCAATTTTGATATTGCATATATGTGAAAATAGTGGCATGCACTAATTGATACATAATTTAGAAAGAATTAAAATTGGTAACCAATTTCAGAATAATATGTTCTTGCTGATACTTCAAAATTCCTTTAATGTCAATCTAATCTATCTTTTCTTAAATCCTAGGTAAAGCCAAGAGGGGCAACAATGAGCACTATGTTAAAAATATGGTAGCAGGAAGGGTAGCGGGAAAAGGCTGGAAGAAAGGTTTAGCATTGACAGATTATTTTGTGCCTTCAAAATTACTCTAATGACATTTAATTTTCATTCAGGGTGAAGATTCTGGTCAGTTGTTTATTATTCCAATCTGGCTTCTGCTTTTAGGCTACTATTATTACCTCCTTTATTCAGATGTTATTCAAATGGGTTTCTCTATTAAAAGAAGTGAAGTGATGCAGGCAAAACATATTGTTAGCAAATCCTTCCCAGTTTGGCAACATGTTAATGATGGATCTGGCATTCTCAGTGTCAAAAACTCTATCGGCATCTGTTACAACAGAATCAAGATAAAATGAGTGAAATGAAAAGAAGTGGAGGCAGGGAGAAGTTACTATAGAATATTTGAAATGCTTTACTGATTATTTGTACCTAAAGACTCTCTCACTTTTCATCAGATTAACCAGGAATTTTGAACTACATCTTGTCAATAACTTTCCTGCACACATACAGATGGTTAAACACGTAGTTGTGTGGAAAAACTGAGGAAAGACAGGTGCTGTTATAAAGTGCCTGAAAAGTGTCTTTGATGGGCCCTGCTTTAGTAACTACCACACCTCCATTTATATCCCCTCTACCAGTCATGTGCTGGCCTCTTCCACATCTGAATGGCAAAGAAGGTCAACAGAGTGCCTGTCCCACTGCTTGACCTGGGCATCAAAAACAGCTTAAGAAGCTACACCTTCGTTTCCAACCTATGAAAGTTCACCCAAACTGAATCCCATTCTGGAAAATCTTTACTTTATAAGCAATTGCACTTATCATACAATCTAACATCACTAAAACAATTCTTCATTAGCAAATCATCCAAGTTAAGAAATTAACAGTAGTATAGGTTAATGATAATTAACACAGACTCTGGAGTTAGATTGTCTGGGTTCAATTTCTGCCACTAGCTGTGGGATGTTGAGTAATTTTCTTAACCTCTTATATTAGTCTGTTCTCACTCTGCTTGTAAAGACATACCTGAGACTGGGTAATTTACAAAGGAAAGAGGTTTAATTGACTCACAGTTCAGCAAGACTGATGAGGCCTCACAATCATGGCGGAAGGCAAGGAGGAGCAAAGCCACATCTTACATGGCGGCAGGCAAGAGAGAAAGCACATTCAGTGGAACTTCTCTTTATAAAACCATCAGATCTTGTGAGACTTATTCACTACCATGAGAATAGTGTGGGAGAAGACCCGCCCTCATGATTCAATTACCTCCTACTGGGTACCTCCCATGACATATGGGAATTATGGGAACTACAGTTCGAGATCTGGGTGGGAACAGAGCCAAACCATATCAACTCTTTTTCCCCAGTGTCCTCATCTGTTAAATAAGTGGAAACAATAGTACCTACCTAGAGGGTTTTATAACAAATTGAATGGATTAAATATGTAAATTGCTTCAGATAGTGTCTGGCACACAGTGAGAATGATTTGCTTATTTACTGTTATTACTGGTTAATACAATTTACTTTTAAATAGAAATTCTTGAAGATTCCAAATCTTTAAGAATCTTTAAAGATTCTTAAAGATTCCAAAATTAAGGAAAAAAAACCTTTCTAATTAGGAAAACATCACACAGCTTATTAGATAGTTGAAACAAAAAATGTGGACCAATTTTAAGAACTCTCAAAATATATTTTCCCCCTAATGTATGACACCTGCTGTGTTACAGATAATTAAAGCCCAGCAAAATTAAATAGTCTGACTAAGGAGATAGAGTTAATACAAGATGGTGATGCAGGTTGTGGTGATTGAAATAGGATGTGTGCCACAAGGCATTGAGGACATAGAACTGCTAGTGGGAGTGCACAGTCAAAAAGCTTCAACTAACTAACCATCTCTATTCTCAGATTCCAAATTCTACGTATCTGTCTAGGTCTTTCTTCAGCCTCTGGGCAATACATGTTGCTGCCTCTAAGGCACCTCTGGTTCTATATCCCAATGGCAGATTAAGCACAATGTACCAAAATTCTCCATTCTCCTGAATCTCTTGTGTTTGTGTTTTCCTAAACCCAGTAACTAGGATTTTTGACTCACTCAGTTGTCCAAGTCAAAATGCTAGCAGCACTTTATCTCCTCTTTCTTCACCTATATTTTTATCTACCATCTTAACTCAGAGCACCATTTTCTTTCAATGAAATGACTGATCTCATGTATTTTACTCCAATGGCCCACTCTCACAATGTAGTCATAAATTATCTCCAGAAAGTGAAAATTATCATGCTAAATACACTTTGACAAACTTCAGTGGCTCTCAGTTGTCCATCCACTAGATCAAGTTCAAAGTTCAAAACATAGCTCCGAGGAAGTCCTGGCTAGAGCAATCAGAAAAGAAAAAGAAATAAGGACATCTAAATTCAAAAGGAAGAAGTCAAATTATCCTTGTTTCCAGATGATATGATGTTATATTTGAAATAAACAAAGAAAAAGACTCCACCAAAAAAAAAACTATTAGAACTTATAAACAAATTCAGTAAAGTTGCAGGAATACAAAATCAGCATACAAAAATCAGTAGCATTTCTATATGCCAAGAATGAACAATCTGAAAAAGAAATCAAGAAAGTAATCCGATTTACAATAGCTACAAATAAAATAAAATAAAATAAAATAAAATAAAATAAAATAAAATAAAATAAAATACTCAGGAATGAACTTAACCAAAGAGGGGAAAGAGCTCTACAATGAAAACTATAAAACACCAATGCAAACGATTGAAGAGGACACACACACAGAAAAAAATATATATTTGTTATGTTCATGGATTGGAAGAATCAATGTTGTCAAGATGTTCAACTGCCCAAAGCAATCTACAGATGTTATGCAATACTTTTCAAAATACCAATAACATTGGTAATAGAAAAAATAGAAAATAGAAAATATAAATATAAAATAAAAAATCATGGGTGCTGGGTTACAGGGGGGCATGGAAGCGAAGATGCAGGCATTACTGTTCAGAAAGTTACATTTACCTAGTAGAAATATAGTATATACTGAAGAGGGCACTGTAGAGTTGGAGGCGTATTAGGTGAGCTCTGGAGTATAATTAAGTGAGTTTCAACAAGGTATCATCACTCATGCTGTGTGAACTTGAGAAAGTTTCTGCACATTTCTGTGCCACAATGTTCTCATCTACATTGTACTGAGGAATGCCTACAAAATATGTAGTGTACTGCTTTCACATTCCAAATGTTCAATAGATGTTAAACATTACAGTGATAACCATTGTTTTTCACACTGTTTTGGATTCTAATGCTAAAAAAGAAATAAATGCTGTCTACCCAAGCTCTCCTTGAGTTTGCAAATGGAAAAATCAGATGTCTAAATAGTCCATTGCATTAGGATGTGCTCATGGCAGATACAGAACCCTACTCATGATAGTCAGTCAGTGAGAAAGTAGGTTTGTTTCTTTGCTGGGGGAGAAAAATCCAGATCCAGGAAAGTGCTAACATCCAAAGCGTACAGGAGGCCAACTGGAAAATGTTCTACTTTTCAATAGCATCTCAACTTTCTGGGTCATCTCACACACACAGAACAGAAAGTCTCCTATATGAAATCAAAGATATGTTAACCTTGCTAAGAAGTATTTTATGGCTCCAGAGAAAAAAGAATTATTTTCTATGGATTATAAAGAAATGTGGACTTTTTTCTCTAGTAATCTATTTATCTATGGAGTAAATTCTGAAGTCATAACTTCAGAGTGAATTATATGTAAGAATGTTTTCTAAGAAGGAAAATAAGAAATGTTATTGCCATTCTACAGGATACTTGCTAGATAATTGAAAAGGGATTGTCTTCTCAGATAATTATGGCATTCTGAGCCAAGAATTTAATCGTAGATGCAAGAAGAGGCCACAATGAATAACTATCTTCTAAAAAGAGGTTTATTTATTCTGGGATGTTGTTTGTCTCCATTTTGCAAGGGTCATCTTCTTAAAACTCAAGTCCTCAGTGTCCAAGTTCCACAGAATTTCCTGCTATGGAATATGTTCCCTAGTTCCATCCATTTTGGTCCAAATGACAGAATCTCATTCTTTTTAATGGCTGAATAGTGCTCCATTGTGTATATGGAATACAAATGCAGGGAGGAAGAAAGTTATGCAAATGAAAGAAGAGTTTATTGAAAGTAGTGTTGCCTTAAGAGAGGTATTCCAGGGGTATGCCTTGATGAGAGAGCTATGGGCATGTAAAGAAAATGGTTAGATTACTGCCTACCTAATAGTTTAGTGTGCACTGTGGGTCACTTTAAGTAACATTATAGGTGGATGATCTTCCACTCTGCTTTTTCAAATTCGTTGGTCATATATTTAATATATGTTACAAAAAAAATTGAACAGAGGATTGTAATTCAAACATGAATTAAAAATAGATACACGCTCTGAAAGAGATTATGGTTTAGTGGGAGAGACTGAAAAAAATCTGGTACTTTTCATAAAATGTGGTAAGAGCTTTAACAGAGGTGGGCAAATAATACTTTGAGAATACTCAGGGGAGACAAGAAATATGAGAGGATTCTGAAAATATCTCCTATAGGTGAAGACAGTTTACCTAAAGCTTCTGGTATCAACAATTTTTAATCAGTTGCAGAAAGAGGGAACATGTTACTGACTGAATAGGGAACATGAACAAATGTCTTTTGTTAGCATGGATGCCCCAAGTTTTCCCTCTGCTGTGTCCTCAGATTGGTCTCAGGTATAGACAAATAGCTATTGATTAGTATTACTCGCGATGATGCATCCTTATGTTGGATGACCTAGCCAAAAAATGTCGGTATAATATGGCCTCAATGGTCTTTTCATAAACACAGAGTATAAAAGATGTATCTCATGACATGCTGGAGGAAAACTAGCTAGTCAGTCTACACTTGTTAGGATTTGGGCTACTTGACAGAGAAGTAGAATTGAAGTTTTTCGTTATTCAACACTCTTTAGTGGTTGTCTACTTCTGAGAGTCATATATAGTCCCAGTCTTTATAGAATTTGTAGTGTTATGGAAAAAATACACTAGGAAATGGACTATTACAAAGAGGCTGGATGACTTGCAATGTAAATATAGAGTATGCCGGAATCTGGGAGCTTATAATATCAGGCATCGATTTCAGTATTATTCAGGGAGTTCAGTTTAGGGAAAAATTCCATAAGAAGTAGTAATGATATGAAAAACTAGTAGAAGTTAGATATAATAGAAATAATCTAAAAGTTAGGTAATGGGATTAAACAGGAAGAGAGAAAGATTGAGTGGCAGTGGAGTAGAATGCCAAGTATGTAGTGGTGGTGATGGTTATAAAAAATGCAGTCAACAAAAGGGTGCATTGCCTGCAGATTGTTTAAAAACAATTTTGAAAACAACAAAGCTCAACCTGTTTGCTATTATCACCATGTGCCAATGATTCCAAATAATGTTAGTGATGAAATATCCCTACTGAAAAAATCTTTTGTTGATCTACTTTCTAAGCAGTTGCTACAAATTCTGTTGAGTTTTAAATTTTATTTAAGCTTCTGCTCATCCAATTTAAAACTTGTCCTTCAATAAACACTTGAAGTTTATAACAGTTCCAAATCATCTGAGCTTGTTTCAAATGCAGTCACTGTCTCCAACCCCAACGTGCAAGATATTCCTGCGTATAAACAAACAATTAAAATAAACAATATTAACACAATACTTTTAAAGATGAAGAAAGAGAACTTGAGTTTTTATAATTCTGTAATTCCATATGACCATTTAACATTTTAACTTGAATTTAAGATTTAAAAGAGTAAAATAGTACAAACTGTAGGATGTATATACAATACATAACATATATACATTACATAAGGTAATATATGTGCGTGTACACATGCATATGTCCACACACACATATATTTAAGTTATAAATCAAATGTAAAATACTTTCCTAAAATACTTGATCCAGCCATCTAATACCCAGAAATATGCCCAGAAGGAAGAGCTATCCTAGACGAAAGAAAGGTATGTATGAATTCATAAAAATAAGAGATTTCAGAATGCTATTGAGAAAATTACAAGTAATTCACTGTGGCTATTGTGGTACATAGTTGGTATATATATTTATGGGGTACATGGGATATTTTGATATAGGCATACAATGCATAATAATCACATCAGGATAGATGGGGTATACATCACTTCAAGCATTTATTCTTTCTTTGTGTTACAAACAATCCAATTATACTTTTTTAGTTATTTTTAAATGTACAATAAATTGCTGTTGACTGAAGTCACCTATTGTGCTATCAAGTAAAAGATCTTATTCATTCTATCTAACTATACTTTTCTACCAATTAACTGTCCCCACTTTCTGACTTCTCTATCTTTCCTGGCCTCTGGTAACCATTATTCTACCCTCTGTTATCCATGAGTTCAATTGTTTTAATTGTTTTAGCTCCCACAAATAAATGAGAGAACATGTGAAGTTTGTCTTTCTGTGCCTGGCTTATTTCACTTAACGTAATTTCCTCCAGTTCCAGCAATGTTGTTGCAAATGACAGAATCTCATTCTTTTTAATGGCTGAATAGTACTCCATTGTGTCTATGTACTACATTTTATTTATCCATTCGTCTGTTGATAAACAGTTAGGTTGCTTCCACATCTTGGCTATTGTGAATAGTGCTACAATAAACAAGGGAGTACAGATATCTCTTCAATATAAGGATTTCCTTTCTTTTGGTTAGACGGCTAACAGTGGATTGCTGGATCATACAGTAGTTTTATTTTTAGTCTTCTGAGGATTCTGCAACCTGTCCCCTATAGTGGTTGTAATAATTTACATTTCCACCAACAGTGTACAAGGCTTCCCTGTTCTCCACATCCTCTCTAGCATTTGTAATTGTCTATCTTTTGCATATAAGCCATATTGACTGAGGTAAGAAGTTACCTCATTGTAGTTTTGATTTGCATTTCTCTGATGATCAATGATGTTGAATACCTTTTCATACACCTGTTTGCCAATTTGTATGTTTTCTCTTGAGAACTGTCTTTTCAGATCTTTTGCCCATTTTTAATTGGATTATTAGATTTTTTTTCCTATAGAGTTGAGAATATTTTCTCCCATTCTGTGGGTTGCCTCTTCACTTTTTGGATTGTTACCTTTGCAGTGCAGAAGCTTTTTAACTTGACGTGATCCCATTTGTCTATATTTGCTTTGGTTGCCTGTGCTTTGGGAGCATTACTCAACAAATATTTTACCAGCCCAACATACTGGAGAGTTTCTTTAATGTGTTCTCATAGTAGTTTCATAGGTTAAGGTCTTAGATATAAATCTTTAATCCACTTTAATGTGATTTTTGTGTATGGTTAGAGATAGCCTTGTAGTCTCATCCTTCTGAATATAGATATGCAGTTTTCCCAGCACCGTTTATTGAAGACACTATCCTTTCCCCAATGTATGTTCTTGACACCTTTGTTGAAAATGAGTTCACTGTAGATGTATGCATTTATTTTGGGGTTTTCCATTCTGTTCCACTGGTCTATGTGACTGTTTTTATGCCAGTACCATGCTATTTTGGCGTAGCTTTGTAGCATAATTAGAAGTCAGGTAATGTGGTTTCTCTAGTTTTCTTCTTTTTGCTCAGGATAGCTTTGGCTCTTCTGGGTTTTTTGAAGTTCCATATAAATTTTAGGTTTGTTTTTTCTGTATATTGTGCTTAACCCAGGACCCATGATTTTTTATTTTATTTTTATATCATAAGTGAAAGGATTAATTATAAATTTTTGAAGGTAAGTTTTGTCATGTATTAGTACCTTACTAATGCAAGACACAGCCAACAAAAAAAATAGATTTATTTAAGCTTATTGAAACAAAGAAAAATTTTAAAGAGGTTACTTATCATTAACAACAACTTCGGAAAGAATACTATATTCATATGGGACCACAGAAAGAACAGCATAAAGATAGCTAACATTTTCTAAATACCTAATATGAGCCAGAATATCCATGGATTGTCTCATGTAATTATTACAATAACTATCATAAGCCATTGCTACAATGATTCCCAATATCATAGTTGGAAAATTGTGTTGTAGAGTTGTTAGGTATCTTCTTAATTTAGAGAAAGCTTTCAGGTAGTAGAGGCAGCGTTGAACCTAAACAGTCTATTGCCAGAGTTTGTGTTCTTCATCACTTACCATGCTACAATGCTTAGAAATGCCCTCCATCTCTTACATTGAATAATTTATATTTTTCATGACCTATGATTTTTTTTCTATACTCTATAAATTAGATAAATTCTTATGGATCTGGTTCATAAAGGCAGGATTCTGGCCCTTCCTTGGCACTCAATGTGCACACTCTCTGTCGACCATAAGAGGGCGACTGTCATGTTTTTAGGGTAGACTAATTCCAACTAGACATGCTGATAGCAAAATAAAGTCAGGCAAACACTTTTAATTTTGAAAGAAAATATAAATTAGTTATGGATTCAACATATATTTGTGTACCACAATGAGAACAAAGATAGAGACACTCTACTTCAGGAGTTTATATTTGGGAAGAGCTATGAATGTGTAACAAATCTAAATAAGCAGTGTGGACAATACGATTTATACATTTGGAAGAAAACCTTATAAATTAAAAAGTAATATTGCATGATTACAGAGCACTTTAAAATTTTCAAACTCGTTATTGCTGCTTACAGGATTCTTATAACTTTATATGAGAATGTGTAATTATCTCTACCTCAGAGATGAGAAACTTGAGACTTGAAATTTAAGGACTTGCCTCAGTCATTGGTTTGCTATTAACATTGGTGAGACTTTCACGTGCACTGCCAAACCTACTTCTAAACAATTGGTTTTTTCACTCTCACAGGAACTTAATGTGTAACTAATAAAAACTGATCATCTCCACCAACTTAGTGATTTGGTTAATTGTTATTTTCCCCAAAAATTTTCATATGTCTACATATAGTTGGTGTATTTTTTGTTGTTGTTTGTAGAGTTAAAGTGTAAAATGGCTGAACAGATCAAACATGTATGTGTGTTTTTAATTTCAGTAAAAAAATAAAATAACCCACAACAACTCAGTTATATGCCTCAGACCTTGTTTGCCAAGTTCCTACAAGGAGAGAATTTTTATGGCCAAATTATAAAACCCTGAAAATAGGACTTTATAATGGAAATGCGGATACAACCGTAACTATGGTATTGCAATTGCATCACTATAAGAAAATTGGTTTAGATAATATACCCTTCTGGAATGAATGCCATTCTAAATGATTGTGCATCTCCATAATTCTAAGCTAACTCAGTAATTCAAAATTACTAAGATTTAAGTTTGGTACCAATAAGCAATAAACTTATGGCTACTGCTATAATAACTGTTGGTCGCTACCCCCTTATTTCACAGCAGGTGGTCTGCTCCATGCTGGTAGCTGACTGAATGAAAGCAAACAACATTTTGAAACTAATTCTTGAAGTTGATGGAAGACTCCAGAGCCATTTCCACTGGTGAAATAGTGTTGTTGTGTTTTGTGGAATTTTTTTCTTTTTAAATTAAATGCTCTGAGACACTTGATCTTTCTGACAAAGGAAGGGCATATACAGCTTTACTCTCATTTCATGTAACAATTGTGAGTCTCTAGATATTCAAACTTGTCTTGAGCAGATTGTTTTTAGTTCATAAGCCATTATTAGCATACTACCCCTATTAATAAGGGAAAATAACTCATTTGTCAGTGAATGGATTTCTTTGAGTCAAAGATGTTAGAGAGAGGTTTATTTACTCCATCTGTGTTTGACTTTAGAGGAACAATCCAAGAAGTCTTCCCCCCTTATTTCTAATATGTTCACAAAACTATATAATTTGTTTAAAATATATGATCAGGGTCTCACAAATTAAAATGTCAAGTTTTCAATGATAAGTAACATTTGGAAAAGCCTTTCTTTGCAGTTTTTTAAATATGGGAAATAAGAAGTAGTTCCATGCAGCAACCGATAGGATTCAGCCCTACTGTTTTTAGAATCTGGAGCTTTTCCTTGAATATTAATTAAGTGTTGTTCTCAATTATTTTAAAGTTCTTTGACATTTCATAACATCAACAGATTAGATGTAGAGTTTGGTCTAGGTTTTTTTTATTTGAATCTCAAAGTCCTTCCTCTTTTTTTTGTACTTCCTTACCTAGAATAGTCATTAAATACACCTTTTTCTCATTTCCTTACTTTGAAGAAAATGGCGTTATACTGAAAAGAGAAAGTAGCATTAAAGATAAAAGAGAGAAGATTGGTGAAACCAAAATATGATGGCAATTATTGGAAACAGCAAAGAACATAGTTTAACACACTGAAAGAAAAAACACTATCGAGTATGAAATAAAAATAAATTATTTAAGCATCGTAAATTCTCATAAAACAGTATAATATGAAATTATTTTGCAGAAATTTCAGTTGAAAATGGTATTTTCTTTAGCTAACATTTTTCACTTTAACTACAATTAAATATTTTAATTAATTATAATATTAAAATAAAATAAATTATATAATGCCTATATTCTTGGACAAGGAAGCATATTTTATTTTTTGAAATTTGTTAGCAATATTTTGAATATAATAATCATAGTAGGT